>NC_000008.11:88214222-89464222 GCF_000001405.40 Homo sapiens
AGGCAAAAACCTGAACCTTTTATCACTTTTCATCTGGCTCCAAATGCAGGCAAAACATAGCCCAGTCTTCTGTTATTTATATAGGTAAATGAAACCATTCCAATCCATCAAATTCCAAATCTGAAAATTATCTAAAATACATTTCTTTTTCTTAACTTTCTCAACTTATCAATCAGTCTACACACCCAACTGCTTGTGTACAGTGAATACAACCAAGACTCATCTCTATCTCACTATCTTCAGGCTCAGCTGAATACCTCAACCTTTTAGTTTTTTTTCATTATATTTTAATGAACAAAACTTAGGTCTATTCATAGTGTTTAACATGATGTTTTGAAGTAAGTATATATATGGAATGACTAAATCAATGTAATTAATATGTACATTATCTCACATATTTATCATTTATTTGTGATGAGAACATTTAAAATTTACTCTCTGAGCAATTTCCAAGTATAAATCGTCTGCTTATTAACTATAGTTATCATGTTGTATAACTGATCTCTTGAACTTATTCCTCTTGTCTAACTGAAACGTTGTGTCCTCTGACAAGGATCTTAACCTTTTTAAACTGAGAAACAGTAGTGACCTCCTAACATGTCCCCCATCTCTAGTCCTGATTCAGCTCCCTGTTTACTGCCAGTGTGATAATCTTTATAGAGCCTTCCAAACACTTGAAGGAGAGAACACAGAATAAGTGAGCCTCCTTCAGTGAAGGAACTATCATTCTAAACCTTAAATCTGAAAAGGTACCCTCAGATAATAAATTAGTGACAAATTTCATTATTGAATAGATAGAAATTTAAATTAAGAAGTGGCAACTGAGGCTGGGCGCTGTGGCTCACGCCTGTAATCCCAGCACTTTGGGAGGCCAAGGTGGATCACGAGGTCAGGGGTTCAAGAGCAGCCTGACCAACATGGTGAAACCCCATCTTTACTAAAAACACACACAAAAAAATTAGCTGGGCGTGGTGGTGGGCACCTGTAATCCCAGCTACTCAGGAGGCTGAGGCAGCAGAATTGCTTGAACCCAGGAGGCGGAGGTTGCAGTGAGCTGAGATCGCACTCCAGCCTGGGTGACAGAGTGAGACTCTGTCTAAAAAAAAAAAAAGTAGCAACTGAATCTAAGAGCATTTTTTAATGCTATTTATTTTCCATTTGTCCTTCTAAGATTTGTTTGTCCTCCTCAGCTCTGCAGAGGCTAGAGAGGTTAACCTCTATGGACTGTACTACCCAGGATCCCTTGCCATTTGACTTTCAGTTGGATTGAGACAACAGGAAGCTCTATCCACAGAGAAAAGAAGACAAAAGAAAGAACAGGTTGAGATATTCATGCCCCCTCCCTAACCTCAATGCCGTTCTCTACGGTGCCACATTTCTTGGGCAGTTAATTACCTTTCCATGACACCAGATCTCACCAGGCTCTGAAACTAAGTGACCTTCCCTTCCCCTCCTACTCCTAAGAATAGTGATGACTTACTGCTGTTCTTAATCTCAGTAGAGTTCACCATCTCCTGTAGTTTTTCTTAACTGCCCCTAAATCTCAGGAAATAGTTTCATACTGAAATTTTTTTTGACTAGACACTTCAGAGTGTGCAGCCTTTTTCGTGCTAGGATTCTGACTGACATGTATGGCTAATAGACATGCCAATTTGAGTGTATTCCATGAACCAAAAAAGCAGCAGTATAGGATCATCTTTACATATCATCTTGATAGCCTTTAGAAAAACCATCAGATAATGACCATGCATGCTCAAAATATTTGGTATGATTTTACATATATTTGTGGCAGCTGAAAGTCATTTTCATAGAAGAAGAATTACGTATTTTATCACAAAAGACAATTTTAGTCTAGAGCAGTGTTCTTCAAACTGTGGTGCACAGACTGGTATGTCTCTGAGGTCTGAGATAAACAAAAAATAAGAGTAAGCTTTTAGAAACTGTTCTAGTAATCTGGCATTAAGTACTATTTTTACTGTGTTTTACAAAAGCATTGATCCATTATAAACTAAAACTAAAAGTTCTTCATGACAGTTTTTTAAAAAAATTAAAATAGTCATAAACTTGTAAAAATTGGTTAAATAACAAAGTTTTAATTTTTCTGAACCATTGAGAGTAAACTGCCAATGAAAGAATGCTTCAATACCCTGAATATTGTATTTCGTATAAACATAAACATTTTCCTACAAAGCTAAATATAACTATCAATGTCAGGAAGTTCACATCAATACATTATCATTTAATCATCAGATCCCACTTAAAGTCATACAGTTTTCTCAAAAATATTTTTCATAGCAAAAGAGTCCATTTCAAAATCATTAGTTGCCTGTCGATGCCATGCTAGTTTCCTCTGTCTGGAATAGTGCCTCTGTCTTTCCTTGACTTTCATAATCTTGACACTTCAGAATACTACAAGCCAGTTATTTTGGAGAATGTCTATCAAGTTTGTTTTGCAGATATTGTCTCATAATTATATTTTGTTAAATATCATTTTCAGAAATATCTCAATTGATGCTGGATGCATCTATCAGATGGCATTTGATTTCAGTTTGTCCCATTAATTATAATGTTTACTTTGATCACTTGCTTAAGGTGGTATCTGCAAAGTTTCTCCACAGTGAAGTTACACTTTTCCCCTTTGTCAATAATAACAATTTTATTGGATATATATTTTGAATTACATAAATATCTGGTTCCTCCAGTAACTTCAAATTATTTACTTTTATATTTATATATATGTGGACTCATGGCTTGCTATTTTATTAAGTGGATTATAATATGTAACTATCATTACTTATTTTGATGCTTATCTGTCTCTGACTCAAACAACTGAAGACCCTTCAAACTAGTATCATTGTTCTTCCAATGTTTTTCTGTAATTCTTCAAGCATTTACTGGCATTTTGACAAAACAAGGTGTTCCAGGATCATCCTCTACTTTGCCCTGAAATCAGTCATTTCTCTAAGAAGCCAGCTGCTTTAAATAGATAATGGTATTTAGAAACCAAGATCCAGGCAAAAAGTGTATTTATTATTATGTGGTTGTCACTAATCCCAGTTCTCTCAATGTATAAACTGTGGGAATACACGCATGTATGCATATACATGTTTCTATCTGCCTGTATACAGACATACTCACATATACATGTGCCCATTTATATTTACTACTATGGTAACAAATACATATATTTAAATCTATATTCATTCCCATATCTATATCTATACATTTAAAACCATGACTTAATAAGAATATCTGTAATATTAATCCACCACAGGGTTCAATACAGTTTTCTTCCTTTCTGCACTTCTTACACCCTTCTCTGCCAATGTGGAACTGGCTTCATCATCTTAAACCTACTCAGTTATATGATCAATCCTTTATATTACCAATCTCTTATCTGTGTCAGCACCAATTCCCCTGCCTCTGCATGCCACAGACAGTTGAAGATGTTCTCATCTGGAGACATTTTCTTTAAAATTAGAAAAAATTTGATCCTTACTATCACTATTTCCACTTAATACAAATTTAAAAATAAAAATATGAAAATATGAGTGAGAAAAATAGAAATTAACATATTTGAACATTACATAATTTTGGAGAAAATTAAAATAAATCACATGGCTGAGCCAGTAAGTTAGATGCTTGGAGACACATCTTTAAATCACAAGTAATGCATATGTCTGTGTGAACTTGTTTCTCAATTTCCATCACACAGAACACTGCACCTTGGTTCTTTAGTATGCATGACAAAGCACTGAGAGAAGATTAAAGATGGGCTATACCATTTACTTTTATTGTTTTGTTTCATTTGCTTTCTCTGGTCCACTATATTAGGCAAAAGATCTTCTGACTTCTACTCTTTATCTGCTTATTTTCAGTAAGCAAAACAACCTCTAAGGAAAAAACTTGGAGAGGGGTATTATGTATATCCATCCTTTCACAACTAAGACATGAATTATCAATATCTGAAACACAATATGTTCATTTCTTAAAGTACAGTAGTGGGAAAATATGAACTTTTGATTAAAATATGCATCATTCTAATGATGCACAGGAAGCTAAGCAAATCTCAATGACCTAAATTAGGAGCAATTTAAATCTATAGTCAGAATGTAGGGGAAATTGAAGGATTTCAATTAAAGGGGACAAACTTTCAATTGTATGATGAATAAGTTCTTGAGATCTAATATACAGCATGGTGACTTTAGTTAATAATGCATTGTATACTTGAAATTTGCTAGAAGAGTAAATCTGAAAATTTCTTACCACACAAGAAAAATTGCTAACTATGCCAGGTGATAGATATGTTAAATAACTTGATAGTGGTAATTGTTTCACAATGTATGTTTATCAAAACATCATGTTGCATACCTTAAATGCATTTAATTGATTTATCAATTATACCTTGATAAAACTGGAAAAAATGAAATAAACATTGGCATCAATTTGAAAATATTCACTAAATACAGGCAATATTAATGATGCCTTAATGTCAAGAATCCTTCCAGAATATTGACAAAATGCCCTTGTGCTTATACACATGCTCAAGAGAAGCGCTGCACATTAGTCAAACTTCATAATATGGTATCAAATTAAAATCTAAAGTAAACTACAGAAAAAGACCCAATGGTAGTTCATTATTACAACATTTTAGAGACTCTTAAGAATTGGCTAAGTTTAAAAATAGGTAGCCCATCGTTGTCAGATCATTTATTAAATCAAATCCCTAAGTATTAATGGAGCGTCAACCATACACAAGGATCTCAGGGATTAGAGCAGACCATACAAGAAAAGACATAAATATCTCGGGCCTCACACAACTTTCATGCTGGTGAGGTAAGAAAGATAATAAATAATAAATACATATGATGACTGAAAAAGGTATATAGACTATGATAGAAGATAAGAGCCACAGTGGGAAATAAAATAAAGCAGGAAAGAAGGAAGGATCAAGAAAGACAAATTAGCGACAGAATAGCCAAGCATGACCTCACAAAGAAGGTGACATTTTCAATAAACACTGGAAGAAGGAGCATCGCACATCAGGCAAATCTCATGATGTGATACTGAATTAACATCATAATTACTGATGTTAATTATGAACCTCCTAGGCAGAGGCAATAGCAATCATAAAGGCAAGACAAGAGTATGCCTGTGGAATGGAGAAAGAGAGGAGAAAGCAAGAGGAGATGAAGTCAAAAAAGTTTCAGAGAGCCAAGAAATGTTACACTATGCAGGTTGCTTTAAAGACTTTTTGTTGTTGTTCTTGCATGAGACCATGTCCACTGGAGAATGCATGCTTTATTCTTCTATAAGAATTTTATTTGAAAGGTAGCCTGTTGGGATCAGTGTCTCATTCATTTAAAACAGAGACACCCTCAGCTATGAGACCAACAGCCATTTAAAAGTATTTTGTACAATAACAATATGCACTGCATTAAAATAAAACTTCAAACTATGCAAGAGTTATTTATAAAATTTTCAATATCTAGTTCTGATCAGTATGCATATTTCAGTGTGGACATTGTAGCTTCAAATGCAGAGCTTTGCATTCCAAACTGTACACTAGCATCCTTAATGCCATTTTCGTGTATTGAATCCGAAGAGCTTTGAATTTTTGAGTTGAATTTTTCAGAAGCAGATATATTCATCTTTTGAAAGGAGTCAAAACAGTCTTTTCATTTTTTTAAATTTCTTCTTATGAAAAATTTCAAAGACAAAAGTAGAAAGAATGGTAAATGAATGTAATATATTTATACCGCCTTTAATAATTATCAATACATTCACAATCTTGTTTCATCTATACCCCTTACTCACTCCTCTATCCAGTTTATTGTGAAGCAAATCTAAGACATCACAAGCATTATATCAGTTAACTGATGATTTACTTCAGAATCAGCTTTTAATATATAGAAATTCTTAAAAATAACCACAATATCATTATCACACCTAAAGAATTCACCATAATTTCTTAATATCTTCAATATCTAGGCAGTTTCCATATTTCCTCAATTATTTTATAGTTTATTTTTATAGCTTGCTTTCACTAGAATCCAAACATTGTGTGTGTTTTGTTATGACTTTTAAGTTTTGTATTTTAGTTTAAAAGAAAGTTTATCTTTCCTTTTATTTCTTCCATTTTTTGTTGTTGAAGGAACCAGACTGTTCTATAGAAATCCCTTTGTCTGTATGTCTAGATTCTGCTGATTACATCTCCACAGTATCACTGACCATGTTCCCCAGTTCCCTTTGTGTCCTGTAAATTGGCAGATCTGGAGAACTGTTCACATTCAGATTGTATGTGTGCATGACTTTTTTTTTTTTAGTCTGAACATAGGTAGTGTCGTACACCATCAGCATGTATCTCATCAAGCCATTGATAATCATTGCCTAGGCACATTTATTCATTAGGAGTTGCAAAGTCCTTATTTCTTAGAGACATAATTATCTGTGAGGATGAAAGAAAAGTGTTATCAACAAAAGGAAGAAGATTCACTTCAGTGAAGTCAACGTGAGGTGGATGCTGCAGCTGAGTTGGCTTGTAGTGCTCTGTTCCACCCAAACTATTGTCCAGCGTCTTACGATATCAATTTTTTATATAAGTCCTAAAGGCATGATTAAGATTTCTGGATAAACTTAGAAGATTGAGTATATGTATTTCTGTTGCTCCCTCCTGAAACCCTACTAAATTAGAAAATAAATAAATCCACAAAGAATTGTCTAAAACTCATGGAAGGACCAGTTAAATTCGCAAGAATGCAGGCTGGGTGAGCTATGTACCCAGGTGACTATCCTTTAACCAGATGAGGCTTCATTTCAGAGAAAACTTAACCAGAAAGCTTCAGGACTTAGGAATACCAGCCATGGTAGAGCTGGGGGCTAAGGCACAGAGATGAGGTACCAAAATAGCTGGGAGGGGTGGGGAGTGAGTGACAGTCTGCCCAATAAATGGCAAGATGCCCTGTCCTTTTTCTCACCTGCGTCCTAGACAGCCAGGCAGGTTTGTTTTCTTCAGGCCCTAATACTTCCTCAAGAGACATCAAATGTCAAATGCCAAAAGAAAACTCCTTATAAATGGTGAAATCTGAAAGTACAGATTACTACACAGTGTATGCACAGTGAAGCCCTCCAATTAGCAAGGCTGGCCATGACATTCAATAATCTTTTCAGCGTCTCCGTCTTCCGTATGCACCAAGGATCACCAGATAATTGAAGAAAACCTCCAAAATGAGAATCCGAAACAAGCAAATAACATAACATTTAAAAAGAGCCATGCAGTAACTGCACAAAAATGTCAAGAAACAAAACAAAATCGTTACAAATAATAACCCCAGAGAGAAGAGAATTCTACCAAAAAAAATAGTTTTTAAACACAATTAAATATCCTGGAAGATTAAAAAATATAATTCTCAAACTAAAATAAAATATGACCAGTAGACAGGATGAATTAACACAACTTCCAAAAAACACAGTACAATGAAAATGCATGCAAAATAAGAGAAGATTTTTTAAAAAATCATGGAATCAGTTAAAAACTTCTAACATTTGATTAACAGACTCCAGAAAGAAAGTGAAGAAAAAAGCAATTATATTTACTTTTGACATTCTCACCCTATGGTTCACTGAGACCTATATGAAGTTGAAAGCCTATAATCATATACTGATTTCAGATAAATACAAATCAGTTCATGAATTGTCTTCCATCAAGGCTGTGGGAGGTTTTTGGCATGATATATTACAAAACATCTGTCTTTTTATATACTTGTTCATTTTTTTATTTTAGAAGAAAATCATCCTCCTGCTTTTTTTTATACCTTTGTAAAAATGTTTGATAAATATATTAATATAAAAATAGCATTTTATTATTGGGATAGAGTAATTATAAAATCCAGGCAGGTGTCTCACTCCCATCTTAACAGTATTGTAGAAAAACAAGTGTGTAGATGACATGGAATCTTGTTTTTAGGAGTGCACAATCAAGACTTAAAAAAATACTATAAATAGCAACCTTCATGAGAAAAAGAGATTAATTATATCATTCTGAGTTATTTAGAAAATATTTTACCAGGCAGAATCCTCGTCAAGCTACCAATGACTTTCTTTACAGAATTGGAAAAAACTAGTTTAAAGTTCATATGGAACCAAAAAAGAGCCTGCATTGCCAAGATAATCCTAAGCAAAAAGAACAAAGCTGGAGGCATCACGCTACCTGACTTCAAACTATACCACAAGGCTACAGTAACCAAAGCAGCATGGTACTGGTACCAAAACAGAGATATAGACCAATGGAACAGAACAGAGCCCTCAGAAATAACACCACACAACTACAACCATCTGATCTTTGACAAACCTGACAAAAACAAGAAATGGGGAAAGGATTCCCTATTTAATAAATGGTGCTGGGAAACTGGCTAGCCATAAGTAGAAAGCTAAAACTGGATCCCTTCCTTACACCTTATACAAAAATTAATTCAAGATGGATTAAAGACTTAAATGTTACAGCTAAAACCATAAAAACCCTAGAAGAAAACCTAGGCAATACCATTCAGGACATAGGCATGGGCAAGGGCTTCATGTCTAAAACACCAAAAGCAATGGCAACAAAAGCCAAAACAGACAAATGGGATCTAATTAAACTAAAGAGCTTCTGCACAGCAAAAGAAACTACCATCAGGGTGAACAGGCAACCTACAGAATGGGAGAAAATTTTTGCAATCCACCCATCTGACAAAGGGCTAATATGCAGAATCTACAAAGAACTTAAACAAATTTACAAGAAGACAACAAACAACTCCATCAAAAAATGGGCAAAGGATATGAACAGACACTTCTCAAAAGACATTTACACAGCCAACAGACACGTGAAAAAATGCTCATCATCACTGGTCATCAGAGAAATGCAAATCAAAACCACAATGAGATAACATCTCACACCAGTTAGAATGGTGATCACTAAAAAGTCAGGAAACAACAGGTGCAGGAGAGGATGTGGAGAAATAGGAATGCTTTTATGCTGTTGGTGGGAGTGTAAACTAGTTCAACCATTGCGGAAGACAGTGTGGTGATTCCTCAAGGATCTAGAACTAGAAATACCATTTGACCCAGCTTACCCATTACTGGGTATATACCCAAAGGATTTTAAATCATGCTACTATAAAGACACATGCACACGTATGTTTATTGTGTCACTATTCACAATAGCAAAGACTTGGAACCAACCAAAATGTCCATCAATGATAGACTGGATTAAGAAAATGTGGCACATATATACCATGGAATACTATGCAGCCGTAAAAAGGATGAGTTCATGTCCTTTGCAGGGACATGGATGAAGCTGGAAACCATCATTCTGAGCAAACTATGGCAAGGACAGAAAACCAAACACTGCATGTTGTCACTCATAGGTGGGAACTGAACAATGAAAGCACTTGGACACAGGGTGCAGAACATCACACACTGGGCCTGTCATGGGGTGGGGGGAGGGGGGAGGGATAGCATTAGGAGATATACCTAATGTAAATGACGAGTTAATGGGTGCAGCACACCAACATGGCACATGTATACATATGTAACAAACCTGCAAGTTGTGCACATGTACCCTAGAACTTAAAGTATAATAATAATAAAAAAAGAAAATATTTTACCAGGAAATATTGATATGGACCTGAAAAGTGGGAGAGTTTCATAGCTAAAATAGTGAGAATAGCTAAAAATAGTGAGAATGACCTCTAGGAATGTGATGAAGGATAGGAGAGCCAAAGATGCACAGATTATGGAAGGAAAAGTCATGAGAAAAGTTTATTGAGTGATAATGGACAAGAACATTAAAAAACTGCATTAGGTTGCATTGTAGGGGCCTCTGGCGGACTGTGAGGAAGGTACTTCTGTATTATGATCTGAACATATAAAACAGTTTCAAAATTTAAAACGCCACTGTTGGTTCTATGTAACAAATGGTAGCCTTGACTAATAAGAAAATTGGTCTGTTGCTATCCTGGGCATCAACGTTAGGCTATAAACAAAGTTCCAGTTTAATCTTAATACCTCTTTAAGAATTTAATACAAACTTCTGGATGCCATATGATATGAATCACATAACTGATTAAGATATACATCATCAGATAAGCAGGACATTAATAGGTACATATACTATAAACAGATAGTTTTGGTAACTTTTGTCCATTAATAGTTACCTTTTCCCAGTATGCTTGTATTTATTGCTTCCAAAGGGTGTTTCTTTAGACAGTTTATATAAAATGATCATCTATGCCACTTGTACACAAAATGCTTAGAAATGAATTTTGATGACTTTATCTCAAACTACTAGTTACTACATAATTTTACTCTTATTTTTAGACTAATCAGAATAAAATGACCATGCAGACTATTGGAAACAAGAATATACAAATTCAAGCAAGTAACCTATGCTTGAACTGAATAATTTAGCACATCATTTCTCAAATTGTAAACTCTACTTTTATGACAAGTTTAATGGGAGATCTGTGGAAAAAAAAAGGATTTCATAGTCAAATATAGGTGGTAAATGCTGAGTTAAACAAAGCTAAGCAGGTTTCTTTCTGAGAACCTCAGAGAGTTAATGTGAGATGAAAAATCAACAATAGGATTAAAGTAGACAGTATTTCCCAGCCTTATTTGACCACACAACCTTTAAATTATGTATTTTTTCCGGAATACCCATTAACATCTCTGAACACAATTTGAGAGAGTTTTTGGCCTAGAGGATTAGATTAACCTCTGATCTTTTTTGCTGTTCCCTGAGTGAGGTGTGAAATAAATCCTGACTAACACTTCAAATCATTTATGAACAAGCACCACCTGTTTAAATATTTGAAATACTTTCATTTTACATTGAGGCATAAAAGATCCCTTTCAAATAAAAAATAAATTCTGAAACTATATAGTTTACAATTTCACTAGCTTTAATGTGAAATAGCTGTGAGATATTTTATGTTGTTTCAAATGGATAAAAATGCACTAAGAGAAAACAGAATAGCTCACACTAATATTATTTATTTCAAATTAAAACTTAACACTTCACATGAAATGTTTCTATGACACATTAAAAATGCATACAGACTGTGTTTGTCCATGTTCTTCTCTTACCATTCACACCATTTATCAGTTTATCCGAATTAACTTGAATTTATTACCACATTTAATTGGACTTGAGGGTTATTTATTATCTTTAAAGATACTTCTTTATAATTACTAAAAATACTTTTGCTTTAAATAATTGTAACAATATCCAAAAACAATGAAATACAAGAGTATACAGAAATACATATTATTCATTGAATAAAAAATACAAGAAAATTAATCCCACCTATTCAGCCATACATCATGATCATTTCCATGTATTCACTTTGAATGTTTTCATCTTTGAATATTCATTGACCCATGCACACACCTACAATAACAGGCACACACACACACACAAGTGCTCAAGTAGTATCAATATATATAAATATTTAAAAGTTTTGATGCTGCCAAATTGCCTTCTAGAAAAGGTGTACTATTTTCACTTCTCCCATAAGCCATGAGGTTGCTCATTTCCCCCACACTTTTGACAACACTCTGAATCACAAGTGTTTTGTCTATTTTGTATGGGACACTGTACCTTATTCTTTCCATTTCTATTTCTTAGATTATTAGGAAAATTAACCTGTGTGTGTGTGTCTGTGTGTGAATGTAGAAATAGCGCATTCATTCCCTTATCCATTTTTCTACTGGTATGTCCCCCATTTTTATACAACTATTTTATAATCACTTTTGAGAAAAATTTCATATACACTAAGAATATTTTCCTACTTAGTTTCCTTTCAGTCATGCTCATGGCAACTAACAAATAGACTGTCGTGTGTATACACACACACGCACACACACACAAATATATATATTAGGTGTATTAACTTCCTTTTCCCATTTTTTTCAAAAGGTTCAAACATTCATCTTTTTTCAGGTGAAAGTGAGAATTACTTTCTTAAATCTGTGTTCTCCTTTCTATTCTTCCTCCTAGATTCTGACTGTAAGTATATTGAATAGACTTATTAATTTTGGTGGATTATCATAAAACAGCTATCACTTATTAAAACTGACTATATTCCAGGCTACATTCTAAATGCTTTATAACCCTATGGGGCAGGTATGACTACTGACTTAATAATACCAATTAAGATATTTCTGGAAATTTACTAATTCCCAACAAATAAATCTTGGACACAGGATTTCAACTCATACCTTTTAACTGTAGAAGACTCATTTTCAAGTTCTGTGGTATTTAACATGGGTTGTTCAGTCAAGAAGCATGTTTTAGTTTTTTAAAATCATGTATTCAGTAAAATTTTCTAGTTGTTTGCACATAGATCATGCTTGAAAATTCTTAACTCTTTCTACTAGGAATGTATTTTTCTCATAGATTATGGGGCTCCTACAGGTTCCTTCTTACTGCCCAAAAGCCAGCTCTTGTGTCCTCCTGTCTTGGTAAGGCATGTCCGAGAGTGCTGACCAGGGTCTCTTCTGCCTATTTCAGTTGACCATTCTGGTCAGCACTGCCTTCAACTCAGTCCCTGGTAAAACATTCAGGAGGACTTTGTTTCCTATTAAATGTTAATGAAAGAGTACTCAGCCTACACGTATTTATTTATTTATTTATTTATTTATTTATTTATTCTCTCGGAAATCATTTTGATTAAAACATTTAAGAACACGAAAACAATAACTAGGGATTTCATATCTAGTTCACTCTGGATATTGTTTCTTCTTCTTCTCACTTACAAATAAACAAAAGTGATCTAGAGAGTGAGCAAATCAGGCAACTGTGTTTTATAAGTAACATAACTTCCTATGTAACAGCTTCACAAAGAGATTAAAATACATAATAATGATGTGTAGTCTGTGAGATCACACTGTGTCTCACAAAGGCAGCTAAGTCTGCTTTCAGACAGTAGGTTAAATCTTGGGGGGAAAGGAAAATAACTTAAATTCTTACAATATACATATAGCAAAATTAATTTTAGGAGATTTAAAGGATCAAATATAAAACATCAAGTTATGTTTTTATATAATAATGGTGAATGCTCATTACATATTTCACAAAAGAAGGAACGTCTGTGATTAAAAGGGACGAAAAATTACCACAGAAATAGTTCAGATTTCACAACATCATATTTAAAACTCCCACATCTAAAAAGTATAGACTATTACAAATATAAGAAATTTCAGGAAGCCAAAATAACCCTGTCATCAACACCTAACAAAGATCTATCTGTCTTGGTTGGGTATGTGTCTTGCTTGATTCTTCTGACTTTCCTCTTGTCAAGGCTCAGGCGATGGTAATCCTACCCACATTATGAATCAGCATCTGAATGGCCAGCTCCTTTTTCAGGCAAGGGCCCACTCTAGTATCCTTTTCCAGGGCTCTCTGTTTGTTCTTTCTAATGTATAAAGACTGCTGTGTTTTCCACTCTTGCTCAAAGGACTTCTGAGACACTGCGATATCTATAAAGTAAAATTTAATTTCTGCTCCCTGGCCTACAATTTACTTCATAAGCTGACCCTTCAAATCAGAAGTACAACAATTACTCTGTTTCATTTAACTCTGAAGAGCCCATTCCCTAAAATACCCAGGAACTTAAAAAACAATAGTCATATTTAAAAAAATATATTTAATAGACAAAGGGTTAATATCATTAACAGCAAATGGAAAGCTGCAGAACCACAATTTAGGAATTGGCAATGACTATGTACAGAAAATTCCTAGAAGAAATACAAATGACTAATGAACATGAAAATATTCAAACACGACTAATCAAAGAAATGCAAATTAAAACAAAATACTGTTTTCCCCTGTAAACTTAGCAGTGATTAAAACATTACAATCGTCAATGCTAAAAAGGGAGCACTGAATCAAGCATTCTCATATGCTGCTAATGGTATAAATTGGCAAACCATTCTGGAAAAAATTTTGGCATGATGTTTCAAGAGCTTTAATTTGTTCATACCCTTAGATGCACTTCTAGGAGATTATTATAAGAAAATAATATGAGAATTGAAACATACATTTCTACAAATATTTTCATGAAGAATTATTTTTAACAGATATCAAAATAACTGCAGAACGATTAAAATGATCACTGATACTTTTTGAATAGAATATTACATAGCCATCAAAGTGATTTTTATAAACTCTAATGACAAGGTAAAATGCTTATGTGAAATGTTAATGGAAAAATATCAGGAAAAATATATATGTTACCAATGACAATAAAAATGACTGTCAAAGATAGGACTTGAAGTACATTTATTATAATAAAATGTGTAGCTCCTTCTAAGTGACATATTAAATGCAATTTTTACTTACATGTATATACAATTAAACAGAATAACTTCACACATCTGAGAGTCTGTCTTAAAACCAAAAATATGTGCAAATTACTGATATACAAAGATGTTCTTTAGACCAATATTTATAATGCACCCCTTTGCTCACAAATACAGCCTGAAATAGTCTGCATGTATCAGAAGGCAACTATTAAGTAAACTTTGGAACATTCTTACTAGGCTATTGTGGAGTCAATATAATTATACTTAAAAGCAACACTTTAATAGTACAAAAATCTTTATTAAAAGCACTACAGGCCGGGCATGATGGTTCATGCCTGTAACCTCAGCACTTTGGGAAGCCAAGATGAGATGATCACTTGAGCCCAGGAGTTGAAGACCAACCTGGGCAACATCTATGACCTCGTCTCTATGAAAATAAAAAAAAAAATGTTGGGTGTGGTAGTACACACCTGTAGTACCAGCTACTCATGAGACAGAGGTGGGAAGATTGCTTGAGCTCAGGAGGTCAAGGCTGCAGTGAAACAAACTATATGGTTACAATGATGGAAAAATGCAAAGGAAGAAGATAAATAATAGGGTCACTAATATAGAAGTGATATGATAAAACTGTTGTTACTTTATTTGATATTTTGTGAATATGCTGAGTTTTCCAGAATATACGTGTATATATAACTCTTTTCATATTAATGTAACTATTTTCCTATTAAAAATAAGAATGCAGTTCTGTGAGATGACCGCATTCAATGACAACACATATGCTAGGGTAAACTAAAGCATAAACTAAACAAAACAGAAGAAAAAAGTAACAAATCAAAACGGGGTATGCTCTCCAATCTCAACATGGCTACAGAGCATGGTTTTAGAAAATGAGAGAGAAGGTAGAAAAGACAGGTTATAATTAGGTTACAGTGAAATCTTAGCCAGGGTAAGACTATTATGAGGTAAGAAATAGTTCGTTTTGTTTAATTTGGTTTTTATTTGCAGAAGAACAACAGGGACAAAGCAATATTTTAGTGGCATTTATCTGTACAAAATGCATTAGATTTAAAAATCCAGAGGCACCCAGTCAGTGAAGGGGCCACAGCTATGACTTAATCACCTAGTGATTGTTAGAAAAAAAAAAGACAAGAATGCTATTGAGAACAATTCTGAAGTAGAATTGGTAAATTTCAAGATTAGTTGATGTGAATAACAAGAGAGATGAAAATTCTATGGATGTCTACATCCAAGTCTAAATGACCGAGAGAATAAGTAATGCTGTATTTAAAGAATATTGAGACACGGGATGGAGAAAATGGAAAATTTAGAATGTAGTTAAGAGATCCAACATATTTTATCTTATTTCTTCACCTCTGAATCACTGCGTCTTTCCTCCATGTATAATAGTACCCTAGCAAAATACAAATCCCCTTCTCATTAGAAGTAAAGCATTCAGAAATAAAATGTATCAACAAGCCAATATTACATAAAAGCTAAGTGTCACATACCATGGAAATGCCTACTTGTGGTGTCCATCATCATTTTGACATATCTCTAGGACAAGGATTCTCGAACTTTATTGTGCCTTAGAATCAACAGAGACAGGACATTTTTAAACACTTATTGCCAGGCTACACCCCTCGGTTTCTCATTCACGAGATGCAGATGCTGCTGGTCTAGGGATGGGGACCATATGTGGGAACCACTGCCCTAGAGCCATATTACCCTGTGAATAGTAAAAATAAACGAATTTAAGTAACTGAGGGTAAACAAAATATAGCGAAAACCTAACATTTTAAAAGATAACTCTGAAGCAGGCTACATAAAAGATCTTTAGTGGGAAGGTAAAATGAAAATTTGACCATGTGAGCATTTCATTGTTTAGGCATCACCAACTAAAGTACAGATAACATAGACTGAGGTTTTAAGCTAAGCCTAAATACTTACTGCTAGTCACTGGATCAATTTTCTTTTTTTTTTTTTTTTTAGTAAGGATCAAAAAAGCAACAGAAACAAAAAATAAGTCTCCCCATACTATATATTGATTCTTGATACATAACATGCCATTTTATACAGTGGGTGGTAGAAAGTCAACCATACATAAGCTATTTAAAGTTTGCATTAAAAAATAGTAGCAATGATTAAAAGCAACATTACTACCTTCTAAGAAATGTGATCATATTTCTTAATATTTGGATGCATTCTTATAAATGCTGGATAAACAAGCTACATGGTTTTTCTTATTCATGAATTTGCAACCTGCATACCCATTATTCATGATCTCTCTGTGAGTCATATGAAGTTGCATATATTGCAAAATCTTAGAACTCAGCAATGAAGTCACTCTAAGACACTTAGTGAAAGACCTCTGACATTTACTATCTGTGCAGATATAGGAAGTCATGTGCCCCTTCTGGATCTTAGTATTCTTATTGGTAAAATAGACATTAAAAACTTCCACCTCAAAATATTGCTGAAATGGAATGGGCAATATATATGTCAGTGTCCAATATAAAGATGAACTTCAATAATCATTATTTAGATGTTTTGCTTGAAATAGCTGTAATACCAACTTGAAATTTCCTTTTGGATTCTTCTTTGTATCTATGATGGTTTTGAGAAAATAAAATGGAATCAATAAAGACCAGAAAGAGTGAAGAGATTCTCTAACGATTCACTGAAATAAAAGGGGTTTATCCAACTCAAAACTGAGCGGTTCTAGATATAACCCAGTATAAACATAAAATTAGTAATTCTTTATTCAATAGATTTCTAGTGTGTGCTGCAATTCATTTGATCAGTTTTATCTTACATATCTTCCATATAACCAACTGGAAGTTGAATCCAAAATTATTTGGTTTCTCTTTCCCCTAAATCCTTACACAGAAAGTTCAGTGTCAGAACTGAACTAAGGTGCTGACGAGGACCTATCCACCCAGTCTAGAAATGAAAGTCCAGCAGTGGCAGAAAGCAGAGCAACCAAAACACATGTCACATCTAAGCCATGAAACTCTTTCTCTAACCAAAGTTCATGACTGCCATGAAAGGTCACTGGGAGGCCACCTAGGTGACCAGCTTGTAAATATTAACAGTTTACAAGTCTTCTACAACCTAAGTAACACCTGTGAAAACATTCCTGGTAGGTTCCCACTCCCCTATACCTAAAGATATCAACTTCACCCAAATGATTGTAACTTCTTTATTTTAAAATATGTTTAAGTTGAAAACAAGTTCTGTAATATGATGTGACCATTTTTTAAAAAAGTTTTTCTCTAAAATAATTATAAATATGATAAACAAATATATGTATTTTTATGTTATAATCTTGAAAATGTCATATTCCCATTCATTATCCTATCTAAAATCCATCAAAACATTTGAGATTCTAACATGATCGAGTGCTAATGATACTTCCTCCATCAAAATATTTTAAAATTCTGAGTTCGTTTTCCTGCATGGACATTGAACCATAAAGAGAAGGAATGGAGTAGGGAGGCAATCGAGAGGTTATCATACATTTACTTCCAGATTCTTTCATCTATGAGGATGCAAGTTCACATATGGGCAAGTAAAGAAGTGGTCATCCTCATCAATTTAAACCTTGATAGATATTTAATGTCAATTTAAACTTCTGAAGTACCTTTCATCTCTGATTTCAAAGTGATTTTGTAAGAAATTCGGTTTTACATCTTTAATTGCATTGACTTAACAATACACTACATAGAAAATGCCATTTTACAGGTGGGAAAACTGAAGCAATCTCCCAACGGGTCAGGGACCTAGAAAAAAAAGCACTATTTAGATTCTGTAAAACCGGCAAATAGTTTGCAAGTTTGGCAGAACTACACTTACTACATACTAAATAGATTAACTACATATTTGGAGAGCTCTCATTACTATATATAAGATCATTTCTGCCTGATGTCACATAGCCACATAAAGAACAGGATTAGATTAAATGATCCACATATGTTCCGTATGGTGAGACTCTTCATAGACAAACAGAATCACATTATGTCCTAGAGTTTCTAAATAGTTTTAATCTTAAGAGAAGCACTCAAGTCCTTTAAATATCTGGTGTTAAATATATGATTACTTTTCAAACAATACTTCACCTGGGAACAGAGACAATGCAAGTCAGCAACACCTATCCTGCACAGTGAAATGAATCAAATATTGTCAATATAAACAGCAAATGGACTTTCAATGTAAGGTGACAATTTTTTTGAGTAACAGCTATATTTAGCAACCAGTTAAAGCAGTGTGGAATAGGCTCAATAAGAAGAGAGGCAAATCCTGCTTTTGGTGAGTTTAAAACCCCATCTTGAAAAATAGAATATTCACATATGTACTTCCTAAGGTCTACATCAAATCACAGTGTAGTGGATGAGAAGAGTTAGATTCTGAAGTCAGGGGATCAAGCTTTGAACTCTGGCTCTCCCACTTATTATAACACCTGTGTGACTTTGAGCAACTTACTTAGTGTCTCTAAGCCACAGATTTTTCATCTGTTACATAGGGATAATAATCTACCTATTTTAAAATTTGCCATTAGAATTAAATCAGGTAATACATGAAAATTCTTAGCAGAGTATCTAGCACAGGGCAAGTGTTCAACAAATGCCAGATATTATTATTCCAACGACACTCCACTCCTTATTTTTTTTAAAAAAGGCCTTTAAAGTTGCCGATCAGATAAATTATTTGCATCTAAGGCAGAAATTTGAGTCCTTTCACTTTATAGCCCAGTCTGCTTTTCTACATTTCTATGACACCACTCTCCTTATTGGCAATCCAAGCTGAGGTCAAACCAGATACCTTGCCCTTCTCAGAATACTCACCATAATGTCCTATCCTTCCCACCATAATGTCCTACCCATAGGAGATACCTTGGTTTATCTCCTTTGATCAATCCCAAATGCTCTTCTCATCAGTTCAGTTCCTTGATGGTCAGATCTAAGTGCTGCCTCTTTCATGATGCAAGTCTGATTCCACTAACCAGATACAAAGTCATTTTGTTTTAATTCCAAGAGCACATTCTTTCTGAACAAAGGAGCACCTTCCACTACGGAAGCTGAGCTCTTAACTGTCTGGTACTGGGCTTTTTTCCTCTTTCAAAGACCAGAGCTGCCTGCACAGTGTCTGCACAAAGCAAGACTGAAACCAATGCTAAACAGTGAGGAATGAAACAGACAAAAGAAATTTTAAGACACAACTTGTCCCTAATGTGGGACCTTCTCATTCAGCAAAGTTTGTTCACATTTGAACAGATATTTAATGCATGGGATACAAAAGCACTGGCTTTCCAGTTTTGTTCATTATTTTAAAGGCTCCCAAAGTGAGCGCCAGATCCAGTTATTTCACAATGATAATTCTATTTTATAGTCAAACATGAAAACTAACATATATTAGGTACAACTTCAAGGAGCTAAATCCAGCCTATTAAGAATAATATTATGCAATTAAAGATTTTTTCAAAAAAAGAACCTAGCAATGAATCATTAAATCAGTGTTTCATTAAGTGTATGTGTTCAACTTTCAGAAACAAGATTTATGCTCATTTTTATAGATGAAAAAACCATACATCACTTAAGAGAAAAACATAAAGTGGAGTTGCATTCATATTACCGAATAGCAGATAAGTAACTTAGAATTTCATTTATTTAACTAAATCTGTTTATGCATGTGAATTTGTCATTTTGAAACTGTAATTTCACCTAAAATATAAGCTAGAACTTGGGTATGCCACAGAACTAAAATGTGGTATTACTGCTTTCCTAAGAATTTAATAAAAGTTGAAGTATTTTGGCAAGAGTATGATACAATCCAAATCAAGTGAACACAATTACTTTTCTTCCCCTCTCATTCCATAAAAAGATTTGGCCTTAGAATGGATGTATCCAAACTCTTTCTGTTTTAATGGCTCTGGGTGCCATGGGTCCCCCCAGAAATTATTTTATAATTAATGACTGCTTCTGATTTAATCATTTAACTCACTTTTCTGCCTTGACCCTTCTTTAACTGCAGCAGATCTTTTGTTTCTTTCAAGAGATATTAGGACAAATAGAGCAAACTCAGAGTTAGACTCTGACCTTTACTTACACATGCAATTAGAGCTGGGGCTCTTTTAACTACAGTGACTCCATAAAGCCAACCTGCTGTAAAGCAGGGCAGTCAAAAAAGGTTACAGACTGATGGAAGAAAGATGTCAAGTGGCCTTTCAAAATCCCAAAGCATATACTGCCCTTTATTCCACTTATTCATTGTTTAAATGTCTTTCAGAAAGTAACATAATAATAAGTTTACAACATTACCCAAGTTACAGCCTGTGGGTAAATGTATTTTACTCAAACCATGGATCAGGTGTTATTAACCCCAGCGAGGGCTTCAAAAGGTCCAACTCCCTTGAATTCTAGGAAAATTCTCTTTATGTGTTTCTTTCTTTTTGCATTTAGCTTCTCCATCTTCTTGAAGGATTCTGTATCACCCCAAAATTTTCAGGATCACTGACACAGAATAATAAGTGTTAAAAGATTAATTTATGCCCAACTGACTTTTTAAAAAAGTTTCACTAGAAGCTGGGCACCGAATCCCAGCACTTTGGGAGACTGAGGTCAGGAGTTCGAGACCAGCCTGGCCAACGTGGTAAAACTCTGTCTCTACTAAAAGTTCAAAAATTAGCCAGGCATGGTGGTGCATGCCTGTAATCTCAGCTACTTGGGAGGCAGAGGCAGGAGAATCGCTTGAACCTGGGAGGCGGAGGTTGCAGTGAGCTGAGATCACACCACTGCACTCTACCCGGGCAACAGAGCAAGACTCCATCTCAAAAAAAAAAAAAAAAAATCAAACTAGGAGAAAACATGGTATTATAAGTAGTAAGTGATATGCCAGGTAAATGCCAAAGTTCTAACCTGCTAGTTAAACTTAGAAACTATTTGATTTTGAGAAAAATAGTACAGGGTTTGATTTTGTTTTTGTTTTTCTATGACGTAGTAGTAATCCTAGTAGATCCTACTAGTAATAATCCTACTAGGAAAACAAAAAAGTGGAAATACATCTCTTAGAAAACTTGGCATGCTACTAGCGTTAGAAAGCTTTGTCTAGCTTGCATAGCTCTTTCGGAGAGGGGGTGCCCAGAATGTTCCCAAATCTTTCTCAAATGGTACACTCTGTAGTGACATTCCTGAACCCTGTCAACAGGCCATGCTCCCTACATACTTCCAATACATTGTTATGTAACAATGGACTTAATGTTCAAATCAAGTTACAAGGTGGTTTTCTATACACATTTGTATTTTCTTTATTAATAAAGTGAAATTATATTTTCGTCTCTTTTCCTAAAAAAAAAAAAGTTTCATATATATTATTTTCAAACCTCATAAAGTTCAAGTCAAGGATCAAGAACATAACTCCCAGCACACAAGCATAGGTGTCTTTACTCACATAACTAGATGTCTTAGCAGGAATGCTATAGCAATAAAGTAAACCACCAACTTTTTAAGTCTTAAAAGTGATGATTTATTGGAAACAGGAGTTTCATAAAGTGGAAATTTGTGCAGGGAGATGAAAATTAGAGGTGCAAAGTATACAAAAAGTGCACAAAGGAGAGGAGACAGAACAGCACAGTTACAGGGCAGGGTGCTAGAATGGTTGAGATCACATATTCTAGAGTCCAAAAGTCTGCAGCGGAATCTAAATCTACCACTTACTAGTTAAAGGTATGGCCTCAAAATCTATACTCCCTTAGGTTTCTGTGAGGTTCAAATGCAATGTGCTTAGCACAGTGCCTGACACACGGTAGGCACTCATAAACTAGCAGCTGCTGATGACATTAGCTGCTGGTGGCAATAATCAGGATGGAAGAAGTTCCTGCCTAAAATGAACATTAAGTAGTTAAAACCAGCCCTAGGGCCAGGCACAGTGGCTCATTCCTGTAATCCCAGCACTTTGGAGGCTGAAGGGGGCAGATTACTTGAGTCCAGGAGTGTGAGATCAGCCTGGGCAACATGACAAAACCTCGTCTCTACAAAAAATTAGTGGGGTGTGGTGGGCGTGCACCTATAGTCCAAGCTACTCTGGAAGCTGAGGTGGGAGGGTCGTTAGAGCCTGGGAGGTTGAGGCTGCAGTGAGCCGAGATCGCACCACTGCACTCCAGCCTGGGTAAAAAGCGAGACTCTGAAAAATAACAACAACAAACAGAAGACCAGCCCTATGATCAAAGCTTTTCACCTTCTCTCACCTTGCGATGACTCACTTTTCAGAGCTGGGCCACTGCTCATCTCACCTGTTCCAACATTTACTCATCAGCTACACCTTTCAAGATTTCTCATGCTACATAGCACTTAAGGCAAAATTAGTATTAGTAGTAATAAAAATAAAATCATATGTCCATATAGTACTTCACAGTTCCTGCAACACAGACAAGTCAGGCGAGGTTATAAATATCGCTATTTCTACAGGTAAAAAAGTTAAATCTCCGCAACTGCTCAAAATCTTTCATAAAGTAATTGTAAATGACCATATAAGCACCTGTCTGCTTGGTAATTAATAATCCTCTTAAACTTCAGTTATCACCCCTGCACTGATAAGACCATCCTCTACAACATTTCTTACAAAAAGTCTGACAACAGTATTAAAGGTAAAAGGGATCTGAAATTCTTTTTGTTCAACTACCTTATTTTATAGATGCAGAAACGAAGGGATGGGCATTATGCGTTTTGCTCAAAGTCACACAGCTAGGCTTAAGTAACAAGGCTGATTCAAATTTACATGCCTGAATTTAGCTTTTCAAAACTGCATCTTGGCCGGGCGCGGTGGCTCACGCCTGTAATCCCAGCACTTTGGGAGGCCGAGGCGGGTGGATCACAAGGTCAGGAGACTGAGACCATCTTGGCTAACACAGTGAAACCCGTCTCTACTAAATATACAAAAAATTAGCCGGGCGTAGTGGCGGGTGCCTGTTAGTCCCAGCTACTCGGGAGGCTGAAGCAGGAGAATGGCGGGAACCCGGGAGGCGGAGCTGGCGGTGAACCGAGATCGCGCCACAGCACTCCAGCCTGGGCGACAGAGTGAGACTCCGATTCAAAAAACAGAACAACAACAACAACAACAACAACAAAAAACAACTGCATCTTGGGTATGGCACGTACACGAAGCAAAGTATTTGTGAAAGAGGTTGAGGCTATTATTGGTGATTTACGTTTGTGTATGCTTTTGTTCTCAAAGACTGAAAATGCATACCATGGCAGCATGGTAACCTACATGGATGACTCTATTATGAACAATCTTACGTCTTGGAAATGATTTGTGTGCTTATGGCAATATGAGTCACTATAAGTACTATAGCACATGAAAGACTATCCCTATCACTCTTTCATAAAAAACTGGGTCATCAGTCAATCTAAAGTTGGCAGGATGAACTTCAAAGTAACATGTACTTCCTCCAGCCTTGCAAAGAAAAATTACTTATAAAGTGATGAATTATTTCAGGAAATATACCTATTGTGTTTATGAAAGTTAGGTGAAATATGGTGAACCTGTCACAGGAAGGTCATCTTGCCTGTCTCCTTACCATACCTGTACTAGGCAAGCAATGATCTAGATCGTCAATGTCATGTATAAGGGGAAAATACACACATCAAAGATCCTGAACAAGACTTGGGCTTGGGCAGGCATAGTGTCTCACGCCTGTAATCCCAGCATGTTGGGAAGCCGAGGCAGATGGATCATTTGAAGTCAGGAGTTTGAGACCAGCCTGGCCAACATGGTGAAACCCCATTTCTACTAAAAATACAAAAATTAGCCGGGTGCAGCCGGGCCCAGTGGCTTGCATCTGTAATCCCAGCATTTTGGGAGGCCGAGGTGGGTGGATCATTTGAGGTCAGGAGTTTGAGACCAACCCGGCCAACATGGTGAAACTCTCTCTCTACTAAAAATACAAAAATTAGCTGGATGCAGCTGGGCCCGGTGGCTTGTCTATAATCCCAGCTACTCAGGAGTCTGAGGCAGGAGAATCGCTTGAACACAGGAGGCGGAGGTTGCAGTGAGCCGAGACTGTGCCACTGCACTCCAGCCTGGGCAACTGTGCAAGACTCTGTTAAAAAAAAAAAAAAAAAAAAAAAAAGACGTGGGCTCTTTGTTTCCTATCCTTCTGCCTTTTTTATACTGCATATGTGTATTATTTCTGTAATAACTTTGAGGCATATGTAAAAGTTTATGATATTTAAGTTCATAATAGCCAATGAGAAAATACTATGATAGAAAAAAATAAAAATTTTGGCTGGGTGCAGTGGCTTGCACCTGTAATCCCACCACTTTGGGAGGCCAAGGTGGGTGGATCACTTGAGGTCAAGGGTTCAAGACCAGTCTGGCCAATATGGCAAAACCCGCCTCTACTAAAAATACAAAAATATAAGCCTTGTATATTTCCCATTAGTCTAGGGAGAAAATATAAAATCCTCCTTCCTTGCAAGACCCAGCATCTTGCCTCACCTCCTTGTCCACCTTCATCCATTTCTACTCTTTCCTTGCTGCTCTCCTGCCACACTGTTTTCCTTTCCCTGTGTTCCCCAAATGTGATTACAAGCAGGCGTGGTGGCGCTTGCTTATAATCCCAGCTACTTGGGAGGGTGAGGCAGGAGGATCGCTGGAACCCAGGAAACGGAGGTTGCAGTGAACTGAGATTGTGCCATTGCACTCTAGCCTGGGAGACAGAGACAGACGCAGTCTCAAAAAAAAAAAAAAAAAAAAGAAAATTTCAAAATCAATTAAAACAGTGTTTTCACTTTTAAAAAACAGGTTAGTATAAAATATCTTCAAGTTTTAACTTGTCATCGAGTGAAATAAATATGAATCATGTTTACCTTACCTCATTGTAAAATCTATTTGAGGTACATTGCTAAAAATGCAAACCATTATCTTGGCATCTACCGTAAGTTCTCTGGAAATAGCTGAGTGTTATAAAATTTTTTTTTTTTTTTAAAGAATGGAAAAGAGAAAATGGGTAGAGAATTAAGCTGAAAAATCTCATGGTTTCCACAGATGTAAACAAAACCTTTACATGACTACTAAAATGCTAAGAGTTTCATCTAAGCGTCTTATGTTTTTTAAATATAGTCCTTGTGATGAGGAGGATAAATCAGATAATGACATAACATGAATGCTTTTGGAGCTATTTTAACTGTAATAACTTGTAGCATTCTGCCACGTGTTGTTTTTGCCTTCAGTTGAAATAAAAGTCAAAAATTAACACTGGTTAGAAGAGATATAATTCCTCCCCTCCCAAATCAAATATAAGAACTAATATGCTCTACTTTTATGCATTTCTTAAAACATGAGTTAAAAATATTTGGGGATTTATTAAGAAATCACTTATCTTACAAAGTTAACTTAGATGACCTACATACATACCCTTTAGCCTTTAATGCTGCCGGCCTTGAGGTCTGCCTTCAGAGGCCAACATAAGACCCATGCTGCCTTACATACTCAGGGTGTTCACTTACTCACTTAGTGTTGGGAAGAGCTGTTGAAAGGAGTCAACTTACGCAATGCCCATTGTACAATGTTGAATGAGGAGCACAGGAAATGCACGGACATGAACCCTTTCTGTGTCATACTCACCTAAGGTCAACTGGTCACTAACCATCAGCAATTGTTAATTTTATGTGTGTCAATGGGCTCGGCCATGGTACCCAGATATTTGGAGGATCAAATTGAGAATGTAATATTTTAGTTGCAATCTGAAAGATAAGAATTACCCTAGAGAATGTAGTGAAAAATGCCATCAGCAGAGAGGATAGCATGAGTGGTGGCCTTGAGGCAGAAGGAAATTCAACACATTTGGGGAACACAGGGAAAGGAAAACAGTGTGTCAGGAGAGCAGCAAGGACAGAGTGGAGAGGGATGAAGGTAGAAAAGCAGGTGAGGCAAGATGCTGGGTCTTGCAAAGAAGGAGGATTTTATATTTTCTTCTTAAACTATTGAGAAGTATACAAGGCTTATGTTTAAGCAGAAGAGGAGCAAAATTAGATTTTCTTTGTAAACTGATGAATTTTCTATGTGGATAATGGACTGAGAGGAGAAAACGACCAAGTCTAGAGAACCACTCATTAGGCAACAACAGTGATCTGGAAATTGTTCCAGTTCATCTGTTTTCTGAGCTTATTGGCATAAAGGTGATCAAAATATCCTCTTATCATTAGTTCCACATCTAGTATCTAAAATTACCTATTCCCTATTCATGCATGCTTTCTATTTTATAATTATTAATCTTGCCAGAGGCTTGTCTTTATTAGCCTTTCAAAGAATCAACTTGGCTTTGTGGATCCACAGCATTGTATGTTTATTATGTCACAGTCTGATTTTTCTACTTCATTAATTTATGATATAATCTTCATTGTTTCCTCCTTTCTACATTCTTGTATATATTAAGCTATCATTTTCTAACTTGGGTGTTGAACTCGTGAATCTTGAACTTTTATTCTTTCTAATGTAGCATCTGGACTAAGTTTTGTTTTGTTTTTTTTTTTTCTTAAATAGTACTTCAACAGACCAAAATAGAACTGGGATAGTTCTTAAAAAATAAAAAGACCAGAAACAACAAAAAAGTACCACTTCTGTTGCCTCCAACATGCATTCATATGTAGTGATTGCACCTCCATTCTGTGTAAATATTTCAGAAATTTCATTATGATTTCTTTAATTTCGGAAGTCTCTAGAAGCATGCTTTGAAATTTTTAAATACCTCTATGTCGCTTTTCTTACCATATTTCTTTTTACTTCTAGCTTATTGCATTATCAGAAATATGCATGGAAGTTTTTTACATGGTGAAGCTAACTATAGTCCAGCAAATCAGTTTTTAAAAATGCCCCAAGTATTCTTGATAAATATGAACATTTGAGAGCAGATGAGATTATTTAGGTAGAGAGTTTCATATGGTAAAAAAGGGAAGAAAAGCTGTTTTTCTCTTTCTTTTTTAAAAATTATTTATTTGATGAATAGAAATTGGACATATTTATGGTATAAATGATATATTTATGGTATATAACATGATGTTTTGATATAAGTATACATTGTGGAATGTCTAAAACAAGCTATTTAACATACACATTATCTCATGTACTTATCACTTTTTGGTGAGAACTTTTTCCTTTTAATTGACAAATAATAATTGTATATATTTATGAAGTACAGTGTGATATTCTGATACATGTGTAATGATCAAATCAGAGTAATTAGTGTATTCATTACTTCAAACATTTATCATTACATTGTGTTGAGTATATTCAAAATCCTCTCGTCTAGCTCTTTGAAAATATACCATAAATTATTAAGTACTATTTTTAGCTAAGACGGATATGAAAAGATATCAAGGGCAATATGATTTACATAATTATAGGTATCTTAAATACCATATTTTTGAATATCTAAATTTTCTTGGAACAACTAGATGTATATCAATTTTTCAGTTTAAATGAGGTATTAGGAAACAGGTGATATTTATTTTAAGCCACAGGGCAACATACATAATATTTTAGTGCTTGGATAGAAAATAAAAAAGAAAGATATACAACCAGCTCATCTGAAGATGTTGAAATGAGATAATGTAACAGCTATCTTTTTTCCCATTTTATTTTCCTCCCTTAATGGAGACGGGACAAGAGCACACAGTTGTAGGTAATAGAATTTAAGCATTTTAAAAATCAAGATTCATCACTTTCTTTCTTTTTTACCTTTGTTTCCTAACATTTATGTCTTTCATTTTGTAGTAGAAATTCTAGGAAAAATTTCTATATCAGTTGTCATAGACTTAGGGCTTATCAACGACATCCTTTCAAGACACTTCCATACAAGGATTATAGTGGAAGGGAAGATATTTTAAGCCAAATGATACTTTGCAATAAAGTTAAGTATGCTGCCCTGTGTGAACACAGCAATATAAAGAAGTGTGGCTCAGAAAACTGGTCCAAAGACTTGAAACCAAGATCTCATAAACTGTAGAGAGGGACAGTGCCACAGAAATGCACTGTCATTGAGTCATCCAAGTAACTTACACTGAGTCACAGTAAACACCCCATCTGAATGCCACATGAATGCTGAAACTGATGGTTTGAGTACATTTTAAAGTAAAAACAGAACTCTGAAATATTAAGTGTAGCAGAACTCTATTATGGACAATATAAATCATAAAAATAAAGGCCTAGAATAGTCACACTTTAAAATACTGTGACTGGAAAATTTTGATCCTTATCCTTCAGGCTGGTTAGTAGATAGACAGGTGTTAATCCTCACATCCTGACATCAGTGAAGCAAATGAGTTAGGGAAGAGTGTTATTTGTTAGCATATATTACCAAGACACTATTTTTCTTTTAATGTCCTTAGGCTGACTAGATAGGCATTTATTTGGAAAGTGATGGTAAACCTGTATGTCTTTAACCTGTCTAAAAAGAAATGCCCTATAATCTCAGAAACCAAAGTTAAAATATACTTGCAAGAATGTTTTTCAGGATCCCATGTTCTCAAGAATGGGAGTTCTCAGTCATCATGTGAAGCTATCATCTGCCTCCCAATCTCAGTTCCAGGCTTGAAGATAATGTCCAAAAATGAAAGTTACTGTTGTCAAGGTTTAGGATAGAAAGATAAATACAATATATTACCAAGGTCATATATGTTTGCTGAAGCATAGTATTTGGATTCAAGTCCATTAGGAATCATCCTGCCTGGCATGATTTAGGGAAGCATTTGATGTATTTTGCTCACATCTTTGCCCACAGGAGTGAGCCACAGGGAAGGGAGACGGAAGCCTCCTCAGAATGTTGATGCACCAGGCAACGCCAGCTCCTGGTCCCCACATCACTGCCTTAAGGCTCCATTTGCAATGATAGGGACAGTAGTCCCGGTCATTCTTGAGACCAAAGATACTTAATTCCTGTCGTATATATTCTAATTTGTTTCCAGTCAGCATGATTTCACCCAGAAAATGTTGCAGTAGACTCTGGAGGAAGGCAGAATGAGATAGTAGACGCTTAAAAGTCTGTTTTTGGGCAAGAATCCTCAAATTTATGATGGCATTGCATTAAATACTTGCTTTCTGCTGATGTAGGTAATTTTTTTACGTTAATCGTTGGAAGAAGGCCCAAATCCTTCAGTGGAGCTCAGAATTGTTTAGTAAGCAGGGATCGTTTGTGCTGCGTGTTAACATAATGTATGACACCATTGTTTTATTTGGGCAACTGCTCAAAAGAGATGAGTAATAAACTGCTTTCTAGGTAATAGTCCTCGGGTTGCCAGTCGAAGATATTACAAAGTTCTGGTTGCCAGAATTTTAGTCTTACAGCCATTCATTTGAGTCAAAGTATCAATGGAGAGGGAAGTATAAAAGAAAAAGACAGCTGTAATTTTATATTTTAATACAGGTAAATCAGTTACTGGAATTGTTTTTTATTAAAGGTAACAATAATGAAGTTTTTTTTTTTAATTCATCCAGTGAAAAGTTCTAGTAAAGAACCTTTAGAATTAAGCTGACGTGTTTCCTTTGTTCAGGGCAACAGTTGTTTACCATTTTAATCACAAACGGTTCTTTGGCCTGAAGCAAACACTGCAGTGTATCAAATTACAAGCATAAATGCAAACTCCTCGGCCGACTTACTTTTCTGTGTTATATAACCACCTTACCTACTTCAAACAACTTTTATAATTGGGAAATATAAAAATGTAAGATATTAGTATTATTTTGTGAATTTACAAAAACAGGTTGCATTACCTGCAGAATCTTAAACGTGACTGAAAAGCATCAGTGGACTTGAATGTAAAAGCCATATCGAACTCTGGCAATGAAATACTGAAAACTATTTGAAGAGGAGTAATTTAAGGCAAAATAGTAAAAACACATCCAATTCACTTTGTGGTACATCATTCCTTTCCTTCATAATACATGTAACAGTTTCTCTAATAATGATTTTTAAACTAACATGTACTGAGCATTCTTTATGAATCAAGCACTCTTGTATTTTACATATATTAACTGAATTGATCCTGATCATAGTCCTATCCTATACATTATGAAAAAACAAAGACATGGAGAGGCTACATAGCTTGCCTAAATTCACACAGTTGGTAAAAGGTAGGGCTGGTGCTTGAACACAAGCAGTGTGGCTCAGAGACTTGATTTTCAACTACCTGGCTATAACATCTTTCTTTACCTTCGTGACTTTCATAGACATGTACAAAATTATGTTAGAGAAAGATTTTGAACATATTTGTGCTATTATTATTTCTCCTAGTCTCAGTTGATATTACTCAGATATCTTCTTAATACCGAGAGATAATGTGCCTCAGGCTGTCAATAAATTTTGGGTCAAACCTATGTCTTCAATTCCAGTGAAACATCTCTCAGCAACTTCCTTCTGCACCAATACATAGAAATTGAGGTCGGGTAGGGGCAGGTGGTTAAGGCCCAGACTGATGTAAATTCACGTTGTTTTTCTTCCCTGAGGTTTTAATTCAAAATCTCTATTCCTTCTTTGCCATGTTTTCTGTGACCTTTCTTCTCTCAACCCTGAATTGTTTTCTAACTATGGCTAAAAGGTGTGACTCTCAATACGCGAATATTGGAATTGAAATTCTTCTGCTTAAATACATGTATAGATCTATGTTTCCATATCGTAGTTAGTTTTTACCAAACAAGGTTCTTCCCACCTGGGGACCAATAAATATACAGGCTGTTCCTCACTATAAATATTTTAAAGATTCTGAAAGGTATAAGTATATGACCTTAGCCATTCCTAAAACATCAGACATTCTGAGTATGGAAGTCATATGGATGCACTCTCTGACAGGCATGGAAATCAACAGCATTACAGTATTTTGACAGCTGAGCTAGGCGCTCTGAGGCAGTCCCCTGTGTAAGGGTGAAGAGAAATGCATTACCACTAGAACTGCCTCAAAGCAAGAAAGAAAAGCTGGAATACTGTCAGGTTTTCCTGGACAAGGTGAACACAAGAGGAATATGGAGACCAATCTGTATGAGACGGAGAAAGACCTAAAAGATTATCAGCAGAGTCCCCTAAAATGATAAGGTCAAGGACCCAACAGGACTGTTGTTTTTGGCATCACTACAGGCCCAAGTGGCTGCAAATTTCAGGTGTTCAGCAGAAGCGGCATTCAACAGCATCAGGCAATGATGAAGGGAACAGATGGCAAAAGAAATGTGACAATATCAAGGTGTGCCTTTGGAGAAAAGTGATGCACATTCCCAAGGTGCAGAGCAATAATAAATAAAGCACCCTTTTTCAAATAATCATTATAAAGCTATCTTTATTAAGCCTTCTAGGGCTTTATTAAATCAATTCTATAAATAAAAATGTATGATTAATGTTAAGTGCATTTTCAAGTTCACTTTTCTCTTCTAAAAGAAATATGAGAGAAAAAGCAAGCAAGAAATTCTCTGTTAATGTACCCCTTTCTTTATAAGGCAAGGGCTAAAAAACAGCTAAGGATGTTATGGGGTAAAAGAAGAAAACACAGGCTAGGTTAAAATCCCCAAATCCAATCTCCGTATGTGACAGCTAAAACAAAAGTAATGAAAGGCCAGAAAGATGACATAGCTTCACTGGCAGTCACACTAAAGTAAACAGAACAGTAACATTAATGGTAGAAAATCTGTGTGATTTATTATTCATTTAGATGACTTGTCAAGTTATAGACCAAGTATTTTTGTAACTGTTCATTATATATAGAAAATTAAATACACGAAATAATTTGGTCATTTCCAATTCAGTTACAGGCAACCAGACACATCTTACATAGCACAACTAAAGTTATTGCATATGAATCCATCTGTGTGACAAGCAAAATGATAAGCCATGTGGCCAATCTGGTCACCTTGAAGACTGTGTAGCGATCTCATATCAACTATTAAGATGGTTGAAAAGATGTTATCAGTTTAGTGGGATATCATCTGTGCATAAAGACATATACAAAAATATACCAAATGATAAATACTACCCAGCCCAACTTTACCTTCAGTAGATAACTGAATGCTTACGGAAATGTGTGAAGGATCCAGAATAGTATCAGTTAAAGAATTAGTCATGTACTCCAGACATTTTTTTAAGTATGCTTATAAATGGTACTGAATGAGGGAATAAATTTAAGCCTATTGTTGTTTAAGGAAAATAACCTATCAAGACATATGTGATACTATTTAATTAGAATAAACTTTCTCTTATCCAGTGGTGATTAAAATCAAGTAATTAAAATATCCAGAGATAGTTCTAAAATAAGAATATGCCATATATTGTTTCTCAGAAGTCAAAAATAAATTTTAAACAATTTTACATTGAATTTCATTCATCGAATTAAATCTTATTCTGAGTGTATTTACTTTTTATCATGTGACGGTAAATGGAATGGACAACTCTTCATTTGAAATTGTTACAAAATAAGACAGTGAATCAGAGGAAGCAGTTCTTCCAAAGACCTTAGGAAATAAGAATAACTAACTAATGAAGAATAAAGATAACCAATAGCTCCAAGAACCGCAGAGCCATAATGAGGTCATTCAGGGTAGGGGCACGGTCAACATTCATTGTATCTTAAATCTTCATACAATGTTTAAAATAGATCCAGAAGACAGTGTTTATATAATACAGTAGGAAAATTTTGTAGTAACTTTGTAAAAGATTGCCAACAAAAGTCTATTGTGATAACTCAAGTATAAATATTCCACAGGAATCATTTCTACTGTCTAGCACTTTCTATCTTGTCCTTTTGAGAATTTTGTAACTCTTTAAATAATACAAATTGCCATCATTATATTAGTTTTCAGAAACATGTGACGAGGCGCCCAGAGGGTATAAAGTTGTGACAGCTATGGAGGAAACACGTGGCACGTTCAAGTCAGCTCTTGTGCAGCACTAGTTGTTCCTGTGCATTCTCTATCTCTGTTCCCAGGGAAAGGCTGACAGACTAGAGGATTCACAGGGAATGAGGCTCGAGGGTTCACTGTTGTGGTTCTTAACAAGAACATTTTCCTGCCAATCCAGGAAAATATGCACAAAAGAGAGAGAGATTGACAATAAAAGGTAGGAAAACCCTGGAACAATTTTAGGTGGAGCAGTCCAGAGAAAAGTCATGAATATAGAATAGGCAATGTATTAACATAGACTTCAGCTGTACCTTCGCTCCACACTGCTTTGTACACATCTTTAATCATTTCATCTTCATTCCCAGCTGCAGTAACAATGTCATGGGGGCACATAACAGTGTAGGGGAATCTGGCTGATCTTGTACATTTCCTCCCCCTACTCTCTCTCATCACAGTGATGAGGCCTCTGAGGTTGTCAAACGTTGTTGCACATTGACGTCATCAAAGTAATTATGAAAGCTTGGGCCCAATCCCAGACCAAGTGAATTTGAATTGGGGAGTGGGCACCAAGGTGTGGATATTTTTGAAATTTCCCCAGATTAGATCATTCACCATGTTGAAATATCCCCTATATACATACACCTCCCCAAAACTGAGACACAAAGCTGAGGCTGGGGCTGCATTAGCTGACAGTCTGTCATCATCTACCCACTTATGCACAATCTCTATAAAAGAAAGATAATGCATTAAACCATCTACAGCATGGGATGCAAAATTAATGGATGCAAGCAGAACAAATAGTTGAAGTAAGCATATTGAATATCATCAAATAGATAAGAATTTTGGGTATATAAGCATGCACAAGAAGACTGTACAACTGTAGATAATAAACATAAAAGTGAAAATTAAAAATTCACCAGATTGACTAAAGAGCAAATGATTTAGGGTAAAGAGTGAATTTGTGAGCCAACAATGTAGATTGTGAAATGTTCTCAGGAGCCATCAGTAAGGAATAAAAGGATGGAAAATGTAAAAAAAAGTTTAAGAGATGTAGAGGACACAGGCAGAAATGGCAAAAACTAAGATCCTCATCAATGGCAGAGATTTCCATGAGCTCCCCTCCTTCTTCTTTACTGGAAAACGTCCATTGCCCGATCCTCCTGGATTAAGTGCTCATGGCTTCTAGTGCCTCCAGTACTACTTCCATTCTGGGTCTCTGAGGTCAGTAATTTCTCACACATCTGATCATCAGAATATTCCCAGAGGGACTTGCTTAGTGTGGCAACTGGAAAAAGGAGTTGTCCTCTAGGGAGAGGCTGGTGAGAAGAATCTCACTGGCAGGTTGTATTGGACATAGTAAAAAAAAAAAAAAAAAATTACTGTTTCCCAATTATACTGCAGATATTTACTGTGTTTCCCAATTTTACTGCAGATATTGCTATGACCAATATCTAATATTTAAAGAAATATGTTCATCAAATGTAATCTGTAATTGTTTTTGTTTTAGAGAAAATCTCTTACTTAATTTCTTGTAAAATTAAACTGCAAAGAAACAAACAAACAAAAAAGGCCAATCACCAACGCAACTCTTTAAATTAGTTGGCTGGGGATGAATCAGGATTCAGAGTTCCTCAGAGACGCCTGGAACCAACAACCTTCACCAGAGAGGCATAGGGGACACTGAGCTGGAAAGGCAGACAAACCACCAAGATACATAAGAGAGCTAACGTTCAAAATGTCATGCAGCATGCCTGGTGGGGGTAGTGAGGAAATGGATGCGGCAGAAAAGAATTATATCTGATGGAAACAGAGGGAAGTTTAAGAGAAAACACAAAATTTGGAAGCCAGAGAGGTAAAAAAAGAATGTAATAAGTCCTGATCAAATAAAGTACTCCAATGGGATGCTGAGTAACTGCCAGCTTTGTAACTGGCTTTTAGTTTCAGCAGAGGCCTCATAAATGGTGAAAGGAAGCAGGGTAATGGTTCAAGCAAAGAGCAGTGAGATCTTTCTGATATTACAATTATGCTCATAGCATTTCCCCAGCCTAAGGGAATAGATGCATCTCCTATTCTTTACAGACAATGTCTAGCTTTCTGATTCTTGGAGTAACTTTCCCACCTTATGTTAGAGGGAGCCTTTTACTTGGAGTGATCCAGTGTTAGAAACCACATTTTGTTGACAAGCCTGAGAATGCCCTTCACCTGGCTAGACAAGTAGCTCTTGGGAATATCATTTTCCTTTCCTGAGCAAACACCTCCTCCAGACAGTGGCTTTAGGGAGAAGGCAGGCAAGACTACCACTGGCTGTAGAGCTCCACACCACAAAATCAAGACTGCAAGGGTAGAGGAAATCCATGAGAAATAGGAGCAACAGGGTTGGCACACAGAAGGAACTGTGTCCAACTAGGTGTTTCTAATATCCCAAAGCAAGAGGGCCCAACTGGGAAAGGGCCAAGTTTAAAATTTTGCCTATTCAATATTTTGTCTGATTTTCAACAAGAATTTTATGTAATGTTCCTAAAATATTTTACTTGTTTTATTTTAGCACTATTTGCAAACATTAAGAATCAGGTTACATAAGCAAAAACTCATCTCTGTAGCTGTCATATCTTCCTTTAATGCAGCTGCTTCTAATCTTTCCTGACCACCAGAAATATGTTCTAGCTGTAGAGAACTCTTATCCCATTTGTAAATTATACTATCTTAATATCTTGCCTAAACATTGATTCTCAGTACCCAAAATGTTCCATTCCTGCCCGACAAATTTCTAGTCCATTTGCATGATCCAGCCACCAGAAATCATAAACACTTAATAGCTCCCTAAACAGAAACCCTAAAAACTCCATATAAAGATCTACTTAAGAACGGGTGGGCACAGGAATCATGTCTTTCTTAGTTTTCAAGTCTACGTACTTGACACTCTGAAAATGTCTTCTACTGAAGTGTTATTATAAGAAAATAAAAATTTCCAAATTAAATAAAGGCCTGAAAATTTTAAATGTGAGACTACCATTAATTCAATTTTTAAACCACTTAATCAAATAAAAGCTATTTTATTTTCCCTTGAGCTCAACTTACTATTCTTTGAGAAAGCATAAAGGGATCACAACTATTAAATCAGATTGTTTTGTAGCATGATGACCAAAAATCATGAACAATATCTATCCTATACAAACTACTCAAAAGACCAATTAGTAGGGGCTGAAAACATTTCATCTCTTAAAATTCATATTAAATATATATAAGTTTCATTAAGAAACCCGAGAAATTTACCAAAGTAGCCCTCAGTGCCTGTAATTCTTTGGTGTAGTCTTCCTAATCCTCTAGTCTTTTTCTTTTTTTTTTTAATTTTTTTTTATTATACTTTAAGTTTTAGGGTACATGTGCACATTGTGCAGGTTAGTTACATACGCATACATGTGCCATGCTGGTGTGCTGCACCCACTAACTCATCATCTAGCATTAGTTATATCTCCCAATGCTATCCCTCCCCCCTCCCCCTACCCCACAACAGTCCCCAGAGTGTGATGCTCCCCTTCCTGTGTCCATGTGATCTCATTGTTCAATTCCCACCTATGAGTGAGAATATGCGGTGTTTGGTTTTTTGTTCTTGCAATAGTTTACTGAGAATGATGATTTCCAATTTCATCCATGTCCCTACAAAGGACATGAACTCATCATTTTTTATGGCTGCATAGTATTCCATGGTGTATATGTGCCACATTTTCTTAATCCAGAGCCCGCATCGCCAAGTCAATCCTAAGCCAAAAGAACAAAGCTGGAGGCATCACACTACCTGAATTCAAACTATACTACAAGGCTACAGGAACCAAAACAGCATGGTACTGGTACCAAAACAGAGATATAGATCAATGGAACAGAACAGAGTCCTCAGAAATAATGCCGCATATCTACAACTATCTGATCTTTGACAAACCTGAGAAAAACAAGCAATGGGGAAAGGATTCCCTATTTAATAAATGGTGCTGCGAAAACTGGCTAGCCATATGTAGAAAGCTAAAACTGGATCCCTTCCTTACACCTTATACAAAAATCAATTCAAGATGGATTAAAGACTTAAACGTTAGACCTAAAACCATAAAAACCCTAGAAGAAAACCTAGGCATTACCATTCAGGACATAGGCATGGGCAAGGACTTCATGTCTAAAACACCAAAAGCAATGGCAACAAAAGCCAAAATTGACAAATGGGATCTAATTAAACTAAAGAGCTTCTGCACAGCAAAAGAAACTACCATCAGAGTGAACAAGCAACCTACAAAATGGGAGAAAATTTTCGCAACCTACTCATCTGACAAAGGGCTAATATCCAGAATCTACAATGAACTCAAACAAATTTACAAGAAAAAAACAAACAACCCCATCAAAAAGTGGGCAAAGGATATGAACAGACACTTCTCAAAAGAAGACATTTATGCAGCCAAAAAACACATGAAAAAATGCTCATCATCACTGGCCATCAGAGAAATGCAAATCAAAACCACAATGAGATACCATCTCACACCAGTTAGAATGGCGATCATTAAAAAGTCAGGAAACAACAGGTGCTGGAGAGGATGTGGAGAAATAGGAACACTTTTACACTGTTGGTGGGACTGTAAACTAGTTCAACCATTGTGGAAGTCAGTGTGGCGATTCCTCAGGGATCTAGAACTAGAAATACCATTTGACCCAGCCATCCCATTACTGGGTATATACCCAAAGGACTATAAATCATGCTGCTATAAAGACACATGCACACGTATGTTTATTGCGGCATTATTCACAATAGCAAAGACTTGGAACCAACCCAAATGTCCTCTAGTCTTTATGACCCTCTGATGGCTGCAGTCTTCCCTAGGGTAGATTGTACTACGGCCTCTTCCACATATGCTGGTTCTAGCTCATCATGCTCATTATCTTAATGGACAACTGTAGCCCTCCAACTGATTTCTCAGTCACTACAAGTAACAGAAATATTTTCATTATTGCCTATACCTTCAGCTATCAAATAGCAGACACATTTTATTTACTTCCCTTTTGAACTATTTTTCCCAGCTTAGTAAAAACAAACCAATAATCTCTTACATGTCAAACATAAAAAAGGAGTATATAAGGTTCAAAAATAAAAAAAATCAAGATCCAGATATAAATGAAGTTGAATAGTATTTTTAATATGAAAATTTCAGAAACAGGGGTTTTCCACCTCTTAGCAAAAAAAAAAAAAAGGAAAGAAATTTAACCAAATTAACAGACTTGCAGTAATTTAAATTACATTTATCATTCTCAGAATTTTTAATTATACTCCAAAAATATTTTTAGTTGTATGATAAAAACTAAATCAACTTAGAATTATCTTGAGACTATCCAGCCTTAATACATTAGCCAGATCAAAGCACTAATGTAGAAACATTTAATACGTAAAAGAATAATGCAAATTAGATAACTAGATTTATCTGACTCAAGCCAAATAGATTGGACAAAAATTGCTAAATGAATAGTAGATTTGATCAATAAATGTGCAATTCTCTGGGAACTAGTTCAGATACTTGGTAAACAGTGGAAATAAAAAGCCTGATAGGACAATTCTTTAGAAAAACTGTTGCTCTCTTAATTAAAATTCTATTTTCTTTTTCTCCATCTCCTTAACTTTATGAAATACTTGTCAGTTATTTACAGAGGTACTGGTTTAGAAACACAACTAGAATGCATTTGACACAGCTATTATTATGATTATCATTACTAATATTTATTTAGACAACACTTAATATTATTCCAGGTCTTCCATACATATTTTCTCATTTAGTCCTCAGAATTGCCCTCATACATAAGTATTATCCTAGGGGTAGAACATAACTCCCTATTCCTTAAGTGTGTACTGCACACAGTGACTTCCTTCCAAAGAGTATAATACACACAGATAGGAAAAAGAGTAATCTTACAGTAGGGAAATTTGAAAAACAGTCCTTCAGCCAAATGATCCAGATAAATATTAACAGTGATAAGTCATGTTAACAGTATGTACCTCGATATGCTGTGATGAAAATGGCAACAGTCCTCTGTGGTCTTCCTTCCCAAAACCTACAACCCCAGTCTAATCATGAGAAAAACATCAGACAAATCCCTATTGAGGGGCAGGCTACAAAAATATCTGACTGATGTGTTTCAAAACTTAGCTTGAGTTAATCATTTTACATTATGTTGCTTTGTACCTCGTAAAAACACACAACTATAATGTCAATATATTATTTAAAAATAAAAATAAATAATATATAAAAAGAAAAACCTGATATAGCAATCAGTTCTTCAGGATTCAATTCAGGGTATAAAATCTACTCAATTTTTCTCACCTACAAACTAGCTAAACAGCAATCATTTTAATGCAAACTAATGTTTTAAAATTTTTCTTCTAATTTTTTTTTTGGTAGAGACATGGTCTCACTGTTGCCCAGGTTGGTCTGAAATTCCTGGCTTCAAGCAAGCCTCCTGCCTTGAGATACCATTTGACCCAGCAATCCCATTACTGGGTATATACCCAAAGTAACATAAATTGTTCTACTATAAAGACACACGTATATGTATGTTCATTGTAGCCCTATTCACAATAGCAAAGACATGGAATCCACCTAAATGCCCAACAATGATAGACTGGATAAAGAAAATGTGGTACATATACATCATGGAATACTATGCAGCCATAACAAAGAATGAGATCATGTCCTTTGCAGGGACATGGATAGAGCTGGAGGCCACTATCTTAGAAAATGAATGCAGGAACAAACAACTAAATACTGCATGTTCCTGCTTATAAATGGGAGCTAAATGATGAGAACACATGGACACGTCCAGGGAAACAACTCACACAGGCCTATCAGAGAGTGGAGGGTGAGAGGGAGAGGATCAGGAAAAATAACTAATGGGTACTAGGCTCAATACCTGGGTGGTGAAATAATCCATACAACAAACTTCCATGACACAAGTTTACCTATATAAAAAACCTGCATATATACCCCTGAACTTAAAATAAAAGTTAAAAAGGAAAAAAAAAAAAGAAGCAATCCTCCTGCCTCAAACTCCCAACATGTTGAGATTACAGGCGTGAGCCACATGCATGGCAAAATGCTTAGTTTCTTAATGCATCCACTAGTTTGTATTTTATTTGAATAAAAATGTAAAGATAACAAATATAAAATAGATCAACTGATAGCTGAATAAATAAATGTCTGAAACCTGTACATAACAACACTGTGAAGATGATAAAAAATAAGATAAACCTGAGAAACTGTCATTATAGCAAAGAGTAAACAAAGGAGACATGACAACAAAATACAACATTGTATCCTGGATGGGATCCTGGAACAGAAAAAGGACATGAGATAAAAACTAAGGAAATTTTAATAAACTGTGTATGTTACTTAACAATAGTGCATCAATCTTAGGCCATTAATTGTGACAAATGTGCTACATCACTATAAGATATTAATAAAAGGAGAAACTCCTTTTGGAGAATATAAGAACTATCTGTATGTATTATCACAACTTTCCTGTTAATCTAAATCTATTGTGAATCAAATTATTATTTAAAAAACATGGGAAAAAATTCATACACACGGTGATTTGGCTTGGATATCTGTCCCCTCCAAATCTCATGTTGAAATGTGATTCCTAATATTGGACATGGGGCCTGGCAGAAGATGTTTGGGTCATGGGGATGGACCCCTCATGAATGTCTTGTTGCCCTCCCCATGGTAATGAGTGAGTTCTTGCTCTGTAAGTTCAGGCAAGAGCTGGTCATTTAAAAGAGCCTGGCACCTGTTCTATCTCTGTCTTGCTTCCTCTTTCACCATGTAATACACCAGATCCCCCTTCACCTTTCGCCATGATTGTAAGCTTCCTGAGGCCCTCGCCAGAAGCAGATGCCAGCACCACACTTCCTGTACAACCTGCAGAACCATGAGCCAAAATAAACCTTTCTTTTTAAGTTATCCAGCCTCAGGTGGTATTTCTTTATAGCAGTGTAACAGACTAACACACATACAAACTCGAAGACACACACACAAATTGGTATTACCTTAATTTACAGTTGAGAAAACAGAGCTTCTTATAGATCCAGTGATCTGTCTAGATCACAAAGGATGAATTTGGATCATAATAGGATTTTCAAATCTAAAAGCAAAGCTTTCCTCCAGTAAAACCGTTGCCTCTTTATTGCACATTCATTGTAAATAAGGACTTTAAATTTCCATCTTAGTTAAAAACAGTATGTTTTACTCTGCCGAAGGATGGGCAGGAAGTTAAGGGCTGATTGTTAGGGATTTTATATAGGTGCATGAAACATATCAGACTTCCACACTGACGAACTGCTGAGCAAGGGTCTGATTTTTCCCCCACTAAGGCACATGGCTTGGGCAGGCCTTTTTTGAAAGTGGTGGAATTCAATCATTTAGATCCCAATTTCTGCAGTCATGGCTTTAGGGAACTTTTCTATAGATGCTGGATTCATTTTCTCCTACTGTTATCTTTTCATTTATCCAGAGGTCATTCTTATCTCTTCTCTTGGTTGAATCTCAAGGTTGTCCCAGCTTATTTTTGTAATATGTCTGCACCTGGTGTCCCTGATCTTATTAAAACAGCTCATCTCCTATTTTCAGCTTTTTTTCTAGGCAGTATTTTTAACCCATTTATTCTTCTTTCACTAATTCTATCTTCAATAGTTAAATACATTCTAAGCCAAGTTTATAACCTGTAATGTTCTAAATACTTATTTTTTTTAATTCCATTGTTTTCTTTATCAAAGACAGGAGTAATAGATTAGGTTTGTATTTGTAAAAATAATTTTATTAATTTACGATTAGCATGTGTCTAATAAGAATCAATCTTTTCAGTTAAACAGGCAAATGGGCTAATGTTCTCTCTTTCTGAAATCAAAAACTGAATGGTCAAATCGACTTCACACAACAACCTCCAATCTTAAATGATCCAAATATGTGGTTATGTCACCTACTGCTTGGTTTTCTCTTTTAAATAAAGTGTTGTCTAGTGTAAAATACTGATCTCTTTCCCATCTCAGAAGAAAAGCCCAAGACATTCAGAATTCAATAAACTTATTTTTGAATCAAACCGACTTTTTCTGAGAAGAAAGACAAACTACTGAAGGATGCATATTTATTTTGTCACCATCTTGCTATCTTCCCTTCTCCCTTCTCACTATATCCTTCCATAATCACCCCATCTCTCTCTCTCTCTCTCTCTCACACACACACACACACACCCCACACACACCATCCATCAGGGGAACTACAGTACACACTTATAACTCAGAGGGTCCCTGGTTTATAACCCTCCTAGCAGCAATACAAATGTCCACATTTTATGATCAGGTTTTCCTTGCTAGAAGCTTTTGTGAGGTCATCATAGCCAAATGTTATTTTATTTCTTTTATTTCAGAGCCTATTTAAGCAATTCTGAATATAATGTTCAAGTTTTCAAAATGCATAACTGTAGATTCATTATAATTCTGTCAAATTTCATTTGTTTTATCCTCAGTAAGCATGACCCCTGCTCTCCATACAATAATGTCTTTTCTCAGCCTCTAGTGTTTTAAATTCAGTAATTTCATTCTCTTAAATTTTATAACTAGTTGTCACTTTGCATCCTTTTAACAGTTGTTCTTTGAACACTTCATAAGGCTGAACATATTGTTATTTCACTTGATCTATACTGAGTCTACTCATAGCAAGTCGGGTTTATATTTAACCTTAAGGACCTACATCCATTCAACAAACATGTTGAGACAGTCCTTGCTCTTACAGGGCTCAGAATGTCTTAGCATGTTACCTGTGTATACATAATAGTAAATACATATGGACAATGCACTTTAGAACCTGTACAAGGTAGAGTAGAGTAGAGAAAGGAGTAACCTTCCAGCAGTTGGGATCATTTACTAGAGGTCATACCTATGCTGATGTTTGAAGTATGTGCAAAAAATGTAGCTTCTGTGGAAACAAAGCTACAAACAAATGAAAAGTCAAATCTAGTTTACAATTACTTTTGCCTTTTGCTGGCATATGCCATTCTCCTAGCAAATATTCAACTTTTCTAGATAGATTAATGCCCTCTAAGGGACCTACCATTTATGGGGCTTAATATCATTGAAAAGAAAGCTCAGTTTAATATTATTTATAATTTATTGCCATGAATTCTGGTAGAATAAAAGCTCCTTTTGTTCACCAATGCATTATAAGCATGGAGTATAAACACTATGCATTGAACAAATATTTGTTAATCTGACTAAATGAACAAATATCCTAGTATTTCATTTTATAAACATGAACAGAGCACTTACCTTATGGGTTATACTAGACCTCACTATCCTATTAAAGGTGATACAAAAAGAAACAATACTGTAAGTATTTGCAACATTTACTTTACAGTTAAAGGGAAGGCAATAGTAAGGTCAGTTGGTCAGTTAAGTTACTTTTCAACTCTGAAATAAAAAATGCTTTCTAGGAACAGAAGGGTAGGCTAATGGTAAGGAATAGTCATAACACAGGAAGGGCATCTAGCTTCACTGGCTGAAGCTAGAAAAGTCAAAATGCAATGACTCTTTTTCTTTTTTTTTTTTTTTCTTTGAGACAGAGTCTCGCTCTGTCACCCAGGCTGGAGTGCAGTGGCACGATCTCTGCTCACTGCAAGCTCTGCCTCCCGGGTTCACGTCAAATGACTCTTCTTTTGAACAGGACTTGCTTCACATCTTCTTTTCCCTCCTGATTGCTTTGTCCAGGGTGCCTGTGCTAACACCTCTGCTGTGTTAATAAAATTTCCTTTTCTTGCCAGCCTTCAAGAAGAAAGATGATTAAAATGCACCTAGTTCTGCACTCAGGAGCCTATACTTAAGATCAGTGGCTAAAATAGGCTTTCAATTTCCAAAACTATGAATAAGTTACCAGAGTGAGTTTCCAGTGAGTCGGCTGTAAGGCATACTAATGCCTGTCTAATGCCATATCAGGTCTCTCCCTGACCTAAGAAATCACTCCCTGCCTAAGCCCTCATTCTCCCCTAAATATCCCCTACTATGTTAGTTGCCTTTTGTCTAAAACAAAATCACTAAAAAAAGCAAGACCAAATAAAACCTCATATGAACAAAGTAGGCCTTTTAAGCAAAAATGTTTTATGTGATAGCCACACTGCCTGATGCACTGTAAATGTTAAATGTTAAATAATGGTTTACAATAAGAGGGAAGACGGAGAGCTTACGACTCAGAAAACTACATTTTCATTTCTGACCTAGGCAAAATGAATCATGTTGCTATTGTTCGCCTATCTCAATAACTTAGAAATGTTGTCATTTCTTTTACAGAGAAGACACAGTATAAAGTTGGAATACTGCAGAAAGAAAAAGAGAACTATCACTGAAATTAAGTCAAAATATTTGGTTGAGTTCTATTTAACATATCTTAAGTTGCATAGCCATGATTCAGAGGTTTCATCTTCCATTTACAACAACATAATAATTTTGAAATCACCATAAAAATCCCAAGAACCTAATGTGGTAGCTTCACAAGGAAGCATGCCTCCTGCCTGCCTTCCTTTCCTTTCCTCCTTTCACCATACATCACCTCCACATTACAGATGAAGAAAATGAAGATGCTGGCACAAGTGGATTAAGGGCCTTGTCCTGTAACTGAACTGTCATTTGAACCCACGTCTGTGTAACTCCAGAGGTAAGATTTTTGGAGAGCAATAGCTACCTATATATGGATGCTACCTATATATAGTATACATGTAACTATCTAGATACTTTCTATCATGCCAAAGTCACAACTTTAGAAAAAGATAGGCTAAAGTCAGGAAATTGGATGCATTTTCAACGGAAATGTCTCAAAGAGAGTATATTATGATGATTAAAGCAAAGCTCACTAGAGTATTAGAACAAAATGACAATGTTCATACACTGGTGAGGGTGCACTGTGTGTGTTATTTAAGGCATTTATGTAACTACACAACCCTACTATGAAGCAATTGGGTGACATCTATCACAACCTAAAATAGCAACAGTACTTTGGAGAATCAATCCTAGACAAATAATTTAAACGTGTGGGAAATGTGATATGTACAGAAGGATCCACCTTATCCTTATGTTTAATAGCCAAGCAAAAAAATAAAAATAAAAATAAAAAAAAGAAAGGAAAGAGAAAGAGAAAGGGAAGAGGAAAGGGAAGGGGAAGGGATTCCCAACCATTAGGACTATAACTATGTTAACAACGGAACACTGATTCCATTAAATACTATGCGGACATAAAAAATACTGGTTATTTTGAAGATTATTTTAGGAAAAGGTACAAATGCTTATGATACATGTTGGTCCCATCACTCAGCTCCAGCTACTACTGAGCACCCTGCCTCACGCATCAATGTCAATGAGAATGGAAAGAATCTGACTTGAAGATGGATTCCCTAAGCGTTCAGTCTGGTAAACTGGTGTGAATAAGTCAGAATCCAATAGGTAGCTTAATTGTTGCTTCCTAAACCCCCCAAATTTTACTTATTTGTACTAGGTAAAGGTAGAAAGCACTGGTTTAACTTAGTTGACCAAATGAGGTGAAAAGCTACATATTCAAAAAATGCACAATATGAGGAATTAGAAAAAACAAGCCCATGGTGATATTATTGGAAAGAAATATACCAGTAAGAAGACATGAAGTGATAAAAACTATACTTCTTCTTCCAGCATTTTAAAAATATTTCTATAATATGGTTCAACTGCTTCGCACAAAAAAATTTGAGTATATTTTTAACTGTATTGTCATTCCTATGAAACAGTTCCTTCACAAAACACTCATATTTAAGGAATACATGTTTTTTTTGTTTTTATTTTTGTTTTGTTTTTTACAAAATCAAAGAAAGAAATTAAAACATAAGGCAAAAAACACTTATTTTCCTTGCTACTTAAGACTTCAAATTATGCTACTTTTTTCACTTAAAAGTTTATTTTTTTTCGGATTTCTGGAGTCAATTATTGAAACTCTCTGAATAGGCTGCCAAAATAAGTATCTACTGATATTTTATTTCCACTTTGTAGAGCCCTAACTGAGCATTCATGTTACCAATAAAAACAGGATATTATCTCTCCATAGTCTAAAATCCTAAATGACTTTATCAGTTTACAAATAAAATTCAAAGAAATGATCTCTTCTACTTCTACCAAGAAAAAAGCCAACTAACCAAAATTATTAGGGAAAAAAACTCAACATTTCAACTGATAACATTCAGATGAACCTGAACAATTACAATATAGATTAAAAATTAGAAAAAATATATGAAGTATAAACATAGCTAAATGACTAAAATATCCTCATGTTTGATTAATGAATTGTGTTATGTTTCCCAGTTAACAAATCCTTTAACCATTGACCACCAGACTTCAATCTATAAATACTTTAGAGAAGTAAATTGTTTCCATTGGATAAGCATTACTGTTTTAAGTTATACATGGCTTCTAATATATTAATTTGCAAATTTTTACATTAGTGACCTCAGATAACAAATGCACTTTAACAAGTATCTTGTACTCAAACACCATGGCAGCTCATTTCAGGCAGCCTGCCAAAAGCAAGGGAATACATTGCATTTTGAAATACTGAAGTTATTTAACACTTTGTCTTGAAGATATGCCTCAAATATATTATAAATTTCCTAGCTTTATCATGCAGACATACTGATTCTAATTTAATCATTCCCTCTGGTCTCAAGAACACCACTATAAACAATCATTTTACAAGGATCCAAGAGTAGGTAGTTACGCACAGTGGGTTAGATCTGTACTGATTCTGGTTATTTCATTTATTGAGATTATAAAACATTTAGGAGACAAACATGCCTATCTTGGATTCAAAAATATCACATGGATAGTTGTATTATCAAGCCCAGAAAAATATGTTACTGTATAATCAGTGCATCAGTTTTATGAGGGGGAAAAAAATAATCCAACAATTTATAATAGCATTATAATTCTAAACTGCAATCCCCTAAAATCCCACCCTAGCGTTCATATTTTTACTACCATACTTAATAGTATAATCGATGTTTCTCTTTCTACCTCACTATTTAGCATATATTTTCCACCCAGTCACTCAATTAAAACTCCTCCCCTTCAGACTCTATAAACCACTGGGCAAAAAAAGATACCAGGAAATGGAGACTGCGTATCATCATCATACTTAAGACCAGAGAAGCAACTCAAAGCACTTCCCATTAGGTATGTTATATACATATACATATGTACACATATGCACATACATATCTATACACATATACATATGCATACATATATGTACATGTACACACACACACACACACACAACCATATAACCATTTACTGATGGAAGAGGATAACATTTACTGAGTGTATCCTATGCACTGGGCACTGCACTTAGCATGATTCACATATTATATTATTAATATTTAATCTTCAGAGCAACCCCATGAGGTTATAAATAACTAAAGACTCAGAAAGTACTCTGGCCAAGGTTACTTAGGTAGAATGTTAAGTAAGGTCTAAAGACTATGAGCTCATTAAGGCAAAGGACTATGATCTCTCTAGTTCTACATTCCAGTGCCTAGCACAGGGCCAAAACATGGGTGTTTCAATGTCTGGTAATAAAGTGATATTTGAACCTTAGTCAATAATCCAAGCCACAGCTCCATTCTCACCAAAAACAAAAACAAACAAAATTATAAAACATACTCCAGACTATGTGCAGCAGTGAGATGTATTATTATTACAGGAAAAGTGTGGGCACAGGAAATTTTATCAAACGTGGCATAGTGCACATTTTACTAAAGCAAGAAAAGATATGAATTTTTTAAATATTTCCTTTTTGCAGGCTGTGTTTGTATTTGATTTGATTCTCAAGATTTTCCAAGAGCTTGGCATGTTGATGGACTTGTCTACCAAGAATACATTTTATAAAACTCTAAAGTATTTTTCCGGAACTTCATCAGAAACGGAGGTTAAACTACTCACTTTTGTTTTACTGTTTATGCACCCATTAGGCAGCAAGTACACACTTGAGGCTCCTCGCTAGCAGTATTGCTTACTACTGAGAATCTGCATGTTCAGCTTTGCTGGCTTTTGTCAATATAGTGGTAGTTATATAGGCTGTTGGCTGTCTCTTTTCTAGATTTCTGTTTCTTTGGGCTTTGCAAGCATCATAAACTTTCTTTACTTTTAAAACCTTCTTTTCAAGTAATTGGCAATTTTGGAGTAAGTTAAAGTTTTTGAATTCAGGCTGGGTGCGGTGGCTCAAGCCTGTAATCCCAGCACTTTGGGAGGCCGAGGCGGGTGAATCACAAGGTCAGGAGATCGTAGCCATCCTGGCTAACATGGTGAAACCCCGTCTCTACTAAAAATACAAAAAAAAAAAAAAAAAAAAAAAAAAAAATTAGCCGAGCGTGGTAGCGGGTGCCTGTAGTCCCAGCTACTCGGGAGGCTGAGGCAGGAGAATGGCGTGAACCCAGGAGGTGGAGCTTGCAGTGAGCCGAGATCGCGCCACTGCACTCCAGCCTGGCGACAGAGCAAGACTCCGTCTCAAATAAATAAATAAATAAATAAATAAAATAAAAAAAGTTTTTTTTAATTCAAAAGGAGTGTCGATACACCACTATCATTGCCACCACATTTCTATATAAATTTATGACAGAAAATCAATCATGACAATCAACACCCTTTGCTCTGTGCATTATAATAATGTCATTTTCTATTGTCTCAATGTGTGCTCAAAAACAAACATAACATAAAGATGCAATTTCCTAAAAAAAAAATTCAATTTTTTCTTCCCTTTTTAGACATGCAGCTATACTGATCCACTTTTCCAAAGCCACTTATCCTCTCAAATGTATCACAGTATATATAAACTGTTCTGGCTGATTACTTAGAGCAGGGCTTAAATTACAGGAAAGCCAAGGCAGAGAGGAAATCTATATGGAAAAATTCCCCACCCATCCGACACATGAGTTTTCTAGGGCTGACATAACAAATATCACAGACTGGGTGGCTTAAACAACAGACAGTTATTGTCTCATAGTGCTAGAAGCTGGAAGTTTAACATCAAGGTAACAGCAGGGGTGTTTCCTTTTGACAGCCGCAAGGAAAGCATCTATTCCAGGCTTCTCTCCTTGGCTTATAGAGAGCTATCTACTCCTTATGTCTTTTCAAATCATCTTCCCTCTGTGCATGATTCTATGTCCAAATTTCTCCTTTATATAAGGACACCAGTCATATTGGATTAGGCTCACCCTAATCACTTAATTTTCACTTATTTACATCTATAAAGATCCTATCTTCAAATAAGGTCACATTCTGGGGTACTGGGGGTTGGGACCTTGACATACGAATTTTGTAGGGTCACAATTCAATCCATAACATCCTCCATTCAGGGACTGGTGCTTAAAAATCCTCCACAAAATGTGTAGTACGCCTGACTGATGCACTTTTTGGCCGCAACCTCCCTACAAAAATGGCATATATAGAGAGAGAGAGAAAGAGAGAGAGAGAGTGTGTGTGTGTGTGTGTGTGTGCAACTTCCCTACAAAAATGGCACATATATATATATATATATATATAGGGAGAGAGAGAGTGTGTGTGTGTGTGTGTGTGTGTGTGTGTATACATATATTACTTTAGGTCAGTGCTAGACATAGGAAAGAAGTCAATATGTATTTATCAGAAATCAAAGAGTGTGCGTGCACGTGCACACATACACACACACACACATACATTTCTAGAGATGGAATCTCACTGTGTTCTCCCAGACTGAAGTACAGTGGCACAGTCATAACTCTTTTTAGCCTTCAACCCCTGGACTCAAGTGATCCTTCTGCCTCAGCCTCCCAAGTACCTGGGACTGCAGGCATGCATCACCACACCCGGCTGATTTTTAAAAATTTTTTTAGAGATAGGATCTTGCTGTGTTGCTCAAGCTTATCTCTAACTCCTGGCCTGAAGTTCTCCTCCCACCTCAGCCTCCTGAGGAGCTAGGGTTACAGATACGACCAGCCATGCCCAGCTACAAGTCCATATTTTTGATCATTTAGAAATATCTCACATGTTTTTAAAGTATTAGAAATACAGACTGGGTAAACCCTATAGAGTATCATTATGAAGCAAGTACCTCCTAAGTGTCGGGCACATGCAGGTGATTATCTGAATCCTCAGAAATGATCATTTGAAATATGATTCAGGCCATGGCCAGGACTGCTATGCTCAGAATCCCCTGGGCCTTGGGCACAGCACATACATGATTGCCATGGCACTGACCAGTCATCATTACACAGTGGCAATGTGCTGTCCATGTGTGATAGCTAAGTACTATTATAACACAGAGCTAATACAACAATATGGCATATCTCAAAAATCGTGCCCTAACCTCAGATGTTAGTTTATACAAACATATATAGAAAACTATGCTAACGTTTCAGACACTAGGACAAGACGACTAGTGTTTCCAATGACTTGGCAAGACTGCCTTGCATTGGCCTACCAATTCCCTGCCCCTACCGATCCTCTCCCTGTGGTATGTCTACCATGATGAACTTGAGACCTGAGAAAATGAGCTGATCAAATATTTCCTATTTGATGCTACCTAAAAACCCTTTGCTGTAAGCAGAATCCTTTTACGTTACTGCAGAAAAGTTTAATTTGGATATAATTAATGCACCTGAGTATTGATTCTCACCAGCCCTCAAACTCAGCCCTCAAGTAGACAAACTAAGGGTAGAAATGACCATTTCCTTTTTTTTTTTTTTTTTTTTCAGATACAGACAGAGTCCTAGGGAGGTCAAGTTCACAAGACCACTAATTTGGCAGAAATGTGGTTTCCATCATGGTCTCTGACTCTGAATCCATTCTGGATTTTCTTTAAGTGTCTCAAGCATTCAATATACTATGAAAGCTAAAAGCTGCATGAAGCACTGAGAATTCAGTGGTGAAAAAAACACAGTCCTTAATCACAGGGAGTTCATAGTTTAATGGGAGAGAATGATCATTAACTGGGTAATCAAAATGAAGCTGTAAGTACTATGACAGAGACAACCTAGTAAAATATGGGTAAAGTTTATATGTAGACTTGGACAAGTTAGAGAACGGTCTGCAGTAGAAGTGATGCCTTACATAGGAAATAATCTGTGATTATGTTTCCAGCATAGTCTGAAAGTACCTTCAGATAAATAAACAAGCAAAGTCCCACGCAAAATCATATCTTGTTTTTTAAGAATATCATATTTAGCTAGTCCATGACTATAGGAAAATTTATGCTTTGGAAAATAATGTAACTAGAACAAAAAACTGACAAATGACTTTACATTTTGGGTAACTTTTGTGTAACCTTGCAAACAGTTTGGTGGTAGAGTTTTCCCAAGTAGGTGAAAGCAAATCTACACTGACAACTGAGGCATTAGGGAAACAAAGAAATGGAGTTGAATGGCCTAGTAATCAGGGCAATCTGGATCTGACTGCTCAGCAATCAGGACTATTATTCTTTACTTCTTAGAACTGCCTTGTCGATTATAAAATGAGAGCTTGCTCTATCCATATTTCTCAATGGGACACCACTGGCATTCTGCAAGGGACATGATTCTCTGTGTAGGAGAATTCCAAACATCATATGGCCTTTAGCATCCCTGCCCCTCAAAATGCTAGAGGTGCTCCCATTATTGTAACAAAAATACATGCCTAACACTTCCTAATTCTCTCACCAGCCCACTGTGGAGTACAACCCACGATGGAAACCAAGAGAGTAAATAGACTAATTTCCCTTCAGGTCTATTATTCTGTCATCTGTAACTATGTTTATATCCATCAGACTAAGACCATCTCCTTATTAGTGATCTCCTTATTAGTGAGTATGCTATTTTTTAACATACTTTTCTCAGTTGAAATAAGTCACCTTCAAGTTCAGGTTCAATAACATTTTATGAAATAACAGTGTCATTGGTGGTTTTGGAGATTATATAAATTCATCTGGAGTATAAATTTATCATTTTATAGATCAGATAACTTAGTGAAATTGTAGCATAATTAATTAAGAGCCAGGTCTCTGGCACCTCATCCAGGAATCTTTATGGCATTGTACTTCCACCCATTTGGCGTCCCCATTTTCCTGAGTTCCCTCCTACTTTGGTAAAATGGGCATTTCATAATTTTGAGGAAATTTTCTCGTAATAGTGCAGTTCTACTTACTGTTCTCAAAGAGACCATCTTCTTAGTAGCTTGTAAAAACACAGAAAAAAAAAATGTGCCTACCCAAGGTGAGCAACTGTTCCGTTGTTTAATGGGAGGCCCTAGAGCATGAAAAAGTGAACATATTGCAATCTTCCTCTACCAAATTTTATCTTTGGATTTCAATCATGCTGAATCAGTAGCAATTATCCTCAAATTGCTATTTCATGACTCCTGACAACCTTTGCTTTATACATTTCCTCACAAAAACTGGTCACATGAGTTGAGAATCTATTAACTATTCTAAAATAGTCCCAAATGCAGAAAGATCACAGAAAATTAATATGCATATAGAAGGAAGATGTTGGTGTGATGAATGCTAATTTCTATGGCACTTGTGGACAACTAAGATGTCATTCTTAGTCATTCTCACATTTTGCTACCTGACATCTGCCAATAAATATTAGGAACGTTCATCTGCTTTTCCTTAGAAGGACACACAGAAGGAAAGCTAATATTCATATAGTATATATGAATCACAAAACAGTTTAGAAAATATGACCATTTGATTCTTATAAAATTCTGTGGTCATCCATTGCCATTTTACAGTTGAGAAAACTGAGAGGAGAAAAAGATAAGTAACTTTCCCAAGACACATCACAGCTAGTGGTGGTTAAGTCTTAAATATAAATCTTTTTACTATAGATCTCACACACTTTCCTTACCCAAGACTCTCTCCCATTTGCTGTGACTTCTGGGTATCCCCACAAAACCCCAAAGGGGCCTGCTAATATAACACTTGCACCTATTAATGTGCCTGCCTCCTCACAGCAGACTGTGAATTTCTGTATGCTAAGAACCACATCTGCCTTACTTTTATATAGCCAACACTTAGCGTAACACCTGGCACATAGTGGGCACCTACTAAATGCTCACTGAATACATAAAGAATGCCACCTCAGGGTTAGTTGCATATTTATTCTTTGTAAAAATATTAAGAGTTAGTAGAATTATCAAAGGTAGCACATGGTGAAATGATGTTATTACTAAATATTGAAAGGAAAGATCATGAGAAAATTCAGGTAATATTATAGTCAGCATAGTCAAATTTGAGTATTCTCATAATTGTTTATTAACAAATAAGTAAGAAGTTGAGAATATAGAAATTAGGGCAATATACTTTGATAAAGTCCTGTAACTGGTCCCAAAATTGACATCATATTCCTATTCAATGATCCTGTCATTACACAGGAGTGTGAATGAAGTGGTCAAAACAAAGAAACCACAGTTTTTAATATAGTTTAAATTAAAAAGGCTACATTTATGCAAGGTTTTATCTGTATAAAATAGAAGATCCTACCAACTGTACTGGGATCTCCAGAGAACAACAGATTTACCATAAAAAATTCCTAGGCCGGGAGCGGTGGCTCGTGCCTGTAATCCCAGCATTTTGGGAGGCCAAGGTGGGTGGATTGCCTGAGGTCAGGAGTTCGAGACCAGCCTGACCAACATGGAGAAACCCTGTCTCTACTAAAAATACAAAAGTAGCTGGGCGTGGTGGCGCATGCCTCTAATCTCAGCTACTTGGGAGGCTGAGGCAGGAGAATCGCTTGAACCTGGGAGGTGGAGGTTGCAGTGAGCCGAGACTGTACCACTGCACCCTAACCTGGGCAACAAGAATGGAACTCTGTCTCAAAAAGAAAACCAAAACTAAAACCAAAACCAAAAACAACAAAAAAATTCATTCATTCGTCTATTCAACAAAATATCTACTTGATGCCAGGCACAAAGAAGACAAGAAGAAGCTTCAAGGAATATGTATTCTAGTTCTATGATTTCCATACTTTTTTCCCAGACAGTTCTTTTTCCATCCTCAAATGAAATCTTAGTAAGAACTCTAATATACAAAAGAGATAAAACAGAGGTTTTCTGGTTAAAAGGGTAGGAGAGGACCATAATAGGTCAACTTTCTTTTTTCCTTAGTAGCCAATATCACCCCAGAAGTCAATTTGTCCATCACTGGTCTAGTCTTCCAAACATTTCAATTTTAAGCAAAGGTTTTGATTTTCCTCCCAACCATATGACAGACATCTATACGGATGCACTGTGTGTGTTCCCCCTTATACCAATAAGTATTCTTTCTCCATTTCTTCACAAATCCCACACTTTGTTATTGTTCTTTTTTTTTTAACTTTCTATTCACTCTTCTTCCATTCTCTCCATTCCCAGTGTGTTTGTTGCCTTCCACTCTGAAAGTACTGAACATCAGCCATGGTTCTTTGATACATCCCCTATACAAATACAGGATGAGTTTCTCACAGCACCTTGGGATGGAGGATCTAGGCAGGATTCCCTAAGGTAAAAAGCAGCAATCCAGACTGAAGCACTCAGTTTTATATATAACAGACAGTAAGAAGCCACTGCACTTCCTAATCACAGAGAGCCTCTTATAGACTTTGCAGAACAGACCACAGGAAAGCACTGCATATTGGGGATGTGCCAAGGTGTTTCTACATTAGCATTTTACCATCTTAAGAATTTTTTAACTTTTAATTTTACTCATGGAAAATAGTACTATGTAGTACCTCAAAATGGCTTTATCTAAGGCATGTAAACCGGAGCACCATTTACCCTGTTAAGGACACCATGGCCTGTCTTTCACTGTGAATGACCTAAAACATAAAAAGAGCAAAATATCAAGATCTCTCTCTATGGGGTAACACCTTCACAGGGCAACCAAGATAATATCTTCACAGAGCCATAACAAAAGTGGGCAAGGTCCCTGCACCCATCTCAGGGATGAATTAAGGAGACAAAAGAAGGGAGTTGAGGGGAATAATACATTTACCTAGAAGCATAAAAATATGTTCAATATGAACAAGTAAACTGATACTGAGACTAGAACTGATGGCTAGCTGGAATGCGTCATTACAACCTGACCAATTGTTACTATACAACAGAAGACTTCTTCCATTCAGCCTGGAAAATAGTCACTGTCCTAATCACTCCCTAGAAATAATCAATGACCCAATAACTGAAGTGTTAATCAGACACCTCCTAGATCCTGATCCAGCTCTTGGAATGTCATCCACCCTACAGGCCACTGCTTTGCTCTACGACCTATTAAAATATTTTCGTATTACTGTTGCTGGAGACTCATTTCAAATATAGCAGTTTTTGTGGTAGAATTTCAAAGAAAAACCAGACAAAACAAAGAGTTTACTTCATAAGCCATTCTTTTAAATGCATAACTGTTTCACAGATTCAATAATACTAAAATATCTCATATTATAATCAGGCATAAAAAGTATTTACCTTTTGTTTCTTTTATTTAGTTAGAATCAAGTATACAGCACCTTTTAACACTGACAGTATGTGATTAAACTGATGGGCTCATGTTCATATTCAAGCACTTCAACACTTTTGGAATGTTACTGCCTTCTGACCCAGTTCTTTAAGACAAAGAACAGTTATCATATTTCCAGAGCTCAACATGGTGACTCATAGAGGATCTCAACAAAGTTGACTAAATGCATTACAGGATTATTAAAATGCAGTAACTCTCAAGTAGAAAATTAAAAGCCAGACTCAAGTCAGGCAATCAATGAAACAATTTTAATAAATTTTAGAAATCTTGATACTACAATCCCATTTCTAAATTTCCTCCAAAATTTATCAGATTGCTTCTGTGAATACCAGGGAGAAACAGAAAGGAGAATAAGTAACTGGTACAGGAATCAGTGAATAAGGTCTGCAATAGCGTATTCCCACTGCAACTCATATAGTATCTGACATATAATTAGAAGCAAAATAAGAGAAATAATCTAAAAGTCAATGTATAGTTTACAAAAATATTCACAGATATCCCACTGAATATTTACAATAACTTTTAATGTACATTTTGTAGATAAGGAAGCAGAGAATCAGAGAATTTCCCAGTAGTAAGCAAAAGAGATAAGAATTAAATGGTTATTGAATTAATAAATGCCTGGCCTGAGCCTATATAAAGTCTTTGGCACAAAATAAACATCCAAAGGCAACTCCTTTTCATTTAATTGTCAGGTCAATTGTCATTTTCTTCAAGATGTCTTCTTGAAACACTAGAATAGGCTAAATCTCTTTATTTTGTGCCTTTCTAGTCCTGATTTCTCTTTTAGCATTTATCCAACTTAAATAGTTTTATAAAACTGTCTTCCCAACAGATCTAGAAAGAACTGCCTTACTTTAATCGCAACCCAAACAAGTTCCAGACATTCCAGCAACTATTTGAAAATATCATGAGTATATCTTGAGTATATCATGAGTATACCTTATTTACCTTTGTATCTACCCAGACCTGGCATAGTGCCTGGCGTTTGCTAGATGAATGAATAATAAATGAATAAGACTAAAGTAAAGTCGGTACACTTAATTTGGGTTTTAGAGTATGGTTTAAATCCAAAGAGAGATTAAGATAAAATGAATGAAGTAAAACATGATATTCTGTAGCAGAGTATACAAACAGGTATCTAACCAGATAGAAAAAGAAGTGATTGTTTATAGATTAAAAAACTGATGGGAAATAGACAGTACTTGGAAGAAACTTCAATTACTTATGACCTGGTAGAATTCTAATTTACTAAGGAATAACACTGATGGATTCTTGATGTGCTTTGCACCATTCTTCCATAACTTGGATTATGAAAGCAAATGTAGGAACTTCTCTAAATTTGACTCTAAGATTTTAAAAAATGGTTTGTTGCAGAGTATACAAGAGGAATCTATATAGAATTATTTTTATATAAGAGCACAATGTGTGACTCATATCAGTCATTGCCACTCACAGATTTGGATTTTATTTTATTTATTTATTTATTTATTTCTGAGATGGAGTCTCACTCTGTCGCCCAGGCTGGAGTACAGTGGTGCGATCTTGGCTCACTGCAACCTCCGCCTCCCGGGTTCAAGCGATTCTCCTGCCGCAGCCTCCTGAGTAGCTGGAATTACATGTATGTGCCAACACGTTCAGCTGCAGATTTGGATTTTAGAAAAGGTTGATTCTCAAAGTTTCAGATAAAGTATTTTAGTATGATCCCACGGACACAAATGCTAAAATGGAAAAGACCTCATAATTGAGTCCCAGTTAGAAAACATTGGCTTAAATGTGAAGTGCCAAAATGGGCAGCCACAAAACAAACACATGAGAACTTGGTAGATAACAGGAAAGTTAGTTTACGCATGTAAAATTTGTACTTATCTTATGCATTATAGTGATATAAATGGGCGTTGGAGCTAGAGAAGGCAGAATTTGAACATTGGCTCAGCAATTTACCAGCTAAGAGATATTTAAGTTAGCAGTTTGTCCATCTATAAAATGGAGACAACACGCACCTGATAAAACTTCATGAAGATTAAATGGGACAATATATAAACTACATTAATAACATAGTTAATGGCACATAGCAAACAGTTAAATGTGCATGTCCATGAATATGTGCATGCGAGTGTGTACAGGTGCAGTGGTGTTGATGTTGTATTATTAGCAGTATTATTTATCAATCATTTTTATCATCCTCGTGGCTATAATGGTATCATATTGGGAGTCACATTATCATTATTATTAGCATCCCATCAGCAATATCATCAAGATCATCATTATTCCCAATAATCTATACTTTGAACAAGAATAAAGTTATGTTAATTCATGTCAGAGTAAGAAAAATAGCAAAGAATATATAAAGCTTAGTGCTTGAACATATGTGCTATAACAGAATCCAGTAAACAGCAGAACATCTTGAATCCTATTTTGTTTCTGCTTCTCTATCAAGGAAAATGATCATAAACAGTGAAAGGTAGTACACATGTGATTAGGAGAGGGCTAAAACCTGAGATTAAAAAACAAAAAAGTGAAACTAAGAACGCACTATAGTTATCTTTAAATACAGACAATTTATATTCTGGGGGCAATGGGACAATTGGTAAGTAAATGTGATCACATAACTAGGGTAGATAATATTTGTGTTGTCACAAGGAACGGGAAAGTGGCCAAAACAAGATGCAGAACAATTGTGAAACCTATGTTGAAAAGGTTGGCAGGAGAGGAATTTTCAAAATTGCAGAACAGTGAACATTGATCGCTAGTGAAATTCTAGCAGAGATGTTTTGTAAGCACACAGAGAAGGGAGTAGTGACCACCAAAAGCGAGTATGTCAGGAATACTGAATAGAAGCTTGGAATATCTGACCTCAACATTTCTTCCCCAGAGACTGTTAAGAATTAAAATTCTATGATTCTGTCATTTTAGCCAAATCAAAGGAAAGAGAACTGGAATAGAACACCAGACCTCAGTTCCTGCCACTAAGCTGGCTTCAAACAAATCATGTCAGAAAAAGAAAAACAAAAAAAAAGAAAAAAAAAAAGGTATCCTTCTTGCTTTGAATAGCTAAATAGAAAATAACCTGCCCTTTTTTTTTTGAGACAGAGTCTTGCTCTGTCGCCCAGGCTGGAGTGCAGTGGCACGATCTAACCTCACTGCAACTTCTCCCTCTCAGGTTTGGGCAATTTCTCTTGCCTCAGCCTCCTGAGGAGCTGGGGCTACAGGCACGTGCCACCATGCCTGGCTTTTTTTTTTTTTTTGTATTTTTAGTAGAGATGGGGTTTGACCATGTTGCCAGGCTTGTCTTGAACTCCCAGCCTCATGTGATCCACCTGCTTCAGCCTCCCAAAGTGTTGGGATTACAGGCGTGAGCCACCGCACCTGGCCTAGAAAATAACCTGCCTTTGATGAGAGACTGGTCCTCAATCCTCCGACTTGACCCAGGAACATGCCATTTCACTCTGGTTAATCTTGCACAGAGTGATATATCATATATCAATTCTGACACAGAATAGCACTACTGTATATTCTAGCTACAAATTAAATTGAGTAAATTTTTAAAAATGGTCATTTATCAACATGATTTCCTAATTAGAATGTTTGAAATCAACTGTCCATTTGTTACAATGTTTTACAAATTTAAAGGGTTTTTTAACCTGTGAAATATATTTTCTGATTCAAATATTTAAAAATCCACATAGAATTGTTGCTGAGTGCTTATAAATAATAGAAAATATTAATAGGCATCTTCAAATACAATTTCCCCTTAATAATTTAACGGCAAAGAATATATGGTTATATGTCAATGGAAACAACCTGAGTATAGACAAGAAAAACTGATGTTACAAGAATAGAAAAAAGTAAGTATAGATCAAAGTCCTGATAACATAACAGGAGGGGACACCACAAAACAGCAACATCATCAACCTTGGTTGTCATAGCTGTTATTTTTATCATTTTCTTCATCACCATCATCATCATCATCATCATCAACATTGCTAACGTTTATTGACTTTGAGAGAAATACTAGTTTTATGGGAAGAGAAGAAGGTATAAAATAATCATTTTGGATACTAAGAAAGCAAACGTACCATAGAAGGAGTAGACTATTCAGCAGAGTTGAGTGTCTGAGATTTATGACGATGAATTTAAAGTGAGACCAATCACTAAATTTTTTTTTCAGGTATGTTCAATTACTTAAGTACAAGCACAGGATATATGTATAGCTGAATTTACAAAGAACTAGAGACTTGCCTGATGAGTACAATGAAAGAAGAAACAGAAGAAGAATTTAAATATGCTTCTAAGGGAGGGATTATAATGTCTTTCAATTATTACCCAATCCTGCAGGTGTGTTTTATAACAAGCTTTGTGATTAGTCTCTGATTACTTTTCCAATATTGTATTTTTCTCTCTCACTTACCTTTAATACGTAAGTCCACAGACATATTCAGCTCCTTGCATGTTCCTAAATACATCAGAGGTTCTATCATATTTACTCAGGTACTACAATTAAATGTATTGAACAAAGTAGATACTAAAAAGAAATGCATTGAATAAATGCATGAAGGAACACCTGCTTGAATAAAATAATGAACATAAAAGTTCAACTAAAAAGAGATTCCAACAAATGCACTGCCCAATGTAAAAGTTACAATCTGTAATTATTAACTTCTGTGTCTGTGGAAGGTAAATGAGTCTGATTAGGCTTGTTCATCTGTGTTCTTTAAGAAAGGAAAACAATTAATATTTGTTATAACTCAAGGTGATTTTATAAAATAATATCAAAAAAGAGATAATTACATGATAGAAAATAAATAATCAGAGCAACTGACATCACTACCAAGAACATTCCTAAACAAACCTGAAAAAGAAAAGTTCAACCGATGTATCACCAAAGTTTTCCCAAAAAGTATCCTGGATATGTATACAAACTCACATTCATGCATATGTATACAAACTCACATTCATGCATCATTACCCAATTCTCTCACCTATCCTTACAAAAGATTATTGTCTTCTAAAAGAGAATCACATTAAGGAGTAAATAATAATAAAAAGTCACCATAGTTAAATCAATGGTTAACCAGACATTACACTTGAGAGGGATAGAAGTATGATTCATTTAGCCTTCTACTACCATCTCTGAAAAAGCTATGAGGATCAAATTGCAGCTTTATCTTCCCATTATTTTGTGTGAATCTAAGTAAAGATTAAAAAGACTAATAGCTAATAATTTACAAATTTAAAAAGAACATGACAGATATACAAAATGAAACTAAGAATATATGGAATAAAATATTACTTATTAATTGATCAAGAATTGTGGAATAAGCATAAACAGTTATATAATGCCTTTCCTTAACATCTTTTAAGATTAAGATAAATTACCTCTGTTCTTGAAAAGGGTTTGAATAATGACTTTAGTTCCAATATAGCTTAGCCATTTTTTTCAGGATCCCTTTCATCTTTTTCAGGCCTTGCCATATATTACTTAATATTAAAATATCAGAATTGGATCTAATAAACTACATCATGGGGTGGCCTGTTATTAATATTCATAGTTACAGTAACAATCCCAGAGAACTCTGCATACCTACATTATAAATAATACCATTGTGAATATTTAAAAAACACATAGCAGTGTTTATCTTCTTTTAAGGATCCCTTTCATCTTTTTCAGCCCTTGCCATATATTACTTAATATCAAAATATCAGAACTGGGTCTAATAAACTACATCATGGGCTAGCCTATTATTAATACTCATAGTAACAATCCCAGAGAACACTGCTTACCTACATTATAAATAATACCATTGTGAACACTAAAAAAACACATAGCAGTGTTTAGCTTCTTCTTAAGATGGGAATCCAATTTTTTTAGCCTTGTAAGCTATGAATCTGACATACTCATGCCTGACCTTCATAAAATCAACTAAGAGCACTCCTAGTCCCTTGCAAATAGTAGGATTTTAAAGGTGTCAAAGATATTCCTGTCTTCTAGTTGTAACATTAAAATCCTATTTTTGAAATCCAGTGTACTGTACATGTATTTTAAGACTAGTATAACTCAAGTCTCTTAACATTTAAAGTTAAGCAGTTTATAAAATTAAAACTGTAAGCAAATAAATCATAAAATTTGCAGAATTGGACAGAGAAAATGAAGCCATGATGAGTTTCTTAAGAAACTATGAAAACAGTGGGGTACCCAAGCTCAGACACACAAAAGTATACCTTACATTGCAAAAAATATGTAGCATCTTATATACCTAAATTGTAAATGTATGTGTCAGTAAGTGGGTGTGTGCATGTGCACGTGTTTTAATATTCTGCCAATATTCTGTGGTCTTTTGCATCTTTGGTCTCAAGTATTACTCATTTCCCTTGAGGATAATTCCACAGTCTCTACAGAAGCTTAAATAAGATATGAAAGTAATTCTCTGCTTCCTGCACTCAAATGCATTGCTTTGTATTTATGCAAATGTTCAGCCCAGTCTCTTGGAAAATTCCAGAGAAGAACTACCTTAAATAACTGTGAAGACAAAATTAGTTACCCATGATTTCAAAGAAAATATTTTTAAAATTTCCTTTAAATAGGTAGGCTTTACAATACTAAAATCTCCTGCTTCATCAGTCCATAGCCTATGTCATAAAAGCAAGTATATAAAACAGTCATTCCTATTCAGATGTTCTTACCCAATAGTGCTTGGGGGTTGATAATTATCTGTCGTTGAAGAGAAGTTAACTCTCTCATCTCTCAATTATGAATAAGAGAACCCGAGTAAGATTTATTAACCACTCTGCATTGGTTAAATTAATAAAATGGTGATTAGGTCAAGTTTCATTCTTTCCATGTCCATGTCATTTTTAAAAAAGGAAATTATATAGTGATTCAGTTGAATGTATAAATCACAAATATTCAATAATAATACACTAAACTACAATTAAATTATCTTTATTTTTGGCTACATGTTTTTTCACATTAAAGATTTTCACTGTAAAATGTTTTCCTCTTTGGTATATTGGATATTATTAAAATTAGAAAATCTTAATAACACTATACAGTTTAAAAGAGAAGTGAAATAAATCTTTTAGTGAAAATAACATATGCAATACATATTAACTATTCTGAAGTCACCACAGTAAAACTAAAGGTGTTCAACTTTTACATATTAATTGTTATTTCCATTTCAAAACATTTGGAATTCCGAATATGGGCAAAAGCAGGGAAAAACTCGGTAGCCCAATTCTAATTACTTTAGATGCATCTCGCTTATATATTTAATTTGTCACTATGATTATGTGTATCTTCTTCAAATCCCTTTAATTACAAGTATTCTATTCAGGTTATTCAGATAAAGTCTCACAGCCTCCAGATCTACATCTCCACCCAGGTGTGCTATCAAGATGAAGCTCATCTAAGCTTCTGGGAGATGGGAGATTCTAATTAAGAAAAACACAGATGTCTTCCAGAGAGCAGACTGGAAACAAAACGTGTATCATCCTTTTCTCTTTCTGGATCGACTATAGCTGAAACTGTGCTGCCGGCAGCTGTAATGGTTATTTTGAAAACTAATGTTTACCCAGACTTGAAATATAACATACAAGTGCCTTTGTAAACCATAAGGGTAATTATGGTTACTTAACTATTACTAAAAATTAGGTTATCAAGTTGGTTACTTTTGGGATGCTGTATTTGACAAGGAATGAATTTTTGATCTCTACTAAGCCTGCACTGTGTGTAAGACCAGTGATGCAAAGAATAATTTTAGCACACTTACTTTTCATCTATAAGATTAGCTCTATATCATTGGGTCTATGCATTTTCAGAAGAACTTTTGAGAAACTAAATAAGACAGGTCTGCCCTACCTCAACAGTAGGTGTTCCTCATGCAGTAACATTTGATATGCTGATATTTGAAGGGTATTTATAAGATCTTCTCCAGCACTACTGATTGCACTGAATTACCAAAAATTTATTTGGCATCTTCGATGAGTAAGGCTCTAATGCTAGTTACATGTGTCTGAAACTCTATACATGGCAGGCAAAATGGCTAAAAATATTTGAACGAAAAGACCAGGAAGGCCAAAGACAAACTGTCATCTTGGATCATTTAAGTCTGCTCCTCCTCCTGGTCTCTTACTTTATAAACCATCACTACTGAAGCTGAAATCCTGAAACCTGTATTTTTGGCTGTTCTAATATCTTTGTTTAACTTGATTTCCCAGCTAACACTAAGCTGTACAACATAGGTATAAAATATAAGATTCGTAATGGATAGTGAGAACATGTCCACTGCTTGAGAAATGCTGCTGTACAGAGCATGAGTAATAAACTGCTATACTGGCCACATTTGGTTCTAAGACCTGGGTGTGTTGTAATACCGGTGCTGCAATATTTTCATGCAGGTTCCTAATTTCCTAGGACTACAAAGTGATGGGAAGCATAAGAAGTATAAGGCTGGGGTAAAACCAAATCTTTAAAGTGCTGCAGAAGCTACATTAATTACCATGGAAGACACATCAAGCTTATAGCAGCTGTACACATGATGTAGGCTCTGAAAGACATGGAAGTGAAACTCTTTAGTTGGCTTAGAATTAAAACAGCAACAAAAACAACAAACACACAAGAAGCATGAAGAGGATTTTGTACATAATTTTGAATTTCACTACTTTCAAATGGAATAATGATGACAGAGTCATTTTTGTAATTTGATGGAAACAAAGGATTGCATTGGAATAGGAAAGCTTTCACATTCTAGGAGGCAAACTGAAAAGATTTTATAATGTTCTGCTGGGAATAGGATGACTTTATTATCTAGGGGCATTGTACAATCCTAACTTGTAGATTTGCATAAATAACATAGCTACATAAAATTAAAGAAGTAGAGTAGCTCCAGGGCACATTTTTGGTCCACTGCTATACTGTCTAAAATGGTAGTACTAGACTCATGTGGCTATTGAACACTTGAAATAGGGCTAGTTTGAGGCAGGCGGATCATGAGGTCAAGAGATCGAGACCATCCTGGCCAACATGATGAAACCCCATCTCTACTAAAAATACAAAAATGAGCTAAGCGTGATGGCATGTGCCTGTAGTCCCAGCCACTAAGGAGGCTGAGGCAGGAGAATCACTTGAACCTGGGAAGTGGAGGTTGCAGTGAGCCAAGATTGCACCACTGCACTCCAGCCTGGTGACACAGCAAGACTCTGTCTCAAAAAAAAAAAAAAAGAAGCAATGCATAAAAAATGTAAACTATCCCATTAATATTTTTATTGGTCATATGTTAAAATGATAATATATCCGCCATATTGCATTAAATAAAACATTATTGATAATAATATGTTCCTTTTTCCTTTCTTAACATGGTTAATAGAATGTTTGAAATTACCTACATAGCTTGCATTCTATTTCTTTTGGTCAGAACTAGTCTAATGTATTGAAGGGGTGAGGTAACATCCTTCTAGATATATTTTAGAGGCTTTTAGAACAACATCAAAGGAAACTTCATAAAAGTTTTGAGGGGCTAAATTGTCACTGCATTGTTCTCATGTAGGAGTAAGGAAGCATCAGCAAAATTTGGAGACACAATCTCATGAAGTTGCAGGCAGAACTTTTCTGGGACCTAACTAACTACTGTCTCAAGAGGGGCAACATCTATTTCACTGTAAACGGGGCCACTGCATTTGGTAATCAAAATGGAAAAACAAAATATGGAGGGAGGAGTGTCTGCCACAAATGCTTAGTATTAGAGGACATTCAACGACTCTCCATATTTCTTCTCAAGGTATCATCCATCTAAAAGGAACTCTAATATGCAGCAGCCTTCAGTGAAATACTATGAAGCTTCAGGGAGTTATGGTAAGAAACTATGTAAGAACCATGACACTGCCTGGACTGACACGTTTTAAAAAAGAGAAAGAAAGACATGTCCAGGAGCCAGAATGTTCATGACCTCAAAACAGGAGGTTCCCGAGGGGCAGATGAACCCCAGTGGTTCAGAATTCAGAGATCTCCCCAACATTTCCCTCCCTCCCACATCTCTCATGACCAAGCGGAGTCTCCCTCTGTAGATAATCTTGAAGAATCTGATTGTAGTTTTACAACTTTCTGAGCTGACAAACACTGAACTGCATCTGTTTTAAGTGGCAAAATTTGTGCACTTATGGTCTGCTTTGTATTTTCTTTTTATGTGTTACATAATTTAACAAAGATATCCTGAAGTTAATACTACAATGCAGCTGTGTCCACTTACTTCTTGCAAGCTTTTTGTCCACATAGGGAACAGACATGTTTCAAAAAGTATCCTAAAATTTAAACTCCATCAGCAAAACTTATTTTCCATGTAAGGACATCAAAAAAGGAAAGATTTTTTCTGTAGAATAAAGAGAACTCAACCCATGCTACTATGATCGAGAAAAAAAATAACAGAAGATTCAAAATACCAATATACCATCTCCATGTTTTTGAAAGGAATGATTCTGGTCTGTGTCTTAAGATGTGAGTTTAGTGAACATTACAATATTTCATTTAATTATATACACAGACAGATGACAGGTAAATAGAAATTATTTTTATTTTGTTTTTCTTTTGTTTTTTAAAAAATATCTGCCCAGGCATGGATGCCTATATTCCCAGCACTTTGGGAGGCCAAGGTGAGAGGATCACTTGAGCCCAAGAGTTCAAGACCAGCATGGGCAACATGCCTCCACAAAAAAATTAACAAAAAAAATTAGCCAGGCGTGGTGCTGGTGCCTGTCGTCCTAGCTACTCAGGAGGCTGAGACAGGAGGACTGCTTGAGCTTGGGAGTTTCAGAGTGCAGGGAGCTATGATTACACCACTGCACTCCATCCTGGGAAACAGAGTGAGACCCCATCTCACTCTGTTTTTTTCACTTTCTGCTCTTCTGAATCCCAACAGTCCCATGATATCTTGCCCAATATTTTAATATATCAGTACATTGCTATTAGCTTTAACCAACCTCACATAGTACACATGAGATCAGGAGAGCACAAATTAATAACGATGAAATTTCACTCCAAAGCAGGAGCAGAAAGTCATAAACACAGCAAAGCAGAGTACAAGACTTGTATCAAGGACAAGTCTTTGCAATTCCAAATTTTCCCTCACTTCTTCTGGTTATCAATACAGATAGAATTAAAAACCATATCTTGTAAGAATATTTGAAGGCAAAAGAAAAACAAATTATATAGATAAGGTTGTTTAAACTATTAATAAGAATTCATTTAGGGCTCATCTTAAATTCATGTAGAGTCAAAATTACGATTTACAAAAAGCATTGGCTCATAGGAGATCATGGATGATGAGCTCAAGGGTTAAGAGAGAGCTCCCAAGGGGAAGAAAGCATTCCAACATGCTTCTTCATCAAAACATCAGTGGAAGGGTCAGAGGAAGGTGAAACCCATTTTCAAAATCATCCTGAAGGAAAGATGTAATACAGGAATGACTACAGCTTCAGCTGCCATGAGAAGGAAACTGAGATTGTTGTGGATGTTAATATCAGAACCAAATTAAAATCCAGGCCTAATGACCCTCTGGCCAGTGGTCTTTCCAGTCAGCAAGCTCTTAAGCAGGGAGTCCACAGTAGTCACTTGTTAATCAATAAATTTACCAGGCCCCCAAAGCTCAGAAATCTGATTCCACCTAGCCACAGGTAGCTGTCCCACACCTGGTAGAAGCATTGCACAAGGCTGCCCCCTGTCAGGGGGTGGACAACCAGTGCTTTCCCCAGCCCACCATGTTTTCTCAAGTGTTGCCATGCTACATGTTAACCTAGGAAATTCTCTTTGCCTCGACAATGTCTATTCATTCTACTGGAAATTTCTTTCTGACAGGATCTCCTGACCATGCCCTTGTCCTAACCACCACAAGCTCTTCTATGTCCACAAGCCCCATCCACAAGCTCATCTGTGTCCAAAAATTTTAAATTTTTGTTCAAATACTTCCTTCCTGTTCTTGGTAACTAAAATTCTACACATTTTTTAAAAGAAATATTAACAGACTTCAGTATGAAGTTAAAATCAATACTAAAAATTCCAGATTTTTTTTTCTTTTTTGGGGGGGGGGGGGCGACGGGGTCTTGCTGTCATCTAGGCTGGAGTACAATGGCATGATCTCGGCTCACTGCTACCTCCGCCTCCCGGACTCAAGCGATTCTCCTGCCTCAGTTTCCTGAGTAGCTGAGATTACAGGCGTGCACCACCACACCCAGCTAATTTTTGTATTTTTTGTAGAGATGGGGTTTCACCATGTTGGTCAAGCTGGCCTCGAACTCCTGACCTTGTGATCCACCCACCTCAGCCTCCCAAAGTGCTGGGATTACAGGCGTGAGCCATGGCGCTCAGCCAAATTCCAGTTTTTCTATATGCATACAAGGAATTACAAAGTATAGTGAATTGAAAACTGTAAAAATTAATTCAATAGAATCTATGAGGGTTCTGTAGGAATACTAAAACATATTAAAAACAAATAATGTTGAGTATGCCACCTCTTTTGCAATGTAGATAGATATGCTACTTTCTTTCTCTTTCCTAATTACATTGACTAGGGCTTCTAGAATATTAATAAATGAACACAATGTCTTTGAAGTTACTTCCCCCTGAATTAGAAATGTTTTTATTGAATCACTATTTTTCTCAATGCAGGTAAGTAAAGAGGTGATTAAGGAGGTAGCTATATTATTATTTTCAATGAATGTGTTTTGTTTTGTTTTTTAAAAAATAGTTATGGGAATTAGTTTGTCAAATGCTTTTTGGCATTCTTCAATAGAATCACATGGTCTTTATAATCTATTAACATAGGGTATTATATTACTAAATTTCTTATTTTAAAACAACATGTGTTTCACTTGGTTCCACATATTATTCTTTTCATATATTGTTTAAGTCAAGCTTATTCAAGTTTTTTACATGGAAATTTTTGTTGGTAATACTCTATGGCTTTCTTTTTTATATATGGCATGTTCAACGTGATGTGGTATTGATATGGACTTTTGATATAAGGGCATTTTTTTCATTATCTTTCATTACTAAACATCTCATGCATAATACTCTGGTCTGGATTAGTGGACAACACATTCTGGGTACAATGAGGCATTTATTAAATGAGCATTTAATAAACAGTATAAATTCTCCTGTTCTTTAACATAGTTACATTGATTCCATTTAACTGTGGGACTTGCACGATAAGAGATAATTTATACAAAGCCATTCTACTCATATTCTTCATTATTTGGCTTTCTTTTCTTTCTTGTTTTCCTTTTATATTAACACAACTAAAACAGAGTGTTAATTGCATGAGCATTTGAGTCAGGCAGACCATGCTTCTGGGTATAGGTGCTGAAGCTGACAGATGTGTAACACTAGACAAGTTATTTGATCTCTCTGTTTCAGTTTCCTTATATAGAGTATAAAAATAAAAACAGAACTCAAAAACAAAGCTATTGTGAAGATTAAATGACACGATAGGCATAATGTGGTTAGCACTTTACAGAAACTTGACAGGGCTATGCCTCCCTTCCTATCTCACCCCCAGGCACCTCCCCACTCTCTCTATTTATGGATGTATGTCCATGATCTATAATATCCTTTAGAAATGTCACATTGTCTTGTCTAAAATCCTCACCTCCACTGACTAGTACACATTCTGCTCTTTGCAAATATACTAAAACCAAACAACCAAAAATGCTTTAAAATTTTTTATTAATAATCATGAGGTTATACACTGACCTGTGATACCGAGAACATATAAAAATTTACTCATATTCCCATAAATGTACTGTTTGGATATATTTTCTTCTGCTAAGAGAGGTAACACCCACATAAGCTGCTCACTGACTACACAACATCATTACCCACATGGCCTGACCAATGCCAACAAGGTGAACCATAATATTTTGCAAAGCATCAAATGGTGCTAAAAGTTCTATATTTGAGCATTGAATAAATGTTGAAACAACTGGTGATAATTGTTAACAATGAGTCCTTGACCTTTCATGAATTGTTTGCCCCCAAACATCATCACCTTTTGTACACAAACAGTATTTTGTCACAAAAATTGCTTGATGACACTATTAGGACAGTATTGTCTTTACTTGTTCTAGTGAAAGTCATTTGAAATGGCAACAGACATTGCTCTGTATTATCCACAGCAGCACAGTACTATTAATCCTCCAAATACAAAAAGCAATGTCTTATCATGCCAATCTAACAGATTTTACAAATGATGCTGTTTATGTAACAGTCATACAATAGTGGATAAATTGCTCTTGAACAACTTCTGTCAACATTTGGCTTTTGTTATTAATGTGGTGCATATCAAATATGTCCATACCTATCATATAATTTTAAAAATTGTTTAGTTAGAAAGGATCTCAAGGATCATCTCACTTAATTTCTTCCATATACAATGACGATACTGACTTTAAGAGAGAAGTTAGATAACTTGTCTAAAGCTATGCAAACAAAGAGTGGTAGAGGCAATACTAGATTGTAGACCTGCTCATTCTAATTCAGTGCTCTTTTCAACACAGCCTGTTGTCTCCTTAAAACCAGTGTGAATACCAGCATTGTAGTCTGGAAGTGCTGGGAAGCACCTCTCAGAAGTAGATGACAGACAATGGAGATGGCTAGAAGAACGCTGCTAAGTGCTATTTACTCACCATGTACACATTCGGCCTCTTTCTGCGCTCCAGTTTTTGCATCACTGCTTCCTAAAACAATTCCACTTCAGCCAACTCGGAACTGCTTTAATTCCTTCCTCAAATGCTTCAAACTCTCTTCCCCCAAGGGTGCTTCCTTCTTCTCTATGCCTTTTTTTTTTTTTTTAATTTCCTCTGCCAGAAATTCTTCCCCCTAGTGTCGTCTAGCCTCAGCTAATTCCTACTTATCCTTGAGGCAGCAACATAAATGTAAATTCCTCAAGGTAAACTTCCCTGATTTTTGCTAGTCCTTATTATGGGCCTCTGTTAATATTCTCTCATAACTGGTTTATTTCCCCCATAACAGCATTTAGCATATGTTCTTGTTGTACCTCATTTATTTGTCCATCTTCCTGACATACTATAAATCCCAGCAGGGACAAGAACAGTTTTTTGTTTATTTGTTTTTGTTGTTGTTGTTGTTGTTGTTTTTGAGATGGAGTTTCACTCTGTCACCCAAGCTGGACTACAATAGCATGATCTTGGCTCACTGCAACCTCCGCCCTCTGGGTTCAAGTGATTCTCCTGCCTCAGCCTCCCGAGTAGCTGGGATTACAGGCGCCTGCCACCACGCCCAGCTAATTTTTATATTTTTAGTAGCGATGGGGTTTCACCAGGTTGGCCAGGCTGGTCTCGAACTCCTGACCTCAGGCGATCCACCCACCTCAGCCTCCCGAAGTGCTGGGATTATAGTTGTGAGCCACCGTGCCCAGCTGACAGAAACTGTTTTTTTATCTTTCCCACCATTTTATCTTTAGACAACAAAACTCAAAGAAGCTCCTCCATGAAAAGTTCTTCACTTTCAAAGTATCACACTCACTATAAAAGATGAGCTATTTCTTCTTCCTGGGGAAAATCCCTTGAATCATGTTAGATACCATGCCCCTTCTTGCCTTACTGAAGAGATAAAACTTTTGATGATCTTGTCTCTATTTATATATTTCACCCCTCCCCCTCAACTGAATCCTTCCAATGACTTTTTTTCCTTTTTAAAAATTAATGTTGCAGTAAAATATATACATCATTTACCATTTTAAATTGTACAATTCAGTGGCATCAAGTATATTTACACTATTGCACAACCAACACATTATCCATCTCCAGAAGTTTTACTAACGGCTTTTAAACAAATTCAGGCATTCCTCAAATAAAACGTTTTGCCATCTTATTTGTCACCTGTTATGTCATCTCATCCTCCTCCTGCAACACTCCTTCTCTTCAAAGCCAGCTTCATATCCCATGGTACTTTCTCACTAACCTCTTACTCCTAACCCACTCCATTTGGGTTGAGTGTATCATTCTTCCAAATGATTTCAAAAAGTCAGTAACAGGTCTCCATAGGGATGCATTCAAGGAGCTCTTTTTAGTTCTCAACAGCATGATCAACTGTTCACCACTCCTTCCCACTCAATACACTTTTTCTTTCACCTTCCTGGCCCAGTGCACTACATCGTCTATTTTCCCTCCAGGTACTTCTTTCCTATATCCTGTCCATGTTCTTTTGCCTACACAAAGCCATTCAGTGTAAGAATCTCAGAAGACTCTCCCCTAGGTTCTCTCCTGTCTTCATAGTATACTTTTTCCTTTCCTAAATAATATTCTCCTTATCCTTGGCTTTGGTTACCTCCTGATTATTTTGGACTCACATGTTTAGATGTGACAGTCCAACCAAAACCTTTCCATTGAGCTCAAATAAGTATTAAAAATTGTTTTTCTGATCATTCTTTACAAATGCCTCAAACTCCATATGTTCCAAATCAAACTCCTAATAAAAGCATTTTATTGTCCAGGTTCTCTACCTCAGTGAATGTCACTGTCATTCAACCTGTTACATGAGTCAGAGACCTGGAACTCAATTTTTTTTTTTTTAAGATGGAGTCTGGCTCTGTCGCCCAGGCTGGAGTGCAGTGGCGCGATCTTTGCTCACTGCAAGCTCCACCTCCAGCGTTCATGCCATTCTCCTGCCTCAGCCTCCCAAGTAGCTGCTACTACAGGCGCCCGCCACCATGCCCGGCTAATTTTTTGTATTTTTAGTAGAGATGGGGTTTCACCGTGTTAGGATGGTCTTGATCTCCTGACCTCGTGATCTGCCCACCTCAGCCTCCCAAAGTGCTGGGATTACAGGCATGAGCCACCACGCCCGGCCTGGAACTCTTTGATCAACAGCGCTAAAGATTTTACTTTATAAATTTCCCTCTTAATTCATCCCTTCTTTGGTGTCACTACCCTAAATATAGCATCATCTCCCCTTCTAGAATGCTGCAATAGCCATCTACATCTGGTTTATCTACAACCACTCTGGTTTCAATTCAATACTTTCTCCACACTGCAACATATAACCACTTGAGACCTGTAAGCACTTTCCACTGCTCCAAGAATGCCCACTGAGGACTATGAAAGCTTAAGTTGCTCGGAGATAAAAGACAAAGCCACTTAACAAGTTCTGCGTGCTCTGATGCCCTGCCTATATTCCAGCCCCAACTTACAACCAGTTAAGAGTCTCTCTCTGAGCGCCAGCCACCCTGACCTTTTTCCAGCCCTTTGTTCTCAGTAACATCTCTCCCCATTCCTTCTGTATGTTATTCTGTCTGCCTGGAAAGCTCCCAACCCTCTTCATATTTTAAATAGATAATTCCTGCCCGTTCTTTGGAAGGCAAATCAAATGTCACTTGTTAGGAGAAACTTGCCACTGCTAGATCAAAGTTATGAGTTTTCATCTCATCAAGTGCATCTTCTTCATAGCAGCTACCACTTTGCTAATTTTCTATTTACTTCATACATAATACCCCAAATTCAGGCCCTCGGGTTGATGCAGAAATCATGCCTCTTTTTGTTCATTGTTACATCCCCTCCACCTAATATATCTGGAATATAGCAGGTACCCAATAAATATGTATCAAACAAAATAATGAATACATAAATGGATGAGTTGTAGGGGCCTAAATATTTGTTGAAAAAACTTATTCTTTCAACAAATAATTAGCCCATTATGTGACAGGCAGTGTCATGAGCAAAACTAACATTTATTGATCACTTCCTATGTGTCAGACATGGTGCCCAGAGCTTTGAGTAATCAGGCACTTCTTTGTGTTATTGTAACAAAAAGGTTGTAAGACAGATACCAGCATTAGCCTTCATTTACAGACAAAGAAACTGGGGCTCAAAGAAGTTACATGATTTGCTAAAGGCAACTGTAAATGAAAGAGTAAGAGTAATACCAAGGTCAGTCAAACTTCAGAGTCTGATTAAGCCCCTTGAGTGAATAAAGATACTCATATATTTCAAACGTAACACAAATGCATGCACTATCAATTTCATGAACATATCATAGCCCTAAAGTTAGGCACACCACTTTGACAATACTAACTCAAAGCCTCATTTACTTTAGACTCACAAATCTATCCAGTATGATAAAGGGTCCTCTTGTACTTAAAAATCAATAAACATAATACACTCCAACAGTTACCAAAACCAATATAACTATTCCATTAGTAAAGACAATTCCCTTTATGCTTGAGCAATGTACAATGAGCACATCTCTGAATTTCTATGAAACCTCATTCTTCCAAATGCAGTTAAGCAGTTGCAGCAATTAACATAAACATTTCAGGACACCATTTTTTTTCTTTTTTCTTTTTTTTTCCAGAAAAACCATAGGCACCAGGTGCTATATCAGATGACAGTGGGTTGTTGGCATCAAGTATTTCAAAAGATGCTGGGAACACCCTGAGCCCTATTTAACCTCATACAAGAGGTTGATTAAGTATGCCACTGAGGTATATGATCTATCATTCCCTAATTGCTAAACATCAACTGACCAGTGTTCTGGTATCTTTAGAGGGCAATAATGTTGCAATATAAAACAGTAAAGAGTCCATTTTTTGTATTTCCCAAATTTGCAAATATTTTTTTAAAACAAAGAAATTGATGTTGGTGAGAATGCAGTAGGAGAGAAATTCTCATATATTCCTATTGGGAGTAATAGTTTCCACATCCTTTCAGGAAACCAATGTTTATTGTGTATCAAGATTTGATTTAGTGTTTCTATTTTCTAGGACTTTAGCTCAAGGAAATAATCAGTGATGTAGATGAAGATATATTTACTCATTCACTCTTCTCTAAGTCATTTATCACACTCATTTTATCTCTTCATTAAACAAAGAGTCTTTGGACATTTTCTGAGGGAACAAAAAAGCAGCAAGACAAATTCTGCCCCTGTAGGAAGCCACACAAGAAACAAGATAATTTCAATTTGTTGGTACAAAAGAGGCAAGGGCCTTCTTGCAGATAAAGGGGATCACAGAGGTTCACGCCAATACTTGACCCCAAGTATGGGTTAGTTAGATAATGGGGAGAACATTTGAATCAGATGGTACAGCCCAGAAAGAGACAGAGACAGAGACAGAGACAGAGAGAGAGAGAGAGACAGAAGAAGAGAGAGAGAAAGAGAGTGTGAGCGCGAGACTGCAGCACACTGGAGGGATGAATCAGAGCAGCAAAAAACTGCAGAGTAAAAAGATTAAAAGGAAAATATCATAGGTTGCAGAAACACAGACATTTTTGTTATCATCTTTGTATGTTACTATGCTGCCAAAATTTTCTACATTGTATATTGGAGAAAAAGGAACATTTTAAAGGCCATTTAAAAAGCCAGTAAAATATCAAATGATTATAATAGCACATGTAGATGACCCATAAAGTATGTCATCAAACAATTTTCACATCAGAGGACCATTGTGAGGAAGAAAAGAGCAATAGATGTCAAAAGCTCTAGCAAGTAAAATATTTGTACATCTACACATACACGCACACAAAGCATTTTTGCAATATAGTCATTTCATACAAAAATTTACTTTAGACATTACTTAAAAATACAGTCATTTCTCATTATATGTGATGGTTACATTCTGTACAGTTGCCGTGTACTCTGAATTAGTGAATACTGAACTGCTACTCCTAGAGGAAACACACACACACACACACACACACACACACACACACACACACCCCACTCATATAATCTTAAATACCCAAAACAACACAGACTGGTAGATTCCATTTTCCTCTTTTTTAAAAAAAAAGGAAAAAAAAATTCACAAGTGTTAGGTAACTTTCCTGTGCCTACCCCACTAGCAAGTGCCAGAGTAGGGATTGAAACTTCCTCCAGCTGGCTCTAGGGTGCTTCCCTCACTACCCTGCACTACCCTGCACTGCCCCCTACTGCCTCCATCCTCTGAAAGCTGATATCTGAAGGCAGAACTCTCGCTTTATCTGGCCTTAACTGGGAACATGCCTACTGGGTGACACAAATTTTTTGTCCATCTGTGCATATCCATAAATGACCAGGAAAATGCCATAAGTATTGATTTTGAGGTAACAAATAAATTACCACAAATGGGAAAATTCATAAATATGGAATCCACAAATAATGAGCACTGAATGCATATGGAACACCCATATTATGGATAAGTTCATGTCCCCCTATGATCTATACGCAGAGATAAAAGTTGCTAAATCTCTGTTTCTCTTAAAAATTGACCTTATTGGGCCAGGCACGGTGGCTCACGTCTGTAATCCCAGCAACTTGGGAGGCCGAGGCGGGTGGATCACGAGATCAGGAGGTCGAGGCCATCCTGGCTAACAAGGTGAAACCCCGTCTCTACTAAAAAATACAAAAAATTAGCAGGGCATGGTGGCGGGCACCTGTACTTACAGCTATTCAGGAGGCTGAGGCAGGAGAATGGAGTGAACCTGGGAGGCAGAGCTTGCAATGAGCAGATATTGTGCCACTGAACTCCAGCCTGGGCGACAGAGTGAGACTCCGTCTCAAAAAAAAAAAATTGACCTAATTATTTTATATTTATTTATTTAGAGACTGGGTGTGACTCTGTTGCCTAAGCTGGAGTGCAGTGATGCGATCATGGCTTACTGCAACCTTGACCTCCTAGGTTCAGGTGATCCTCCTGCCTCAGCCTCCTGAGTAGGTGGGACTACAGGAACGCACCACCATATCTGGCAGAGACAAAATCCCAAACTGGTAAGTCAAGAATGCTGTTCACCAAATCATGACACCTTACTTGATTTGCAACCTTTTCTAAGATAAAAGGAAACAGGGAAGCAACCATAATCTAAGCTGGATATATGATTTACTCATATTTTATTTATGTAAATATAATAGAAGAAATCCTTAAATATTCAAAAAATGAAGAGATTCTCCGATTCTAATGAGTAAAACCTTGCTTAATTTGACATTTGATGTCAAATAAAAAATAAGGGCCAGGCGTGGTGACTCATGCCTGTAATCTCACTACTTTGGAAGGCTGGGGTAGGAGGATCTCTTGAGAACAAGAGTTTGCGATCAGCCTGGGCAACACGGTGATACCACATCTCTATAAATTTTTTTAAAGTTAGCCAGATATGATGGTGGATGCTTGTAGTCCCAGCTACTCAGGAGGCTGAGGCAGGAGGATCAACCCAACCCAGTAGGTCAAGGTTGCAGTGAGCCATGATTGCATCACTACACTCCAGCCTAAGCAACAGAGTCACACCCAGTCTCTAAAAAAATAAGTAAAGAGAAAATAATAAGGTCAACTTTTAAGAGAAACAGAGGTTTAAGAATATGTTCTATTACAAATGTGGCTAAAATTTTTAGAAGCCCAAATTAACATAGAATACCCTTGTGTGACAAAACCAGTAGCTACTACCAGAAACTGCAGGGAGCTATAATGAGAGAAGAAAACTAGAAAGATCCTTCCTATTCCTTGGACAGATATTTCAAAACTTCAGTCTAATGATCATTGTTCACTCTCTGCTTTCACTAGAAGTTAAAAAGTAAACTCAGTGTCTTCAAGCGGGAAAAGAAAGAGACACACATTTTCAGTAGAGGCAAACTGAAACCCTCTCTTCTTGAGTAGAAAAATATAATTGAGGTGAACAAATTAATAAAAGCTGCAAGTGAAAATACCAAGTCCCAAGCAAGGCAAAAACCTAAGAATTTTGTAGAATAACGATTAGTAATATATTTTACTGCAAGTTAATATTTAGGGTAAATCGATTTAAAACATGGGAAGATGAAAGAAAAATGAAAACATTTTCAATAGATAGGTTTTTTAAACATAAATATGTTAACTTTTTTAATGACTTGATATTCACTAGATGCTTTGTAAGCATTATCTGTAATCCTCGTGTTAGTAGTACTGGGTAAGAATTATGATGTTAGATTTACACATGAGAACACTGAGACACAGACATGCTAAATAATTTCCCTAAGGTTCTACGTAACTAGTATTTTGAGGAGATATTATTTTAAGTTAGATCAGCTTGGATACAAAGTCCATTCTTATTCCATTGCACAATAGATGCTGCTTCCTGAAAATAATACCTTGAAAGACAATCAATAGTTATTAAAAAAGAACTATTCTAGAAGAATTACCTGCTTTGCTAGAGATTAACATTTAATACAAAATTATATTTTAAAATTAGAAGTTAGCAAAATCGTTCAAACCTCTCTGTGTTAATTTTTATTCACTTTTTATATTAGTTCACAGTGTCAGTAGCTTTAACTCTTAATCAATTGTGGGATTATGGATCCCCTTGAGAATCTGAGGAAAGGACCCTAAGAACATACCCATATACAAATACCGCATTCAACTTCAGAGAGTTCACAGTAGCCTGATGTCCATATACTTAACCCGTGTGAACACCAGGTGAGGGGCCCTCGCCACTAGGTGCAGCTACTCTCCTAGCTAGACAGATCAAACAGTCTTGAAATAATACTGGCTGTTATGTACCCAAATTGCAGGATGAGAAAAATGTTAATAAATCAATACCTATTTGAAAGGTAAATACATAACAGAAATCATATGATTGGGAGAAGCAAACTCTATGAGATAACGATCACTTTCTGAAGTGCTAATGAAATAAGTTGTATCTAGCATCCGGATAATTAAACAGTTTTTTCACTCACTAGTATTCATAAAAAGCTAAATATGGAAATCTATAAGTATTATTTAATCCATTCACACCACCAAATATGCAACAGAAACACATGGCTGAAAGGATGAACATTTAACAAGAAATTATACTTGTAAATTAAAAAATAACAAAAACCTATAAGCCTCTTTTAAGTATTACTCTATTTTTTAATATTTAACATACAGTGACAATAGTTTCAATGCCTAATTGACAATGGGTTTTGAACCCCTTTGAGAACCTGAAGAAAGAACTTCTGAAAAATGCACATATAAAAATGCTACACATGACCTCAAGGAGTTCACAGTGCCTTCATGTCTATCCACTTAACGCTCTAGAGTTCAACAGGCAATGAACACAGATGTGAAAACTGCATAAAACTTTAAGAGTAAATGACACACCACAATTATTAATATATTTTTGGTTATATCATTATCCATACTGAGTACATCTTGATTATTTTAAATAGATAAAAGAGAATGAGTTGAAACTCCTAACACTAAATATAATTTTCTAAGTTATAGAAACTAGTTTTTATGTCTTACTACCTTCCCTCCTTCCACTGTTTCCTCTTATTACCTATTTAGCTGAGAGTGATCTAAGTGATTACCCTTACCCCGAAACTACTTAATGCTTTTTTTTAAGAGACAATGCTAAAAGTTGATGATTAATGGATAAAAAGTAGCTTTGAACTGGTAAGTGGGCCTCTATCTAATTAAATTCATTACCAATTCCAAATATCTGTTAGAGTAACAAAATCCAATTTAGTTAGTATGTTCTTCAAATAAAGGTATAATCTAAATGACAGTGAGAATAAACATATTCTCAAAAATTTAATCCATTGCTTTTAAAAGACAGCATCACTCATTTCTTTGAACTTGAACAAATAAAAAGGGTATTATGGAAATCCTTTTTAAACATATACTATATATATTTAAAGCTAATTTAATCCTGAAAACATTATGAGATAGGCACTATTAATCTATTATCTATAAAATAGGTAACTTTTTTTTAGAAAACCAAAAGGAGCTTCAGACTGTTTAAACAATTTTTCCAAGACGGCATTGTATGAGTGAAATTAGGATTTGATTTAAATCCACGACAGTCAGTGTCCCATCTCAATCTCTCTTCTTTACATAAAGCTATCTTAGTTATTCCAAATCCTATGAGCCAATGTTTCATGACCAACTACTGTGCCAGACACTTTTCTGGATGCTTTCTAATTTGATAAGAATGAAAGGAAAAGAAAAGTAGCAGTCTGTAGACCACACTAAAACACTTCAAAGCTAGACCAACCATCAGTCCAATTATAATTTACAGTCACTCAATCAGAATAAATACAGAGTTACTGAAACTTGATATGTGGAGACATTTGCATGTCTAACTGACTATCTATAAAGATGCCTTATAAATTCCAATATTCCATTAACTAAGAAAACATTATAGTTATATATGTCTATACATGTGTATATATAATTATATATGTCTATATATACACATATATAGACTATATATGTGTTGGATATATATATACACACACATATATATACACATATATAGACATGTGTGTATATCTATATATACACACACACATATATGTATATATGTATATATGTATATGTCTATATGTGTATGTCTATATATGTGTATATGTATATGTATATATGTAGATATACACACATCTATACACACATATATACATATGTATATACATATATACACATATATACACATATGTATATGTCTATATACACACATATGCATGTCTCTGTACACACATATGTATGTCTCTATACACACATATGTATATGTCTCTACACACACATGTATATGTCTCTATACACATATATGTATATATGTCTCTATACACACATATGTATATATGTCTCTATACACACATACATAGATGTGCATGTATATAGACATATATAACATTATAGTACATATAGACATATATAAACACATATATAACTATAATGTTTTCTTAGTTAATGGAATATTAGAATTGATTTATTTATTTTTAGTTTTTCATTTTTTGAGGTGGAGTCTCGCTCTGTCGCCCAGGCTGGAGCGCAGTGGTGCAATCTTGACTAACTGCACCTCTGCCTCTGGGTTCATGTTAGTCTCCTGCTTCAGCCTCCTGAGAAGCTGGGATTACAGGTGCCTGCCACCATGCCTGGCTAATTTTTGTATTTTTAGTAGAGATGGGGTTTCACCATGTTGGCCAGGCTGGCCTCGCACTCCTGACCTTGGGTGATCCAACCATCTTGGCCTCCCAAAGTGCTGGCATTACAGGCATGAGCCACCGGGCCTGGCATGGACCTGACATTTCAATATTAGCAATGAAATCCATATCCACTTTAGGCTTAACTCCTATTTTCAAGGGAATAGTGTTGTAAGTATCCCCTTTATCCTACAAAATATTGTGCACACTTGGGATATGGCATAAAGGAAACAGTAATCAAACCTTGTCTTAATGCACAAATATGACTAGTAGTTAACAAAGACACATATTACTTCGATGTTTCCTCCTGAATTTAAAATAATTCTCCTCTTATTTAGAAGAAATGTTCTAAACCAAGTTCTAATTTTCCATCAATAACAAATACTTGATTGTTTACTCTGAGAATCCAGAATGTAGGTGCCCTAAACACTTGGGAAGAAAAAGAGCAGAGAAAAACTCAACAATTTCAAGTGGAAACTGCTATTAGCAGCAGCAATACACAATCTAAAAAGTTGAAGATAATATAGAACAAAATAAAAAGGTAATCTGTATTTACAGGTTGGACACAGCCCAATAAAATCAGTATTCACAGACTCTCTCAGAGGGAACTTTATACTACAGAGGCTGTATCTTATACTCAAAAAAGCAATTTAAGTTAAGTATTTTGTGAGTGATGATCTCAAGTTTCCAGAGGGGCTGATTTCATTAAAGAAAGATTTTCAAGTGTCTTTTTTTAATGGCTGCTCAAATCTAATAAACATGGTGGTTTCTGGAAAGAATTCAGAAATGTTCTCCAACGCTTAATCTGTTTTTCTAAAACACATGTTGTTTAAAGAAGTAAGGTAATTCTGAAAATTGTGTAGTAATTTCTTAGAAGATTATAAGTGAAGCACAGATGGTAGGTAATACGTTGCTTTACAAGACATATTTTTATGTGCAGGATGATATTACCAAGAACCCTGTACTGTGCCATTTTTCTCTAACAATAAGTGAAACAGTGCCATAATCAGTACATGTGGGAAAAATAAGAAAAATCAAATAAAAGCTTAGATATAATACTTTGCTTGAATACATTAATAAAAATTTCATATATTAACTGTATATTAATCCTACTTACTAACTGAGACTAGTCCAAATAGAATACATAAGATGGTGTTTATAATCCAATATTTTTTGCCACCTCAAATTTTCAGGCTCCATCATTCATCCATTTATTCATTCATTTATTCAACGATTATTCGCCAGCTTCTACTAATTAACAGACACTATGCTGGGATGTAAAGATGGATAATAATATAACTCTATCTTTAACAATTCTGAATAATATCTGTAATAAAATGAATAATGGTTTAAAGTGCATCTTATTGGTTTATTTTTAATTGACAAATAATAATTGTGTATATTTACAGAGTACAATGTGATTTTCTGTCTGTATATATCATAAGAAGAATCAATCAAGCTAATGAACACATCCATCGCCTCATCAACTTATTTTTTTCATAATGAGGACATTAAACATTTGTTATTTTAGCCATTTTGAAATATTTTATACACTATTATTAACTATGGTCACCAACATTTACTTCTAACAGTATAGGTGGTACCATTTTCCTTTTGAAATAAAGCAAATTCAGGCCTGGTGAGGTGGCTCATACCTGTAATCCCAGCACTTTCGGAGGCGAGATGGGCAGATTCCTTGAGGCCAAGAGTTCGAAACCAGGCTGGGAAACATGGCAAAACCCTTTCTCTACTAAAAATACAAAATTAGCCAGGATGACAGGTATGACAGGGATGACATACCTGTCATCCCGGCTACTCAGGGGGCTGAGGCACTAGAATCACTTGAACTCAGGAGGTGGAGGTTGCAGTGAGCTGAGATCGCACCACTGCACTCCAGCCTGGGTGGCAAAGTCAGACACTGCCTAAAAAAAAAAAAAAACAGCTTGCAATAAAGTAGATAGAGCCATTTATTCATTTATCAGTTAAGTGGAACTCTATCTGAAAATAAATAAATAATTAAATAATAAAAAAAAGCAAATTCAAAATTCAAAATAACTTAGTGCCCTGGGAAAGTTATGATTTTAAATTAAAAATAAATTTCCAGTATATTTATTATAAAAATGTTATTCAAACATGAACTTCCATATTTTACTGTTTCACAGCTATATTTTATATCAGATTGGCTAAGATATGATTTTAGCCAAAGGATCAGCTCCCACAAAGCTAAATACATGTGTCTGACACTCCACATGCATACTCAGGTCTGAAAGAGTAACCCCCAAGAATAATTGGGCAAGGAAGTTTGTTAAAGGCAATACAGTCCTACCACCAAAGGCTGCTATTAATGGAAGAAAGAGCAGAGTGCTCTAAGGAAGCAGTGCCAACAGCTAGAATAGAAGCCCTGTAGAAGTGTTCTCCCCAAACTCAAACGACTTCTGGATAATAACCAAGGAGGTCTCTGGGACCTGAGAACTGCCCTTTGTAGGTACCTGAGAGAAGAAATCAGCCTCAGTCATTATGATTAACCATAGAGATGGCCTCTCTGCGTATGGCCCGCTCCAAAAATAATAATGAGTCACCACAGGACTAAGGACTTGATCATTAGAGAAAAGAAATGGCAGCACTTCCTCCCAAAGGACTCAGCAGTGGTCTGCCAGAGAGGGTCTTGATACAGTCAGGATGGGGGCTGATTCTCAGCCAGACTCTACCCAGCTAATAAACTCTAAGTACTGTGCAGTAGTATCACAAGTGTGCTCTAGAGGCAGACTGTCAGGAATCCAGTTCTCGCTTTCACATTCATTAGTTGCAAGACTTTAGTTAGCCAAGTTTCTCAACTTCTCTGTGACTTCAGTTTCCTCATCTGTAAAATGAGTATGGCAATAATAACAAATACACCTCAGAGAGTTAAAAATGGAACGAGGTAATATGTGTAACATTTAGCACAATGTCTGGCACATTTGCAAAGTGCCGAAAATGTGGCTATTTTTGAAGGCAAGGGAGGCAAGTCTAGGAAGAAAACAATTAGAGAAAGGAAATTCAATGCAACCAAGCATTACAATTCTACCACATACAAATAAACTCAGTAAGCTCAGTTGTGCACAAAGCAAAAATCTAGGCCTGTAAAAAAGGCAGGGAAAAAATGATGGCTAAATAAATTAAAAAGGTAGTTATAATTATACCTGTGCCTGTTCAAAGTGATTAGAAGGTAAAAGAGAAGGTAAGAAAGGTAATAAAAGATCACCATTAAGAAAATACAAGGAAAAATGGGGCAGGAACACTTTGAGTACGTTCAGTTAAAACTAATAACAACCATAAAACATTTTCCCACTTCCCTTCCCCAAACACCCCATGTTAGGATAGTGTAAGAAGGCACATCCATGTGACTATCAAAGTGTAGACTGGGAGGTAGAACATGTACTGCTTGTAATTGCCAAATTTACGTGTGGAACAAGAGATGAACCAGAGAATTATAGGCCAATAAACCTGAATTCAATTTAGAAAAAGAAATGGAAAACATGTGGGATTGCTGAGATAGCAATCCTTCAGGAAATTCTACAACTGTACTTCCAAAAGCAAGACCAATGGCTCGGCAGCATGAAAAATCACACGAGAGGAGGGGAGATGTTTTTCAAAATGTAGATTCTGGAGTTCTACTCCGACCTCCTGAAAGAGATTTTCTGGAGAAGAAGCCAAACAATCATCACTTTAGGCAACTTCCTCCTGGTGATTCATCTGCACATGGAAGCGTGAGACCTCTGCTCCATGGCACAGGAAAAAAGTGACCGCAGGAGGTGATGAATAATAAATTAAGCATGAATATATCTTTTCAATTTGGCGCTATTCTGTGATTAGCTACATAATGTGAATTATCTATATTGCTTTTTAAGTCATCTCTTACTTCAAACACACACATTACATGGTCAGAGTACCCAGTTTGAGGAATCAAGTTGAATTTCAATACCTGGTTATAATTAATTTAAAATAGCTACTGAGTTTTTAATCATTAAAAAAAGTGGGTAAAATTGTCTAGTTCATTTCTAACATTATATTTATAGTTTACAATTTGTTTTGTAAAAATCCATTTTTTTTTCTTTTTGGAATTCATCTTTTAAGATCACACAGTGGGAAAAAAAATAGATGACAGATAACCTTCCATGGAAGAAAAGTCACAATGGTCAAAGGAAGAAAGTTGAGGTTATTCAGTAAAGAGCTCAGTCCTTTTTACCTACACTCTGGAACGACACATGCATCTGTTCCCAATTTGAAGAAAATATATTGCAAACAGATAAGTTCGGTTTTTCATGGCTGAACCCTTCTGCTCAGAAAGTGAATGCATAAACCCTGGCTTCGTGCTTTTGTTTATTCATGGAAATCAATATGAACTTTAAATAAAAAGGCAAAAAAAAGAAAGTACACTTCATACTCCAAATTCTTTAATTAATGCTAGCATCGTATCTCTTTATCCTCAATCTGGATCCCATCTGGAAGTAGCAAGATGAAAAGGAAAGGACCATAGGAGATAAAAACCCATTTTCCATCACCCACTTCTTCCTAATTTTTAAAGAATACTTCCAACAAAAGCACCACCGCGACATTCCTAAAATACAAAACATAAAAGTGGATAATTCCACCTGCCAAATTTGAAACTATCCAGATATTACCCAAAGCCTATTACCACCTCAGAACCTTGAATTGTCACTACTTCATCTAATAAGTCAATTTGAGGTGATTTAGTATGATGTTATTAGGCTGTCTATAATGTATACTGCAATGATAAGACTTGGGGAAAAAACATTTAGTCAATTGTATCTCAGACAATAGATAATAACTTTTCTTATCTGCAAAATCATTCTTCTTTAACCTCCTGTGAGTCTATAAAATTGTTTATAAATGTTAGCTTATGTTAAAAATATCAAAACATGAAGCATATTGTCTTATTTCCTATACTAATTTCATGCCTACATCCCATGTCTTTCCAGATTATATAAACAGCAAAAGGTTTAACATTTACTTTTTGTGTGTGCTAGGTACTAAATAGAAACTAGAATGCATATTCATATTACTTATGCTTATATTTCTTTTCTATAAAAGTAAATATAAATGTCTTTCATGTGGGGAAATGCCAAGAAACATACACATTAAAAAGGTGAAAGAAATGCAGACCACATGTAAGTGGTATCTCTGGAAAAGAGTGGCCAATATCCCAATAGTATCAACTACCATACTTGTATATAGAAAATTATAAATGCATTCTATCAGGGGAAACTGTGATAGGAATCCTATTGTCTACTCTTCTATCTCTTAAACTGCAAAATTCATACTTTCTATGTTAAATAATTATTAAGCCTAAGTAGTACACAGAAGCCCTCCTTATGCAGTTTCACTTTCTGTGGTTTCAGTTACCCACAATCTAAAAGCATTAAATGAAAAATTCTAGAATAACCAATTCATACATTTTAAATCGTGCACCTTTCTGAACAGCATGATGAAATCTCACGCCATCCCACTCCATCAGCCCTGGACGTGAATCCAACGTATTCATACTGATGGCACAACCTGCTCTTGAGTCACTTAGTACCTCTCTCTGTTATCAGATCACCCGTTGTGAGATAACAGTGCTTGCATTCAAGAAACCCTTATTTTACTTAGTTGTTCTATTTTATTATCAGTTATTGTTGTTAATCTTTCATTGTGCATATTTTATAAGTTAAACTTTACCACAGGTATGTACGTACAGAAAAAAATATATATGTAGGGTTTGGTACTATTGCTGGTTTCAGGCATCTACTAGGGAACTTATCCCATGAAGACAAGGGGATACTGCTGAATGGAAGTCCCCAAGTTCTCACTGTCTGAAAGAGAGAGAATCGGAAAGTACAGAAGCCTCCAAGATTGAGGAAAGGCCCTTTTTTTTTAAGAGCCTGAAGTAAGAGTAACTCTTCCACCAGCTAATGAAATGGCATCAGTCAGAAGGACAAAAATAACCTCAAAGCAATGGTAGATGGAAAATGGAAAAAACAAGAATAGGAAGACAAAGTTTATAATTTTCTATGCATGTGTTTAGAGGCAGGGAGACACAGGAAGGTGAAAGATTAATGTAAGAGCAGGGATCACTTAAATCTTTATTTTTGCCTTATTAATACCTTAAAATTTATCAATCATTTATCTTGTACAAAAAACAGTATCATCCTTTAAACCTAGCTCAATGAAAAATGAGAATTATCTCTCATAAGGCTCTAATAATTGTAGAACACAGTACAAATATTCTTCATAGCAATGCTAAGTCTTCCAGTGATAACATGCCGGGGGGAAAGAAAGTCCTTTCTCAGCCTTCTCTCGTTCCCTCAATATACCTCCTCCTCATTTCCTCTTTTTCTGCCTCTCTCCATTTTATAACTGCATAAATCTTACATACAGAACCTAAAACAGAAGAACCCCTGAAGTTTAACTGTCTGACCCTCTTCTTCACTCCTTCCTGGAAGCAGGAAAATAGCTATTTTCTTTTAATATCTCTGTGACTTATTTGCCACAAAGCTTAAAAATAAGATGAACATCTCAAGACATGTAAGAAGCTGATTTATCACTGAAAGCTCTCTTTCAATGTATGCATGAATATGTATGCTATACTCTATATTTTCCCTTTAAGAAAATACAGATATATGCAGGAATATGACATTATGTGTATATAGTTAGAAATGTGTTTAATTGTAACTTTACAGATAAATTTAAACAAACATGCTCTTATTTAATAGTGCCTAGAACTGAGATGACTGAATCATAGCTACTACATAAACACCTTTGCTATTGAGGAAGAAAATGTATTTTTTTAAAACTGAATTTGTTGAAGTTTGAATTTAGCAGATATTTGGTAATATCCTAATATTCACTTTTGCCCCATTAAAACTGGTCTTCAGGAAATACGTTAATGAATATCATACCTCAACATTCAAATGGCTAAAACTTTTTACTGTTTCACAAGGTTATTTTTATCAACAGTGAGAGATAATCCACATAATAAAATAACATTTATCAGTCACATATATCAGTGATACTTTCTGAAATCTGACCATTATTATGATGCCAGAATGCCTGCTTTTTGTTCACTCCAGCTCACTTGCTCAGAAACCTTCACAAGAACACTGGAAAGTCCCATTTTCTATTCTGCTTTCTGCCATTAACCTTCTATGAAGCTTGTAACAAAATCATACCCACAACCAGGTTCCCAGATGCCCTATTTAAAAAACAGATCTACATTATAGTTAAGATCCTAGCATGGAAAATAATTAGGAGGGCAAAGAGCAACATTTTCAGCACTTTGCTGTCACATCATCAAATAAAATCAGTGGAAGAAGTTGCCAGAGGGAGGAGAAAATATTTCTCACCTCTTGAGGAAAAACGTGGCATAGAAACCCCAAAATTATTGCTTAAGGCCAACCTTATGCCTCTCAGCTCTTTGTTTTTCTCAGTCACACTAGTGCAGAACTCTGCCTCATTTAGTCTAATTTGCGTCCCTTGTTATATTATCTGCGCACAAAATAAAGTCCCTGTTGTACTCCTTCTCCACTGACATTTCACTCTTGCACTCAGGACAAGTGTGTCCAAATAAGTAACAACCCTAAATCACACTTTAATCCTAATTTTCCGGAGACACGAAGAGAAAATAACAGAGAAAAGAAGGGGATGAAAAAAAGTAGGAAAATAGGTATGCATATGTGTGTAGGGGAAAATTGGAAATGCAGAAGTGGAAGGGGAAACAGTTAAAGTGAGTAAAAGGAGAAAGAGAATAGGATAATAATAGAGGGTCCAAGATGGCCGATTAAAAGCAGCGGCAGTCTGTAACACTCACAGAGAAGAATGAAAGCAAGGGACGAATTCAGCACCTTCAACTGAAATAACCAGGTTCTCGCACTGGCACTGACTAGGCAAATAGCTCGACCCATAGAGAATGAAGAAAAGCAGGGAGGGGCAACAGCCTAGCCAGGAGTGGCATGGATCCAAAGGAACTCCCACCCCCAGCCAAGAGAAGCGGTGAGTGATTGTATGATCCCACTCGGGAAACCACACTTCTCCCACAGATCTTTGCAACCAGTGGATCAGGAGATCCCTTCGTGAGCCCACGCCACCAGGGCCTTGGGTCTGATACACAGAGCTATGCAGAGTCACAGCAGAGCAGCTGCTCAGGCACACACAGAGACCCAGGAGTTTTGCATACTGTGGTCCTGGGATTCCTGGCAAGGAGGGAGATACAAAGCTACATACACCCGGGGGCGGGGCTGAATCCAGGGAGCCAGGCAGCGTCGTTTTAAGGGCCCCACTTCCATAGCACCTCACAAGTTAAGACCCACTGGCTTGGAATTCTCTCAAGCCAGCGATGACAGGTTGGGGTCTGCCTGAGAAGGACAAAGTTCCCAGGGAGAGGGATGGCCACCATCTCTGTGGTTTGGTCTACACAGCTGTTCCAGCCTGCCAGCTCTGGAGAGTCTAGCCTGTCCAGAAGAAGAGGGGTCCCCCACAATGCAGCACAGCTGTGCCACCAAAGCAGCCAGACTGCTTCTTTAAGTGGGTCCCTGATCCTGTTCCTCCTGACTGGGCGTGCCCTCCCAACAGGGGTCTCCAGACACCTCCTATAGGTGCAGTTTAGGCTGGCAATAGGACAGTACCCCCCTGGGACAGAGCCTTCAGAAGAAGGAGTAGGCTCCCATCTTTGCTGTTTCACAGCCTTCACTGGTGATTACCTCCAGGTACAGGAAAAACTGAGGCAACTAGGGTCTGGAGCAGACCCCCAGCAAACTGCAGCAGCGCTACAGAAAAGTAGCCTAACCATTAAAAACAAACAGAAAACAACAACATCAACAAAAAACCCTCACAGAAAACCCCATTCAAAGATCAGGAACCTCAAAGATCCAAGGTAGATAAGCCCACAAAGATGAGAAAGAATCAACACGAAAATACTGAAAACTCAAAAAGCCCAGAGTGCTTCTCCTCCAAATGACTCCAGCAAAGGCGCAGAACTGGGCTGAGGCTGAGATAGCTAAACTGATGGAAGTAGGCTTCAGAAGGTAGGTATTAAGAACTTCATTGAGCTAAAGAGGCAAGTTGTAACCCAATGAAAAGAAACTAAGAATCATGATAAAAACAATACAGAAGCTGATAGCCAGAATAGCCAGTTTTGAGAGGAACATAATTGACCTGATGGAGCTGAAAAACACAACATGAGAACTTCACAATGCAATCACAAGTATCAACAGCAGAATAGACTAAGTGGGGAAAGGATCTCAGAGCTTGATGGCTATCTCTCAAAGTAAGATAGGCAGACAAGAAGAGAGAAAAAAGAATGAAAAGGAGTAAACAAAACCTCTGAGAAATATAGGATTATGTAAAGAGACTGAACCTTCGACTGACTGGTATATATAAAAGAGAGGTGGAGAACTGAACTAAGTTGAAAAACGTACTTCAGGATATCATCCAGGAGAACTTCCTCAACCTAGCAAGACAGGCCAACATTCAAATTCAGGAACTGCAGAGAACCCCAGTAAGATACTCTAAAACAAGATCAACCCCAAGACACATAATCATCAGATTCTCCATGGTTGAAATGACAGAAAAAATGTTAAGGGCTGCCAGAGAGAAAGGCCTAGCCACCTACAAAGGGAAGCCCATCAGACTAACAGCAGGCCTCTTAGTGGAAACCCTACAAGGCAGAAGAGATTGGGGGCCAATATTCAACATTCTTAAAGAAAAGAATTTCCAACCCAGAATTTCATATCAAGCCAAACTAAGCTTCATAAGCAAAGGATCAATAAGATTCTTTTCAGACAAGCAAATGCTGAGGGAATTCATCATCATGAGGCCTGCCTCACAAGAGCTCCTGAAGGAAGCACTAAATATGAAAAGGAAAAGCCATCACCAGCCACTTAAAAAACACCCTAAAGTATATAGACCAGTGACACTATAAAGCAACCACATAAACAAGTCTGCAAAATAACCAGCTACCATCATAATGACAGGATCAAATTCACACATAACAATACTAACCTTAAATGTAAATGGACTACATGCCCCCAATTAAAAAACACAGAATGAAAGGCTGGATAAAGAGCCAAGATCCACTGGCATGCTGTATTCAACAGACCCATGTAAAGTGAAAGACACATAGGCTTGAAATAAATGGATGAAGGAAAATTTACCAAACAAATGGAAAACAAAAAAAGCAGGGATTGCAATCTTGGATTCTGACAAAACAGACTTTAAACCAACAAAGATCAAAAAATACAAAGAAGAGCATTACATGATGGTAAATGGTTCAATTCAAAAAGAAGAGTTAACTATCCCAAATATATATGCACCCAATACAGGAGCACTCAGATTCATAAGCCAAGTGTTTAGGGACCTACAAAGAGACTTAGATGCCCACACAGCAATAGTGGGAGACATTAATACCCCACTGACAATATCAGATCATCAAGACAGAAAATTAACAAAGATATTCGGGACTTGAACTCACCTCTGGATCAAGTGGACCTCATAGATATCTACAGAACTCTCCACCCCAAAACAACAGAATATATATTCTTCTCATTGCCACATGGCACTTACTTTAAAATTGATCCTACAATCAGAAGTAAAACACTCTTCAGCAAATGCAAAAGAAATGAAGTCACAACAGTCTGTCAGACCACAGTGCAATCAAATTAGAACTCAAGATTAAGAAGTTCACTCAAAACCATACAATTACATGGAAATTGAATAACCTGCTCCTGAATGACTTTGGGGTAAATAACGAAATTAAGGGAGAAATCAAGAAGTTCTTTGAAACTAAACAGAACAAGGAGACAATGTACCAGAATCTCTGGGACACAGCTAAAGCAGTGTTAAGGGGGAAATTTATAGCACTAAATGCCCACATCAAAAAGCTAGAAAGATCTCAAGTTGACCACCTAACATCTCAACTAAAAGAACTAGAGAACCAGAGCAAACAAAACCCAAAGCTAACAGAAGACAAAATATAATCAAGACTAGAGCTGAACTAAAGGCGACAGAGACACGAAAAGCCCCTTGAAAAATCAATGAACCCAGGAGGTGTTTTTTTTTTTGAAAAAATTAATAAAATAGACTACTAGGTAGACTAAGGAAAAAGAAAAGAGAGAAGAATCAAATAAACAGAATTAGAAATGATAAGGGGGATGTCACCATTGACCCCACAGAAATACAAACAACCATGAGAGAATACTATAAACACCTTTATGCACATAAACTAAAATCTAGAAGAAGTGGATAAATTCCTGGATGCATACACACTCCCAAGACTGAACCATGAAGAAATTGCATTCCTGAAAGACCAACAGTGAGTTCTGAAACTGAGGCCATAATAAATAGCCTACCAACAACAAAAAGCCCAGCACCAGATAGATTCACAGCTGGATTCTACCAGAGATACAAAGAATAACTGGTACCATTTCTGCTGAACTATTCCAAAAAATTGAAAAGGAGGGACACTTTCCTAGCTCATTTTATGACACCAACATCATCCTGATACCAAAACTAGGCAGCGATACCACAAAGAAAACTTCAGGCCAATATCCTTGATGAACATGGATGTAAAAATCCTCAGTAAAATATTGGCAAACTGAATCCAGCAGCATATAAAAAAGCATATGCACTACAATCAAGTTGGCTTCATCCCTGGGATGCAAGGTTGGTTCAATATATGCAAATCAGTAAATGTGATTCATCACCTACACACAACCAAAGACAAAATCCACATGGTTATCTCAATACATGCAGAAAAGACCTTCAATAAAAGTCAAAATCCCTTCATGTTAAAAACTCTCAATGAACTAGGTATTGAAGAAATACACTGTAAAATAATAAGAGCCATATATTTCAAACCCACAGCCAGTATCATACTAAATGGGCAAGAGCTGGAAGCATTCCCCTTGAAAATTGGCACAAGACATGGATACCCTCTTACCATTCCTATTCAACACAGTATTAGAAGTTCTGGCCAGGGCAATCAGGCAAGAGAAAGGAATAAAGGTATTCAAATAGGAAGAGAGAAAGTCAAACTATCTTTGTTTGCAGATGGCAGGATCCTGTATCTAGAAAACCCCATTGTCTCAACCCAAAAGCATCTTAAGCTGATAAGCAACTTCAGCAAAGTCTCAGAATACAAAATCAATGTGCAAAAATTGCTAGCATTCCCATATGCCAACAGGCAAGCAGAGAACCAAATCAAGGTCTCACGTTTAAGATATCTGCAACTGCCCCATACTTTCCTGGTGCACTCCATCCAACAATCTCTGAACTACATTAGCAATTTCCAATAAACTTTTTATGTTGCTTAAGGTAGTTCAAATTGGCTTTTTGTATCATGAAATGAAGAGTCTTGAATGAAAGTCTTGAATAAAATGCTCATATTCCATCAAATATTCAACTATCCTTTTCTGGTTTTATTTGAAAACAAATTTTGTCCTCCTATCATTGTGATAGGAGGAAGCAACCAATCCATTAAAAATTAAGACGGAAATAGAGAATGTTAAATAGAAAAACAGACAATAACAAATTTCAATTCTTGTCAGGCTGGTCATGCTATGTCCTCACCATCAATCTTAATTTAATAGCAATATATAAAGATTCTAGAATGAATTATCCTAAAGAAAGTAACTAGTATCTTAATTCTTTTTTAGGTTAATAATTGACAACTGAAAACAAATGAGTCTCCATTTCCCTTAGTCAGAATAAAAGACATTATGCCTAGTATCACAAAAATTACTTAATACTGCTCTGGAACAACTAGACACTACAATTGTCTAGAATTAATAAGAGAACAAAAAACAGAAAAGGAGGCAAAATTAAGTGTGAATGATATAGCCATGTATCAGACCACTCAAGATAATCTATGGAAAGAATACATAAAACCTTATGATTATGTTTCATATGATTATATGAAAATATACAAAAATTTATAAATAGATGAAAGTCGCTTGGTAATTATATCAGAAGATCCTATTCTAAACTGCAACATAAGAAAAATGCAATAACTCCATATCTCAGAAAGCTGCAAAACACTACTGAAGGGAAGAAGCAGAAACTTCAAAATAGTTTTCCCAGAAATGTTTAAATAAATCTGTGGACAGAACTGTATTCAGAAATAGACTGAAATATGTGTCAAAATTAGTATATAATAAAGGCAGCATTTAAAGCATTGAAAACATCATAAATGCATTACTGGCCACAATTCTTCACTTCACCCTGTATCTATATCCTTACCATGGCCACATCAGAGACACAGTGTATATCCAAGCTCCTTGACTTTAGACCTTGCCATGCAGCAAACTTGCATTAGGCAAATCAATGTGTTCAAAGGGACCTTTTGTTAATTATGAGGCTAAGACGTAGGAGGCATCACATGTGAATGTTTGCTCTATAATGCTTTTGCCATTATCAAGGGAACATGTTCTATCTTGTCAGTGGTTTCAGGATCATGTCAGATACATGCAGTAGAATTGCCCCAGACAAGCTACATAAAGCAAGAGGTGCCCAAAGCCACCCATAGTTCCATAGATCAATGGCATTTGTCTTAAGCCATTACATTCTATAGTAGTTAGTTCTCAACGAAACCTGAGCAAGAGTGAGGGAAAGATGTATTACTCAATACATAGTGTTGAAGCACCTGTTCAGTAATTTTAGGAAAAATGGGTTAGATTCCAGTTTCCTTATCTACACTAAAAGTATTTTCTGTATATCAAAGATTCATGCACATAAAAAGAAAAAAGGTGGTTTCTTTGAAAGTTTTGAAATGCTGCAGATTTGAAACATAATACAAAACTGAAAGTTATAACATAAAGACTAATCTTAAAAAACATTAACAAAATCAAAACATCAACAAATTCATTTTATGACAGAACGGGGCCAATTTTAATATATACAGAGCTCATATAATCAATAAAAAGAGAAGACAAAACACAAGTTGGCAGAAAAAGAAAGTCTTCATAATTTAAAAAATGCAAATAGTTTAAAACATAAAAAAATTCCCAATACTGCTATGAATTTACACTTGCAAAAAAAAATAATATTTTACCCAGCAGATTAGGAAAAACTTAAAAGCACTGGCAAGTGTGTGTGGAACCAAGCATGCTCAAGCATTGTTGAGTGACAATTTGGCAGAATCTACTACAATTATAAATAAATATAGCCCTTAACGCAGTAATTCCACTTCCAGAAATTTCGTTACATAAACCAATTAACTCACATGTACTTAGATAAGTACACTGCATTATTTTTTAATTATAGAAACAACTTTTAAAATAACCTCTTTGTCCAGCAATTGGCAATGGTTAAATAAATTACAAGTTACAAGTTATTAATATCATACAAGTATGAAGTTGTTCTACATGCACTGGTAGAAAAAAATCTCCAAAGTATATTGTTATGTTAAAAATATACAGAACATTATATATAATGCATTTTTATGGGAAGGAAGGCAGGGGAAGGAAGAAAGTCTATAAAGAGGGAGGGTGGTAGGAGGGAGGGGGGGAACTGTGTGTGTCTAGAAAATTTCTGGAAATTAAGTAACAAAAAGAAAATCTTTCTTTAAAAAAAATGACTGAAACCTGCAACTCTTGGGCAGATGGACGTCCTCAAAGAAAAGGCTCCATGTGTTTCGTTACTCCTAATATGATCCTATAATAAAAGCCTCATTTTTCCTGTTAAACACAAAAGTGAAAAACGGACTGTTTAATATTCTAAGACTACACTTCCTCTACTTTTCCTAAGATGTAATTCAGATAGACAGCACATGTATCAATGAAAGACTAAAGAAGGTCTTGTATTCTCTGTTTTTATCCTGCCTATCACCAATATAGCAAAAGCAAATCCATCATATATTTAACATTTATTGAGTCAACTCTTCATGGGCCTTCATTATTGTGACTGTTAAAACACTATGATCTAATTTTAATGTAAGTTACTTAAAAGAAATTCAAATTATTATGTGATTATTCAGTCTTCAAGTTTTACATGCTAATGGACACAGCCACTGACAGTGTATGCACCTTTTTCCTCATCCACGTAGCTCAAAGAGGGATGGAAATCAGTTAAGACCTCCAGTGAAATACAAGTAAAACTGTTTTTGCTCTTTTCTAAAAATCATTTGGTGAAGTTGCTGTTCAATAATAGTAATAACTACAACTGAAGTCACTGAACTAGAACAAAGTTATTTTCCTTTGATATTTTCCCTAAGGTATTCTGATACACACCACCAGAAAAAAACGACGAAGTTTAGAATATTTTTAATGCCAAGGCAAAAGGCATTTATATAAACGTTCTATTGGTGAATGAAGATAGAAAGCGCTATTTATACCAAAAATACTGTCATATGATGGAGATGATTTTTTAAAATCTCAAAGTCCAAGGTGCTCACCAGTTGACCATTAATAACTAAGATAAATATGACCCTTGATTATTTGAAGTTAAATATTTCTAATAAAGTAATTGAAGTAAATGTAAGGTAAAGGCACCATACTGTCATCCAGTATGGGCTAAATGAGTTAAGAAAAAGGACAACTATTGAAATGGATCAGAAAATACCAGTTACATTAGAAACTAAAACCCATGAATAGGGATGATGTAATCCACTCATTTTTCAGTGCATATCTAAGGAGCACTCTACTTGCATGGTGGTGTCTGGCTCATGGAACACACTAAAGATGAAGACAGATATACTCTGGCTCAACACAAAGTTATAATTTACTGTGAGAGACAGCTGTGAATCTATCATTCAAACACCTTGTACAATGGATTATTCGTACAGGCATTCAATTTGTTCTAATGTACTGAATTCGCCCATATGCCCCCAGGCAAGAAGAGAGAAAAAAAGTTATTTCTGTCCCCTTAAATTTTTCTACTAGCAAGTATAAATTTGGCCTACATATTTCTAGACACAGGAAGACCAAAACTCAAAGGCACAAGGAAAAGAAGGAGGTGGATGTGTGTTTTTTTGTGTGTCCATGAGTTAAGTTTTATCAATTAATAAGGTATTTAATAATTTTCAACAGTAATTTTAAGGTCCCTTAGTCTTGCATACAGATGCCGCTATCTGCCTTTGAAGTAAGATATTAATAAAATACTGTGATTATAATTATATTGGATACTTTAAAAATAAGAATAAGTTATTATAAATGCATAATGTGGGGATTACCTGGTGGGGGTGAAGATGGAGATTTAGAGACGGCTCACTAATATTTATTCTCGACACCAAAAAAAATGTATATTAGGATGGGGAAGAAATGAAGGAATTAAGCATTTTGATAAAGACTCTACGGTGGATTTTGATATATCCAGGAGGTAAAAGGGGAACAGCATACCTGCTAGAGCCGAGATCATCAAAGTTTGATCCAGGAACCTCTGAGTGTCCTAAAACTTTCAGGAATCAAACAATTTTAATAAGATGTTATTTGCCTTTTTACTCTCATTCACTTGCATTTGACAGTTGAGTTTACCAGAGCCTTTGTGATTTATAACATCAGAAGTGTGAATGCATAAGGAGATAGGAGATATGAGAATCTAGCTATTTTTTGTTAAGCCAGATATTTAAAGTATCTGGAAAGATCTAAAACAATGCCACCTTTCTTACTATTTTGTTTTGTAAAATTATTTTTTCATAAAAATGTTATTTATGACATGTCATTTTTAATGAATTTCTAAATAAGTATTTAAAAATTCTCTTAGATTTATCTAATACCATAAATATAGATGGATATAAACCATAATAGAAGATTCTGGGTTTTCATTAATGTTTAGGAGTGGACAGCCATCTTTAATGTGAGAACCACTGTACTAGATCACAGTGAGCAGAAGATGAACTCTGAGCTACAGGGCTAGAGAAAGGGGTGAGGCTGATAATGAGAGGTCTTGCATGCCATGTTATAAATAATATAACATGTCAAGACCAGAGATAACGAAGATTTAAAATAGGGTTGCAACCCAAAATAGACATCAGAAATAAAAAGACTTAAGATATACATTAGAGGAAATGAGGCAATTGATTAGAAGTAGAGAGTAAGGGGCAGAAAACTGGGGATTTGGTGCCCACTCTTAACTTGAACACCCATGTGGTAGGTGATACCAGCACAGTGGTGGGAAGTAGTGTCAGAGGAAACACTGAGACAGGGCAGATCAGAACATCTGTCATTGTACACAGTAAGATGGATAAGCAGACGATGGGAATACAGGCTAGAGCTGAGAAGAGAGATGCCAACTGGAGATAAAAACTGGCAGTTCTCTTCATACGGGTATTTTAAGCCATAGGAATCCAAAGACAGATTCCAGAGTCAGACATGGCCCAAAGCTAAGCCTTGATCACCCAATCTTTTATAGTTAGACATTTTATTTCTATAGAATAGTGTCATATAGAAGACTGAAACCTATTCTTTTCCATCTTAATTTAGGCTACAGCATACATGTAACTACCAGCAGTTATCATTATTAGGTTGGTTACTAAGAACCGGATTATATATTCAATATGCAATTTTTAACAGCTCTATTGAGGTATGATTGGTATACAATAAGCAGCACATATTTTAAGTGTACAATTTGATAAGTTTTGACATACACAGACCACCACAGCCAGGAAAATTAACATATCCATTATCAGCAAAAGTCTTCTCTGGACTCTATAATCCTTCCCTCCCAGCCCTCCTGCCCTCCTCCCTCAGTCCCTAGGCAATCACTGATCTGCTTTCTGTTGCTAAAGATTAGTGTCCATTTGAGCCAGGCACAGCGGCTCATGTTTGTAATCCCAACACTTTGGGAGGCTGAGGCGGGCAGATCACCTGAGGTCAGGAGTTAGAGACCAGCCTGACCAACACGGTGAAACCCCATCTCTACTAAGAATACAAAATTAGCTGGGTGTGGTGGTGCATGCCTGTAATCCCAGCCACTTGGGAGGCTGAGGCAGGAGAATTGCTTGAACCCAGAAGGCAGAGGTTGCAGTGAGCCTGAGCCAAGATTGAGCCATTGCACTCCAGCCTGGGCAATAAAGAGCAAATCTCTGTCTCAAAAACAAAAACAAAAAAAGGTGAGTGTCCATTTTTTATAATTTTATTTAAAATAAATCACACAGTATGTGCTCTTTTTAATGGGCTTTGTTCACTCAGCCTAATTGTTTTGGCATTCTTTACTATTTTACAATGTATCAATAGTGCATTCCTTTTTATTGCTAAGTAGTATTCCATTATATGGATGTATCAGAGTTTTGTGTACTGATGTTGTTGGACATCTGTGCTGTCTCCAGTTTTTGGGGGCAGCTTTTAACATTTCATGCAGTGTTGCTGTGCTGGAGATAAATCTTTCAGCTTTTGTGTCTCTGAAATATTCTTTATTTTGCCTAAGTATCTGAAATATATTTTCAATATGTACAGAATCTTAGGTTGAGAGATTTTTTTCCTTTCTGTATTTTCAGGATGCTTCTCCACTATCTTTTCCTTGTATTATTTCTGACAGGCAATCTGCAATTATTTGCTCCTCTATATGAAAGGTGTCTATTTTTCTCTGTCTGCTTTTATGATTTTTCTCTTTATCACTCATTTGAGCAATTTGATTATGCTGTGCCTTACTGTAGTTTTCTTCTTTTTTCTTTGTGCTTGGGATTCATCAACCTTCTTGGATCTGTGAGTTTATGTATTTTCCATCAAATTAAGAAAAGCGTTATTCTTTCTACCTCTCCCTACTTAAGAGACTTAAATTACATGTATACATGTTGTATTAACCTGTTCTCACACTGCTGATAAAGACATACCCAAGACTGGGCAATTTACAAAATAAAGAGGTTTAATGGACTCACAGTTCCACATGGCTGGCGAGGCCTCACATTCACGGTGGAAGGCAAGGAGGAGCAAGTCACATCTTACATGGATGGCAGCAGGCAAAGAGAGAGCTTGTGCAGAGAAACTCCCCCTTACAGAACCATAGAACCATCAGATCTCATGAGACTTATTCACTATCACAAGACCAGCATAGGAAAGACCCGTCCCCATGATTTAATTACCTCCTACTGTGTTCCTCCCATACCACGTGAAAATTCAAGATCAGATTTGGGTGGGGACACAGCCAAACCATATCACATGTATATTAGGTAACGTGCAGCTGTCCCATATCTCACTGATATTCTGTTCATTGTTAAATTTTCCTTTAGTGTTTCTGTGAATTACTTGTATTTCTGCAACCTAAAGTTTATTTTGTTCTTCACTAATGTGTAATCTGCTGTTAATTTCAAGTTTATTTTTAATCTCATGTATTGTAATTTTTATCTCTAAAGTTCAATTTCAATATATCTTCCATATGTCAACTTTTGGACATAAAGAATATAGTCATAACAAATGTTTTAATATTTTTATCTGCTAATTATAACATCTGTGCTATTTTTGAATCAATTTAAATATACAGAATTTTCTCCTAATTAGTGTTTTTCTGCTTTGTCGTATGCCTGACAATTTTTTATTATATGCTAGACATTATGAATTTTACCCTGTTGGGTGCTGGGTATTTCTGTATTCCAACAAATATCACTGAGCTTTGTTGTGAAATCAGTTAAGTCACAGAACAGTGTGATTCTTTCCAGTCTTCCTTTTAAGTGTTGTTAAGCTGAATGAAAGCAGTGTTTAGTCCAGAGCTAATTATTTTTCATAACTGAGGCAAGACACTTCTGAGCACTCTCCCCTTTGCCCTAAGAAGTATGGGGTTATCCAGTCTGGCTGAAGGGAGCTGGCACTATTGCCAGGCCTTCATGAACACTGGGCATGATTCCCTCTAGCTGTTTTGGTTGATTCTTTCCTTGGCAACCAGTAGTTACTTCACAGGAAGACACAGATCAGTTCTCAACTGCATACTCAAGGGGAACCCTGGGCAGATCTCTGGTGTTTTTGCTCTTTGCAGTTCTCTTCTCTCCATTATTCTGAATGTGAATCACCTTGGTCTCCTTATACACCCAGCTCCATTCCTTAACTCAGAGTCTGTCCAGCTCAACCTGAGTTCCACCTTCCTGGTGCTATGGCTGGAAACTCTCTCAAGGCAGCAAGTTGAGATAATCCTAAGGTTCACTGCATTTGTTTCCCATCTCTCAGGGATAACTCCTTTATTACCCAAAGTCCAGTGACTTGAATATCACTGTTCAAACATTTTGTCCATTTTTTGGGATGGGATAGGCATACCTCCGTTTATTGCATTTTACCTTATTGCACTTCACAGATAATGTATTTTTTACAAAATGAAGGTTTGTGACAACCCTCCATCAAACAAGTCTATCAGTACCATTTTTTCCCAGAGCATGTGCTCACTTCACATCTCTGTGTCACATTTTGGTAATTCTCACAATATTTCAAGCTTTTTCATTAGATGATATCTGTTATGGTGATCTGTGGTTAGTGTTCTTTTTCTTTTTTTAACACCTACCAAATTTATTTGACTATGGAATGTTTCTGAGAAATATCTTGTAGCATTAGTTTCTGAAGAACATATTGTGAGATATGCACTAAAACAGAGACCCAAAAACTCACCTAAGGTTCCAGGATTTAAAAATACAGATTCCCAAACCTCACTCTATGTGATCACTAATCTCTGATGTTAGTATTGTAATTGTTTCAGAGTACCACAAACTCTGCCCATTTAAGATGCCAAACTTAGTAACTAAATGTGTGTGTGTTCTGACTGCTCCACTCACTGGCCATTCCCCCATCTCTTTCCCTCTCTTTGGGCTTCCCTATTCCTTGAAACACAACAATATTGAAATTAGGCCAGTTAACAATTCTACAACGGCCTATAAATGTTTAAGTGAAAGGAAGAGTCATACATTTCTCACTTTATATTAAAAGCTAAAAATGATTAAGCTTAGTGAGGAAAGCATGTTGAAAGCCAAGATAGGCCAAGAGCTAGGCCTCCTTCACTGAACAGTTAGCCAAGTTGTAAATGCAAGGGAAAAGTTTCTGAAAGAAATTAAAAGTGATACTCCAGTGAACACACAAATGATAAGTGAAATAGCCTTATTACTGTTACAGAACAAGTTTAAGTGGTTTGAATAGACCAAACCAGCCACAACGTTCCCTTAAGCCAAAGCCTAATCCAGAGCAAGGCCCTCACTCTCTTCAATTCTCTGGAGGCTGAGAGAGGTGAGGAAGCTGCAGAAGAAAAGTTGAAAGCTAGAAGTGGTTGGTTCATGAGGTTTAGGAAAGAAGCCATGTATGTAACCTAAAAGTGCAAGATGAAGTAGCAGTGCTGATGAAGAAACTGCAGCAAGTTATCCAGAAGATCTAGCTAAAATAATCGATGTAGGTGGGTACCGTAAACAAAAGATTTCAATATAGACAAAACAGCCTTATATTGGAAGAAGAGGCCATCTAGGACTTTCATAGCTAGAGAGGAAAAGTCAGTGCCTGGCATCAGAGCTTCAAAGGACAGACTGACTTTCTTGATAGGAGGTAATGCAGCTGGCAACTTTAAGTTGAAGCTAGAGCTCATTTACCACTCCAAAAACTCTATGGCCCTTAAGAATTATGCTAAATCTACCCTGCTCTATCAATAGAACAACAAAGCTTGGATGACAGCATATCTTTTTACAGCATGGTTTACTGAGTATTTGAAGCCCACTGAGACTTACTGCTCAGGAAAAAGAGATTCCTTTCAAAATATTAATGCTCACTGACAACATATCTGGTCACCCAGAGCTCTGATGGAGATGTATAAGGAGATTACTGTTTTCTTTATGCCTGCTAGCACATCCATTTTGCAGCCCATGGATCAAAGAGTAATTTCAAGTCTCAAGTCTCATTATATAAGACATACATTTTGTAAGGCTATAGCTGCCATAGATAGTGATTCCTCTGATAGATCTCAGCAAAGTAACTTTAAAACCTTCTGTAAAAGATTCACCATTCTAGATGCCACTAAGCATCCTCATGATTCATGGGGGGAGGTAAAAATAACAACAGTAACAGGAGTTTGGAAAAAGTTTATTCCAATCCCTGTCGATGACTCTGAGGGAATTAGAAGTGGAACCTAAAGATCTGACTGAATTGCTGCAATCTCATTATAAAACTTTAATGAATGAGGAGGCTTCTTACAGATAAGCAAAGAGTGGTTTCTAGAGATGACATCTACTCCTCGTGAAGAAGCTATGAACACTGTTGAAATGAAAACAAAGGATTTAGAATATTACATAAACGTAGTTGATAAAGCAGTGGCAGGGTTTGTCAGGATTGACTCTAATTTTGAAAAAAGTTCTACTGTGGGTAAAAATACTATCAAACAGTATTGCATGCTAAGAGAAATCTTTCATGAAAGGAATAGTCAATCAATGTGGCAAACTTCACTGTTGTTTCAAGAAGCTGCCACAGCCACCCTCATCTCCAGGGCCATTACCATGATCAGTCAGCAGTCAGCAGCATCAAGGCAACACCCTCCAGCCACAAAAAGAGGACTTGCCAAAGGCTGAATGGTCCTTTAACAATTAAGTATTTTTAATTAAGGTATGTACATGCTTTTTTAGGTATAATGCTATTTCACACTTAATAGAACACAGTACAGTGTAAATATAACTTTTATATGCACTGGGAAACCAAGAAGTTCATGTCACTCACTTCTTTGTGAATTTCTCTTTATTGCAGTGAGAAAACCAAACCAGCAATATCTCTGAGGTATGTTTTTACTTCCTTCAGAGGAAGTGAGAAAGTAGCCAAAGGAATATTTAAATTTTGTAAAAATCAGCTAGATTTTTACCTTTGTTAGTTGGTTTAGAAATAGTCCTTCTTTGATAGGTTAATAAACAAATTATGTGAGTGCTGAAAGCTACATACAAGAACAATCTTAGGGCCTGAAGATTTTTTTTTACATCTATTGGTCAACCACCATATTGGAGTTTCTATTCTCTCCACAATAAAGGCAACAACCAGCCAACAGGCCTATTCTCAAACAGTGAGGAGGAACTCAATAACATTTGAGACACCTGATCCATCGCTGGACTGATCTATCTCTGAAAAATGTCGCTTTATATTAAACTAAATAAATATTTTAAAAACAATAAAATAAATATATTTCCTTTTAGCTTCTACTCAATAGATGCAACACATAAAAATAACAAATGCCAGAATTCATAAAACATGCCAGTCAGTAGCTATAGACACACACATTCCTGCCCTGCAGGGCATTGGAACACCTGTCTCTGACAAAGGTTTTTCACTACATTTTCTGTATTGTTCAATTCTTTTAATCTTAGAATGTAACCAAATCTTCCTGAATACTTTGAAAATCAGATTTAATGGTAAACTGCAATATAACAAATAATTGACAAATAAAATACTACAATTTAATATTGTATGTGTTTAAGATTATGCCATACATGGATTACCAATTATCTAATGATTTAGATAACTGTAAAACTATACTGAGTATCACATAATCAATCTTAAATCAACCAATCAAATCAACAATCCCTTATTCAGTTTTTAGTCCAGATAAGACTGTCTGCTCAGGATGGGTTAATATTTTTCCACTATACATATTAGTTACATCATTTTAGTTTGGAATACAAACGATGTTCGTAATGGAACTGGATCAAATTATCCATACTGGGAACCTGGAAGTTAATTCTCACCTGTATTTATTCGTTTGGAAGCCTGGGTACGACAGTCAGCCTGTCTGCTTTGATTTTAGGCTATCCCACTTCAGCACTTCATAGCAATATAACCTTGGCAAGTTCTTCAAACCCTGTGTTGCAGATCCAACACTGTGTAACAGAAATAGTCATACCAACTCACAAGATTATGATAAGAATTAAATGCGTTTATATATGAAACATTTAGAACACTTATTAGGCACATAGCATGTGTTTAACCAATGTTAATTAACATTGTTTTTTATTATAATTAAGATTCAGTGTTCAAATGGTATTTCCATGTTGCTGGTTATTTGGACCTTTGTTTAATCAGAATGTAATGGCAGAATGTAGGTGTTTCTATGCTCCCAGTCATCAGCGGGAATTCAGGGACTGAGACACCATGTTATTCCTACTTATAAAGGAGACTGCTTGGCAGTGTCTGGATGCTGTCATTATAAAATCCACGCTACAGACAGGCAATAAAGATCACATATCCATTACATAAATGGCCCAAACAAGGCAAAGACTACTTAAGCAATTTGCTTGAGTCACCCATGGAGCAAACAACTTCACTCAGTCCATCATACATAGGCAAAACAATGAGTTATATGAGTAGCACTACTGTAATACAAGGAATACCCAAACCTCCAAAAAGGATTTTAGTCATATCTTAGTAGTGCTCTTGACTTTTCTATGTTTGTTCTCAATTTTATATAAACCATCAAGTATACATTTGTTTCTCTAAGCTATTTGAAACTATTTTACTTTATTAACGATGACAGAGGGGAGGGGTAAAAATGTGACTTTTCATAATTTTTCCCAACTTCTAAGCCTGGGGTCCTGCAAAGTAACTAAAATATGAAGTCCCTAAGATGCCAACTAGATGAAGCAAGTAGAGCGTGAGAAAAGGAACTGCAACTGTTGAGAGTAAAGAAGGAATGAATGCACAGACATTAGAACCTAAAATAAAAACAAATTTCTAATTATTATAAACAATGAGAAATTACCAACACATGGTAGGAATTCAACTGTGAAAAGTTCCCACGGAAAAATGCCCCCACTGACATCATTCGGGGTCTGACTCCATCAGCCGCATGCAGAGGCACATGTCTACATTCCATTGACATCACATCAGGTGCAAGCAATTTAGGGACATGAAATGAAGTTTATAAAAGTATCCAGCTTACCCTAAAAAATGGCAGTTTATTCCTCCTTAACTTAAACGGGGCTAAAACAAATACTATAAGATTCCGTTTCAGTGAATAGTTTATTTGGGTTTCTTTGGTCATTTGAATACATCACTCTAAGGACTATCTCTCTTGAGAACATTTATCTGTTCTCAGGGTCCATGACTTACTTCAATAATCCATATCTCACTTAAGTGACTAGATTAAAAAACTTACAAAAAACTTAGTGATGCTTATGAGAAGCTTATAATATTTTAATTAAATGCTGGCATGCCCTAATGCATTAGCAAGTGCCTTTGTTATCCCCCAACCTCTACCAGAGGTCAAATAATAATCTGCTCAACTAAAAACATTTCTTAGGCTCCTATTTAAAGAAACCACACTGTTTCACACTTTTGTGGATCGTTTTTTACATATTTTTAAAAGGAAGAATAGGTAGAAACTGGATTTTAAACTCTGCTTTCATTGAAAAGTATTTATTCAATAAGGACTCATGGTAAACATTAGAAATTAAAATCACTTTAGTCTCGTGAGCTTTTAAAATTGGATTTTTGCTACACATAATCTAAAAGGCATTATCAAATTAAATTTATTCCACCTCTAATCTATAAAACCACAATTATTTCATTAGTTATTTTAGTTAAAACAGGAACACCAAAAACACCTAGTCACTACAATGTATAGTTTTTGACCTATTACACACCTAAAAATAAGAGAAATGTAAAGCATTCCTGCATTATAATATTCTTTGTTATACTGCCATGCCCAGAACATTTTTCCCTAAAGTGCTAATTTCCTTCTTAGTTCATCAAATATGTAATCACTGGTGCCAAGAGGCCCTCAGTAAACCAGGTTACATCTTAAATCGTGAACTGTGTTCATTGATTTCTTCAAAATCTACAATTGGCTATGATTCATTTTGCAACATCTGATTGCACCTAGTATCTGTCCTTGATTTTAAACCAAGTTCTTCCAAGCCATTGGAGTCTTTAAGCAGCTCAATAGCTCCCTCTAGCCTCTTTTTATATACTACACCAAGAGGTCACATTTAATCAAAGGTTAGGGGCTACACTTACTCTCTCGGCTCAGCTTCTGTCATGTGGCTCATCAAGCTATGCCACTATCCAAAACTAAGGATGCACAATGCCAAACAGTTGTGGTGAAACACCAAGCAAAAAATATCAATTCAGAGTGCTAAATGACAGGAAACAACAATCAAATATGGTTTCATGAAGAACCTCAAAATCTATAAATAACTTCCCCAAGTAAAAGAAAAATAAGGCAAAAGAAAATGTGAATGTCCCATATATCATTACTTAGCATTCTGTCCTTTTAGTATGGAATTTTTTATTGTTCACATAAACTACATATTTTATAAAATAAATGCAATCTGATTTTTCATATTCAAAATCAAATATGTGGTGAAGAACAAAAAAATCCTCAAAGAACACATGCCCAAATTATTTCCCACAATGGGCAAATGGAGAATACAGTATAAGCACTTAATTTCACTACAAAATATGTGTATATTTGTATACATATACAGAGAGACAGATTTAAATTTTGAGACACTCCCTCCCAAAAACTGTTAAAACTTAAGATTTTGAACTTATTCCAACTTGCCTTTTTATGATTGAATTACCACTTGTAGATGATATTTGTTTCTCAAAATGGCACTAAATTATATTTTTTAAATTAATTTTTAAGGTTTGCTACCTTGGCCAAAACTAGATTTTAAAATTACGTATCATTTGCTGCCAATGTATTTACTACTCAGCAGAAGGCTACGATGATTTCCAAAATGGAACATCCTTTGGAACTACAGATGATAACACATGTTAGATTTAAGTTACACATTCTGTATTTCCTCATGACATTTATTTCAGAAAAAAAATCTGAACTATCTACCTTTGTGATTCAGTAGTTACCAAATTTACAGGGTCAATATTGCATTTCCCATCCCCTTTGGCTACATAAACTAAAGCTTCTAGGCTTACGACTATAAAATTTCAAATTTGGAAATGGCCTTAGTGACAGTTTAGTTCACATCTCATTGTTGCAGATGAGATATCAAATAAGTTACATGTCCAAGTTCAAAGCCAGGTTAGCAAAAGAACCTGAGTTAAAGCCCACTTCCTTCAACTTCTCCCCCAGTGCTCAATTACACCACATTGCTAGCTATCTTGCCATTCCCAATGTTATATGGACACGATATGTTTTTCACTATTTTTTACTATTGTAGAAAACACTTTAATTTCTTTTTCAGTCAATTCTTATCCCTCCCTATACATAATTTTTGAAAAACTTTTTTGTTGTTGTTCAGAATCTGAGGTATAACAGAGCTGGCTTAAGTTTCTTATTGAATCCTACCCATATTATGAAAAGGAAGCACTTGGGGTTTGATCCAATTAAAATAAAAAGGCCTACTGAATTATAAAGGCCTATTTATTTTCTATGGCATTAGAAAAGATGAACAGATTTCAGCGAACGTGATGTTGTAAAAGAAGGTGTGAGCTGAACTTGATATTCTATGATAGTAACAGATGACATGACAAAATGTGAAAATCACATTCTTGAACTAAACTGTCTAAGAAAAACCTACGGGAAGAAAATGTACTGATGTTAGCTTGGTTGATTTTCAGTACATTATATTTTTAATAAATGGAAAGGTGTTTAAATAAAATCTTCCTATACCAATTGATATGTCCTAACCTGATAGATGTTTATGTCATTAGATGCTATGGTGCCAATTACTTCCTTATCGACCTTTATTTTCTATTAATAATAATGACATGTGGCTAGATGTGGTGGCTCATGTCTGTAATCCCAGCACTTTGGGAGGTCAAGGAGGGAGAATCACTTGAGCTCAGGAGTTTGAGACCAGCCTGGACAACATAGTGAGATCTTGTCTCAATGAAAATTAAAAAAAAAAAAAGAAAAAAGAAAAAGCTGGGTATGGTGGTATGTGCCTGTAGTGCCAGCTACTCAGGAGGCTAAGGTGGGAGGATTGCTTGAGCCCAGGAGGTTGAGGCTGTAGTGAGCTATGATCACGTCATGTAATGGTTTCATGAATAACCATAGACCTGAGTGATCCGGCCCAGGCAACTCTGAACAGAGAGGCATAGTCAAGGTAGAACATGTAGGAGAAGCTAGAGAACCTTAAAACAATTGAGACTCTTGTTCTCCTTATCATAGCTTTGGGCCCTTATGAGCACCCTAAACAGCCAGCATATTTGAGACGTTTTGTTAAACCTGCAATCTTGCGGTACATAAAAATCTTGATGAATCAGTCATACAGCCCCTGTTGTTGACCAGTTAGAAACTGCTACAGTGGAGAATTATAGGCTATATTCAGGAGACAACCTTTACTCAAGAAGGCATGGTACCACCATTCTTCCATGTCCAAATGAAATAATGCATCTTGATTTTTTAAGCAAGCAAAGAACAAGAGAAAAGCAACAGTGTCCCAACATAAGAATGTAAAATTCTATAAAATATAATTTTTATCTCTGAAATGTCTCATGATTAATTATTACCAAATTTATATGCAATACAAAAGTACCCAATGCAAACTCTGACTTTTTAGGTACATGCAGGCAAACCTGACAAAGGTTTGAATAAATCTTAAATCAGTTAAGTAAATATATTGCAAGAAAAATTTAGGAAATAGTTATACTCAATTCATATTTGTCATAAAAGACCCCTTTGAAATCTAAAATATCTCTGCTTTCTTTAATCAGGAACAACAAAATCAATTTTTGCCTTATCAAGACTTTTTTTGTCACAAAAGAGTAATCATTTTATGCTTTGATATATGCATCATTTAGAATTTTATATGTTTTTATTTTACCACTAAATCAGCTTGAAAATTTTTTCCTCCCTGGAAATGTATGCTATTGTTTAGAAATTGATAAGGAATATGCTGTTCACATAAGTAATATCTGACAAACTATTCAGAGTTGACGATATGAGAGGTATTACTATCATGAACTATGTTCTGTCTCAAATTTCATAACAAAAATGCTCACAGCATACCAAAAAAAAAAGCCACAGGATCATGAAAATCCCTATATGAGATAGCTATTTTAGGAACAAAATGATTTTTAAGACAGTAGACATTAATAATTATTTGTTAATAATTTAGCTGCTTCTGACCAATGAACACCTCTGATTCAGACTGCTGTCCAATGACAACAGTTTTTGACTTTTAGTTAATATTAGCAATGTTCCCTTGCATCGTGCTAATTATCACATACTGAAAGACCAACTCTTAAAAAAGGGATCCAATGATATATGGATATCTTTACCTAAGTGAGTATATACTGAAAACTTAACAATAAAAGTGTTCCACTTGAAATGAAAGTAGAGCAGTGTATTGAATCTCTTCCATAGTACTACTCCTGGTAGTGTCTGACCCTTTCTTAGCTGTAAGAGATGTTCCTTTTTGCTTCTTAAAAAACAAGCTAACCAAGCAAAACCAAATGCACTCTCTTTCTGTAACAGGATTTCATCACCATATTAAAAATATCTCTCACTTCGATAATTGACAACTCCAAATATTTATACCCTTAAAAATCAGACAGGAAAGAGTTAACATGAATACCTCTAGCCAACCACCCTCTTCAAATCCCCCACTTCCCTGGGAAAAATATACAGTCTTAAACCTTAAATCACAGAGATAAAAAAGAATGGGGGGACCACAAATTGTTAAGTTTAGTGATGAATAAAGCAATGTAATCTTAGTTGTCAGCATAAAAAGCATCCCCCTGAAGCTTTGTTCCAACTATAAAAACTTTCTGTGCTTACTGAAAAAAAATTTTATGATCATATGAGCTTCATGCATGACTGATATCATTACTGTTTATTTTAAGACTATCCTTGAGAATCAATCAAATAAAACATTCCCAGTGTGTATGTTTTGCAACCAGAATGAGGAACACAATGTAAGTGCCTCTTCTGGAGAGGAAGTGATGGACCATTCTTCCCATTAGTGTTTCCTATCAAAAAAAAGTCAAATAGAAGTGAATCAGGCAGAAATTTATGTCAGAAAACATCCCGTCATTCTGTGTTCTTGACAATATTTCCATTTCACTAGCAGCTACTCCTACAATCTAAAAAAAAGGGGGGGTATCATTACACATAAAGAAGCTTATAAATCCAACCAAAATGAGCTCAAGAGCTTAAAAATACTATTTGAGGATAACATAAACTAAGGCATATAATCTGCTCTAAACCATGAAAAACTTCCCATTTTATTAAGCAAGATTTTAAAGGTCTGAGATGGCACATGACTTATCTGTCAGGCTTAAATCTGTGTAATAAATATGACTAGAATAATTTAAATCCTCTAAAAATGGGAAAATAACTATTTTCTCCATAAACCATTTTTCCCCACACATCTTAATGAAGAAAGAGAAGGGGTCATTGGAATCCAAAATTAAATAAAATTTGTTAGTACAATCATAACTTTTTTGCATAATAATATCTGAACTTACTGAGGGATTCCAATATAAAGAAATACAATCTTTTATGTTTAGTCTCACAAAAAATCTAATAATCATCAAAACTCATGTTATCCTAACCTCTGAAAGCAAATCTAATACTTTCCTAAAGCAGGTAACCATCAATCCAGGCTGTCCTTCCCTTCCCTTATTCAGAAAGACACAACCTTGCACTTACTTTTACCACCTCCCACACACTCCACCTCACCACCATCACCACCAACCTGAAGCAATAGGCCCTTCTGTTTATAACATTATAAATAACAGCTTGCCACTTTAATTCCTCCAGCCTATGAACTAATCCTTCATTTCAACATTAAATTATCTCTTGATTTAAATGTTAGGTACAAAAATCCATCTGTGGCACGTAATTCCAAAAGTTCAAATTTGCAATAAAAAAAGTCTGGACTTTCAAGCCCCTTTCTCTTTTTATCTAGAAAAATAAAGTTGTATTTTTCAAAGGGTTAAACCTTTTTAGTTTTCAAATTGGGTTTTTTTTGTGTAATTTATTCATACTTAATATCTGTGAAGGTCTTTAACTCTTGATAATAGCTCTTACTTTTTCAAATACTTTTTTTGTACTAACCATGACTTATTACATGAAGTCCTAAGAACAGTTTCTATAAACACAGTTATATTCAGAATATGCCTTTACACATGGCATTTATTATGCACACTCTGTGTATCAATTGGTTACATGAAGCATGTTCAAATACTGTGCAACAGGTCTTGCTATTGTGTAAACACACACTCCCAGCAAAATGACAATAAGCTTCATAATATCAACAATATAAGAAAAAAAATCACATTATTCCTTAAAAAATTATTCATAATTCGTTTGAGAGTTCAGAGGACATCAGATCTAATCAAAAGAAGTAAATGTTACTAAGACCCTCTTACTGGCTTTGTATCCCACCGTATATGTGATAAAGTTGTGTTACAGCCCAGGTGTATACACGCTTTCATTGATTTATTGCACATTACTGGCTTCAGTGCTGACTTGATGACAGGAAGAGTACTTTGGCAGAGGTCTGACAAGTCCCTATCCTTAAGTTCCCTTTTGCTTTGTGCCGTCTGTTCCCAAAGCTATCAAAGTAAAGCAAATGACAGTCTAAAACCTCCCCGTTTTGCCACGAGAGTGTGAAATCAAATTAAAAACACACCTCAAAACTATTACATTGGGCCACGTTTATTTTCAATTGGCGGGGGAGGGGGAAAGAAGACACTTAAAAAGAGATGGATTTCATGTCCTCTGTGTAGCCAGATCTAGTTACAGTGTATTAAGTTATGTCTAAATGAAAAAAAAAAAGATTCTCAAGTGTTTTATCACAAAGTAATGTTATTAAACACATCTAGTGTTCCCACGCTCTCCTCTAGATTCTTTGATTTTTAACCTCCTTTGTTAGGCACCAAACACTGGGAGAAAGATTTCAGGAACAATACCTAGGCAGCACATGATGCCAGGGAATTAATTCTGTCTTCCCCGAGCTGTTTATCCATCATAAACTCAAGCTGCCTTATTTAGCTACACGGTTGCTATATGTAGGACTTCTCTTCCCTGGGTGAAAAGCATGGACCGGCTACAATTGTGTCTTTGAGCGCGCAGCATCGTGCTTTGTGCTGCCGGGGATAACGGATTCTGGGTCTCACACGCATCCGTCACCTAAAACACCCTTAAACTGAACCAGGGTCTCCACAGCTGGAAGGGAAACAACGTGCTGGGACCCAGGCTGCTCTGAGCTACAAGGATCCCAGGAGTGAAGGAAATGTTTCAGGGAGCAGCCCAGGCAGCGGGGGGAGGAAGAAAGCCCTCGCACTCTTACCTCCACATTGAAATACTGCTCCGTTCCGCAGACTGTAGCACATAAAATCCAAAGCAAGGTTTGCAAGAAAAACACCCCCGAATGATGCACGAAATCCAACCGTCTTCCAGTGCTGAATGTGAGTAAGATCATAGTGAACTGTGCTTCAATGGATGGACGAGCTCCCCTTCGTTTTCTCCCTCTCTCCCTCTCCCTCCCTCCCTCGTTTCCTTTCAAAAAAAAGTCCTCCGGGTGGGTAAGGAGCCTGCAGGTTCACCCACAGCCGGGCAAGGGGAGGAGACAGGGGCCCCGCGCTCGGCAGCCCCCGAGAGGCAGCGGCGAAGACAGGGTCAGCAGTAGTTCCTGTTCACCATCCTCCGGGGTCAGTCACCGGGAACGTGGCGCCTAAGTTCACCGGCGGTTCCGGCTCAAAGAGCCTAGTCGCAGCCGCAGCAGCAGCAGCCGCCGCCGCCGCCGCCGCCTCCAGCCCGTGCGTCCTCCTCCTGCACTGCCTACTCCTCCTCCTCCTCCGCCGCCGCCGCCGCCCCCAGCTCCTGCGGGAAGGGCCTCCGCCGCTCCTCACTCTCTCGCCTCTGCTTCTCCTTCCCTCCTCTCCTCGCTCCCCTCCAGAATGTTCATCCGTAATCTACATAACTCCTCCTTCCCGGGGTCTGCCTGGCTCTCGGGGCCCTTGGCGCGCGCGCGCGCGCGCACACACACACACACACACACACACACAGAGACACACCGCGACACACACACACACACGCGCGCATACACACAGCCCGACACACACGCACGCGCGCTTCTTAAAGGAGACGGCTCATAAAGGATTCCCCACTACGGTAGGGCGCACCGGAGGTATCCAGCCCGCGACAAGGGCCCTGGTTTGAGCACAGCTCTTCGACAGTATCTCCCATCCCGCATCCCCGAGGCAGGCACCCAGGAACTTGGGCGGCTCCATTCTTTCTTCCCGCCCACCCTGCCGCCTCGCATCTAAAAACGAGTGCGCCCCTCTCCAGCCATGAGCTGGGTGGGGCTCAGGCTGCGGACCCTAGTGGGGCCTGGGGAGCGGCCCAACCCTGGTCCTGGAGAGCGGTCGGCATTCCTGAGGAAGCGGCCCTGGAAGAATAGGGGCGCTGGGAATCAGAGGAGCGCCTGGTCACTGAGCGCCCCTGGGTGGCTCGGGTCGGTGGCCGGGGCTGACCAAGTTTGGGAAGACTGAGATAGCAAATCCCGAACGTCCAAAACTTTGTTGGGGTCCCGAGCCTGTGGCCTGGTGTCTTCCTGAATCCCCTCTACCATAGCTACATTCCGCCTTCCAGGCTTGAGGAGTAGGCACAGGGTTTTGGTGGCGGACTAGACAAATACAGAAGCGGGATGAAAACGCTCACTTTCCAAGTGAACGGTGGACACACGCGCACAGTGGGACCCGGGAGAGATGGTCCTGGGTGTTAACAAAACATCCGATGAGAGGGATGGGGGCGCTGGAAAGAAACCGGCTGCGGGAGCCAGGGGAAGGGTTGGGGAAAGAAGGAGAAGAAGCAGCCTGAGGAAAGGCGAGTAAAGCAGCTGGCAAGGGCGGGAGGAAGAGGCTGCTCGCAGACCGAGCGGGGGAGAGGCTGGCGGGAGCTAGGAGAGCTGCAGGCAAGAGGGGGAGGCGGCTGGCAAGAAGCACGGGCGAACGCGGGCAGGGAACTTCAGAGGAGGCTGCCAGAAAGGACTGGAGCTGTAGCAGTGCGAGGCAGTGGACAGGGGGGGCAGCAACCACCAGCCCTTGGCAAGTGATGGTTTGGCTGAAAGAGGAAGGGGGAAGGGAGCGAGGCAAGCATCTGTTTGGGGGCTAATGCCAGTAAATGTGCTTCTCCTTGGCAGCCAGCAGAGGGGAAGAGGAGCCCACGGGAAAGAAAAGCAGGCGAGGTTAAGAATAAAGAGTGTTCCAGGTATGACAGCTACCTCGGTGAGGTGGAAGAGAGAATTGACAAGGCAAATTTCATGGGTGAGTTGGAAAGGCAAGAAGCAGGACTACAAGAGGTCCTATGTGGTAAGCAGATGGAAAATTCTGAGAATGGTTTGCCAAAAATTGTATTAGACTGCAATAACTTTTATCCAATAAAAGAAAAAAAGGCTGAGGAATGGGACTTTGCAGCTGTTGCTGTAAAAATGTAAGAAATGCCCACCCAACTTGACCCAAGACCCAAGAAGTTCTCAGGGAGACCTTCCTGACAGTCTGCCTTGTGCCCAGCATGTGCTGCCCACAAAATAATTTTGAAGATGTAATAAAAAGCAATGTCTTATATTGTATAGTACATTAGAATATTCAGAATGTTTCCAGACATAGTATCTCATTTAATTCTCACACCATCTCTGAGGATTTTGTTTTTATTTTACAGATGAAGTAAATGATAGCAATAAAATATAACGTTCCAGCAAACCATACAAGTGGCAGAGTTCAGACTTTTGTTTCCTGACTCCCAGTTCAGTGATTTTCCTGCTATACTCCAGTGACTTTCCAAATGGAAATTCATTCCTGCTCTTAGCAATTTTATAATCCATAGGTTGAGATGATTTTTTATAAAAGAAACAGCTAGAAGGCAACATGAAAGTAATGTCATTATATAGAATTTATATGGTGTTCTGTGCCAATATAAGGTAACGAAATGTAGTGAAGTATTTGTCAATAAATCAAGAATGATTTTTATGTGTGCATTATATCTAGTAAAGTGCAAAATTAGAGAGGGAAAATGATACAAAAAAAATGTTTAAACTCAGTTCCTAGTCTTTGAGATACTATTGAAGAGGAGGAGGTAAAAATTATTTACCAAAGACGTTCATGAGAAAACAGTGCTAAATGGTGATGTCCTTGCTAACTGAGCCAAATATTAGAAGACTGTATCAAGGACATGGAGTGCAAGTTGAGCACTGCAAAACTATCAGTAAGGAGGGATTTTTCACCATAAGCAACTTGGTTTTCTTTCTTTCTTTTTTTAAAGCATGTGCTCAGACAAGAAAAATAGTGTATTTGTGGAGGACAGGTATGGAGAGGGACTTGTAATGAAATATTGAGTTAACATTTGCTCAAATTGGTAAACAAGGGTTGCTAAACCATTCTAAATATGAATAGGTATCCAGGGAATATTACCTTCAAAATTATGCATGGGATTGACCATGGGAAGGGACTCTATGCAAAGAGGTAACAATTAAAATAAGGTTTTAGGCCAGCCATGGTGGCTTGCGCCTATAATTCCATCACTTTGGGAGGCTGAGGTGGGCAGATCACCTGAGGTCAGGAGTTTGAGACTAGCCTGACCAAGATGATGAAATCGCATCTCTACTAAAAATACAAACATTAGCTGGACGTGGTGGCGGGTGCCTGTAATCCCAGCTACTCAGGAGGCTGAGGCAGGAGAATCACTTGAACTCAGGAGGCACAGGTTGCAGTGAGTCCAGATTGCGCCATTGCACTCTAGCCTGGGTGACAAGAATGAAACTTCATCTCAAAATAAATAAATAAATAAGGTTTTAATCCAGCTATGAAACTATAAGGCCTGGACTAGTGAGATGTCCTAGGAAAGCTATGCTTTCAAAGAGCAATCCTAAGAGAAGAAAACTATTGAAAGTAGAAAATCCTAAATTCGAAAGATAATATCAAATTAGTGATTGGTTACCATAAGGATTTTAATTATTTGTAAACAGTTATTAAACTTATTTGTGAGTGTTTGATGAGCAATAAGTGAATGAATGAGTGTTCAAGGTTATGGAAATACTGTGAATATTCAAGGTTCTAGGAATACTAACAGATAATACTGTTTCATTTCTGAGATGGGACTCAGAAGGATTCATAGTACAGTGAGAAGGACAGACATATAATAATTATTGCATTGTCATAAGACCCAGGTAATTACAAAAGCAAGATGCTATGGAACAGGGTGGAAGAAGTAGTTGACTTTCCGTGAATTTTTTTTTTTTTTTTTTGGAGACAGGATCACAAAATACATGCTTCTCAAGTGGAATCTCTAATAATAAGAAATGTACTGGGCAGATAGGAAAAGGAAGAATATTTCTGACCTGTGTGCAGTGGAGGAATAAATACACAAAGCGGCATTTGTGGAACTACAAATAGTTGGTCAGGACTAGAGGCTAGGGTGTGTAAAGCAAGGTCAGAGTCAGAGGTCGCATGAGTAAGTGTGCAGGGATCAGATCAGCAAGAGTCTTAGGTACCATATTTGAGGCTGTAGACATTCTCCCAAAGGAATTCTTAGGAGGAATAGTTGGATTTTCACTACCTTTACTGTTTGTTTGCTAATTCCATGCAGACAGTCACCTTCTAGTTCTCATATATTTTACCTCATATGTTCCATTAAGCATGTAATATCTACTGCCTTTATAGACCTTCTATCTGTGCTTGTCTAATAAGCCTGATGCAAAGTTTCACATATTGACTCCGATGGGTACCTGCAGAAATGTAATCGCTTTCTTGGTCAGGTAGGTTTGTTATTCTATCTCTAATCTGTTATATATACTTATCTTTTAAGGGCCTAGAATTACGAAGAAATTTCCATTCTCATGTATTAGTAGTGTGAGCTTCTTGGTGGTCTTCCTAGAGAGGGCGTTGTTTTCCTATGCATAGTAAGATAAAACATGGAATATCATCCTTCCCTTTAGGATATGAATGAAATCTTTCCTCACAACTCTTGGCACTTGCTGTGTATGCTTTCTGTCAACTACTTTCCCTCTTCTCACAATTTCACATAACTAATGAACAATCTCAGAATTACATGTGACTAGAGAAAAGAGAACCAAAAAAAAGATGAAAATAAATAAGAAAGCCAAAGAGAAGTAGTAATTGCCACTGATAAAGGTTAATAGCAATTCAATGAAATATTACATGGGAGACAAGAGGTCTGAGGAAGTAAATTATATGTAAACCTAACAAGAGGCAAATGACATATACTTAAAAATGGGCAGTTGAGTCACATTCTGGGATGTGTAAATAACTACCTAAAATAACACTGGAGATAAATTATGTACTATAGCCTTTATTGAACCAGATTTCTTAGTAAAATAGAGCCTTTGAAATGAATTCTGTAGCTTGAGAAGTTACATAAACTTGCTCATTCTTCCATCATATCAACTAATATGCTTTCTTTCCTACTTGCATCAGTTGAACCTGCAGTGTTTTTTTATTTTTAAATTCAGAGAATATTGAATTAGTGCCAGCTACTGGCATTCTCTCACACATCTGTTATTACCAGGGTCATGCATATGTGGAACAATCAGCTAGAGGCTTATTATTTAAGCTGTGTTCTCTCTGGAAACTTTAAGACCTAGGAGCTTATCAGAAATGCGGAATCTCTGGCTGTGTCAAGATACCCCAGTGCTCCATAGGCATGGTAAAATTGAGAAGCACTGTTCTAGAGTTTGCACACAGGACAGCTTAGTTGCACTGTATCCACCTCCTTAATGTTATTAGTGTCATGCTCTAAGTAAAGAGAGCTAACCAGTTCCAATCAGAGTTATGCTTGTGGTACTGAAATGTTGGCTTTTCCCTCAAAAATATAACTGCATGACCTGAATTTATTGATATAGCTTCTAACTTTCAGCAGTATGGTGTTTTTTTTTTTGAACATGCATTCTGTGCAAAACAACTCTCCTACTTGATAGCTAAGAAAAATTGCTAGCTATTATCACTGCCTATGAAGATAGTATGATTTTTTCTCCATTTCTTTCATTGATTTATGCTCTTTACCCCTCCATAACTATGAGTGTTTCTCAAATATGTGGTCTTCTTTTTAGTTCCTTCATTCCTCCAAGGACATTGATTAACCACTATAAAATACAAAGCAAGTGAAGATTTAAAAAGATAAACATGAAGTGAGTTACGATAAACCAATTCAGTTTGGTTAGGTTCTAAGATTGATGAAGTTTTGAACTTTAAAGTTGTTTTCATTTGGAATTCCTTTTGAAATAAACAAGAAGCTATCAATACAGAATACAGAGACATGCTTTTGGTAAAAGTGAGTGAAGAAATGGCTCCCAGTGCCTTCTTTTTTTTTGTCATAGAGTACCTGAAGTTTGGAGCTCCAAGATGACTGGGAATTATGAGAAACCCACCAGATCAGGTATACTATTAGGCTAGAGGTGGGTCTTTTCAGTACCCATAGTTGTGCCCATAACCATACAAGACCATTGCTCCAGCAATGCAGTTATCTGCTTCCCAGTGACCATGGTCTGTTATAACAAATAACTTGGAGTTGCAGAAGCTTGAAGTCTAACTTTGCTCTTCTCTCACTCTAGAGAGATTCTTCCCTCTTAAGTCTATACCTGTTACTTCTACTCTGATAATTTTTAGGTCTGTATCCCTAGCCTTAAATTTAGTCCCATGGTCTAGAATTCATATTACTACTTTCACCTAAAACTTAGCATATCCCCAACCATGTTCACCACCTTTTTCTTTAGATGGTATATTCTTTACTTTCCTCATTTCAATCTAGACCCACTATTCCACTTAACATGGAACACACCTTTGACTCTAATATTAATTTATGTTCTGTGTTGAATCAGAATCAATCACCAGTAGCTATCATGACCCTTGTCCAAAATCACTCTTATTCATTCCTTCACCTGCACTTGCAGTTAATAACTGTCCCTTATAAATGTATACTCTTGTCATTTCATGGCTAATCACTGGAGTAGCCTCCAATATGTTGTATATGCATATGTTCTTTTTTGTCTCCAATTATTCTTCAAATCAGTTCATTGAATCCCCCCCAAACTTAACTATTCTTATGTATAATTTTCAGCATAGACATGGCATTTATAAATTAGAAGGACATTTTAAAATTTCTTCCTCTTCATTATTCAGAAGAGGGAATTGAGGCTTAGCAATGTTAAATAAGATGTGACTAGTTGGCAAAGGTTAAAAAATGCACATGTATTCTGATTTACAACTTATTGCCTTTGTAAAAGAAAAAGATTCGTCGTAAACTACTTTAGGCATGCAAGAAAATACCATAAACAAACAACCCAGTGTAAGAAATATTTTCATCACCTTTTTTTTTTACCAATGCCATGTAAATAATTGTGGTAGACTAACATTAGATAATATGCTGTGGATTATCAGACATGCCATGGTTTGGTATATTGAGATATACAGCACATATGATGAGAATGATGAAATATGATGGGGAAGCACATTTCATTATGTAAGTGGCTAGGCAAATGGAGAAGATGATTGAGAATCCCTTTAGGTACTTGTGTACCTTTAGAAAAATCATTATCTAAGTTTTTATGTTTCATTTTTTTCATCTATACAGTGGTATTTCATATTATTTGGGTAGTTGTGAGGATTAAATGAGATATTACACATGGAAGCTTTCTGTAAAATTCTAAGTACTAAAAAGCATAAAAGATTATAGCATGTGGCTATTGCATACTTTACTTTCAGCAGGCAGGCAGCAAAGACTGAATGAGATTCTGGTTAACCTTTAAAGTGAAGACTCTCTGAGACCATTTCTAGTAATTTCTACTGGGGATTAACAAGTGCTGTGTTTTTAACTGGTATGAGCAGAAATGATAAAGAAAAGGAGCTATAAAATGACAGTCTGTTATCAAAATATAATTAGTCCCTTTTGTATTATTACATAGTGTATTAAATACACTTTTCATTAGTTCAGGAGCAAAGAAAAGGAAATGGAAAATGAAATGGAAATTAGATTGGCATCCATTAAAATAATATTGCTATGAAAATATATGATATAAAATTGAATATTTTATATTAAATTAGAGGCATTGAATTGGAATCTAAACTTATACAGTTCAGAGAACCTTTTGTAAGCTAATTTTCAATAGTAATGAGAAAATAAACATCCAAGTACAATGTTCTTTTTCCACATTTTAGAACAAAAATAAAAATGAATTAACCCATATCAGTATAGTTATCATTAGAGGAAGGATAGTAATAGAAAGATGAGAAAATATGCCAGACCTTTTTTGGGGGGGGCATTTGTTTAGCAATCTTTCTTTTCTTTTTTTTTTTTTGAGACAGAGTCTCGCTCTGTCGCCCAGGCTGGAGTGCAGTGGCACGATCTCGGCTCACTGCAAGCTCCGCCTCCCGAGTTCACACCATTCTCCTGCCTCAGCCTCCCAATAGCTGGGACTACAGGTGCCTGCCACCACACCCGGCTAATTTTTTGTATTTTTTTAGTAGAGACGGGGTTTCACCGTGTTAGCCAGGATGGTCTCAATCTCCTGACCCTGTGATCCACCTGCCTCGGCCTCCCAAAGTGCTGGGATTACAGGCGTGAGCCACTGCGCCCGGCCAGCAATCTTTATTTTCTTAATCTAAATGCACTCACAGTTACATAGGTATCTCCACCAAAATGTATTTAGTCATCTAACCATAATTTTAGTATATTTCGTGCTTTTGTTGTGTGTTTTCTCATCTTGAAAACTTTTAACCACACATCTTTAATTCTGTCAAAGCTGAAATAGACAGAATCATTCTTATTTTGTTTGTTGTTACTAAGAAACTTATTATGGTAATAAAGTTAGTAGTCTTCTACATCTTTCACTACCTGACTCACTGTATCAGGTGAGGTGAGGTGTTCTAATGGTCTGATAGTCTAATAAGGAAAAACTGTCTATGTACATTTATAAAAGCACCCTAGGGGCTGGGTGCAGTGGCTCACTCCTCTAATCCCAGCACTTTGGGAGGCCAAGGTGGGCAGATCACGAGGTCAGGAGATTAAGACCATCCTGGCTAACATGGTGAAACCCAGTCTCTACTAAAAATACAAAAAATTAGCCAGGCGTGGTGGTGGGTGCCTGTAGTCCCAGCTACTCGGGAGGCTGAGGCAGAAGAATGGCATCAACCCGGGAGGCGGAGCTTGCAATGAGTTGAGATCGCATCACTGTACTCCAGCCTGGGTGACAGAGCAAGACTCCACCTCAAAAAAAAAGGAAGAAAAAGCACCCCAGGAGAGTCAATTTCCCTATCATATATGTCAAATGTTACCATGGTTTTATTAATATCATTAAGATATCTGTTTCTGGTTATATTGGAGTAGTTGTGCTTTTATGTCATTCAATGGGTCAAAAAAATAAGTGACTTGTTCATTATAAATTTTAAAGTAGTCATGTCTCAAAACCTAGGGTTAATGTGAAAATAATTTATTTGAAAAAAAAGCTACCGTCATTTGAAATTACCTAAGACAAAGTATTTTACTTTATTTCACATATAAATAAATACTTTATTTCAAAGTATTTCATGTTTTAATCAAACGTGAAGCAGTGTGATTTTAATATAAAAACATAACTCAGTGTCAGTAAATCATAATTTGACACTACAGCCAATACCTATTTAATTGTTTTGGTAAAATATGTGACTCTTCTTTATAAGACTGAAATTCATTTATCTAGGTAAAAGTGAAAAAATAAGTCTTAAAATGAATTAGAAAAATTTTGTGTGAAGTATTTATACCCAAGATTTTTGTTAACATCAGATATCTTCTTATATTTCAAAGTAAAATGATCACTGTCACCTTAGCCCACCTTAGGAATAAGACAAATATCTTAGGGCTTGACTTAGAGTCTTATAGTTTCCATAGGATAACCAAATATACTATAAATTGTCCACAGATGCAACTTAAGTATTACTATACAGTAATTCTGTAATTGGAATATATACACATACAAATGCTTTTGGCATTTTAATTTATTCATATCAAAGCTACACCTGCATTTAGCATTTCCATTATTTTTACTTTAAAAATTCTTAGTATAATTATTTTAAAGACTTCTTTGGCTTTCTGCTTTTAAAGAGTTTTGCTTAAATGCTTGCTTTATTTAAAAACAAAATAAGATAATGAAGTTAGCTAGATATTGTTTACATGAAATTTTGCCCCATTTTCCGTTTTCATTTAAATTGGATTGACATCAAACTTAATATGACTGTGAGAGCTCAACTGTTAATTCAAACATTATAGAAAAAAATAACTGTGGGACAAGGAGGGACCAGATGCCCCATTGCATGCTCTCAGCCAATGAAAAACAAATCATGCTTAGTCAGATTGGGATGCTATAACAAAAACACCATAGACTGTGTGTAGCTTAAACAATCAACATTTATTTCACAGTTTGGAGGCTGGGAAGCCCAACATAAGGACTGGCAGATCCAGTGTCTGGTCAGCGCCTTCTTCCTGGCATGTAGACAGTGGCCTTCTTCTTGAGCTTCACAGGCAGAGCAGAGAGATAGATCATCTCTCCAGAGTCTCTTCTTATAAGGGCACTAATCCCATTATGAAGGCTCTACCTTCATTACCTACTTACTTCACAGCAGCCCCACCTCCAAATACCATCATACTGGGGATTCAGGCTTCAACATATGAATTTTGGGGTCACACAAACATTCAATTTATATTGTTAATTATTCTTAAAGCAAAGTCATTCAGCTACTTCTTGAAGACCACCAGAAATGGGAATCCGACTACTTTATAAGGCAAAATATTCAGGGGAGCTTGCAAGTGCATGTGATCTTTCAGATTTTTTAAATCAATTTTTCCATATTGAAATTGTATAGTTTTTCATAGCTAAAATCATTTTTAATAAGGTTTTATACACACATACATACATATATATTCAGTTATTTTTAGAGCTTCAATCCACACACTGTGTAAAACCTTCATTCTCAGCACATATTCTGAAGAATACTACCACCTCTAATACACTATCAGCAGAGCCATTCAACTCTCTCCATTTTACAATGAAATTAAAAACATGAAGACTCATGATTTGGGATACTCACAAGGAGCAGAAAAATGTTTCTGTAATTGGTTTATGAACCTACAATTGGTTTAAACAAAGGAATGCATACATACAGTTCCCATCAAATATTGCATCTCAAGGTTTCCGAGGACTTTGCAAAGATTAGATAGCCCATGTTTCTATCCAGATTTGAATCCTCTCTATAATGTTCCCAAGTTTTTAATTTTAAAAAACTCCATTATTACATGACAATTATTTAAATATTTATGAGCTCTTACTTAAATTCTATACTGGAATTGAATATAGTATGCAAATGAAATCTATATTTTCAGAGTATTACAAAGTGATATTACTTGATCCTCTGTTACTATAACATAATGGCATAAGATTATTCAATTCTATCTTAAAAGTTTCCCAAGTTTTATTTGTCATTGATATATGTACTTAGCTGTGCCTTAACATTAATCAGAATTTAAGACATTATTTCATGCTTCTTAGGTCGTGAATGGATTCTATAGAGAATAAGATTAATACTTTTCCTCAAGAAAGATATTATAGACTTTCCTTAATGAGTAGTAGGTCTCTATACACAACCATACATTCCTCCTCCTTTTCCCTTTGTAGTAAATGGCATGACCTTTCAGTAAAGAGATATTAATGAATATTGGAAATTGCACTAAGACAGTAGTCTGGAGACTGTTTCTTACCTTTGGCTCCATCAGTAAGTAGCTGATTGACTTTAAGCAAGCCTGTCAATTGTTCTATGCTCTATATATTGTATTTATGAAATGAAAACTTTGAATCAGATAAATTCTAAAGTATTTGAAAGTTCTCAAACTCTGTGAATATCTAAATCGATGCTAACTCAAAAGTTATCATCAATATCTGTCTCCCTAGAAAGTCAGAATTTAAAATATCAAGCTAGGTATAAATATAATTTAACCTAAAACTTTTTCCATTAGCTTGGTAAGTTTCAATATCTTTACCGTACTAAGTAAATGACAGCAAATTTTTAGGTTACCCTGATTTAAATTCAGAGAAACACATGGATTGATATAATAGTAAGGTAAGTTTTTATTCGCGCATGAAACTTCTTGATTAAAAGCTCCTCTATGTGTGTGCATCTAGGTGTGTCTGTGTATGTGTAATATTTGCCTGGCTTCTGCATTAGGGGTCATTATAATGTGTATGACTGAGGAAAAGAATGCCTTTCAGCCAGTCAGTGCTGTATGTGTGTGTGTGTGTGTGTGTGTGTGTGTATTTTGGGTAGGTGCAACAACACATAATAAACAGTTCTTATGTATGAATGATATAGCTTAAAGATGAACTTCTATGTAAAAATAGCTTTTTCTGTTAATATATGTGAAAATGTTCTATGATAAGTACTACTTTTCTGGAAAGAGTACAATATCATGATTTGTTGTTCATTACCCATTCAATTGCTTCAAATTCAGCATCTGGTTCTCATTACAAACTTGTTGTATTTAGTTTTGCTTCAGTGTTATCAGTTGCTCAAGTGAATCAATACAATTTTCAAGAATTTTAGAATAAGTTTGTTTATTGGCTGATATATGTTGGCTTTTTATATATTTATAAACAAATGTCTGTTTTTATTTCAGTAAAATGAATTAGAGATTGGTTATATTAAAAGAAATAATACTATATAATACTCTATTATTATAAAAATGAAAATAGTTATTTAAGTATAATATATATTAGTGAAACATTTTGTCACATTAAATTTGGCAGTTTCTAATCATAGTAAGTGTTGTTCACATCATCTTATTGGACCATTGACATAGGTTTAATATTTAAAATTATACAATCATTGTTAATATTGCTTAATTGAAAAACATGTTTGTATGGCCTACAAAAAGTGCTTAAGGGTTGCCAGATTTTGCAAATGAAAATACAGGATTCACAGTTAAATTTGAGTTTCAGATAAACAACAAATAATTTGTAGTATATCTTTTGCAATATTTGGAATATACACTAAAGATTTATCCATTATTTATCTCAAATTTAAATTTATCTAGGCATCCTGTATTTTATATGGCAAATCTCTTTAGCATGTAAATATACAAGAGGTTAAAGCTTTTTTCTGAGCTATAGATAGATGGATAGATAAATATAGCATCACCTCAGTTATCTGGAAGTCAAACTTTATACTTGTTAAGGCTAAAGAATGAGATACCGTCCGAATTACAGGCAGACAGGGAGGTAAAGAATGTAAACAGGGAAGGAAGAAAAAGAGAAGAAAATAACAAACTACTCTGGCTCCATAAACATGACTTGCGAACATCTATTAATAGCAACTGTGAAAATAGCCAAACTCAGAGTAAGAAGGATTGAGCCTGATGCTCCGAAATTGCTGTACTCACACCAAGTGAAAAGCAACACTCATATCAGCAATCAATTGCACAAAACCTGAGAACCGTTTAAGAGAGAATGAGAAAGCAAAAAGAACAAAAGAGAAATGATGGGAAAGAGACAAAAGAGAGTTAGTTACAAAGAGCCAAGGTAATGACAATAGGAGTGGAGGTCTTAATAGAGCAGGAGATCCAGTGACTTAAATAAATTCTGCCATTGTAGAAATATAATGGAGTGGGTTTGTCTTTCATTCTCAAGAACTGACAATAGTATAAGGGTGCCACTCCACTGAAAGCCACATTATCATTTGGCCAACTCAACTCTGTGGCATGCAAAGAATAGAAATTAAGAAAGTCCTGGCAAAACCATTTTTGGTTCAGGTAATCACAATAATGAAAATCAGTCTTGCTGAAAATATGCAAATTTCAGTGATATGAGGGAAGATAAGTAATTTGCCTAAAGTCACCACAGCTAGTAAAGGAGTAAAATCAGGACTCACCCCATTACACCAAAGTGACACCAAACTTACACCAAAGTTACATGTTTATTTTACCTAATATTTTTATGTCTACCAACAGTTTATTTGCTCAGGAGGAAGAGTCACTATGGTAGAGAAGAGTTAAACCATAATGCAGTGGAGATATGTGACTTGCATGGTAGATTATTCATGGGGAACAAAACCATATTAAGTATGTCAAAATCCAACAGGTGAAAAGGTGAGAAAATATCCTTATTGTGTTCTCATTCTAATTGAAAAGACAAAAACGCAGTATATGAAAATACTTAGGAAAGAGTCATGTGACAAATAAAAATGAAAGGAAGGTTAACTCTAAGTGCTGAGAAATAAAAACCCATGGAACTGTAGAATTCTGAGTAGTTTATTCCCAGAAGAGTTCAGCAGGAATTGAAAGCAGAATGTATAAAATATTGATGAATTCTTGACCACTTGAACATGTACTAATGCTGTAATTAGTAAGTATCCTTGGCACACTGGTCACCTACTTACAAAATGCTTTTCTAACTATTTATATAAAAGACCTCCCAACCCTATATTTATTGTCAGTCACTATGATTCCAGTTGCCATGTTTTATTTTCTTTTTAGTTGTTTACCATTATGGTAAATTATCGCTTTATTTCCACCACTACCTTTGCAGTGGAGAAAATATAAGCTTCATGACAACAGGTACTTCCTCTGAACTGTTTGCTATTTTATCACCAACACCCAGCATAATGCCTGATTCAGAAAAGAAAGCTAAATCTTTGTTTAAAGAATGACAGAATGAAAGACTGATATTTATGAAAACAAATCCAGTGCCTGTAAGACATACAATTTTTGTTTGTTTTATGTTCTGGATTTTATTATGGAGTATGGGTCTCATATTCCTTGGTTCTCTTGCATTTTAAAACCTATTCCCTGCTTTTGAACTCTCAGGTAACAAGTTGAGTTAGTATAAAATTCATAGGTCACCATTTCTGTCAAATAATGAAAGTCCTTGGAGATTTCTGGCGCTGGTCATGTGATTATTTAATTTTGTTTAAATAATCAGTAATTATTTAGTTTAAATTATTTAATTCTGTTTAATTTGGAGGGTTTTTTGTTCATTTCCGTAGTATGTATTGTACTGGCTTAATCTGCTAAACTTCAGGGGCTGTTATTATTTCAATAAACTTTCTTCTATCATTTATTTCAATACTTTTACATTTTATTTGCTTTCTACCAACCAACTGTACTTCCTTCCTGTATTGTTAATTATTAGGAGGTATGATCAATAAGTCTAGAAATCATGATGGCTAATTTTCTTACCCAAGACATCTTGGAACTTTGGCTCGAAAGACACTGGAAAACAGCACACCACTCTCTAAGTGACTTGTTATTGAGACATACACAGCATGGCATGGTGACAATTAATGGCCCAATTGAAAAATTGTCTCTCTTGTAATTTTCTATGTAAGGATCATGGAAACAGACATTAATCAACTGTTTAGTTCCTAACAAGTACTGTACTAATACCAGTCCCCTATGAACTAGCTCTTAATGGCCCAGTTCTGCAGACAATCAAACTTGCTCACACCCTCCTTAATCCAAAATACAGCTTACAAAGAGAAGTATATTTCCAGTCACCTTATTTTATAACCCAGGAAGTTAATCCAAAAGAGTTTAAGAGAATTGCTCAAAGTTAGCCCAGCCCCTCTCTTGACTCTCGCTTAATTACTTTTTTCCATTAAATAATTTGTATGTTACATTTGGACACTATAGATCAAAAGATTTGGGAATGTGGACTACATGAAAATGTGTAAAGAGATTACTTATGCCAACTCTTCAACCATCATGGAATTCTTTTATGTCATTTTCTAAATCAAAATATAGTCATGTGTCACTTAATGACGGATGCATTCTGATAAATGCATTTCATTTTCATTATTGTTTGAATATCATAGAGTGCACTTACACAAACCTAGATGGTATAGCCTACTGTACATCTGGGCTGTATGGTATAGCCTATTGTTCCTAGGATACAAACCTGTACAGCATGTTACTGTACTGAATACCATAGGCAATTATAACATAATGGTAAGTATTTATGTTTCTAATCATATCTAAACATAGAAAAGGTACTGTAAAAATGCAATATAAAAGACAAAAAAAAATGGTAGACCTGTATAGGACACTTACCCTGAATGGAGCTTGCAGGACAAAGTTGCTCTGGATGTGTCAGTTAGTAGTGAATGAACGTGAAGGCCTGGACATTGCTCTACACTACTGTAAACACTGTACACTGAGGCTACACTAAATTTAATATTAAAAATATTTTTCTATTTTTTTACTTCAACTTTTATTTTAAGTTCAGGGGTACATGTGCAGGATGTGCAGGTTTGTTACATAAGTAAATGTGTTCCATGGTGGTTTGCTGCACAGATCATCCCATCACCTAGGTATTAAGTCCAGGATCCATTAGCTGTTCTTCCTTATGCTCTCACTCCCCCCACCACCCCCCTTGACAGGCCCCAGTGTGTGTTGTTCCCCTCCACATGTGTCCATATGTTCTTATTGTTCAGCTCCCACTTATATGTAAGAACATGCGGTGTTTGGTTTTCTGTTTCAGCATTAGTTTGCTGAGGGTAATGGCTTCCCACTCCATCCATGTCCCTGCAAACGACATGATCTCAATTTATTATAGCTGCATAGTATTCCACAGTGTATATGTACCACATTTTCTTTATCCAGTCTATGACTAATGAGCATTGGGGTTGATTCCATGTCTTTGCTATTGTAAATAGTGCTGCAGTGAACATACGCATGCATGTATCTTTATAATAGAAAGACTTAAATTACTTTGGGTTTATACCCAGGAATGGGATTTATGGATCAGATGGTATTTCTGCCTTTAGATCTTTGAAGAATTGCCACACTGTCTTCCACAATGGTTGAATTAATTTATACTCCCACCAACAGTGTAAAAGCATCCCTTTTTCTCTGTAACCTTGCCAGCATCTGTTTTTTTTTAATTTTTTTAATAATAATCATTCTGACTGGCATGAGATGGTATCACATTGTAGTTTTGATTTGCATTTCTCTAATGATCAGTGATATTGAGCTTTTTTTCATATGTTTGTTGGCCGCATGTATGTTGTCTTTTGAGAATTATCTGTTCATGCCCTTTGCCTACTTTTTAATGGTGTTGTTTGTTTTTTTCTTGTAAATTTGTTTAAGTTCCTTATAGAATCTGGATATTACATCTTTGTCAGAAGGATTAATTGAAAAACTTTTCTCCCATTCTGTAGGTTGTCTATTCACTTTAATGATAGTTTCTTTTGCTGTGTAGAAGCTCTTTGGTGTAATTAGGTCCCATTTATCAATTTTTGCTTTTGTTGTGACTGCTTTTGGCATTTTTATCATGAAATCTTTGCCTGTGCCCATGTCCTGAATAGTATTGCCTAGATTTTCTTCTAGGGTTTTTATAGTTTTGGGTTTTACATTTAAGTCTTTAGTCCATCTTGAGTTAATTTTTGTGTAAGGTGTAAGGAAGGGGTCCAGTTCCAGTGTTCTGCATATAGCTAACCAGTTCTCCCAGCACCATTTATTAAACAGGAAATCCTTTCCCCATTGTTTGTTTTTGTCAGGTTTGTCAAAGATCAGGTGGATGTAGGTATGCGGTCTTATTTCTGAATTCTCTATTCTTTCTTCTTTTGGGAGTGGGGACAGAGTCACTCTGTTGCCCAGGCTGGAGTGCAGTGTTGTGATCTCAGCTCACTGCAATCTCTGCCTCCAGGGTTCGAGTGACTCTGCTACCTCAGCCTCCCAAGTAGCTGGGACTATAGGCATGCACCACCAGGTCTGGCTATTTTTTGTATTTTTAGTAGAGATGGGGTTTCACCGTGTTGGCCAGGCTGGTCTCAAACTCCTGAACTCAACTGATACTCCCACCTCGGCCTCCCAAAGTGCCGGGATTATAGGCATGAGCCACTGCACCCAGCCCCAAGTTCTCTATTCTGTTCCATTGGTCTATGTGTTTGTTTTTGTACCAATACCATGCTGTTTTGATTATTGTACCTTTGTCATATAGTTTGAAGTCAGGGAGTGTGATGTCTCAGCTTTGTTCTTAGGATTGTCTTGGCTATTCTGGCTTTTTTTTGTTTAATATTAATTTAAAATTTTTTTTTCTAATTTTGTGAAGCATATCAATGATAGTTTAATGGGAATAGCATTGAAACTGAAAATTACTTTGGGTCGCATGGTTATTTTCGTGATATTGATCCTTTCTATTCATGAACATGGAATTTTTTTTCCCATTTGTTTTTGTCCTCTCTGATTTCTTAGAGCAGTGGTTTATAGTTCTCCTTGAAGAGGTCCTTCACTTCCCTTCCCTTGTTAGCTATATTACTAGATATTTTATTCTTTTTGTGGCAGTTGTGAATGGGAGTTCATTCATAATTTGGCTCTCAGCTTGTCTGTTCTTGGTGTATAGGAATGCTAGCAATTTTTTGCACATTGTATCCTGAGACTTTGCAGATGTTTCATATCAGCTTAGGAAGCTTTTGGGCTGAGACAATGGGGTTTTCTAGATATAGGATCATGTAATCTGCAAACAAAGATAATTTGACTTCCTCTCTTCCTATTTGGATGCTTTTTATTTCTTTCTCTTCTTGATGTCCCTGGCCAAAACTTCCAATACTATGTTGAATAATAGTGTTGTGAGAGGGCATCCTTGTCTTGTGCCGATTCTCAAGGGGAATACTTCCAGCTTTTGCCCATTCAGTATGATATTGGCTGTGGGTTTATCAAATAGCTCTTGTTATTTCAAGGTATGTTCCTTCAATACCTAGTTTACTGAGAGTTTTTAACATGAGAGGATGTTGAATTTTATCGAAGGCTTTTTCTGCACCTATTGAGATAATCATGTGATTTTTGTCTTTGGTTCTGTTTAGGTGATGAATCACATTTATTTTTTATTTTTTATTTTTTTCTTTTTTTTTTTTAATTTTTTTTTTAAATTTTTTTTTTTTTTATTATACTCTAAGTTTTAGGGTACATGTGCACATTGTGCAGGTTAGTTACATATGTATACATGTGCCATGCTGGTGTGCTGCACCCACTAACGTGTCATCTAGCATTAGGTATATCTCCCAATGCTATCCCTCCCCCCTCCCCCGACCCCACCACAGTCCCCAGAGTGTGATATTCCCCTTCCTGTGTCCATGTGATCTCATTGTTCAATTCCCACCTATGAGTGAGAATATGCGGTGTTTGGTTTTTTGTTCTTGCGATAGTTTACTGAGAATGATGGTTTCCAATTTCATCCATGTCCCTACAAAGGACATGAACTCATCATTTTTTATGGCTGCATAGTATTCCATGGTGTATATGTGCCACATTTTCTTAATCCAGTCTATCATTGTTGGACATTTGGGTTGGTTCCAAGTCTTTGCTATTGTGAATAGTGCCACAATAAACATACGTGTGCATGTGTCTTTATAGCAGCATGATTTATAGTCCTTTGGGTATATACCCAGTACAAACAACCCCATCAAAAAGTGGGCGAAGGACATGAACAGACACTTCTCAAAAGAAGACATTTATGCAGCCAAAAAACACATGAAGAAATGCTCATCATCACTGGCCATCAGAGAAATGCAAATCAAAACCACTATGAGATATCATCTCACACCAGTTAGAATGGCAATCATTAAAAAGTCAGGAAACAACAGGTGCTGGAGAGGATGTGGAGAAATAGGAACACTTTTACACTGTTGGTGGGACTGTAAACTAGTTCAACCATTGTGGAAGTCAGTGTGGCGATTCCTCAGGGATCTAGAACTAGAAATACCATTTGAATCACATTTATTGATTTGCATATGTTGAACCAAACTTGCATCCTAGGGATTAAACCAGCTTTATCATGGAGCATAAGCTTTTTTATGTGCTGCTGGATTCATTTTGCCAGTATTTTATTGAAGATTTTTGCATCGCTCTTTGTTAGGGATATTGGCCTGAAGTTTTCTTCTTTTTGTTGTATCTCTGCCAGTTTTTGGTATCAGGATGATTCTGGCCTCATAGAATGAGTTAGAAAAGAGTCCCTTCTCCTCAATTGTTCGGAGTCATTTTAGTAGGAATTATATTAGCTCTTCTTCATACATCTGGTAGAATTCAGCTGTGAGTCTGTCTCTCACAGCTGTTTTGGTTGGTAGGCTATTTCTTACTGCCTCAATTTTGGAGCTTGTTATTGGTTGGTTCAGGGATTTCATTTCTTCCTGGTTCAGTCTTGGAAGGTGTATGTGTCCAGTTATTTATCAATTTCTTCTAGATTTTCTAGTTTATATGCACTGTATGGTGTTTATGGTATTCTCTGATGGTTGTTTGTATTTCTGTGGGGTCAGTGGTGATATTCCCCTTAGCATTTCTGATTGTGTTTATTTGATTTTTCTCTCTTTTCTTCCTTATAAGTCTAGCTAGCTATTTTACTAATTTTTTTTCAAAAAAATCAGCTCCTGGACTCAGTGATCTTTTGAATTTTTTTATATCTCTATCTCCTTCAGTTTTGCTCTGATCTTGGTTATTTCTTGTCTTCTGCTAGCTTTGGAGTTTGTTTGCTCTTGGTTCTCTAGTCCTTTTCGTTCTGATGTTAGAATTTTAACTTGAGATATTTCCGGCATTTTTATGTGGTCATTTAGTGATAAAAATTTCTCTCTTAATACTACTTTAGCTGTGTCCCAGGGATTCTGATATGTTGTCTCCTTTTTCTCATTACTTTCAAAGAACTTCCTGATTTCTGCCTTAATTTTGTTATTTACCCAGGAGTCATTCAGTAGCAGGTTGTTCAATTTCCATGTAGTTGTGTGGTTTTGAGTGAATTTCTTAATCTTGAGTTCTAATTTGATTGTACTGTGGGCTGAGATACTGTTTGTTGTGATTTCATTTCTTTTGCATTTGCTGAAGAGTGTTTTACTTCCGATGATGTGATCAATTTTTGAGTAAGTACTGCATGGCTATGAGAAGAATGTATATTCCGTTGTTTTTGGTTGGAGAATTCTGTAGATATCTCTGAGGTCCACTTGATTCAGAGCTAAGTTCAGGTCCTGAATATCTTTGTTAATATCTTTGTTAATTTTCTGTCTTGCTGATCTGCCTAATGTTGTCAGTGGACTAGTAATGTCTCCCACTATAATTGTGTGGGAGTCTAAGTCTCTTTGTAGGTCTCTAAGCACTTGCTTTATAAATCCGGGTGCTCCTGTACTGGGTGCATATATATTTAGGATAGTTAGGTCTTCTTGTTTAACTGAATGCTTTACCATTATGTAATGCCCTTCTTTTTCTTTTTTGATCTTTGCTGGTTTAAAGTCTGTTTTGTCAGAAACGAGGATTGCAACCCCTGCTTTTTTTGTTTTCCATTTGCTTGGTAAATTTTTCTCTCTCCCTTTATTTTGAGCCTCTGCATATCTTTGCACATGACATGTGTCTGTTAAAGACAATATACCAATGGATATTGGCTCTTTATCCAGCTTGCCATTCTGTGCCTTCTAATTGAGGCATTTAACCCATTTATGTTTAATGTTAGTATTGTTTCGTGTGAATTTGATCCTGTCATTATGATGCTAGCAGGTTATTTTGCAGACTTGTTAATGTGGTTGCTTCATACTGTCACTGGTCTGTATTCCTCAGTGTGTTTTTGAAGTGGCTGGTAATGGTTTTTCCTTTCCATATTTAGTGTTTTCTTCAGGAGCTCTTGCAAGGCTGGCCTGGTGGTGATGAATTCTCTCACCATTTGCATGTCTGAAAAGGATCTTATTTCTCCTTTGCTTATGAAGCTTAGTTTAGCTGGATATGAAATTCTGGGTTGGAAGTTCTTTTATTTGAGAATGTTGAATATTGGCCCCCAATCTCTTCTGTCTTGTAGGGTTTCCACCAAGAAGTCTGCTGTTAGACTGATGTGCTTCCCTTTGTAGGTGTCTGAGCCTTTCTCCCTGGCTGTTCTTAACAATTTTTTGTTTCATTTCAACCTTGGAGCATCTGATGATTATGTTCTTGGGGTTGATCTTGTTATGGAATATCTTACTGGGTTTCTCTGGATTTCCTGAGTTTGAATGTTGGCCTGTCTTGCTAGGTTGAGGAAGTTCTCCTGGGTGATATTCTGTAGTATGTTTTCCAACTTGGTTTCATCCTCCCCATCTATTTCAGGTACCCCAGTCATAAGTTTGGTCCTTTTACATAATCCCACATTTCTCAGAAGTTCTGTTTGTCCCTTTTTATTCTCTTTTCTTACATAATTCCAAAATTTTGGAGATTTTGTTCATTTCTTTTTATTTTTTAATCTATTATTATTATTATTATTATACTTTAAGTTTTAGGGTACATGTGCACAATGTGCACGTTTGTTACATATGTATACATGTGCCATGTTGGTGTGCTGCACCCATTAACTTGTCATTTAGCATTAGGTATATCTCCAAATGCTATCCCTCCCCCCACCCCACAACAGTCCCCGGAGTGTGATGTTCCCCTTCTTGTGTCCATGTGTTCTCATTGTTCAATTCCCACCTATGAGTGAGAACATGCGGTGTTTGGTTTTTAATCTATATTCTTGTCTGCCTGTCTGAATAGTCTGAAAGCTCTGAGCTTCTTTTCTCCACATGATTGATCTATTCTGCTATTGGTACTTGTGATTGCATTGCGAAATTCTCATATTGTGTTTTTCAGCTCCATCAGGTCAACTGTGTTCATCTCTAAACTGGCTATTCTGGTTATCAGCTACTGTATTGCTTGATGATATTTCTTAGCTTCTTTGCATTGGGTTACACATGCCCCTTTAGCTCAGCGAAGTTTATTACCCACCTTCTGAAGCCTACTTCTGTGAATTCAGCCATCTCAGCTTCAGCCCAGTTCTGTGTCCTTGCTGGAGAGATGCTGCAGTCATTTGTAGAAGAGGCACTCTGGCTTTTTGATTTTCCAGCATTTTTCATTGATTTTCTCTCATTTTTGTGGGCTTATCTACCTTTGATCTTTGAGGTTGCTGATCTTGAATTGGGCTTCTGTGGGGTATTTTTAGTTGATGTTGTTGTTGTTTTATGTCTGTTTTTATTTTAATAGGCCTCTGTCTGTTAGCAACCATAGGGCTGCTGTGGTTTGCTGGGGGTCCACTCCAGACCCTAGTTGCCTTAGTTTTTCCCATACCTGGAGGTATCACCAGTGATTGCTGCAAAACAGCAAAGGTGATAGCCTGCTCCTTCCTCTAGAAGCTCCATCCTAGGTGGGTACTCACCTGTTGCCAGCCTGAATGCTCCTGTAGTTGCTGTCCGGAGACCTCTGTTGAGAGGTCACAGGCAATCAGGAGGAACGAGATCAGGGACCTGCTTACAGAATCAGCCTGGCTGCTTTTGATAGAGCAGATGTGCTGAATTGGGCAGGGGTGGCCCTTCCTTATCTGGACTACCTGGACTCTCCAAACAGCGGAGTCAGTGGTCACCCCTCCCCTGGGATCTTTCTTACGGAGAGATCAGAGTTCTGTTCATATAAGCCTGGCTGGAGTGACTAAAGGACCCCTGCAGGGAGGCCTGGCCCAGTGGGGAGGAATGGATTGGAGTCCTGCTTAAAGAAGCATTTTGTGTGCAATTTTGCAAAGCAGGTGTGCTGCATTGAAGAAGACCCCTCCAAGTCAGGATCTCTTGGACTCTCCAGAGCCAGGAGGCTGGAATGTTGAGTCAACCAAACTGCAGAAATGGCAGCTGCTTCTCCCCCCAGCCCCGCCTAACCCTCCCACCCCCGGCCAAACTCTTTAGTTTCAGGCAAACTCAGCCTATTTTCATTGGCTGGGATTCCAAGCCAGTGAGTCTTTACTTTTGGAAGTGGGGCCCACAGAATGACACAGCTTGGCTCCCTGGATTCAGCCCCTTTCCTAGGGGAATGTATGAGTGGATCTGACGCATTGCCAGGAATCTGGGGCTAGAGTATGTAAAACTTCTGGGGCTCTGTGTGCGCCTGAGCAGTTGCTCTGCGGAGACTCCACACAGCTCTGTATGTCAGACCCAAGGCCCTGGCGGCATGGGTTCACGAGGGCATCTCCTGATCCATGGGTTGCAAAGATCGTGGGAGAAGCGTGGTTTCCTGGGCAGGGTTGCACAATCTCTCACTGCTTCCCTTGGCTAGGGGTGAGGGTTCCTTTTGCTCCATGCTGCTCCCAGGTGGGCTGTCACCCCTAAAAATATTATTCTTTCTTCAATAGTATATTAACTTTAGCTTACTGTAACTTTCTTATTTTATAAACTCTATAACTTAAAAAAATTTTTTAAGGCGGGGCGTGGTGGCTCATACCTGTAATGCCAGCACTTTGGGAGGCCAAGGCAGGTGGATCTCCTGAGATCAGGAGTTTGAGACCAGCCTGGCTAACATGATGAAACCCCGTCTCTACTAAAAATACAAAAAATTAGCTGGTTGTGGTGGTGGGCGCCTGTAATATCAGCTACTCCGGAGGCTGAGGCAGGAGAATCGCTTGAACCAGGGAGGCAGAGGTTACAGTGAGCCGAGATCATGCCACTGCACTCCAGCCGGGGCAACAGGAGTGAAACTCCGTCAAAAACAAACAAACAAACAAACAAAGCCACAAACAAAAAAACTTTTAAAATACATTGTATATCTGTACAAAAATATTTTCTTTATATCTTTATTCTTTAAGCTTTTTATTTTTTACTTTTTACTTGAAAATTTTTTTCTGTTAAAAAATAAGGCACAAATATCCACATTATCCTAAGCCTACACGGGGTCAGGGTCATCTGTATCACTACCTTCCATCTACACATCTTGTCCCACTGGAAGGTCTTCAGGGCTTCAGGGGTAATAACAGACATGGAGCTATCATCTCCCATGATAATAATGCCTTCTTTTGAAGTACCTCCTGAAGGAACGGCATGAGACTGTTTTACAGTTACGTTTTTTTTAATTGGTAGAAGGAGTACATTCTAAAATAACTATTAAAATAGAGTATACTAAATACATAAACCAGTAACCTGGTTGATATGGTTTGGATGTGTGTACCTGCCAAAAGCTCATGTTGAATTGTAATCCCCAGTATTGGAGGTGGGGCCTGGTGGGAGGTGAATGGATCATGGAGGTGGAGTTCTCAGGAATGGTTTAGCACCATTTCCCCTTGGTATTCTGTAGTTAGTTCTTACGAGATCTGGTTGTTTAAAGGTGTATTTCACCTCCTCCTTCTTTCTATCTTGCTCCTACTCCAGCCATGTAAGACATGCCTGCTCCACCTTCACCTTCCACCATAATCGTAGGTTTTCTGAGGCCTCCCCAGTGGCTGAGCAGATGCCAGCATCATGCTTCCTTTACAGCCTGTGGAACCATGAGCTAATTAAACCTCTTTCTTTATAAGTTACCAGTCTCAAGTATTTCTTTATAGCAGTGTGAGAATGGACTAATACAGTAGTCATTTATTATTATCAAGTATTATGTACTGTATATAATTGTATGTGCTGTACATTCAAACAGCTGGTAGTAGGATAAGTTTGTTTACACTACTCAACACAAACATGTTTGTGTTTGTGTAGTGCATTGTGCTTTGATGTCAGGATGGCTGCGACATCACTAGGTGATAGGAATTTTTCACCTCCATCATAATCTTATGAGACCACCATTGTAAATGCAATCTATCATTCATTGAAACATCATTATGCCACACATGACTAGTTCTTCAAGTTGGAGAAGACAGAAGCAAAGTAAGATTTGAGTCACAAACTTTGGCTTTGTTTGCAGACGGCTTAAGTGAAGATCACACTTGAACAATGTTTCTATTTATGTCCATCCTATGTTTCTCTGGCTCTGACTATAGCTTTAAAAATCCTAAATCTTTTTTTTTTTTTTTTTTTTGAGACGGAGTCTCGCTCTGTCGCCCAGGCTGGAGTGCAGTGGCGGGATCTCGGCTCACTGCAAGCTCCGCCTCCCGGGTTCACGCCATTCTCCTGCCTCAGCCTCCCAAGTAGCTGGGACTACAGGCGCCCGCCACTACGCCTGGCTAATTTTTTTGTATTTTTAGTAGAGACGGGGTTTCACCGTTTTAGCCGGGATGGTAAATCTTTTTTTTTATTATTATTACTGGCTCAGAGTGTTTGGAATAAATAAATAAATAAATATATATATATATATATATTTTTTTTTTTTTGAGAGGAGTTTCACTCTTGTTGCCCAGGCTGGAGTGCAATGGCGCGATCTTGGCTCACTGCAACCTCCGCCTCCCGGGTTCAAGCCATTCTCCTGCCTCAGCCTCCTGAGTAGCTGGGATTACAGGCGCATGCCGCCACGCCCACCTAATTTTTTTGTATTTTTAGTAGAGACGGGGTTTCTCCATGTTGGTCAGGCTGGTTTCAAACTCCCAACCTCAGGTGATCCGCCCACCTTGGCCTCCCAAAACACTGGGATTACAGGCGTGAGCCACCGAGCCCAGCCAGATATATTTTTAAAATATTTTCTTGGCTATGTGCTAAGAATACAATTGTAAAAATCATTAGAAACCGACAAAATGTTTGCATTGGCAAATAAATCACTACAATCATCCAGAATTTAGTATCCACATTGTGAAAAAAAATGTAGTTTATGGTTAACAATAAGTAAATTATTATAAAGTGCCACCTTTGAAGGAAGGAAGCACTACTCCACCTCTCAAAAACTGTTTTAATGTGTGACTTTTGTGAAACAACTCTCCTCACTTCATGTGAACCCTGTTAAGCCACTACTACAACTAAATATAAGCAGATGTTACCAAATACAAAACTTATTAGCTCTCTTATCTAAGGCATGTTATTACATAGTAAACATGCATTAATGTATGTCAGACTAGAATGTAAGGCCTTCTGAGCACCAGGAACTGCCTTCTTTCAATGTCACCAACATATATCAAGTTGGATTTTTCAAGCTTCCCTTGACACCGTCCAGTTCACATACAGTACCCCATGATTTGTTTCTATCCTTCCATGTTCAAACAACATTTTATGCTATTTCTGAGAACACATAGTTGCTGAGTTACTGTGAAACTGTCATGTTACTAGCTCATCAGGGGAATGAAAACAAGTATTTGAATTACAGTAAAATAGTGTACACATCAGGGGTTAATTGTATGATATTAATGCATGAATTACAAGAGACAGTGACCCATTCACTTTGATTGCATAGATAACAGCACCAAATTTATATAGGAAACATTTCTTCATTAAGAAAGAGATTGTTAATTCCAATTCCCCAAAAGAGTCTGTGACAATTTTTATCAAAATTATGAATTTTGTTTAGTGACGATTTCATGTACTGTTATTGTTAAGAGACAATTTTCAATGGGTTACTCATATGTCAGCATGTCCCGTGAGTGAAGCACTTACTGACTTTATGTTCTGAAGTCTCCTTTATTTTATTTTATTTATTTATTTATTTATTTATTTTGAGACAGTGTCTAGTTCTCTCACTCAGGCTGGAGTGCAGTGGTGTGATCTCAGCTCATTTCGACCTCTGCCTTCTGGGCTTAAGCAGCCCTCCCGTCTCAGCCTCCCAAGTAGCTGAGATTACAAGTGGTTGCCATCATTCCTGGCTAATTTTTGCTTTTATTTTTTATTTTTTTGTAGAGACAGAATTTCACCGTGGTGCCCAGGCTGGTCTTGAACTCTGGGGCTCAAGCCTCCCAGAGTGCTGGGATTACAGGTGTGAGCCACCATACTGGACCCTTAACTGTCTTTTCAAAGATGTTTGCCTAATGACCACACTTGAAAGACATAGTATCTCGCTCTGAAACAAGAAGTAGCCTTGCTTGCTGCCCAGCATAGCAAGATAATGACTCCCACAGGAGCAAAGGACACATATGCTTACTTCCTTTTATAAAAGATCCAAATTCCCTAAGTTTAGAGTTCCTCTCTTGAAGCACATTATATCTGCGGGGATTACATAGGCCTCTTCATGTCTCGCAGTAAGAGTTTGAGTTCCTCCAACCTGTGGAAAAATTCAGATAGTCTGTCTAATGTTACTGCCATGAGAAAGTCTTTTGTCTGACCCAGGAGTCTTGTGTCTTTTCCAGCATCCATAAAACTGTAGCAGGCTAACTTGTTATTGTGCCAGTTAGGTAAAGATCTTAGCCCCTTCACAGTTCTTGTGAGACATTGTATCACTCCATTCTTGCGTTGCTATAAAGAAATACCTGAGACTGAGTAGTTTATTTTAAGAAAGAGGTTTAATTGGCTCATGATTCTGCAGGCTGGACAGGAAACATGATACTGGCATTTGCTTGGCTTCTGGGGAGGCTTCAGAAAACTTATAATCATGCAGAAGACAAAAGGGGAGGAGGCACATCACATGGCCAGAACAGGAGCAAGAGAGTGAGAAAGTGAGAGGTGCTACACACTTTGAAACAAATAGATCTCACGAGAACTCACTCACTTCCATGACAACAGTACCAAAAGGATGGTGATAAACCATTCATGAGAAATCCACCCTCATGATCCAATCACCTCCCACCAGGATCCATTTCCAACACTGGTGATTACAATTTAGCATGATATTTGGGCGGGGACACATATCCAACCATCTCACATGTTTTGGCAGTGAACATCGGTTATTGACAGAGACAAGGCCTTCTAGAAGGGAAAGTATGAGAGTCACATAAACTGATAACAGAGTTTAAGGAAAGTCCATGGGAATTGGTAATAAACATCTTTACCAAATTGTATAGTGAGGCTGGAAGTAAACCATATGGTCAACCAGGAAGTAAATGGTCCTCAACTTTGTTGCTTGTTAATAAGAAATTGGGGAGGTAGGTGCATGTATGTAGGTTCAAGGACGCCTATCTAAACCTGGGCTGTAGTTGTTAATTTTGCTCTAGCAAGGGCTGGGTCAGGAGCAAGGAAGAGAAAGGAGGAAGGGAGATTTCCTTACCAACATGGGGAGGAACCTCAAGTCCACCCTATTGTAACAAATACTAAGATTGATCCTGAAAGGACAGAAGGATTTCTACTTTCTTTCAGATGACAGTTACAGGGCTGAGCATCTACACTAGCAAGAAAGGAGGAAAATTCACAAAAGGCATGACAGAAACTAGGTGCATCTTTAAAATTTTGGCTAGTTCATTTCAGAGAAGAGGAGAATAGCATGTAATGCTTATTCTGGAAGAATGGAAATACTTGCTTTCAGCTCAACACCCTTTGCAGTCTATCATGCCAATTTTAGATCTATTCAAAGATGATGGTAAAACATATGAGGTTTTTTGGTGTTCTGTCTTACACGTATATATAAATATATATGTATAAGTTGTTTTATAAGTGTATATATTAAAAACATGTATGTATAAAACATATATGTATATACATATATATACACATACACACATACATACATATATACACATAAGCCTTGTATGCCATAAGGGACATTTGATCCTTTGGGGCAGAATTCCCTGAAGAAAAAACTTGTGGGAAACCATAAGGGAGTCATTGACTAGAATTAAAGTTCTTATGGCTCCAGGTAGTTCACAATGCTGGCAGTTGTGACTAACTGGAGAACAAGAAACAAAGTAAGAATGTCCAATAAGCTTCACTTGTCAAATGGAAGTTATGTATCCAAGAGTACAGCAAGCCAGGCCACAGCAGCTTCTCAGCTTTACATGAAAAAGAGGTAGCTATACTTTGGGGAAATTGTATTCCCCCCTCTGCCTCCAGAAGCAAAACTGGTTTGATAGGTTCCTCAATTTAGAGAGATTTCTCTACATTCTTGGGCCTGAGACACTGATTTTTTGGTCGCTAAGCTAAAACTTGATGGTGTCCACTGTATGATTCAGCCTCAGCACCAGCTGTTCTTAGTTGAGAATGGATGGGTGACAGTGTCTCAGTGGACATAACTCATAGCTCTGGACAATACTCTGCTTGACGAACCTTGCTATAATTTTGCTGGCTTTCTGGCTTTTGCTAGGGGCCTAGATGTTTGGTCTGCCACACAAATTATGGTTGCTGACCAAGTCATCTAGATCCTACTTGTATATGTTCAAAGTAAGGGACTATTCTCTGATGAGCCCAACTAAAATCCAGCTATTGAATGAACCTGCGCCACCCAGATTGCCGCCTAATTTCATCTTTGTACTAGATATAGCAACACATCCTCCACTGTAGAGTGAGTACAACTTGGAGGGCTCTGTGTTTCTAAAGCTGGCCATTTTAATCAGTGAGGAAAAGAAACCACCATTGTGGGTTCTGAGCAATAGGGAATAATTTTCTATTTAAAATTTAGAGAGACACTTTTTTTTTTCTGCCAAAAGCAAGAAATTGTATGAACTCCTGGTATTGCACCTGTGAAAGTCATTTTGCAGAGATCTTGCAGATGGTATAAGGTGCAGTTTGACTCCTGGCTCTGCTAGTTACTATATTACCTTAAACAAACAAAAAACTCTTAGAGATTTAGTGTTATTTTTTAAAAGTGGGAAATGTGATAGTTTTAAAATCAAAGAAACAACCCCTGTGAGAATGTTTTCCAATTGCAAAACACTCTACAAATATTATTTGTAGTGCTGGTACTTATGTACATTTATGCTGTAAAGTAGAAACCAAGCAATATAAATATAGCTCACCATCTATACATTAAACCTAAAAGAATTCAGAAAACAGACCATGATTTTAAAGTGTTTAGCATTTTAGTTGTAATACAATACAGTAACCAGTATACTTTGGGGAACCTGGGTGAGGTGCACAACAGCCTAGAAGGAAGGAAGGTTAAGAAGCAACAAAATGGAAACCAGGACAAAGAACTATACTGCATACCAAAACGACACTATAGTTATTTAGATAATACACTATTTGTAGTTTGGATTATGTATTTTTTATCTTTTTTTTTTTATTTTTTGAGACGGAGTCTCGTTCTGTCGCCAAGCTGTAGTGCAGTGGTGATCTTGGCTCACTGCAACCTCCGACTCCCGGGTTCAAGCGATTCTCCTGCCTCAGCCTCCCGAGTAGCTAGGATTACAGGCACGTGCCACCATGCCCAGCTAATTTTTGTATTTTTAGTAGAGCCGAGGTTTCACCGTGTTGGCCAGGATGGTCTCGATCTTCTGACCTCATGATCTGCCCACTTCGGCCTCCCAAAGTGCCGGGATTACGGCATGAGCCACCGCACCCGGCCAGTTTGGATTATTTATTTTTATACTAGCCCTTAACATTCAATAAAAATAGATGTGGTTTGCCAATTAATATGGATATAAACACTTTCAACTAATTTTCAAATACACGGCTTGTCAAAAGAACCCTTTACATATTGGTTAAGAAAACTACCTAAACTTTTGAAATTTAATAATTACTAGTTACTAGTCATTATCCCAATTTCCACACTGAGAAGATCAGGTAAGCAGTATCTGCATAGCTCATTGCAATTTATTTAGCCTGGTATCTTTTTTCTTTTGAAATTATAGCAATGACATATTTAATCTGTAATCCATGGTACCTTCAACTTTGTCTTTGGTCTATGTACAAAGCTAAGCATGGGTTATTTGCATTTATGTAAATAACCTTCTTAACCTAATTACCTTCTGTTTATCTTTATAGAATTTAATGTTGGTTTTATGCACTTTGTATCAGGTTATTTCACAAATCATGTTTAACCTATTGTGTATATCTGCAACTTTAATCAATTACATTAAAAAATGATCATCGTGGACCATGATTTAAAACATTTAACCTTTAAAATTTCAATGCAGCCTCAAAAATCCATAATTTGAAATGCCACTCATTTTCCACTACGCAAAATATAAATCTATTCAATAAATAGCATTGTGCTACAATATGCAAGGCAAAGCACTCTTTTGTAAAGAATCACAAGTTTATATAAAATGTGTAAAATTTAATTCCAAAAAACTACACAAGTCAAACAAAGGAGAGCACTGGGCATGGCACAAGAATGGCACAGCAGTCTACAGGGATTTAGGGAGAGGAAAGACAAAATCCTCCTATGCTTAATTAATCTATCATTTAAATTTGTTCCTATTTATTGTATCTGTTTATGTTTGTAAAACAGCCTTGTTGAATATAATTCACATACCACACAATTCATTCATTTAAATGGCATAATTCAATGAATGGCTTTTAGTGTATTCATAGAGTTGCACATCCATTACCACAATCAATTTTAAAATATTTTCATTGCTCCCAAAGAAACATTGCTTCCTTCTCAATCCCACATCTGTTCCCATCCACACCAGCTCTAGGCAAACACCAGTCTATTTTCCTTCTCCATAGATTTGCCTATTCTGGACATCACATATAAATGAAATCATACAATAGGTGGTCCTTTTATGACTGGTTTCTTTCACTCAACATAATATTTTCAAGGTTCACCCATATGGTAAAATGCTTCAGTACTTTACTTCTTTTTGTTGCTATGTAATATTTTATTGTTTATCCATTTTATTTATTAATTCATCAGTTCACAGACATTTGGGCTGCTTCCACTTTTGGTTAGTATGAATATTGCTGCTGTGAATATTTGTGTACAAGTTTTGTGGGCACATGTGTTTTCATTTCTTTTGGGTATATATCTAGGAGTGGAATTGCTGGATCATATGCTATTTCCATGTTTAACCCTTTGATAAACTGCCACACTATTTTGCAAAGCAGCTCCACCATTTGACATTCCCACCAGCAGTATAGGAGGATGAGGATTCCAACTTTTGCACATCTTTGTCAACAGTTGTTATTTTTCGTTTTCTTATATGTGTAGCCACCCTACTTGGTGTGAAGTGGTGTCTCATTTTGGTTTTCATTTACATTTCCTGATAGCTGTTGACTTTGAGCAACAGTCAGTGTGATTTAGGGTCATTTGTATATCTTCTTTGGAAAATGTCTATTCAGATCTTTGCCCATTTTTAAAATTGTGTATTTTCCTTTTTATATTGAGTAATCTGTTATTCATTCCATTTTGCCTCTTTTCTCATTGACTTATTAATGAATTGAATATGTTTTATTGAATCATTTGTCTCCACTATTGGTTCATGTCTTAGTTAGGTTTTTGTTGCTTATAATGAATACCTGAAACTAGTAATTTATAAAGAAAAGGAATTTATTTCTTCCAGTTACGAGGGCTGCAAAGTCCATGGTTGAGGAACTGCATCTGGTGACGGCATTCTTGCTAGTGTGGACTCTGCAAAGTTTCATGGTTGTGCAGGTTATCACATGGTGGGCATGCTGAACATGCTAGATCAGATCTTTCTTCCTCTTGTTATAAAGCCACCAGTCCTGCTCCCATAATAATCCATTAATCTATTAATTCATGAATTGATTCATCCATTCATGAGGGCAGAGCCCTTATGACCTAGTCATCTCCTAAAGGCCTTACCTCTCAATACTGCCACATTGGAGATAAAATTTCAACCTGAGTTTTGGAGGGAAAAATATTTAAACCGTAGCAGGTCATTAGCCATGCCAATATTTAACTTAGCTTAGCCTACTCTGAAATAATATTACACCAATCATGTGTGTATAAAAACATCACAACAGTGTACTTTCATTTATCTTTCCATTGTCTTTGTTAGTTTGTCATACAATTTTATATACAAGTCACAAATTATACAGTGCATTTTTTAAACAGTCAGTTGTTTATTAAAGGTACTAACATTTTTGTAAAAAAAAAGATTATGTTTACTCATATATTTAACCTACCTTGTGGGTTTTATTTCTTCATGTAGATCCTAATTCCAGTCTGGTATCATTTACAATTTTTCTGAAGTTCTTCCTTGTAGTACCACTTTTCCAGATCTAAGTTCTGTTAGATTTTTTTGGTCTAAAAAGCCTTTGCATAATTTTCTATATCAATGTTATAATATTCTGTATTTTTCAGAAATTTAAGGATATATTTCATTGTTTTCTTGCTGCATTGTTCTGAGAAGAATTCTCTTGTCTTTGTCCTATAAACTGGCAGCTTACAATAGTTTCATCTAATTTCTGGCTTAGGGTGATTTTCTTTTTTTGTTGTTGTTGTTGTTCAGTTTTGTTTTTGCTTGGGGTCCAAGGATCTTATAGCTGTGAATTTGAGTTTTCATCACATTTGAAAAAGTTTTGGACATTATTTATTCAAGTATTTTTACCCTCTTCCCCACCTTCTCTTCCTGGGTCTCTAATTATACCTAGGTTAGACCATTAGCTATCTTTTCTCTCTTTGTTGAGGTTCTGTTTATCATTCTTTTTCAGTATTTTTTTCTGTGCTATATTTGGAATTGTTTATATGGTTATGTCATCGGGTTAACTGATCTTTTCTTCTGTAGTATTTAATCTATAGTTAATCCCTTGCTATGTATTTTTTATTTCACATGTTTTTCATCAATAAAAATTCCATTTAGAGCTTTATTTTTTTTCTATTTCTTCTATTTTCCCATTATTATGTTCATCTTTTCCATTAACATATTTATATATAGAGAGAGAACAGTTGTTTTAACATCCTTTATGATCAATTTCTTTTTCCATTTCTATTGACTGATTTTTCTTTTGGTTAACTTTTCTCCCGGTTTTTGGTTATGTTTTCCTGATTGTTTGCATATGTGGTTAGTTTTAGTTGGATACTGCCATTGATGGATGTTGAATTTTGTTTAATTAAAAAAAAATAAAATGTAGGCTTTTTTCTCTGGCTTTCAACTTGATCCTTTCTAAGCATTCCTTAACTTTGTTATGATGTGTCAAGAGCAGCCTTTATTCTGGCACTAATTTAAGCCCAATACTAAAGTTTAAGGCTTCTGAAGACATTAATGCCTGGTCTAAGTCTCTCTACTCTGACTAGTAGAACATGAACTGTTTTATCCTTGTATGAGCACTGAGAATTGTGTATCTACAGCTTTCTAGTAGTTCTTTTCTCAGGTCTGAGGGTTTTTTTTCTCTCCTCAATCGCTCCTGCAAAAAATCTATGTCCACCTTTACCTTTCCACTGTTATTTTCCTAACTTAGGTCTCCATCACTATTCATTTAAATTCCACAGGCACTTCTAGGAGATTGTTCTGATGATAATTCGTCTCATTCTTATATTAGTCACTTCCCCACGGTAGCAGAATTATCTTTTTAAGATGAAAATCTAAAGGTTTGCTGGGCGTGGTGGCTCACGCCTGTAATCCCAGCACTTTGGGAGGCTGAGGCAGGTGGATCACGAGGTCAGGAGTTCAAGACCAGCCTGGCCAAGATGGTGAAACCCCGTCTCTACTAAAAATACAAAAAAAAAAAAAAATTAGCTAGGCGTGGTGGTAGGTGCATGTAATCCCAGCTACTCGGGAGGCTGAGGCAGAGAATAGCTTGAACCTGGGAGGCGGAGGTTGCAGTGAGCCAAGATCGCACCACTGCACTCCATCCTGGGCGACAGAGCAAGACTGTGTCAAAAAAAAAAAAAAAAAAAAAAAGAAAGAAAGAAAAGAAAATCTAAAGGTTTATTTGTCTGTTCCAATTACTTGTCAGTACATTTCTTAAGCACAAGGATGACATCTGGCAGTTAGTAAGTATTGTGCTGGTAAATCAGCTTTCATGGGAAACAATTCCTGATATCTAACATTTGCCCATTACTATGGTGTAAATATTTCATCATGGCCACTTGCAAACTGCCAATTAATGTCAGTGAATATAGAGTTGTAAAGAGATGCACACAATTAGCTTTCATGAGGCAGTATAATTCAGCTGCAGTACAATTCAGCTTCAGCACATTTGGTGTTTAGTCCATAGTAGGTTCTTGGTTCATGTTCCTTGAATGAAAGACTTTTATTATCTGTGTTAAAATATAAGTGCATGAAGAGAACTAGACGAGCTACAGGAGGATTGCTTTAGCCTAGGAATTTGAGGCTGAAATGAGCTATGATCACAACACCACACTCCAATCTTGGTGACAGAGTGAGACCCTATTCTAAGATAAAATAAAATGTAATAAATTTTTTAAAAAGGGAGAACCAGGGCTAACTAACTAGCTAGTTAATGCAGCCTCCAAAAAAAAAAAAAAAATCAACACAATGCATGCCTCCAGTTAATTAAGGAAAAAGAGGAGTCTGAGATAAGAATATGCATGTATTAGTAATTTTGGTGTTTAAATAGTGATTTTAGCATGAAAATTACATAGAACTTTGCTGAGTAGTATGAAAAATAAAAGTTAATTGAATAACTTTATGATAATTATTCTGCATTGCCAGTAAGAATTGTAGGGTAGGCAGTAGGAAAGCTTTACAAAATAAATTGAATGAAACTCAGCATGTATAAAACTGTACTTTCCTGTATGTGGCACTTTTAATATCTAGAAAGTATTCAAAGCACAAAGCGTTAGGTCTAAGAATGATAAACCCTTACTAGTAAACATATCATACTGCACATAATGAAGAAGAAATGTTGGAAGACAGCCTACATTAAGAATTTAAGATAAGCAAACCTTGAAAATTGTGTTGGAAAGCTGTAATTGCAAAATAATAAGGATGCATGAGCATTGGCCAATTGTCACAAATCTTGCTAAGTTTGATTCCCCACTCATATGGCTCCACTTTACCTCACTCACTAAATGCCAAAGTGTACTAATTAAAAATATCTATCTAGGTGTACAGAGACAGAGAACCACCGAGAAGTAAACATATTTTATTATATACTTTATAGTACTATGTTGCTATCTTTGATTTCTAGATACTGAAAAAGTGTTCCTGAGAAGGTCAGTAAATCCTACTCAAACTCCCAATGAAAGATAGATAGGATTTGGTTCTGACTTTGAGATGGGTGGCCTGGGAGTGGGGAAATTCATTATATGGGGTAGAAGTAGTGACAATAGTTAGGGACCTAATCCAGTATTCACTTAGGTTGACCTTACCCACATGACGTGTAAGAGGAATGTAGCCAACAAAAGTTTAGCTAAAGTTCTAAAAACATGATATGCCTTTTCTATGTACTTGCTTTTAGTTTGCTTTTCATGAAAACCAGTTATGAAAGTAGGTACACACTTATGCTTAATTTTTATAATAGCCTAGAAGTGAAAAATGAAGAAAATCAGTAAAATCTGACACACAACGAAAATAATTTTTATGTTATTTTAAAATATCAATGTCCTATTTTTAAAGTCAGTCCCCAGTTTCATCTATTTACTCTTAATCGGGTTATTAATAACTCTTAATGGGCATAATGCCAATATCAGTTACAAAGACACGCCCACTATGGCATCGAATAACTGCTGAAGATGAGATGGTAACCTACTCCAAAACTTTGTGTACAATTTAAGGTTAAATACTTTTTTTCACATAATTGTTTTTGGGAAACAAATTTCATAGTTTTTTTTTGAAGAATGCCATTTCAAATGCTGTTTCATATTCATGTGGGAAGGAGTAGCTGTAGATCTGATTCTTTCAAGTAGAGGTCATGAACAATCTCCAAGGGAATGTTAGACTTTGGAATTGCCTTGCCTTAAAGAGCTGTTTAGAAAGTTTTTCCTATTTCTGCTCATGACTATTTTGTTTTGTTCTTTTGAAGAGTGACCAGAAAGTCAATTATATATGTTTCCTGACACTACATTAGCAACTCATTTATCACTTAGCTCTCCCAATTGACTCTCCCTCTCCTAAGAGAAATAAAGGAAATATGTAGAATATATTCCTTCATTTGAAATATTATTAAAAGTCTACCAACATTCTAGAAAGGGGCTTGAAGAAGAATTTGCTAAAAACATGTTTAATAGTTTTGTTTTTTTTTGTTTTGTTTTGTTTGTTTGTTTTTGGGCAAACAGAATGAAAATCCTGGGATATCAGCAGCATATGACCAAGTGAGAGTGCAAATGTACGTCTGGCAAAGAAAGATAGGGGGTTCATTTCATTTATAGATAATTAACTTATTAAGTTATCCCAATTTTAATCAATTTTATCTTAAAAGAATAGAATGGTTGAAGCAGTGTTCCCCTCTGATGCAAGGCCGACACAGGCAGCAGGGTTTGAAAATGAAGTCATATGGGAGGCTACAGCACCAGGGCCAAGGCCAGGGCCAGGCATTTACCTCCTTTTCATCTATTCTTCTCCTTTAATAAACACACACAGACATATTGTTTCTCCAACTCTATTACTCTCCCACAATTAACGTTGTCACTTCTCCAATTTTTTCAGTTTCATATATTTTATTCCACACTGATATTTCTGAAAATTTGATCCTTCTACCTACCTAAATCAAATGACCTAAGATGTTTTTCCAAAATATAAATTCTGAGCTCACACCCACCCACCTCCAGAGAGTATCTGAATGAGAATTGCTGGGAGTGGGTCCAGATATTTTCACTTCTAACAAGTACCTGCTGTGATTCTTACAAATACTTGAGTCTATTGGTCTTTGGATGAAGCAGCAGGGCCATTTGCAATAACGGCAACATCTTCCACATCATAAGTTAGCCTTGACCTGGGCAAAAACTGTAATAGCAATAAAGAAAACAAAAAGGTTGAATTTGAATTAGCCCAAAATGAATAACTCTACAATATAGCAGAATTAAGAGTCTGGGAGACCTCTGGGTTCCCAAATGTTCACTATCACCCCCTCATCTTTGACTCAGAATAAGGTATGAAGAAAGAAAATCAGCTGAAGACACACATTTTTAAAAAATATTATCAAGACATTTTATAAATTTAATGGAAATTGTGTTTAGTGTAAATGCTATGAATAGTGTGAAATTTCTCAAAGTTCACTGAATTTTTTTCTACTTATAAATGATGATTGAAACAGATTGGAAAGCAAATCGTGTTCTTTAAGCTACCTGATTTAAGCTTTAAGATTACCTGAGAAGAGAGACCTATTAAAAGAAAAGAGGAAGAATGGAAGAAAAGCAGGAAGGAAAAAGGAAGAAAGGAAGGAGGGAAGGAGGGAAGGAAGGAAGGAAGGGAGGGAGGAAGAGAGGGAGGGAGGCAGGCAGGAAGGAAGCAAGGAAGGAAAGAAGAAAGTGGGTAAACTTCAGATTCAGAAAATCAAATATTTTCCTTTCAAACGTTACTTAATTAGATAATTTCTCTTTATATTACATGGACTCTCCTTTCACAAAATTTTATTGTTTTCATCTTGAAAGAAAAATTTCTCAAACTCCACAGTGTTTTTGAACATCAATGGAATGACTCAATTTGGCAAATACAAACAGAAACAAATAAGCCCATGTTTATCTAAAAACACAGTCTCCATAATTTCTATTAAAAATCAAATGTACCATCATTTGTGTCAAGTAAAATGGGCACCACTCACAGTTAAACAGACAGGAAGATTTTATTCAAGAGTATTGCAATAGAGGTCAAGACTATTGCAATAGAGGAGAGAGATTAAACTCAATCTGTTGAAATAAAATGTGGGGAATTTTTTTTTAATGCTTTAAGTTCTAGGGTACATGTGCACAACGTACAGGTTTGTTACATAGGTATACGTGTGCCATGTTGGTTTTCTGCACCCATCAAGTCGTCATTTACATTAGGTATTTCTCCTAATGCTATCCCTCCCCCAGTCACCCACCCCCCGACAGGCCCCGGTGTGTGATGTTCAAGGTGGGGAATTTTTAAGTGAGGGAGTGAGCTAGTGGAAAATTACAGGAGGAAGTTGGGGGTAGAGGAGATTGTCAATGTGATTTGGCCATCTGTGTTTGCTAATTTGCACTTGAAGAAGTTAGGCTCATACCTGCCCACAGAGGCTGGAAGATAGGGGCACTATTTTTATTCATGATTACATTTCAAAGAGATGGCTCCTAGGTCCTTGTGAGAGACATTCCTGAGTTGTAGCACTGTAAAGAGGCTGGGAGAGGATTTATATCTTAAAGGGGCACAGAAAGAATGAGCAATCCCAAGTGTTCTAAAGGAAATGCTTTAAGAAAAGAGAGGTCAAGGGCCTACTGGCAGGAAGAAACCTGTCTAAAGTTTAGTTATGCTGAAGGGGCCATTAAGGCCATCTTAATCAATTGCCTTTTTTCAGTCTTTCAGATGATGAATAATTTTTATTTTTATTTATTGATTTGTTTTTTGAGACAAGATCTCACTGTGTCACCCAGGCTGGAGTGCAATGGCACAAACACAGCTCATTGTAGCCTGGAGTTCCTGGGCTCAAGTGATCCTCCTGTCTCAGCATTCCTAGTAGCTGAGACTACATGTGTGCACCAGCACACCCAGCTAATTTTTGAAAATTTTTATAGAGATGGGGTCTTGCCGTGTTGCCCAGGCTGGGAAGAACTTTTATACACATGAATCCATTGTATTAGACATTGAGTCACATTAGTCAAAACTATTTCATCTAAATATTATGGGTGTATGCTGATTGTTTAATTCTAATGCTGACCTAACTGTCCCTATTAAATTATAGATTGTTTTGAACTATGTCACAATTCTGTTGTTTACTTATAGTGCCTGCTCATTTGTTGATTTAAGCCTAAATTCCCTCTTTAAGGAATATTTTAGTTTATTATTTTTGGTTAAGAATAACATTTGGCAAGGAGCCCCCACTAATACAACCTCTCCTGATTTCACATAAAATTCCTGAGAAGACACTGAAAAGGTGAAAATCCCCGACAACTCCCGCTAAAGAGAGGGAAACAGAACCGATCCATTGATAGAATCTGGCAGGAATTGGTGAAAACAATTAGTGTTCTCACCTTGTGTCCCCTTATTGAAACATAGCAGCTGATAGAGGATTAAATGTCATGGGTTCCTACTTCAGTAACTGTCACATGGCCCCAAAACCCAAGGTCCATAACAAAATTCAATAGCTTTCCCTTATGGGGAAGTATCCCTGTTTGATACTTCCCAGTGTTCTTAATATTGAGAACATTGTTTTCCCATCCTACTCTCTCACCTCACACACAGACATTTGGAGCCTCCAGATCTCAAAAAGTCACAGGCAGGAAATAGGGGTAATTGCTAGTATAACACTTTGTATTCTAGAGAGTGTGGCCCCACAGGTAACACATGTTGTCAAAAGGCCTGCTGAGTAAAGGTAACTCTGTAGTGGTGCATAAGCACTTAAATCAATAGATGACAACGATATAGCTCGAGATGGATGCTTTTAACAAATTGTTCATTTTCTAGCTCCTGTCATATATTTGAGTTTGGTTCTGCTGATCTCATGCAGAATCATCTCTTATTTACAATGACTGATCTGTGACATTCTGTACACATGAAGTTAATGATAAAACTGCCACTCCTCTACAACCCAGTGCATTAAAGTGACAATGTTGAAAGTATTGTTATCCTGAAGTGAGCCCTTTGATCCTAAAATACAGGGTTGGCTAAAGACAACCCCCCAACCCCCTCCATGTTTCAGAAAATGCTTATGGCAAGGAACACACTCTTCCCCATATGAGTTAGATAAGACTCACGGATGACAACCCTGTTTAGCTAATGACAAGGCCAGACATAGACCCTCCAAATTTCCATTCTTTGCTCATCAATGGTTAGCTGAAATGTTTGCCCCACTGATCAGTGGGAACAAACTTCTTGTGAACCAAACTTGGGTTAAGCTTCTCTCCTCCCAGGCATCTGAACTTAGGCTCACCCTCAGCCTGAATCAGCTTCCAGCTCCAATGGCCCATCCTGAGCATAGACTGACATCTGGGCAAAACATTCACTGATTCATCCAATCATGCCACTCTTTCACCCCACGTCCCCACACTGGGTTTTCTCTAGCCTTGTTTACTCCTCACTGTAAAAGAAAAATCCTTTTGCATAGCTCTGAAGACCTGCGAGAATCTCATGGTAGCAGTGTTTTCCTTATTGCAATAATTGTTCTCTCCCTTTTTCATTGGTCCCATTCCCCACCCTCTTGCAATAATCCTTTAGAATAAAATCTCTCCTGTAAGTAAAATCAGATAAATTAAAATAAAGTCTGGATTTATGTTTTATTTGATAAAGGATCCTTCTAAACTTGACTCATTTCTCATCTTTTAGTGTTTTCTTTTGGAGACTTCATTTCTTTCCGAACTATTCTGATGCTCTTTTTTCTAAGGCATGCCCCCTTACTGGGGCTAGCGTTAATCATCCTTTTTTCATCCTTTTAGAAATTGCTTCTTTCAAGAAATTTTCCCTGATCTTTTAAGCCATAAGCTCCCATGACACACCATGTTCTATATTCTGCTTAATTGTATTTTTATAAAACTGCAGTCTCTTTAAGGGAGCAATGTCTTATACTCTCAACACCCAATATGGAGCCAGACACATAGTAGATGTGTAATAGATGTTTGTTGAATGAGTATTTTTCTTTCTGAATCGATCTTGGGAGATTGTATGTTTCCCAGAATTTATCCATTTTCTCTAGATTTTCTAGTTTATGTGCATAGAGGTGTTCCTAACAGTCTCTGAGGATATTTTATATTTCTGTGGGATTGGTTGCAATGTCAGCTTTGTTGTTTCTGATTGTGCTAATTTGGATCTTGTCTCTTGTTTTCTTTGTTAATATGGATAGTGGTCTATCGATCTTGTTTATCCTTTCAAAGATTCTTTGGTTTCATTGGTTCTTTGTATGGATTTTTGGGTCTCAATTTCATTTAGTTCTGCTCTGTTTTAGTTGTTTCATTTCTTCTGTTAGCTTTGGGGTTATTTTGTTCTTGTTTTTCTAGTTTCTTTAGGTGTAATGTTAGACTGTTAATTTGAGATCTTTCTAAGTTTTTGAAGTAGGTGTTTAGTGCTATGAACTTTCCTCTTAACACTGCTTTTGCTGCATTCCAGAGATATTGGTATATTGTGTCTCTCTTTTCACTTATTTCAAATACTTTTTTGATTTCTTCCTTAATTACATCGTTTACACAGAAGTCATTCAAGGGCAAGTTGCTTACTTTCCATGTAATTGATTGGTTTTCAGAGATCTTCTTGGTTATGATTTCTATTTTTATTTCACTGTGGTCTGAAATTATGGTTGATATTATTTTGATTTTTTAAAATTTATTGAGGCCAAGCATGTGGTTGATCTTGGCGTATATTCTGTGTGTAAGTGAGAAGAATGTATATTTTGTGATTGATGGGTGCAGTATTCTATATATATCTATTAAGTGCCATTGGTCACGTGTCAAGTTTAAGTTCAGAATTTGTTACTTTTTGGCCTTGATGATCTGTCTAATGTGACAATGGGGTGTTGAAGGATCCCACTATTATTGAATGGCTGTCTAAGTAGAAGACTGCTCAGATGTTGTCTCTTAGAAGAGTCAATGCCAAGTTTAAAGTGACTAAAGAATCAATTTACATTAATATTCTATGTGAACAGGCAAAAATACTTACAAAGAAGTAGAGAAAATATGAATTCAGTACAATGTGATGTGGAATCTGTTAAGATGTATTACAGAGGTTGGTGCTAAAAATGTGTGTGTAGTAGAAAAAGAAAAAAATTGAACAAATATACAAAGCTTAAGGAAATGTAATGTGCTTAAAGCCTATGGCTATTTATTTATTATTCATGGAATTCGTGGAAAATATTTGACTTCTATCACTTGTTATAGTTGTAAATATAGAACTATTGCCAGTTCTGTCAATATTTGTTAGAAATACAAGCTGAATAATCTGACTTGCCCTACTTATTTGATGAATTAGCAGTGGTAAATTTTCAATGGGATTTTTTGAGCACATAACCAAAAATGAAGTTTTACTGAATGAATGAGAAAAATTACCTCAGCCACTATTAACTGAAAACTGAATGGCTTTTGATGTTAGCAGGAGGCAGAAATAATATTTCTTAATTATTTCAATCTAAAATGAAAATGAAAAACAGTGCTAACGTGGAGCGTTTGCTGCAGTAATTTCAACAATCAACATTTGAATCACTGGTAATGTCAAGTTGCTTTAAACACTTTACATGCTGTCTAAAGTTGCAGCAAGAAATAAGATCTTATTCCCATGCTGATTTGCAGTGGAAATATTTCCTAAACTCAAACTACAGGTCCAGCAGTGGTTTTTGCACCTTGATGCAAGTCGGAAGAAAATTTTTGTATTTTAAAATCCACTTTACTGTACAATTAAGGAGTTTCCACCAAATCTTCAAATATAAATGATTAAACCACAACATAATGACACAATACAAGGTGAATATCAAGAGAAGAGCCCAATAGAATTCAATATATGACTTCCAAGAGGTGACTATATTCAATTAAAATTATAAGCTCTTGGATTGATATCAATATTTAACAGTATTTACTTGTGTGAAAAGACATTTTCTAAGGTAAAATATGTAAAATCTTATGACATATCAGCAATAAACACTTATCACAAATCAACCCCCACTAAGCAGAATATCTTTAAACCATTGCCCCTGGCCATGGGTGGGTGTGTGTGCGGGGTGCATGACTGAAGTCCCACACTCGTGTCTCTCTGGGCATGATAAATTTTGCATACCTCACACAGCTCAAAAAAATGTTAAGATCAAAGGGTTTTTTTCTTTCTAATTTGAATTGTGACTTTCTAATTTTTACTGGACTTTCTTTGTTTTCTCTACTTTTTTTTTTTTAATTCTGCATCTTTATCCTTCTCTCTGGATCTTCCAAGTTTTCATTGTGATATTTGTTTCATCATGTCCTCCAATTTTTCTTAAAGCCCTTCATCTGGCTGCCAATCATTGCATCCTCTTTTATCAATTTGAATTTTTGCCCCTAGCCTTGCAACACAGTTGTCATAGTGAACTCTAAGAGAAATTGAACCCGTTTGTCTGCCTGTCCGCCATGTCCTATGTTTATTAACCTTGTTTTTCTAGACTATTAATTCACTAAATTCCTAAGATAGGGTCCTTGGGAGGTAACATTTGTGGGTTCTGAAAATATCTTTGTTTTGTCCTGACATTTGATAATATTTTTGACTGAGTATAAAAATCTAGATTGAAATTTTTTTTTCATTACTTTGAAGGTTTTTCCCCATAATCTTTTAGCTTTTAGTAGACCTTATAATTTGTTGTCGTTTAAATTATCACTTATTAATGGACATTTTATTATGATATTTTCAATCTATTATATTCCATATATTTCAAATAGTTGTAATGCTGACATATTACCATTATACATCTAGGTCTGGATATCTCATTTTTATTCTATTCAGAACTCTGTAAACCCTTTTAATAAGAAAATTTTGGTTTGCTTGTCTCTGCTAACTTTTCTTTTTTAAATTCTAATTTTTAAATTGTAAATTGACAAATTATAGTTGTATATGTTTATGGGGTACAAAGTGATGTCATGATTTATGAATACAATGTCAAAAAATTAAAGCAAATTGATTACCATATTCATCATCTCAAAATACTTACCATTTTTGTGGTGAAAACATTTGAAATTTGCTGTCAGCAATTTTGGAGTGTGCAATATATTATTATTTACCACATTCACCACTCTGTGAAATATATTAATATACTGAAGAAAAAAAAACTCATTTTCCCTAATTGAGGTTTTTTACCCTTCGACCATCATTGTCCCATTCCCCTGTACTACACCAGTTCCTGGTAACCATCATTCTTGTCTCTGCTTCTGTAAGTTCAATAGTTTTAGATTCTACCTGTAAGTGAAAACATGCAACATTTGTCTTTCTGTGCCTGGCTTATTTCACTTATCATAATGTTCTCCAATTCCATTCATGTTGTTGCAAATGACAGAATTTTTTTCTTTTTAAAGGCTGAATGGTGTTCTGTTGTGCACATATACTACATTTTATTTATCTGCTTCTCTTTTGATGGACACTTTGTTTGATTTCATAACTTGACTGCTGTGAATAGTGCTATGAGGAACATGGCATGCAGACATCTCTTTGGCACACTAATTTCAAGTCTTTTGGCTAAATACCCAGAAGTGGGATTGCTGGATCATATGCTAATTCTATTTTTAGTTTTCTCAGGAACCTCCCTGGTTTGCTATAGCAGCTGTACTAATTTACATTTCTACCAGCAGTGTGCCTAGCTTCCCTTTTCTCCACATCCTCACCAGCACCTGTTGTCTTGTCTTTTTGATAATAGCCATTCTAACAGGTGTGGAGTGATATCTTATTGTGGTTTTAATTCATGGTTGTCTGATGTAGTGAAGTTGAACAACTATTTTCATATATATCTGTTGGTTATTTGTATGTATCCTTTTCAGACATGTCTATTCAGGTCCCTTGCCCATTTTAAATTGGGTTATTTGTTTTCCTTCTATAGGATTGAGTTGCATATCTATTTTGGATGTTAACCCCTTATCAGTTGTATGGCTTGAAAATATTTTATCTCAATCCTTAGGTTGTCTCATCACCCTGTTATTTTCTTTGTTGTGCCAAAGCTTTCTATTTTTATGTAATTACATTTGTCTATTTTTGCTTTTGTTGCTTTGGGTCAAAACTAAAGAACCCTGGCCCAAACCAATGTCATTTTATTTATTTTTTCTATGATTTATCCTACTAGTTTTACATTTTCAGATCTTAAATCATCTTACATCGATTTTTGTATATGGTAAGAGATCGATGTCTTGTTTCATTCTTCTGCATGTGGATATCCAGGTTTCCTAGCACCATTTATTGAAGAGACTGTCTTTTTCTTATGATATTTTCTGATAATATCTATTATTGTGTTTTCTGATAATATCAGTTCTCATTTTCTACATTCTAGAATATTAAGTAATTAAATATGACATCACATATTAATTCTGAATGGCTTTTATTTCCTTTTATATCATTATTCCCTAGCTATTTATCTTTTTTTCCTACAACATTTTAGAGAGTGCCTCAAAATTATCTTCCATTTTTTGTAGTTCCTACTTTTACATTTGTAATTATATTTTTAATTTTTTAAACTCTTTCTTGTCTCTAATAATTTTGATTAAATTTTTCTAAGAATACTAGTATAAATGTCACTTAATTGTTAATATTTCTGAAAAAGTTTTTGATTCCTCTGGGACATTCTTTTCTACATGCCTTGGCTTTTCTCTTATATGTTAATTGTTAGGTAATATTTGATTATTTATTTATATCTTAAGTCAGTAAAGACGACCTCTGTATACTTAGGTAAATACAGTCAACTGGCTTTGCTTTAAGGTGACAAGACGAGGCTGAAGTCCTACTCATTACCACGAAAACTCCTAAGTGCCAAAACAATGAAGTTTTAATTTGATGTGATAAAACTCCCAGTATGAGCTTTAACTTTAGAGATAGTTTTTATCATTTCAGTAGAAAATAAATCTCTGATATTTTTATCTAGGCTTAATCGCCTCGCTGAAAGCCTTTCTGTATCCACACAAGGTATAGAGACAAGGAATGGGTAAATGAACTGTTTCATATATAAACTTTCTATTAGTGTCTCTGCTTCAGCCATGCACCTCTGCTTCTCTGTTGGCTGAACTTGCTGCTTAATTAAGTTGGTGTTCTCCCTGAATGCAGCCATACAGCATTAGTTTATGTTCCAGACTGTGGCTTCCTCTGCTCTCCCTAATCAATCTATATAATAGTTATTTCTCTTTGGTTTTCTCAAATATTTGTTGAGAAATGTGTTCAGGAACAGAATATCCTCATTAAGAAAAAACCTTTACATATTTTTAAATAGAGTGTTTAGAAAGAAAAGAAACAAAGATGGGACATGCTGTTACAGTAGGCAGCTAGTCAGACATGAGCAGGGCAGGAGAGGCCCCCCAACCAGGAATGCCAGGTGACCAGCAGGTGATGGTCATGCAGTTGTTAAACTGTCTCTCTAAAATAATGATTGGTCCCAGCCAGCGCCAGGGAAAGGCTGTGTCCTGATAAACAGACACACCTGAAACTTGTGATTAGCAGCTTCCTGATAAGATCCCAGGAGCTGAGCAAGTGGGCTCAAGCATACGCATTATGAGGCAAAATGGCTGGAGTTAACTGGTATATGACCTCCTAGAGACATTTGACTGCTAAAGGAAGAACACCTCAAATGAGCATGTGTACAACTCCAGTAAACACACTGCAGATGCTCACCTCCCAAGTGCTAGCAGGCCACTGCACATGTAGACAGCCCACCCCAAGGGAAGAATCAGGGGAGCAAGAATGCAAGACCCTGGAAGCATACCAACGTATGAAACCTAAAGTCAAAGGTCAAACCATGCACTTGATCTCTCAAGTCACCTGCTTGGCCATCTTCCAACTGTACTTTATTTCCTTTCATTCCTGCTCTAAAGCTTTTAATAAACTTTTACTCCTGTTCTAAAACTTGCCTTGATCTCTCCTTCTGCCTATGACCCTCAGTCAAGTTCTTTCTTCTGAGGAGGCATGAATTGAGGTTGCTGCAGGACCCATATGGATTCACTGCCAGTAACATGTATTTACTGCTGGTGCCTTGGTCTGCCATATTGAAGTGCCTTAGTTTGCCACATTGAAGTGGAAACACACATTCAACAACTATTTATTGAGCACCTACTGTGTGGCATCATTCTGCCATATTTTTATGAACAGAAAAGAAATGGTCTCTAGCCTTGTAAATGTTACCTTCTAGTGACAATGACTAAGTAAACAAACATTTACAATATAATTAAAAGATAAGATGAGTATAATATTTAGAGAAAAGACAGTACTCTGTGAGAGGTAATGATAGAAGAAACAAACCGTAGATTTATTGCCAAGGAAAACAACAACAACAAAACACTGATTAGAAAACAAGTCCAGCTCTAAAAGATAAAGGAGAGCCAAACATGCAAAGAGAGGGTGGGTAGAATCTTACAGACAAAAGGATCTCTGTTTGAAAAGACATTTTAGGAAGCAAAAGTGAGTGGCTGAAAGAAAGCCAGAGTCTGCTACTGAGGAAGTAGATCAAAAAGAGTTTAGAGACAGAGGCAGAGCCCAAACTATTTAGGACACTGTAAGACACAAGAGTATAGATGTTATTTTATGTACTTTGAGATGTTTTATGAAATAATTTATGTTTTAGAAAGATCATTTTGCTCTTCTGAGTAGGAACAAGTTGGAGAGGAAAGGTGGGAGGTGTGTCTAAAAATCAGGAACTTATCCCAAGTATTAAGAGAGAGATGGTGGTGGCTTGAGATGATGCTAGCAGAAGAGAAAAGAATGAGAATAGATTCCGTATGGGTGAGAAAGATTGAATTGCTGATACTTAGTGATGGAATGGTTTTTGGAGGTGAGGAAAACATTCAGATGACTTGAATTTTTTACTGCAAACCTGATTGTCTTGTGAAATGTTTATTGAGATGGAGAAGAATGACCAAGAAAGGAATGAAAAATTTAATTTTGGACTCATTAAGTTTAAAACATTCAAATACAAATGCCAAGATGAGAAGGTGAGACTGAAGATTTAAATTTTGTTTTATTGGCATAGATGTAGGAATGAAAACTATGTGACTCAGTAAAATGACCTAAAGATAAAGAAAAAGGGATAAAAAGAGGGGTTATAACCAAGTTCTCAGGTTAGATACAGACAGAAGAGCCAGCAAAAAAGACTGAAGAAGAATATAATCAGGAAGACATGGGTGGTGGGGCACGGGGGCTTATACCTCTAATCCCAGAACTTTGGGAGGCCAAGGCTGGCAGATTGCTTGAGCCTAGTTTGAGACCAACATGGTCAATATGGGAAAACCCGTCTCTACAAAAAAACACAAAATTAGCTGAACATAGTGATGTGCTCCTGTAGTCCCAGCTACTTGGGGAGGCTTAGGCAGGTGGATTGCTTGAGCCCTGGAGGTCAAGGCTGCAGTAAGCTGTGATCATGCCAGTGGACTCCAGCCTGCCTGGTTGCCTAGATGACAGAATGAGACCCTGTCTCTCTCTTAAAAACAAAACACACAAAAAAAGATATGGGAAGGGGAGATAGGCAGAAAGCCAGAAATAAGCCAGAAATTTCTATATCTGGGAAGTCACGAGAAAGGAGAGTTCAAGGAAGGCAGCTTTCAAATGAGAGGCAGAGAGGTATGCATTTGATTCGGTAATGCAAAGATCATTGTTTACTCTGAAAATGGCTATTTCAGAAAAGCAGAAAGGCAAGTTAGATTGGAGTATTTCTAAGTGTAAATATGAGATAAGGAAGTAGTTGGGAAAAATATGTATTTAAAATTATTATAGAAATTTTATATACGAGAGAGATGAGAAAGGAACTGAATGGATATAGGATAAAGGAGGATATTTAAGTGTGCTTATTTGTTTGATTATAAAATGGAAGACATTACTTCTTAATACATAAAGCTTCTGACATAAGCGCTTGGGTCCACTGTTGTGCCTGTAATGTTCTCGATGGCCTGAGACAAGTGAGCCACTTGCCTTAGTCCTTCAGCAGTCTCATCAGCTTTCCCTAGTATGATTTCAAATGATTAGAACTTTATATGTGTTATGTTGTAAAACATGTGAACCATGACTTCTGGAGTATAGAAAGCATCCAACAGAGAGAGGTAGACAGAGCTTAATGACACAGGAAGAAGATAAATGATGAAAGTAAAGTCATGGAGAAGGCAGCACATGTAGAATGATTCACCTTTGCCGAGAGATAGAAACACCACCAATGCCACCCCAATATTTTCAGGAAAAAGGAGAGAAGTTGTTCCTGGCAGATGCAGGTAGGTGTATAGATTTGGTCCTGAGAACATAATGGGCATTTCTTTGAATGATTTCCATTCTCCATGTAAAATGTAAGGCAAGATTGCATGTGCAAGTGAGGAGGAAAAAGGTAGGGCATTTGCAGAGCATGGAGGAGATGTGGAATAGTTATTTCAAAGAGAAAGAACAATGTTACTTGAGAGAATGGTTTTATGTCCATTTGAGGTGCTGCATCTTGCTCAGCTATTCTGATCAGAGATGTAACATTCGGCCCAGCATGGTGGCTTATGCCTGTAATCCCAGCACTTTGGGAGGCTAAGGTGGGCGGATCACCTCTGAAGTCAGGAGTTCGTGACCAGCCTGACCAACATGGTGAAACCCCATCTCTACTAAAAATACAAAAATTAGCTGGGCATGGTGGCAGATACCTGTAATCTCAGCTACTCAGGAAGCTGAGGCAGGAGAATCGCTCGAACCCAGGAGGCAGAGGTTGCAGTGAGCCGAGATCACGCCATTGCACTCCAGCCTGGGTGATGAGAATGAGACTCCATCTCAAAAAAAAAAAAAAAAGAAAAAAAGAAAAAAGAAAAGATGAAACATTGTTAAATGTAGTTATATAATTATTTGTGTACATTGCTTAAATTCTAACATATCTAGAATATAAACCCCTGGAAGCCAGGAATGTTTGTATCCCTTAGGGCTTCATTGCTGACACTAGGTGCAAAGTAAGCACACAACACATATTTGTTGAATGAATGAATGTGTTAATGAATGAGCAATTCTGACTCTTACAAAAGGCTTTTATATGATCAAGAGACTATTCAGTGAATTGCAACATTGGATTTTGGGGGAAGAGCCTCCTTTTGTCCAATTATTTATCTTCTCCTCCATCTTTTCCTCCTCTATTTCTTCCTCTCATCCAAATAATACATAACCATATCCAGCCAAACCCATTTAAAAAATATTGCTCCCTAACGTAAAGGTTGATTTTCAGCCAAAATGCCTGTAACTGATTTAATTGGACAAATCTTAGAACAAATTAAAAATTTAATAATAAATCCTCCAAGTAGGAATCACCTTTCTAGCATAATCTTTTAATGGTGGATGGTCTTTTCACACATAATGCCAAAGTCAGCTCTTTTCCATGAATCCTGTACTATCAGGTTTAAGATATAGCTTTAACTTGATTGACTCCACTTTCTTTTTTGCCCCAAGGAAACCTGTTGACTCTGCTGGCATATTTACTGCTGCCCTTGCAGATATATGAACTATCCCAAGCATAATGTGACCACAGATGGTATAAAGCTCACTTTAATCAATCTCTTGCTGTGTTTCTGGAATCGCCACTGGCAGCCCCGGCTTCAAGCCTGATTGTCAGTGCCCAACATGTGCACCCTGGTTGTGTGGGGGCACTCATCTATTTAATTTTAATAGAACACAATGTAGCATCTTTACCTTGCAGTTTTCAAGAGAGTAAATATTGCTCACTACTCTTCAGCTATTTCATGGATGACTATTCTGTCTGAGCGAAGGGATTTCAATGTGTTGGATCTTTCTGTATAAAAGAAGCAAGCAGATGATGTGAAATGTTTTAATCTTCCTCAAGTGACTATAACATTATTTCAAGCAGTCTTTTGCTTCCTTGGACCAACAGAAAAGGGGCATGGCTTGTTACACTAACCAAATGCATATCATCATTATCTGCTTCTGGGAAACCGACCTCCAGCTTTGTTGGACAATCTGGAGTAGAAAATGCTATTTGTTTACCTGGTTCAGATTTTAGTGGAGAATGCTGTCTTTCATCTTCACAGCTCTAATACCTGTTTGTGAAATTGAACTGCAGTTTTGGAAGAGGTTTTATCCTCTGGTAGCTGCAGGGTAAATGCAGATTTTCTAGCTACTCTTAACACCTTGGGGTGAATATCAGGAAAAGTAGAGTGGAAAGGAGTGATCTGACTAAATTGAATATGCTTTTTGTACCCATTAGTAAATGACAGAGGCCAGGTTAAAAATTACCTTCGATTTTGTACAACTCTGAGACAATTAAAAGTATTATTAACTCTTTTTGCAAATAGGGAAAATTAAGCTTGATTCTATCCAAATAAAAAAGTATACACATTCTTCCTCTGTCAAATTACTACAAATACTCTAACATATGATATTCAAATATTACATTAACTGAAAACATTCTCTATTAGAGATTCTTCCTACTTATCAAGAATCTGTTCTTTTTATAAAAGTTCCAGAAATAAATTTAACAATTCCCAAATGCTACCTTAATTTAACCTTTTGTTCTAATTTAATTTCGACACTTTTATGAATTATACTGATGGATGGAATTCAAATAACATAGCAAAAAACTGAAACAAACTAAGAAACATAATATTTCTTTTATTTGGGTGTCTAGATATCATCCCGTATTATGAAAACCAATATGGAAGGTTGGGTAGCAATCCCAACAGATGAAAGTATCCTTTCTAATATCATGTTAGACTTCATTACCCCATAGGAAAGTGGGGCTTCATCAGGTTTCAAAAGTGCAATCCAAAGAAGACCTGTAAGCACAGGAGTCATATTAATACCAAGAGGTGATTATTAGAATTATTATGCATTTGTACTGTAACTAGATTTATTAAGACTGGATTATATTTCATATTCATTAATTAATTAATGTATCAGTATTCCTCTCAAGAAATAATGGGAAAATTATTCAAGTAACTCCAAGAAACAATGTAATATAATTTATATTTAGTTTACATATATATAATTTTTCATGCAATATAACGTTTTTGCTATGCGTCTATTCTTATTTTAGAGCACTTCACATGCCACTAAATTGTTGCATGTTTTATGGAATTGTCAAATGTCACTGTCAATTTTTTTTTTTTTTTTTTTTTTTTGAGACGGAGTCTCGCTCTGTCGCCCAGGCTGGAGTGCAGTGGCGGGATCTCGGCTCACTGCAAGCTCCGCCTCCCGGGTTCACGCCATTCTCCTGCCTCAGCCTCCCAAGTAGCTGGGACTACAGGCGCCCGCCACTACGCCCGGCTAATTTTTTGTATTTTTAGTAGAGACGGGGTTTCACCGTTTTAGCCAGGATGGTCTCGATCTCCTGACCTCGTGATCCGCCCGCCTCGGCCTCCCAAAGTGCTGGGATTACAGGCGTGAGCCACCGCGCCCGGCCAATTTTTTTTAATAATATAAAGCAGAACTTGTGTGAAAAAAATCAGCAAGTATCCTCCTGTTATTGACCTTAAGACAGGCATATATTCAAACAACTATATTTAAATTTTCATGATCCTGAGCCCTTAAATCCTTTTTGCCATGTTATCCATCACTAGGCTGATAAATAGCATAGCATTTCGATATAATTTTACATAAGTAAAGAATTCATTCAAAAAATTAAGATTCTCATTAATTACTTTGGAGAAAAAAACCGCTCACTATGAAAGGTGACATTATTTCTCACCTTACCGGTACCCATTCCTGTCTGCCTCCCTCTCCCAAATCACCTTCTTTTGGTTTCAGATTTCCATCACTGACTGACTTTTTGGTCTAAAGGTATCTCTCATTCCTCTTCCTACAATGATTGGCACAGCATTGTAGACCTGACCCAATCAGTACATGACATTTATCTTGTTACCAGGAATGATTCATAAATGAGCAGATTAGTTACTTAATTCAGGCAAAAAAAGTTGCACGATAGGTTTACTGGGACTTCTAAAAAGAGACAAAACACATTCTTTCTTTCTCTGGACATTGTAGTGTGAAAATGTGAAGTGTGAATTACAACAGGTTTTTTTTTTTCTCCAATAATCCACCTCCTGATAAAGCCAAATAAGAGAGAAGGACACAGTTGGAAAATATCGCCTAGACATAGCACAGCATGAGAGGCATTAGAGTTAGTCCCAGTGAAAACCCTCCTCTAGGTCCTCTGGTTATATCCGTTTCTAAGGAAATGTATTTCTTGGGAAATACATTTCCTTTGATCTTGGTCCAGTTTAGGTTTTATGTTATTTGTAGATGAAAGTTTTCTAACTGATACATATGACTATTATTACTATTGATTGGGCACAGTATTCTAAAGAGGATGCCAAATATGTTATATGTGATATTTCACCTGATAGTCATCAATATGAAGTATGGTTATAGGTTCAATTTTAAAGATACAGCCCAGAATCACATAGGTGATGAGTGGTAGAGCAAGGATTCAAGCCAAAATCTGACCCCAAATTCTGCAAAGCTATTTTGCCTCAACACTATTCAATAATCAGTATATTAGTATCTTTTCAGGAAATTTAAAGGGAATGCCTATGTGAGTACTTTTGGACTGTGGATAATATGAAATATCATTTCAGGGGCATAGTCATTTCTGTCTGGAAGAGAAAAGAGCATTTCTCTAATTCTAATTGATATTAAAATAAAATTCTGTGCATTTGTACCACACAACACTTTTAATCACATGTTGCTAAGGTGGCACATTGATTCAGAGCCCTTTGAGTTGAAGTATTTATGTAAACTGTATCATTGAGACAGTTGGAGTGCCTTAGGCATAGGGAAATGCTCAGAGGAGAATCAAGACTGCTCTCTTATTGATAAATCTGGGCTCTTGGAATTACCGTAATGAAATAAGAATAGAAAGAAACACATAATCTATGTAACTAATGTCATGCAGAAAGCATAAGGTGTTGTCTTTTTGTTAGCCACAAGAATGAATGAAATACCAATGAAATGAGACTCTTTTAGGTAACTGAGACTACATTCCTTCACATGGGAAGATGAAATATTCTCTCAGAAAGATAAGATCTATTCTTTATATTTTATTCTTTATACTATATAATTTAATAACCTTTTGAATAATTTCTGGTAGAATTGGAATCATGACTTCTATCATCATTTCCTATGGAATGTGGATGGTACCTGGGATACAGAAACATCCCTCCTTCCACCAGAAATGGGAAAGATACAGTCAGAATACAGCAGTAGCTAACATCCTCATTGCTACAGTCATCTTTAGTGAGAGTTGTATAGGGAACAACAGTGACTGAAAATATCTCATTTTAACAGAAGAAAGAACAAGGAATATCTTTATTCATGAGTAGTAGTGGTGAGATCCAGTAGAGTATAGAGGTAGAGATTGTGCTTTGGAGCCAGACTTCCAGGGTTTGAATTCTGCATGTGTTCCGCCACTTACTATCTGGGTGATCTTTAGGAAAACTTTGCTTCCTTCCTTCTTTCCTCCCTCCCTCCCTCTCTCTCCCTTCCTTCCTTCCTTCCTTCCATCCATCCATCCATCCTTCCTTCCTTCCTTCTTTCCTTCCTTCTTCCTTCCTTCCTTCCTTCCTTCCTTCCTTCCTTCCTTCCTTCCTTCCTTCCTCCCTCCCTCTTCCCTCCCTTCCTCCCTCTTCCCTCCATTTCCCTCCTCTCCCCTCCCCTCCCCTTCCCTTCTTTCCTTCCTTGTTAGGAACAAGCTGCCCCAGGAAGCTTCTCAGTGCATCTGACCCTTCCCTCAAATGCTCTACAGCTGACCCTTCCCCAGATGCTCTACAGCTGCATTCCTGAACCCTTATCTAGGCACCACAGCAAGGTCACCAGACTTGCTACGCTGAGCAAACCCTGATTACAGCATGGAGGAGGTCACGAGAAATGTGGATAAACCTAAGTTATACCCTCTTGTAAATTCCTCCGGTCACGAGATGATATGTAGTAAAGTTAACTGACAAACAACTCCAGAGTCTCTCTCCCCCATATGAACCCCTCATTTTTTAAGCTCACGGCTTCCTCCTCTGACTGGTGGAGCAGCCCGGCAGGTTAATAAACATACTTGCCTGACCTTGGGTCTATCTCATCCTTTCTCTCGGCTAACCCTACACTTGTTTCCTTCCTTCCTTCCTTCTTTCCTTCTTTCTTTTCTTTCTTTCTTTTTCAAAATCCTATCTATATGTGGTCATGAGATTTAATTAAACAATTAGGCCAGGCGCAGTGGCTCATGCCTGTAATCCCAGCACTTTGGGTGGCCGAGGCAGACGGATCACCTGAGGTCAGGAGTTAGAGACCAGCCTGGCCAACATGGTGAAACCCTGTCTCTACTAAAAATACAAAAATTAGCCAGGTAGCAGGCACCTGTAATACCAGCTACTCAGGAGGCTGAGATGGGAGAATAGCTTGAACCCAGGAGGCAGAGGTTGCAGTGAGCCAAGATCACACCATTGCACTCCAGCCTTGGTGACAAGAGTGAAACTCTGTCTCAAAAAAAAAATTTAAACAATATAATAAGCAATAAGCCCTGATATTTGCTAGTAGCAGTAATGATGCTAATAATCACAGAAATAAAAATGAAATGGTTGCCATATAATATACCATGCACTGGCCAAATTTGATGCTTTACAAATATTATTTAATCATCAAATACTGCCTTAATGAGAGAGGGAGATAGTATCCATATTTTCAGATGAGCAAGTAAAGAAACAGTGGTTAAGAAACTTTTCCAGGTTCAGCTGGCTTGGGAAAGCCAGGATATAAAGTCAGATCTGCCTATTGTCAAGACTATGCTATTCACCACAATCCAGGGTATTTTTTTACGTATGTTTTTATTTGAGTTAAAATAGAGTACTGAGTGTCATATAAGGAGACACAACTCTCATTTATTCATACACAAATATTCCATATCTTTTGAACACAATATATTCTCTAGAGTAAAACTTGCTCACTGAGAAAGTGAATTAATGATAGCATCACTTTAAGGAAACTATTAAACCATTGCTATGATTTAAATGGTGTCAGAAAAAATGACAGGCAGTATCAGTCTATTCCAACAGCTTGCAAACGTATGACTACAAGAATGGGTGAGTGCAACGAGGCAAACTTACATCTATGCCTCTGCACCATAAAAGTGCAGAGACCAAAAAATAACATCTCACTACATAATGAAAGTAGGTACCATTGTCAAAATTTGTACTTAAAAGAGTATTGACAAGGATAGTGTACAATAAAAAATATAAAGAATGATGATGTATATTTGCTTGATTGTAAGCTCTAAGCCAGGGATGATTTCTTGTCTGTGTTCCCTCACACTACATGTGCTAATGTATCTTTACAGTGAACATCTGGATAAAACCTGCACCAGTTCCACCAACCTACCTGCTTCTATCCCATATAATTCTTGTTCTGGTAGGAGACAAGTCTGTGGTCTCAATTAGTCAGTCCTTCCATCTGTGCACTGGATTCCATTTCCATTCATTTTTTCAGGGAAATTGGTTCTGCAATATAGTTTTCTCTCTGTTGCATCAGCAATTTCTCTTTCTCTTTCTACTGGATCATTCCAGTTGGCACACAACATGCCTTAATAAGATCTTTTTTTAAAAAAAATCATCACATAACTCCACATTAAGCTCCATAATCTATTACGGGGCATAATCACTGCCTTGTTTTTCTATTCCTCAATCAAGCAAAACTCCAATAGAAGAGTTGTCTTTTTTTATTGCTCTGTCTTCCCATCCTCTCTTCAGCCTACTCCAAGGGGGCTTTTCTCCATGCAACTCCAATGAAAAAGCTATTTGCAGGGTTACAAATGATCAAAGCAAGTGGTCAATTCACTGCCCTATTTTACTTCACTTTTTAGCAGCATTTAATAGAACACTGTTTTTTTTCTTGAAACAGACTTTTTTTTCTTACCTTCAAGTATACCCAAGATGCTTGATTTTCTTCTTCCTTCATTATCTTCCTTTCAAAGTCTCCTTTGGTGGCTCCTCCTCTACCAGACATGTAAACATCCTAGTGCTCCTCTAGTATACTCTTCAGCTAGAGAATCTCATCAACTCTCAGAACTTTAATTACAACCTATGCATGGATGACATTCAAATTTTATCTTTTCCCTCATTACTGAGTTTTAGACTTTTTTGGTTTAATTTGTCAAAGCTACTCTCCCAAATATTCATCATATCAACAAATGCACCATTCTATTGAATTGTTTGTTTATTCTCCACACAAAACATTGTCTTTGATTCCTCACATCCCCTCACATGACACACACAATTCATTAGTTAATCTCCTTGGATTCACCTCAAAAATATTTTTGCAATTCAACCATCACTGTTAAATTCCTAACACCTAACATCTTTCACCTAGTCTATTGAAATAGTATCTTAAGGGTACATTCACCTCCATTCTCACTTCACTATGTTCTACCATGTACATAGCAGCCAGACTCTACTTTAAAAAGCAAAGATCAGATTACGTCACTTCACTGTGGAAATCCCCTTATCCTTAGAATAATAGAAAACTCCTCATCATAACCTTCAAGACCACACATAACATGGTACTGAGTTACCCCTTAGACCAGTTTTGGAACCACTTGTTCGTTCTGCTGTTGTTACCCTTGCTTTTTTCCACACAAGACAAATTTGTTTCCGCAGAAATATTTTATTTCATCCCTGAAATATACTTTCCCATTTCTTTGAATGACTAATAACACTGTCAAGGAATTTATTCCTTTGAGCATGTCACCTACTCAGAGTCTTTTCCTGATGGTCTATTCTAACGTTGACCATGCCATCACTTTCAATGGCCTCACCTTGTTTCATTTTGTTCTTGTATTTATCACTATCTGAAATTGTTCTCTTTGCTTACATATTCGTTTATTTGTGTGTGTATTTACTTACCATCTGTGTCATCCGATTCTCTGACACTGGAATATAAATCTCAAGATATTGTGATTTTGTTTCCATTACTGATGACTGTATTCAGTGGACAGCTCCTGGTTCTTCCCAAACATTGGAGTAGAAAGGTAATAAAGAGGAAATGATGAAAACTAAAAAAAGATAAAGCATCATTTCTTTTGAGAAAAATAACAGCCATGTAATTATTAGACTTAAAACTCTTTGGATGTATACATACTTTCTTCCTAAAGGATGAATGCATGCTTAAAGTATATCATTTCTAGACCACTATAATGAGATGCAGCAGCCTTTTAACAAAAACAACAAGTTACAGGGAAAAGGGGATTGCCAGAAGCCCACAAAGTATAAAGCACAGAGGAAACGGAGCATAGACATTTTCTTCTGTCTGCCTATGTCATTCTTCTCCTTTAGAAAGTAGTTTTCTGACAGCATTTTGTCCTACTTTTGTTTTTATATTTTTTTCTAGCCTTTTAGGTCTCAGTTTTCATCATCACCATCAAAACCAGAACAGGTAATATTTGTTTAATTACTTCTAGACTTTAAAATTCCACTAGATTTTAAAATCCAGATAAAAAGATATTAGTATATTTAATTGATCATTATATTCTTGCTAGTTAGTATGGATCTTAAGACCTAATAAGTATCAAAGTATTCGAGAAACTATATTTAGCACTACATTGTGCTGCCTCCTTAATCCTCATAAAAACAACGTAACCTGGATTATATTGTTTTCTTTTTCACTGAGATTATGGGTACCAAGGAAACTGAAGCATAGAGACACTAATTGTTTTTTCAAAAGAATAAAAAATGACCAGTTTATAAGTAAAATGGCTGGGAGTCCCATCAAGTTGGTGTGATTCAAATGACCCAGTGTTTTAATCACTAACCGAATAACTCTCAAACTGCAGTGTGCAAAGGAATCATCTGGATTATTTCTTTTTTTCTTTTCTTTTTTTTTTTTTTTTGAGACAGAGTCTCCCTCTGTCCTCCAGGCTGGAGTGCAGTGGCACAGTCTCAGCTCACTGCAAGCTCCGCCTCCCGGGTTCATGCCATTCTCCTGCCTCAGCCTCCTGAGTAGCTGGGACTACAGGGGCGCCCGCCACCACGCCCGGCTAATTTTTTGTATTTTTAGTAGAGACGGGGTTTCACTGTGTTAGCCCGGATGGTCTTGATCTCCTGATTTTGTGATCCGCCCGCCTGGGCATCCCAAAGTGCTGGGATTACAGGAGTGAGCCACCACGCCCGGCCTAGATTATTTCTTAAAAAGCCAGATGCCATATTGCCAATTTTCATCTCAAGATATTATGTTCAAAAGTTCTTGGATGAGTTTCATGAATCTTTTTCCTTTCTTTCTTTTCTTTTTTTTCTGACAAGGTCTCACTCTGTCGCCTAGGCTGGAGTGTAGTGGTGCAATCTCGGCTCACTTTCACCTCCACCTCCTGGGTTCAAGCGGTTCTCCTGCCTCAGTGTCCCGAGTAGCTGGGATTACAGGCGTGCGCCATCATGCCTAGCTAATTTTTGTGTTTTTAATAAAGACGGGGTTTAACCATGTTGGTCAGGCTGGTCTCAAACTCCTGACCTCAAGTGATCTGCCCACCTTGGCCTCCCAAAGTGCTGGGATTTACAGGCATGAGCCACTGCGCCAGGCCTTTTTTGTTTTTTTGTTTTTTGTTGTTGTTTTTTTTTTTTTTGAGACGGAGTCTTGCTCTGTTGCCAGGCTGGAGTGCAGTGACCCCATCTCAGCTCATTGCAACCTCCACCTCCTGGGTTCAAGCGATTCCCCTGCCTCAGCCTCCCGAGTAGCTGGGTCTACAGGTGCGTGCCACCATGCCCAGCTAATTTTTTGTGTTTTAGTAGAGACAGGGTTTCACCATCTTGACCAGGATGGTCTTGATCTCCTGACCCTGTGATCTGCCCACCTCGGCCTCCCAAAGTGCTGGGATTACACGTGTGAGCCACCGTGCCCAGCCCACATACTTCTTTTTTAAACAATTAAAATAAAATCTTATAGACAACATAACCTTAGAAATTTGTTAGTTTCAATAATGGCATATTGCTGGGGTCTTCCCACATAATCTTAAAAGTGAGCTCACATTACTGTTTTGGTGCCCTTTAAATTAAATAATGAAGCTGATCCCAATCTTCTAAACAGCCAAACCTAAGTCTTTGCATTTGCTTGAATTATCCAAAATATTTCCTGTGATTACCTTTATTTAACCTAGTAAAAGACCTCTTTGTTCATAGGTAAAATGTTTTCAGCCTTGGACATACATACTCTAAGTAACAAATGAGGATATAGCACATATGAATATGGTTTAGATTGAGATTTTTATTTTATTTTAGGTATTTATCTATAAAGGACAAAAAAAGCTAATATCACTTTTAAATTTATATCACATAAACCAGAAAGAGAGTATGATCAAAGTTTAAAATCTTTCATGTTTATTTTGGTAGATAAGAAAAAATAATTGCAATATTTTGTTTTTAGGGTCTATGTAAGGTAGAGGCCGACTCACCCACTCAATTGATAGCTGAAGCAGGAAGAAAAAACTCACATGCTTGCTAACTGGGAGAGCAAAGTTATGAAACACATTTCCAAAAACAAAGAGACAAACATGATATGTATAAGAAGACAAGGATGCAATCATACTGTTTATAAATACCTTTAAATTATCAAGCATATAGAGATAAAATTTAAGCAAATGTCTTTGCATTGTCACAAGCAGAGAATGCAAATTTACTCATAAATTGTTAATTGAAAAGATACCTAATTACGGGATATTTAAAAATGTACTTTTTCCTAGTTCTTTTTGTGTTTATTATAAAGATAAACATACAATAAACACAGCAGGAATAAAATGTCCTTTAATTTTCTATTCCTGAGGAGAAGCCATCTGTAATTTTTCAAAATACTGATCAACTAATAAGCAAATATTAGCCAAGAATCAAGCATGCTGTTTTTGTCATTTTTGAAAACACCAGAATGTCTAAAACATATTTCCTGTTGTCCAGTAGCTTAAAGATTAGTTGAAGCACTTAACTTTCATACATTTTGCATCCTAATAAATTAATAGTCAAATGAATAAAGACAACAGCATGATAGGAAGAAGGGATAGATATATATCAACTAGATTAGAAATGTCCTCATAGAGAAGGTGCATTTCAGATGAACCTTGAAATATAGGCTTTGATAATTTGAAAGATAGAGGCAGAAAATTCTAAGTGAAGCAAAAACATGGATAAAATTATAGAAGAATATGCAATGAATATGCTAGGAAGGAAAATTGGCTGCGTTGGTGAAAGTTGAGAGCATAGGAAAAAAGAGATAAAATCTCAAAAAAGGCCCACAGCCTAGAGAGTTCTGATTGCTGATCTAAGAATATAGGAAAATCAGAGGTACTGAAGGATTTCAAGGCTAGAAGTACCTTATAAAAGTACAATTTGAAAACATTCGTGTAGTAAAACTGTGGAAGTGGGGAGCTGCAAGTAAATTCAGAGACAGTAAAATTATAGATTACAATAGAAGAATGGAAAGAAAAGACAAACATGATTATGTTATTGAAGATATCTGGAAAAGTACCCTAAGGTGGCCCAGAACTCCAGACACTGGCCATTTAAATTTTATTATAAAAATTTCATAGAAATAGAGAATACTCATAAATGATAATTGTTGCCCTTAAGAAAGTAACCAAACATCTCTGAGGCCTTTCCCTGACAGACATCCTGCAGGTCTTTACTAAGATTAAATTAGAAAAAGCCACTAATCCCTTGTTTAGTTATCTTACTTTGTTTTCTTTGGACATTTAAATCTGGAAAAATAGAGTAGATAGAAAACTTTTCTTTTGTATCCCTATAACATGAAAAAGTTAAAATAAATTTCACTATAATTCTAAATTTTCTAATCCAGGAAGAATAATCAAAGAGACAGAACATCCTTTTCTTTGCTGAAGATCATTTATAAATTTTGGCCACCTCTCTTTGGTCTATTCCAGTTTCTCTGGATGTATGATTCTGGTTATTACTGAAACCTTCCAACAGCCAATGAAGTGAGTTTGGAAATAAATGTCCCCCCTCAGGTGATTCCAGATGATTGCAGTTACAGCTGATGATTTGACTGCAGACCATTTATCTCTTTGACATACTGATTTTATTTCCTTTACATGCACACTCAGAAGGAGGATTGCTAGATCATTTGGTAATCCTGCTTTCGGTTGAGGACACTCCGTACTGTTTTCCATAATGGCTGCACTAATTTATATTTCCACCAACAGTATACTAGGGTTCCCTTTCTCCACATCTTCATCAACACTTGTTATCTTTTGTCTTTTTGATAATAGCCATTCTAACAGGTATGAGGTAACATCTCCTTGTGGTTTTAATTTTCACTCACCTGATTATTACATATCTTGAACATTTTTTCAAACACTTGTTCATTTGTATGTATCCTTTGAAAAACATCTATTTTTGTTATTTTGCCTATGTTTTAACTGTATTATTTGTTTTCTTGCTATCAAATTGCTTGAGTTCCTGATATGGAATTAACCTAAGTGTCCATCAAAGGATGAATGGATAAAGAAAATGGGGTAAATATATACAATGGAGTACTATCCAACCTATAAAAAGAAGGAAATATTTGGGAGGCCGAGGCGGGTGGATCACAAGGTCAAGAGATCGAGACCATCCTGGCCAACATGGTGAAACCCTGTCTCTACTAAAAATACAAAAATTAGCCGGGTGTGGTGGTGTGTGCCTGTATTCACAGCTACTCAGGAGGATGAGGCAGGAGAATCGCTTGAACCTGGGAGGTGGGGGTTGCAGTGAGCCGAGATCACACCACTGCACTCCAGTCTGCGTGACAAAGTGAGACTGCTTCTCAAAAAAAAGGAAATCCTATTGTTTTTGACAACATGGATGAACCTGGAGGACATTACCCATGTGAAATAAGTTGGGCACAGAACCACAGACACCACATGATTTCACTTCTTTGTGGTATCTCAACAAGATGAACTTAGAGTACAATGGTGGTTACCAGGCGCTGGGGGTAGGATAAATGTGTTGGTCAAAGAATACAATATTTCAGTTAGATAGAAGGAATAAGTTCAAGAGTTCTATTGTACGACGTACTGACTATAGTTAATAATTATATATTGTCTTCTTGAAAATCACTAAGAGAATAGATTTTAAGTGTTCTCACCACACAAAAAATGTAAGTATGTGAGGTAATGCATAAGTTAATTAGCTTGATTCGGCTGTTCCATAATATATACATATTTAAAAACATTACACTGTACCCAATAAACAAATACAATTTTTATTTATTAAAGCATTGCTTAAAGTTTGTTATTTTAAGAGGAAAAACTTGTTAAATAGGCACATTGTACGACAATGTGTTTCTGCATAGCTTGTATTAGTGTGCATTGCATTCAAGTGTTGCTATTTGATGAACAAATCACTAGATGTAGGGTGGGAAAGTCACAAATGCTCCTGTGCATCTTTGCATTGTATTGACATCATCCCTCATATACTGATTGTGTGAAAGCTTATTTACTTCGCGAAAATGTGCATTTAGGTTGAGCCTGCTTTTCCAGAAGCAACAATGTTCTGAAGAACAACCGTGGAGCTCACTAAAGTATTTTTTAAATCTCAAGTTTATTCTACTTCTTTTTTAAAATTTTACTTTAAGTTCTGGGATACATGTGCAGAACGTGCAGGTTTTTACATAGATATACATGTGCCATGGTGGTTTGCTGCACCTATCAACCTGTCATCTAGGTTTTAAACTCTGCATGCTTTAGGTATTTGTCCTAATGCTCTCCCTCCCCTAGGAGTCCATTTGTTCTCATTGTTCAGCAACCACTTATGAGTGAGAACATGCAGTGTTTGCTTTTCTCTTCCTGTGTTAGTTTGCTGAGGATGATAGTTTCCAGCTTCATTCATGTTCCTGAAAAGGACATGAACTCATTCTTTTTTATGGTTGCATAGTATTCCATGGTGTATATGTGCCACATTTTCTTTATCTAGTCTATCATTGATGGCCATTTGGGTTGGTTCCAAGTCTTTGCTATTGTGAACAGTGCTGCAATAAACATACATGTGCATGTGTCTTTATAGTAGAATGATGTATAATCCTTTGGGTACATACCCATAATCGGATCGCTGGGTCAAATGGTATTTCTGGTTCTATATCCTTGAGGAATTACCACACTGTCTTCCAAATGGTTGAACTAATTTACACTCCCACCAACAGTGTAAAAGCGTTTCTATTGCTTCGCATCCTTGCCAGCATCTGTTTTTTTCCCAGACTTTTTAATGATTGCCATTCTATTCTACTTCTTATGATTCTTTTAAGAATTACATAATGGGTGTATAGGATGAGAAATTTTTTTCATTTCCTGTCATTCTTTTCTCTCTTTTTTTCACCCTCATGGAAAAGGAGTTTTTGGTAGGACATTAGGGAGAAGCTTTCAGCATAGTAATGCATCAAAAAATAGTTACTATTAACTACATAAACATGAGGAACTTGTCTTGCTCTGGGGAGAGGACTTTGGCATTCCAAGCTTCTTTCCCCTTTGCTTATCCAACTCTATTTGTTTCCTTCCAGAAAGGATGCAGGAATATATCTAGGGTTGAGCAAGGGTAAAAAAATACAGAGAGCAGGAAAAGATTTAGGTGAACCTGCAGTAATGAATAGAGATTGAGACAATAAAACAGATTCTCGGGTACCCTTTCAAACAGGATTCTATGGACAGAAAAGTGATTTGATAACAACAGCAAGGAAATATTTTACACCACATTTTGGATGCAGTATGTGCTCATAATCAGTGGTTAAATAATATCCATTTTATTTTTAACAATGACCAGCATATTTGCACAGTTTTCCAGGCATTGTGAACCCACTGAAGAGTGAGATATACATAATATATTGCCATTATTTCCCATTCACTTCTTTCATATGTCAAGTTTTAAATGCATTTATGTGGTCCTCTTAAAGGAGATAATGCTTGAAAAGTTTTCTGAGAGTACCCAAACATTGATATTGCTTAATAAACGTGAATGATTATCACTGTCATTAAATTTTAGGATAATACCCTCACTTTTAAAGATATGACTGTAGCAGTTAGAGAAAACTTCAATTAATCAGCCTCCAACTGAGTAGAATTTTCTTTTTAACCTACAATTCACACTTGCTGAAATAACATAATAATAGAAAAATATTTTACATTTTCTATTAGCAGAACCTGAAATTAAGGGAATCCGTGCTCTGGACATGATTCCATAGGAATTTAGAAATATATTCTATTATGTCCAACACCAAATCTAACACAAGGAAGCCTTCGGGTCAATCAGTCTTTCTTTCATGCAGTCAATAGCCTTTGTTAAACACCTTCTAAAGGCTGGGCATTATTCTAGAAACAGAGAAAGAGGGAAAGACAAAATGAACAAAAGCACTTGACACCATGAAGCTAAGTATGGAGACGACAGATCTTAACAAATGAGTACAGATCATTAATGAAGTACCTGCAAATAGGAAAATGCCTCAAAGGTAAAAGAGGCTTGGAAACCACAAGCCATCAATAAGTTACTCAGCAGATTACTACAAGCCACTGTATCTCAAAAAATGTGTGTGGTGATTCTTTGCCAAAATCAGCAGTTTTCTCTCCAAATCATTGAATAAGCATCTTCTTCCCCAACTGTGACAGAATCTCCACTGATGAGGAAGCATTCTGATCCCTTTAGAATTGTAAAGCTCCTCAAGAGCAAATGGAACAGAGCTTAACCATCTTATCTACTACTCTCGCAAGCCTCAGTTTAGTTCCAGGCCTTTGCTTAACAGCTTCAAGTTTCCTTTGGCCTCCTTATTACCTGTTGTATCACCTTTGGATGACCAAATGACTCATGTTCTATTACTTTTCTGAATATGTAAGTCTAAATTTTACCATGATAATTCCCAGATTCCAACCTACCACTCAACCACCTCAAGGACTCAGCTTCATATAGGACAATTTGTTCCTATCAGTAATAAAATAGTTTTTAAAAAGATTCTTAGTGTCAATACTCATTTAATTATTTAAATTCTACAATTATGGTATTATTCCATAACAAAATCAATAGTATCTGGGGGAAAAACACCCAAGGCTCTAAAAAAACTAAGAAAGAGATGATTTTTAGTACAAGTATTGCCTAAAGCTGTAACTGGACTATATTTAAGAATACTTTTTAATATCAAATATTAAGATCAAAGTGTTTTTTCTGGTTTATCTACTATTTTCTCTGTCCCCTCAGATATTCAGCTAATCAAAGTTTTAATGTAGTAATGTGAAATTAATGTAGAGACTATGTTTCAAGTCATGAATTGGTTCCAGTAGATTTCAATGTAATAACTTAATCAGTTTTATTAAACTAATTTTAAAAAGAAGTTGGAAAATGTATGTGGTATAAGTAGAATCAGCATTAATTTACATGTGAGCTAGGAAAGCTTATATTGAGGATAGATAACAGATATTAATTAATAAATTTTAAAAACCTAATAGCTAAAAGTCATGTATTCTAAAGAGGTACTTTTTATCTTAGTGCTACAATCAATATTCAAAGTATGATGTTTTGGGAATCTAGATTTTAAAGAAATAAAAAGGAAAAATAAGCCACATAGCACTTATTGTATTTTATATAAGGCTTAAATAAAAATTAGAAAATTTAATTTAAAAATAAAGCATTCATTTTTTTCTGAACATTAAACATAATTAACACATAAAATATTTAAAAGAAAAAAATGTATATCTGCTAAATTAAAGGCAAAAGATTTTCCAACTTTTTCAACAGAAATATAAAATCACTAATGAATTCCACAAGCACATCAAAACAACATCACTGTCTGTTACAGACATTGGGATAGATGTATTATGTGTAGAGGGTTAATGAAACCAATTCCCTGGTTTAGAATGTAAGTACTGGATGCAAAGAAGCAATATAAAATCTTGGATGTTAGAAAATGACTTGGGAAATTAATTAAAATTCTATATTTTATTTCATGTCAGTCTGCCTGATCGGAATTTTAATGCTTGACTTATAAACAGAGATCTCTGTTTGCTTTGAAGGGTTATGAAAATAATGAAGGAAATATTATTGTAACAAAATAAAGATGTTATTTGTAGCCCTTTAAAATTCAGGTTAAATTCTCAAGTAGCAAAATGAACTTTTCAAAGAATACATTTGGTCAAACTTGAAATTTGGTCAAACAAAAGCCAACATGGTGCTTGTGAACCACACTTTTAAAAGCCATGGCTAAGATCACAAAATAGACACTTTTATTGACTGCTTCTCTTTCAATAACTTGTCCATTTTTCAATCAATTCTTCCTCCTTTATCCTTTTCAATGCTCCAAAGTTGTCCCCCCACTAATTCTATACTGCTCAATTACATCTTTTAAAGCTCTGAGTAAATAGTATATGCCATTCCTTGTGAAGATTACCCAGTCTTCTGATTTATAGACTGAATCGTTGAATTAGTCGCTAAACTCGGCTGTTTGTTCTGTTTCCTTACGCTTTCAGCATCAGAGAGAGTATTTCTTGTCAACTTTAAGGAAGGGTGTAGTTTTTAAGGTAAAAGATAAAGAAAAAAGAACCTATGACATATTCACTGCCATAGTCAATCTTGTACGTGGGCTGCCTCAGACAGTCACAGAAGTTAAATAAGGAATTGGCTTTTCACATCCAAACTGTCTGTTTCCTATTAAGTTTCTGCCCCTTCATTTCCTTTTTGTTTATTCCTCTGAAGTTTCTTCTTGGAAGCTACTGATGTGGTGGTAAGAGAACAAAACTTGCTTTAAGCACTCATCATACAAATTAAATTTTACGTAAAAGCAATTGGTATTGCTGCTGAGTAAGTTCTTCCTGTAGATCTCTCAGACACTCTGCAAAATTGCCTGCTGACCTACTCCATGGGCCAGAGATGCCAGTGGCCTGATAGCCAATAGTATCTATCATAGGTGACATTTATAGTGGAGAGCTCCTTTCAGTTGTGCCAAAAGTACACAGCAACTGCAAACAGGCTATTTGAGATGAAATGATATATTATATTAAATTATATGCTGCACTTTCAACTGAAAAATGAGCATCCTAAAGCACTAAAATACTCTTGAAAACCAACCTGAAAAAACTGAAAATTAGAAAATTTTATTTCGATGAACGGAGTAGGTAAAAATGCATAAAGATGGCATCTGCACATTTACGAAATGTAAAGTGTATTCATCCTTTTAATTCTCAGTTTAATGTCAAGATATATGTGGTGTAATCTCCACTTTACAGATGAGAAAATTGAGGCTTAGATAGATTAAGTGATTTGTCAGAGTTGAAACAGCTATTTAAAAAGATTCACATGCACATAATTTGCACATATTTAGAGCCCATAGCATATTTCTTTCCTTTTTATAATGTTTTACATCATTAAGAATACTGTTTAGTTCCAAAGAATCTTGTTTATGAATTACCTTTTAGAGGACTGGGAGACTAAATATATGGTGTGATTTCAAGAGTGGCAGGAAAGTTTCTTATCCCGCAAAGCATCTATTACCTGGGATTATATACCTAGAGATTTGATATAAAGTACCTGCAATAGTCATAGAATATCATATATCTTGGACTAGATAGTGAAATATTAAAACTGAAACTGATGTGATGATTAATCTCCCATCCAATTACTAACCAAGCCTGACTCTGCTTAGCTTGGGAGATCAGATGAGATCAGGAACATTCAGGTATGACCATAGACCTGATGATTAATCTAATTCTACACCATCCTTTTACCCATGGTGGATCTAGGGCCAAGAGAGATGGTATTTTGGAAAAATGCACTGATAATTTTAATTATAGACTTAAGGATAGAAATCTAGTCTTAAGTGTCAAGTTCTTCTCTTTGTTCTGTACCATTTTTGCCTTGCTTGTCAAGAATTCATAATTTGATATCAGGTCCAACTATGTTGAGACTTTGGTGAATTCATTAATGCTGTCCAAGAACATTTCAGTCCTGTCCTATAAGCCCAGTAATAGTTATTGTAAGAGACATAATGAGGTAAAGTTTATTGACATATGAATGTGTAAAAAGCTTCACTGGAGTAATTCTTTAATCAAAACTTTACTCAGTCTGAGAAATATACTGCAGGGAAAAGATAACACCTCTATTTTAGCACTGCAGTTATGCCTATCCTTAAGCTTTCAGTAATAAAAACATGAGTATAATCAGAAATAGGGACATCATTACATACAATCCATTTCTTATGGATCTTTACCCAAAATATTTTCAGTTTGATTTTTTGTTTATTCTGATTTTACAAGGAAGGTTAAGTTAACCTTTTATTTTCCTGCTGTCAGCTAGATTTCTGATGTTTGAAGGTAGCTCTTATATTAAATAGATGTGACAGTAGAAAATATAATTATTCAGAATTAGCTCTTTGGAAAGGAAATTTATGGCTTAGGAGAGGTATTTTGTGTGGGTAATAATGTAATCGTAAATTACTGAACCTCTCTTCCAACTTTCCCTCCACCAAAGAGTGCCTGCTGAAGTTTGCATTTGAAACCCATATTCATCTGAGAGCTTCAGAATTTCTGGGGAAAAATACTGCTCCCTGTGTTTCTAGGCATGAGCAAGGAATGTGTTGAGGAAAACAATGCACATGTCTACTTGTGTTGCCACCATAGGTCTAACGTAAGTGTCTGGTCCAGACATGTAGGTACTGCTCTTGAAGGGAACTTCTTCTAATCCATGTAATTGGAAAGAGCTACTTAACAGTATCAATAATTATGGAGCACATCCTTCCACCTCACACATCAACAGCAGGTTACTAGTTCATTTGCTGGAGACCAAAATGATTAAAATCTGTTATGTCATTCACAGTGTTATGATTTGGCTCTGTCAAGAAGATTTGACTTGAAGATGCAATAGAAATACCAAATTATGGATGGCTAAAGATGAATTATAACATACTTCAAGGGCAATCAGTAAATTGAGAGAACACCAAGATGAGTAATGGTTAAATGCATAGCTAAAGTTACCAAACCAAACAAAGCAAACAAAAAACAAGGTATTAAATCTGTGGATTCTCCTACTCTATGATTCAGTAAGTCCCATTTTAGGTACTCATGAACTCAGGCAAGGATTGTCAATTGGTGTGAGAGTCTTCATAATTATTATCTATCATAATGTAGCAGTGTAGCTGCTAAAGTTCTTCATTCTCTGTCTTATATAGTGGTTGGCTAACTAACATGGCCTCTGAACTTTCTCTTTTTGTGTTGCCTTATTAAATACCATAAAACATGTTCATGCAAAATGCTTTTGAAACGTAGCTCACTTATTTATAATTAGAACAACAAACCTCTGAAAATGTTTTCATTAAAAAAATGAATTTAAAGCCAATATATTATAAAAGTGCACAGAGTAATTTAAAATTTTTATAACATGCATTTAATGTTAGCTGAAAAATTTAATCTTTTTGGCCATTTATTTGTGTTGTTCAGATATCAGTGATGTTTGAATGCTTTCAGTATGTAAAATAAATATATATGAACCCAAGATAAGAATTTCCTTAATATTTTTAATATCTAAATTCAAATTAAAAGCTTCAAACTTAAAAAATTTATATCTTAGCTGGGTCCCTAGCCAAAGTTACATCTTACTATGGTTAAAAAACATATAGAAAATTTACAACTCTTCAATGGCAGAGCTTTTGAACTTGTGGCCTTGGCCTTAGGAGAAAATCCAGCATGGTTCTATTAAAGTAGGGGAGAGAGACCAGGTGCGGTGGCTCACACCTGTAATCCCAGCACTTCGGGAGGCCACGGCAGGCGGATCACAAGGTCAGGAGATCGAGACCATCCTGGCTAACATGGTGAAACCCCGTCTCAACTAAAAATACAAAAAATTAGCCAGGTGTGGTGGCAGGCACCTGTAGTCCCAGCTACTCGGGAGTCTGAAGCAGGAGAATGGTGTGAACCTGGGAGGCAGAGCTTGCAGTGAGCTGAGATGGCACCACTGTACTCCAGCCTAGGCGACAGAGAGAAATTCCGTCTCAAAAAAAAAAAAAAAAAAAAAAAAAAGGATAAAGTAGGGGAAAAAATGTCAAGTTCTATTCATGCTTTTCCACACCCATTGTCCTGAGACAATAACAGATACTCAAAGCTCTCACTCAGATGTCCTCACTATAGAAACCCTGTGCTTGAGAAGAACTGAGGAAAACGGATAATGACTACTTAAACTTGGACAGTTGTTTTTAACCCCTTCTAGCCCTCCAAACCCTCAGGGCTGGCAAATTAACATCTAGTAGTGTTTTTTTGTTTTTTCCTAATGCCAGGACAAGGGAGAGTTACAAGGCATGAAGCTTTGGCTGGCAGACTTGTTTGTTAGGTTAAAAACTGTCTTGACTGTGGTTGTCTAGAGCCAGGGACCCTTAAACAAAGGACTCATCCGTTGCCCATCCCCTAAGCTCTCTGGGGCTAACTTGGACCAACCTGACAGTGCCTGTCAGAGTAGCTGGTACTTCTGGGGAAAAAAAATGACCTTGTAGTCCAATAAAACAAATTATTTGAAAAGCACAATTTTTATCAAGACAACACAACAAAGATTTATACAGTCTATTACAAAGCATAAATATTAAAGCAGAACAACTTAAACATTTAAAATTACAATTTAAAACATACTTCAAAGAGATAAAGGAAGATATTACCAATATAAAACGTGACTGAGAAACCATTAATAAAGCAGTATTATTAGAAATTAAAAGGATAGTTATTGGGCCAGGCTCAGTGCCCCACGCCTGTAATCTCAGCACTTTGGGAGGCCGAGGCAGGGCAATTGGCTTCAGAGTTTGAGATCAGCCTTAGCAACATAATGAAACCTAGTATCTACAAAAACTAAAACAAAAAGACAAAAACTATCTGGGTATAATGGCACATATCTCTAGTCCTAGCCACTTGGGAGGTTGAGGTGGGAGGATTGCTTGAGCCCAGGAGGTCAACACTGCAACACTGCAGTGAGCTGTGACTGTGCCACTGTACTGTAGCCTGGGTGACAGAATAAGACCTTGTCTCAAAAAAAAAAAAAAACAAAAACAAAACAAAAAACCCACAAAGCCAGGATAGTCATTGAATAGTCATTGACATGAAGTACATAATTTATAACAAGAAGAAATAGAAAATATGAGTATATGAGGAGACTTATATCTATTTAAAATTTAATTTATAATTAAAATTTTTCTACAAAGGAACGTCCAGGCCCTGATGACTTTAATGTTAACTGCATCCAAACATTTATGAAATTATACTAATCTTAAACTTTCAGAAACAAGGAAGACTTTCCAATTTATTTTATGAGGCCAGTATAGTTTTGGTAGCAAAATCTGACTTTGATATTATGCTTAATAATGAAATATTGAATATTTTCCTGTAAGATTGGAAAGAAGGCAAAAAAAAATGTTTGCATACACTACACTACTTCTCTATTGTACTAGTCCTTGGTAGAGGAAAAAGACAAGAGGGACATAATAGACAAAGTTTGTAAGAAAAAGTAAAGCTGTTTATTTACAAATTTTATGATTGTGTAAGCAGAAAATCCCATGTTATCTACCAAAAACATTACTAGAACTAATAAAAGAAAGTATCATTGTTTTAAGATACAAGATCAATATAAAAACTGAATATATTTCTTTATATTAGTAACGAGCAATTAGAAAATAAATTTTTTAAAATACTATTTAAAATAACATTTACAAAATATTTGGGAATAAATTAGCAAAAGCTATGTAAGACCTTACCCTGAGATTGGAGGGTAAAGTAAAACAGTATTGGAGATACTAAAGAAAACTTTAATAAAATATATATATCATATTTATAAATTAGACGACTCAATATTATTTTGATATTAATTCTCTTGAAATTGATAGTTTTAATATAATCCCAATCAAAATCTTCGTTGGCTTATTTGTAGATATTGACAAGCTGATCTCAGAATGCTGCCACTCTTTGATAGTTTCTTATACAGTTAATAAGGGTCTACTCTATGATCCAGTCTACTCTATGAATCCTAGGCATTTACCAGAGAGAGAGAGAGAGAGAAAAAAAAAAAAACTCCACAAATAATTTTAAAATATATTCATTACAGCTTTATCCAAAACTATCCAAAGGTCTAAATGTTGGTTATAGCTTTATTGCCTCTTGGCTCACCCTTTTAGACTAATTTCTGAAGTTGAATCTGGGCCCTTTAAACATTTTTGCCAGCCCTTATTCCAGCTGGCACAGAATTAGAGTGCAGGGAGACATTACAGGAGAAAAAAGAAAGTTTTGCTTATTGGTTCCTGTCAGCTTGCTCAGCTGGGTCCTGCAAGGACCCAGGCTTCTTCAGTGCAGTTTCTGTAGACCTCAGTGGCCAGTAGCACTCAGCTTCTCCCAGTATCCATGTTGGATGGTTTTGTAACAGGGTGCTTCTGCTATATATAGTACCTCCTTGTGAATAGTGCTCCCTAGCATCTTACAGGTCAGATTACCAACAAGTTTTGGCAAGCGTAGTTCCAGAAAGCTCTGCCATTTGGTAAGCCACATCCATGCCTTCTCCAACAAGGTCTGTATCTTGGCCCAGGAGGAACGTCTTCCTTGGGCACTCTAGTTCAGCCCTAAGGGTAGTGGTTGCTCCTTATAAGTATTGTTTATTCTTTATTCTCTCCACTTCTTACTAGCCAGTACTTTGCTAGTCTAATTTACTTTTAGAGTTAATTATTCTTAATATTAACTTTGTCTGCTAAAATTGCTATGTGGTTTCACCCTCCTTACTAGACCCAGATTTCTTCAGTCCATCAATAGGAGAGTGGCTAAACAAATTGTAGCATATTCATACAATAGGTTAATACTAAACAATAAAAGGAACAGAGTACTGATACATAAAACACTGAAAATAAAAGAAAAAAAACATTATGGTTGAGAAAAATAAGCCAGACAAGAAAGAGGTCATGCTGTGTGATTCCATTTATATGATGTTCGAAATGTGCAAAACTTACTTATTTCTGTTGTAATCAGAATGCTAATTGTACCTGAGTGCACTGGATTTGCCAGAAAGAGGCACACAAAACTATCTTATAAAAAGTGATTAAAATATTATTTACTGCGATAGTGGTTTACATGGAAATACATATTTGCCAAAACTCACCAAACTGAACTCTTAAAATATGCTCATTTTACTCAATGAAACAAAACATATTGGGAAGAAAATCTATAGACATATTGTTGGCACTAATATGATAGTTTGCAATGGTTACTGGATATAAGATTAATATCCAAAAGTCAGTTATATCTAAACATTAAGAAATGACTAACTAATATAAAGGAAAACCAACATTTACAGTAGCATCACAGAATAGGGAAAAAATCTAATGTGGTGAAAAGAGCTATTTAACAAAACCTAAATAAAGTAAAGTTTATTTACGGCTAGAAATACTTAATATTTTAGTGATGCCAGTTTCCCTCAGGTTGTGACTTAGATACATAGAAATTTAAAATACAATTCAGAAAATGTGTGTAAAATTTGATGTGAAAGATTGTACTTTTAAAATATGATCATTATAATATTTCTCATCCGGCATGATTTTCAGAACTGTGTATTCTTTCATCATGTTATGAAGTTTATTTCCTTTCCTCTCAAAAATCCGGTATTGACAAAAGGAATTCAGCAGAAACGATGGTGCATGACTTTTGAGGTTAGGTGATTAATGTAATATAGCTTCAGTTTGGCTTCTTGTACTTTCTCTTTCCTTCTTTTTAAATTTATCTCCCTCAGGATATTTTCTCAGATGACAACTAAATATATAAGCCAGTGAACTAAACATATAAAACCTGTTTATTTTGAATTATTACTTTAAAGACTTGTTTTTAGAATAAGAAACAACTTACTATTTTGAATAATTTAATCTCATTTTTGTGTTTTTAAGTTTTTTTTAACAGTTTTTCAACATACTGGCATGCCCCAAGTTTTGACCTTTGGAACAATGTATTATCTTTGGTTATTCTCATATGTACAAAAATATCTACCAGTTTTCTATTTCTAGCCAAAATCTGTTTTCCATCTTCCAGTGCCCAGCCTTCTTTATGCAGCCATATTCTAGACATCCACTTAGAGATAGCTCATGCAGTTTCTCAGAAAGCATGGATGTCTCATCAATATTTTTTTCTTAATGTATCCCCACACTCTTCCACAGTGCCCAGCAGAGAGCAGGAATTGAAGAAATGTTGGCTAAATGAATAAATATATCAAGTTCTACAGTCAACATTTATCCCATTATGTTATGTACACATGCATGCCCCTCTTCCTCATTATTCTGCACCTGTGGATGGAGCTACATCCACCAAGAAATGCAATCTGGAAAACCATGCATCTTTTTTCAGATTTTTCTTTATTCTATGATGCTACTGTAAGTTGCATTTTTCTTTTACATTATTTAGTTATTTCTTAATGTTTAGATATAACTGACTTTTTGTTATTAATTTTGTATCCAGTAACCATTGCAAACTATCATATTACTGCTAAAAATTTGTCTGTAGAGTTTCTCCTCAATACTTACTGTTTTATTGAGTAAAATGCACCTATTTTAACCTCCACAAACTCCTACCATTGATTCTAATTTCTAGGTATCTTTCAAACCCATCCTCTCTTCTCCTGTGTTGCCCAGGCTGGACTCCTGGGCTCAAGCAATCCTCCCACTTCAGCCTCCCAAGAAGCTGGGGCAATATTTACCACTATGCCCAGCTTTTTCCAAAGATTTACAAGATGTAAATGAGTCGATCTCTTCTCATATCTGAAAGGTTCATTTTTGTTATTTCCCCCTCACATGTTAACCTTCATCTGTCTGACTTCAACTGAGCCATCATCACAATTTTTATTTTGGTTATATTTCTCCAGGGAGACTATTCTTCTATTCTCTTCAATCTATGTGTAGGTCCAGTCATTCTTCTAACTTCTGACTGTCTTAAAACCCCAGGCTAGCATGTTAAGCATACGATTATGCTTCTAATTAGGACACAAATGGAAACCATTAGGCAAGTATTCCATCAATTTTTCATCACCAAATTTCCAAACCTATCTATATCTAGAGTACTCCTTATCTTACCTCTTACTAAAATCTAGAACTACTTCTCTTTTTCTTTTTTTATTTTTATTTTTAAAGATGGAGTCTTGCTCTGTTGTCAGGCGAGACTCCAGTGGTGTGATCTGGGCTCACTGCAACCTCTGCCTTTTGGGTTCAAGAGATTCCCCCACCTCAGCCTACCAAGTAGCTGGGACTACAGGTGCCCACCACCACGCCTGGCTAATTTTTGTATTTTTAGTAGAGATGGGGTTTCACCATGTTGGCCAGGCTGGTCTTGAATTCCTGACCTCGAGTGATCCACCCACGTTGGCCTCTCAAAGTGCTGGGATTACATGTGTGAGCCACCGCTCCCAGCCTGCTTCTCTTATCTTTAATCAATTAAACTCTATATGCTGTCTCCTAAATTCACAGAAAATTTGTACTATTGATTAATTGCCTCTCTCCTACATTTTATAAGCCATTGAACATATTCAAGTCTTCACCACCTTAAAACAAAAACTCTGTCTTAATCATTTCTTACCTTTCTCAACCAAATTTTATTTAAAAACAAAGCAAAACTACATTCATGAGCTCCATTTTTACCACCCTCCCTCATTAACCTTAATCTATACTCTACCCTGTTATTTCATCAATATTATTCTTAATAGGGTCAGTAAAGTCCTCCAGTGGACTTTTGCTTTCATTTATTTTACTTTGCAGCTACACTCAACGGAGTTTAATACTTTCTTTTTGAAATAAGCTCTTTCCTTGAGTCCTATTACCCACATACACTTGATTTAACCATAATCTTTCTGGCTATTCCTTTCCCTTCCTCTGCAAAAGCATTAAGTATTAAAGTTCCTGAGGACTTCATTCCATACATTTTTCTTTCTCAAGTATTATTTTGCTAGTAATTTTATCTATTTCCATAGGGGCTATTACCAATCCATCTGCCAAATTATATGCCAACTCAGTTTACATTTACATTACATTCTTTTTTTAACTCCAGATTCAAATATCAACCTGCTTACACAGTCATTTAAAATTAAGTGTTCATGGCCTTTGTTACTGGCTAGATAATAAACCAAAGAAAAGGAACACATCTTTCTAATGGAATTATCCTCACCAAACACAATTTGGAAATAATGTCAGACATATGGTTGGCAAATAATAATTGACCTAATTAAAAGAATGAGTAAATGCTAATAAATAATTGATACATTTTCCAACATTGAAGAAGTGCTTTTTTCACTCTTTAGCTTTAAGAAACACTTGTTCAACATTAATTGTGATAACTAAAAATCTATTAAAGGACTATTTTCTGAACTGCTGAATCTAGAAGATAGACAGGGAATATTAAGCAGATGTCTCATGATGTCTTCACCTTCTTCATATTTTCTGAAGAGAACAGGACTTGTACTGGTTGGTATATATAATGGATATATGCCTAGAAAGAAATAATATTTACTAAGGCATCCTAATCATGATATTAGCTAACATCTATTCGTGTTCCATCATAATTCTAAGTGCATTGTGAAAATTAACCCTCATAACAATTTTAAAAGGAGGATATGATTGTGATGATTGGATTTTCATCCATTACTCTAATGTCAATGTGTGAGTTCCTCCAGTGAAAACTTTTGTAACACACTTTTGCTGTTAGTCAGAATTAACTCAAATTTAAAATGTTCCTAGCTGAAGAGATTTGTTGCTCATCATAAAGCCCCATTTGCAATGTACAGAAATTGTTGGTGTTTGTATTCTATGAATCCTAAGAATAAATAAAAAAACAGAATTCACTTTGAAATGAAAAATATTTAAAGACTGGAACTCATAAATAAAAGGAAGGTGAAGTGGAAATGGAAAAATAAGACCTGGGGCTCAGCCAAATACCTTGTATGCTCTTTGCTTTTGAAAAGGATGAATAGAAAGAAACTTACTTCCACCCATTGCACAGTTACCTGCACATGTTACTCTGTGCATATAAAAGTAAATTTGTGTCTTTATACATACAAAAGTAAAATTGTGACACACAGAAGTTATAAAAGCATAAGAATTAAAAATTAGATTACATAGAAAAAAATAAAGTTATAAACTCTCAACTATACTCAGTGACTTTTAAGAAGAGCCCTATGTATAATTCTTCTCCAGAGGAAATAATGTTAAAATTCTGGGTATATTTTCTTTGAATTACATATTCAGTGTCCTTTGAGGAGATTGGGTATTGTAGATAGGCATTTAATTATATTAATAACCATGAGAAAAAACACATCTAATCAGTCAAGAGTAAAAGAAATAAAAATATTGAAATTGGGCAGAATATTTTAGGATGCTTTTAAGATTTGCAGAAAAGTTGTGAAAATGGTATAAAGTTCCCGTATACTCCACCCTCAGAGTTTCTTAATGTTAACATAGTAAATCAGTATGGTACGTTTGTCACAACTAATAAACCAATACTGATATACTGCTATTAACTAAAGACAATACTTTATTCAGATTTTCTTAGTGTTTCCTAATGTTTGTTCTTTTTCTATCCAGGATCCCATGCAAGATGCCATATTACACTTGGTCCTCATGTCTCCTTAGGCCTCTGTAGACAGTGACAGTTTCTTAGACTATCCTTGCTGTTGATGACCTGGCAGTTTTGAAGAGTATTGATCAGGCATTTTATAGACTGCCTTTTGGTTGGGCTTCATGTGATGGTTTTCTCATGGAATTACGTGGTTTATGGATGCTTGGGAGGAGGATCACAAGGGAAGAGTACCATTCTTCTCATATCATATCAAGTGTAGGTGGTATCAGCATGACTGTTGATGTTAACCTTGATAGCCTGGTGGGGGTAGTGGTTTTTGAATTCCTCCACTGTAAAGTTATTCTTACCGCCACCTTTCTGTACTGCACTTTTGGAAAGGAAATCACTGTGTAAAGACCACACTTAATGGGGGAAAATTATGTTCCACTTTTTTGTGGCATATAGAATCATTGATATTAATTTTATATCTTAGGCTATAATTTAATGTTTCATTATTTATTTGTCACTCAAATAGTCTCAGTAGTGTTAAAAAGAGCTCTTTTAAGTATGTCCCTTTTACATACTCCCATTTGTATATGTGTGCATGTGTGCACATTGGAGCACTTCCTAACTTTCTGGTACTATAAGGTTTCCCAGCTTCTTCTTGGACATCTCTACTTCCAGCCTCAGAATCAGCAATTTCTTTAAGAAACTCTTTTGTTTTTGGAAGAAATAATGTTACAAACCAAAATATAGACACTAGGTTTGCTCATTGCAATCAAGGGACACATTTATTTTTAAAGTCTAATTAAAGCCATTAATATTCTTAAGTAAAAAATCATACCACCATTTTTTTCCCAAAAATCTGCAAACCGCATATGGCATGAAGTTTTTGTTTCATAAAGTTATAAGGGCTGTCAAAGGTGTTAAGGTAACATAGGCAAGAAGAAAAGGGAACAATAATGTAAAGTATAGTTTTATATTTCACTTCTTTTCAGAAAATAACTTTCTGATAGTATTCATGGATCTCCATGGAAAAAGCTGATAAGCACTTCCACAACCATTGTTGGGTGTTTCCAAAAATTATGACCCAGAATTCAAATTAGTTCATAAATTGTTACATTTTGGAGTATGTTATCTACAGAAAGCTTTTTATTAAGAAGATATGAGATGCTCTTCTGTAGTCAGTAAAGTATATTTGAAGAGACAAGATGTACACATTGGAGGAAATATTGACAAATGAGTAGTATATCCCTATAAGGTGTATCAGATTTCAAGTACTTCAAGTTATTTTATAGTTAAAAATTTAAATAAAAAATGTGCAAACCAAAGATGATGATATCCACTTCAATACAACTTTAAAAAGTATGTTTCTGACATGCAGCAACTTTAGAAGGGCCTTTATGGCCTAGGTCTGTGGTTCTTAAAGTATTGTCTGGAAACTCTTGTTTGTTCCTGAGACCTTTTAAGGAGATGCATAATATTAAAACTATTTTCATAATGACACTAAGGTATGATTTCTTTTTTTTATTTTAATTCTCTCATAATCTACCATGGAGTTATCTGGAGGCTACATTATCATGATAACTTAGCCACTCATTGTATGCAATGTGTGCAGACACACTTAATTTTTGTGTTAAACTCTTCCATTCACTGACAGAAAACTGAGAATGGTGAGCCATGCTGAAAGCAAGCTTCCACTTAAATTTTCAGGGCAAGATGTTTCTATGGGTCTATATGCAGGTGTGGCAAAAGAAATTTCTTCCAATATCTTTTATTCGCTGTGTGTTTATAAGCTATTTTTAAGTTAAACTTTTTCATTTACTTAAAGAAATGTGGTAATAATGAGCCATTCTGAAAACAATCTTTCATTTAGTATTCGGGCTGCATTTGTATGTGGGCCTATAAGCACATTTGGTGAAAGAATCTTCTTTGAATAACTAATTCTCCTTGGTGCTTATGAAGAATTTTTGTTTTAAAATGTCCCATTCACTAAAATATAACTACTAATGATACTTTTATTGAGTATTCATTCAAGCCACTCAGATGGCTAATGGTATTTGGAGGCAGCATTTTCTTATGATAACATAGCCACTTGTGGTATGCAATGTGTGCATACAAACTTTATTTTTGTGTTAAACTCTTCAATTCACTGACAGAAAACTGAGAAAAGCATATTTTTATGCTTAATAGTGCCTCAGTTTTAGTTATTTACACTACAATATCAATAAATGTAACTCACGTAAAAGCCTTCTGGAATCCTCAATATTTTTAAGAAAACTGCTTCAGTCAGGCATGGTGGCTCAAGGATATAATCCCAACACTTTGGGAGGCCAAGGTGGGGGATTACTTAAGTCCAGGAGTTCAAGACCAGCCTTAGCAGCAAATGCTCATAAAGTTATAAGGGCTGCCAATGGTGTTAAGATAACATAGGCAACAAGAAAAGGGAACAATATTGCAATGCATAGTTTTATGTTTCACTTCTTTTCAGAAAAGAATTTTGGAATAGCATTCATGGTTCTATACAGAAAAAGCTAATATATACCTCCACAATGATTGTTGAGCATCCCCAGAAAATATGACCAAAGATACAAATTTGTTCATAAATGGTTAAATTTTGGAGTATCTGTTTTTAAAAAAGAAAAGAAAACTGCTGACTAAATGAATCACTACAGAAATTAAAGTCTAGATGTAAGAATGGAAGATGAGTGGTAGTGCAAAGAGATCTGAGACACAACTGAAATAAGGGAGCATATGTCACTACAAATCCTACAGACATCGAAAAAATAATATGGAGACATGATGGCAGCAAATCCAATAACTTAGATGAAATAGATTAATTCCTTAAGATACATAACTTACCCCAAATAATACACATAAATAAATCAGAATAACCCCATATCTATTAAAGTACTTGAATTTGTTAAATAATTTCTAAACAAAGACAATTGCAGGTCCTGACTTTTTCACAGGAGAATTCCATCAAATATTTAAGGAAGAAATAATACCAAACTTACACAAACTCTTTTAGAATATATAGGAGTAAGAAAAAATTGCTAATGAATTTTATTAAGTCAACATAACCTTGATACACAATCTGATAAAGACATTACAGGAAAAAAAATGGTAGGTTAATATAAAGACACAAAAATATTTAAACTATATTAGTAAATTAAATGCAACAATACATAAGAAGAGTATTATACCATGATCAGCTGGAGTTTATCCTGGGAATAAAAGATTGGTTTAACATTTGAAAATATGATTACTAGTATAAAACTTCAGATTGGAATGATATCATTCCATATTGGTTAACAATATATTGACTTCAGTTAACAATTTCAATGAGAAATTATGCAAATGTAACAAAGTAAAGAAGGCTTGATAAAACATATGGTTCAAAGAAGGCAAATGTCAAGCACTCTGTAGATTCTGAGGTTTACTCTACTTGCAAACTAACAGAATTAGCCTGCCAAAATTTCAAGTATGCTTGTAGAAGACATGATACTCCTGGATCACGTGCTAAAGAATTTTACAAAACTTTCAAAGACCCATTATATTCCCCAGTCTGGCTCATGTGGGCCACTCTAGGGAGCATTGTTGAGCAGGAGATTTAACTAAGCGGTTATTATCTTTATGTTCTAGGATCATTTTAATACAAGAGATTCTAAGCTATGGAATGAGAATTAAGTCTGAGGTCCTTAGACCATTTTTTTTTGTCTAGGTTGTCACCTGGAGGATGTAACAACAAGCAAACCCAAATGCGTTTTCCTGAAACTGGTTATGGCCAAAATAAGTTCATATACTCACCCAACATTTTCATTCTCATGATCATCTTGGACATTTCGAAGAGGGGATTAACTGTTTCTGGAGAGAGCTGCATTTATTAACCGAAGTCTCTGATACGGTTTGGATGTTTGTCCCTTCCAAATCTCATGTGGAAATGTGATTCCCATTGTTTGAGGCGGAGTATCGTGGGAGGTGATTAGAACACGGCGGTCGGCCCCTCACGAATGGTTTAGCACCACTCCCTTGTTGACAAGTGAATTCTCACTCCATTAGTTCATGTGAGATCTGGTTGTTTAAAAGTCTGGGACTTCCTCTCTCTCTCTCTTGCTCCTCCTCTCACCATGTGACGTACCTGCTCCCACTTCACCTTCTGCCATGACGGGAAGCTCCATGAGTTCTTCACCAGAAGCTTAGCAGATGTTGGTGACATACTTCCTGTAAAACTTGCAAAACTAATCTGGTTAAACCTCTTTTCTTTACACATTTTTAAATACCTAGCCTCAGGTATTTCTTTACAGCAAAGCAAAAATGGCCTAACATAGTCCCTTTATGAGTTGTGTAGACCAAGACAAGGTGAGGTGAGAAATGTAGTGTTGGAAATATTTTTCAGTTGATTTTTGAGGACATCTTTTCAACACTTGACAATAATTGATATGTGGATAGAGGAAACACAGAAGGTGGATGGAATACCTTGACAATCAGCTCATTGTTGAGTGGCTTTTGTAAATAAAACACACTTATTACAAATGGCCCAAAATCAAGGTGCAGATTGGTTTCAAGGCTCACAATGATGTGGGTGGAATCATCTTATTGGACAGAAACAGAAGCACCATATACTGAAAAAGTGTCAACATTAATGAGATACTATCAATAGCCCATTAAAGGATTCAAAGGTCTGATGTGGTCAGTCTTCCAGGAGTGAATGAGGTCAATCAATACTCCATACCCTGTGCCATATAGCCTTTCTCATTATGAAACAATTAGGTTAATTATTGGGAGGAATGAGGCATCTAGCATTCAGTGACAGCTTTTGCTTCAGAAACATATAGTCCTTCATTTCATACACAGGCTGTGATGGTGGATGTGTTGTCATACTTAGTATGATGATGGATTCAGGCAGGAATGGTGGCAATCTGGGTATTGGAGGCTCATTCAGTAGCTTCATTCCAGTCAGTCTTATCAGAGAACAGCTCATTACCATGGGCATTTCCATGAGTGACCCAGACGGTTTGAACAGCAGCTGTAGTTTGTTTCTACATTTCATGGACCCCAAGAGGGATTTCTTTAATCTGCCAGTCTAATTTTGCAACTGGCAGACCAAATATCTAGGCATTGGCATAGCCAAAGTCAGTAAAACTATAACACAATTCATCGAGACGAGTATTGGGAGAACTAAGAGAACGCCTTGAATTTTCCTGCTGAGCAGTGTGACCATGTTTGTTTTCAGTGCTGTGTAGCTGATGCTGAAGGCCGGACAGCTATGACAGCCCGTTGAATACATTGGAGTTTAGCTCACCTGAAACATTAGTGAGGCATGCTTTTGTTTCAGGTGGAAGTGAGGAAAAATGTTTTCCTCAAAGTGCTCTTCAAAGTGATGCACCTGGTAGCTGTTTTAGAGAGGTAATTGTTTTGCCCAGAGGAGGAAATAGAGATGAACACTTAACCTTTGGAAATAATCACCTGGCTACAGGCAATTCCCCCACCCCCCCCATAATTAACCCTGTAGCTGAAGGCTTCTGCCATATTTGTAAATCAACTATATCCATTGAACTCAGGGATATCTAGTCTTGATATCCTCTTGATCTAACATCTGACATTATTTTATCCATAGGAATGGATTAAAAGAAAAGCACATTTGAATTTCAAATACATCTGCAATACACAATGAGATAATTAAGAATACATAATTTTTGGTTGAAAAGATCTCTCTCTCTCTACATATAAGACTTAGAGTAAAATCAAGTAATTTTTCTCAGTTATATATCCTTAGAAATATCATTAAGGATTTACAAATTGATAGCCATATCTTTGATTTTTAAACTTACAGCACTGTAACTTTAAAAAAATGCATAGTACTGGCCAGGTGTGGTAGCTCACGCCTGTAATCTCAGCACTTTGGGAGGCCGAGGTGGGTGGATCACCTGAGGTCAGGAGTTCCACCTGAGGTCAGGAGGTTGGGAGACCAGCCTGGCCAACATGGTGAAACCCTGTCTCTACTAAAAATATAAAAACTAGCTGGGCATGGTGGTGAGCCCCTGTAATATCAGCTACTGGGGAGGCTGAGTCAGGAGAGTTGCTTGAACCCAGGAGACGGAGGTAGCAGTGAGCCAACATGATGCCACTGCACTACAGCCTCGGCGACAGAGTGAGAATCCGTCTCAAAAATAAAATAAAATAAATGAGTAATATTTAGAGTCTACTATTATAATAAATAGGTAGTTTTACCCTTCTAAGAAGTGGGGGGTAGGGGGCATAATCAGTGTCCCAGTTGTCTTAGAGTGACCCTTCTGCTTTATGAGTTGGACATTGGGTTGGGGTGCTAGCCTCTGATCTTTCTGACTTTTCCTGTCTAGAGTTGAACTTCTGCTCTATGAGCAAGCTGAAGTGATGGTGATTAGAGCTTTGGTATTCTTGGCCAGGTGTACCTAGAATATAGCCTCCACCCTGTAAGTGGGACTGGGTGGTTGAAGGAATCCCCCAACCACTCAGTTGCTTTCACCTGGAATTTAACCTTTGCAACATGGAACATGGGCGATGAGAAATGCTAGCAGCTTGTCCCTCCTGGAGAGACACTATAGGCCTTGCCTGGAGGCTGGGCCAAGAGGGAGCCTCATCTTCTCATCCACATCCACCAGGAGTGATTTCTGTCATGTTGAGTAGGTAAGAGGGTGCGAAGAGGTGGGTGGCTCACTTTTCAAATGCCATAGACTTTTTTACTGAGATTGGGGAGATTGCCTCAAATTAGTGTTTCTTCATTAAATGTTTGTCCATAGGAAATATTTGAGAGCCTTTTTTAAAAATTTATATATATATATATAATTTTATTTTTTTTAGAGACAGGGTCTCACTATGTTGCCTAGGCTTATCTAGAACTCCTTGTCTCAAGCAATCTTTTTGCCTCGACTTTGCAAAGCACTGAGATTACAGGTGTGAGCCAGCATGACTGGCCTGTTTTTTAAATTATTTTCAAATAATTTTTATCAATTATGGTTGATTTGCTGGGGATTAGACCTGTCGAGCTCCTCACACTGCCATTCCTGTCCTGTAGTCTCCTATATTCTTGAATGATTACTTGAGGTAGATTCTCTTTCTCCTATAATTTAACATTGCTGTGCTTTTTTTTTTTTTTTGTAATCTTGGAAGTTGCAATGTATTGTGAAGCCAACCTGGAATTTTATTACTTTCTCTTTTGTATGTGACTTTGTTCTTTGCATTGATGCTTATAAATTTCTTTTCTTTTCCTTGAAATATATTAACTTTGCCAATGAGTATGTTAAGGATAATTCTTCTATAGTATTTATACGTATCAATGTATGACTCTTTCTTTCAAAAATTCTTATTGTTCTATATGCAAATATATACAATTATGATTTTACTTCAGTCAGCCTTTCATTGAGTGACTACTACATATATGCTTGGCACTATGCAGGTTATTTCCTAGAGTTGTAAGTGCTATGAAAATAGGCTAATAGAGCGGGGTTAAAATTTTACTTTAGAATGGGCAAATAATAGACTAGATTATGAAGAGACTGTATTTTTGTGGACGGATAAAGGATAAGGAGCAAGCCATTTCATACCAGAAGCAAAGCCATGTTCTAAGTTGAGGTAAGTGTGGCACCGGATCTGAGTTGGGAGACTGGAGTATTTTAAGAACAGAAAGAAGGCTGGTATGGCTAGGACATACTGATTTGGAGAATAACAGGTACAAGGAGATGTCAGAAAGGTGGTCTGAGGTAATTATTCAGGAAAGTTTAGCAAACTATAGCCTATAGACCAAGTCTGGCCCACTACCTGATGTTATATGGCTGTCTGTCAAGTAAGAATAGTTTTTATATTTTTTAATGATGGAGAAAATAAAAAGAAGAATATTTTGTGAAATGTAAAAATTTTATAAAATTCAAATTTCATTGTTCATCAATAAAACTGTATTGGAAGACAGCCATGCCCATTTGTTTGCACATCATCTATGCCTGCTTTTGTGCTACCATGATACAACCACAGGGCCTGCAAAGCCTCTATTTACTGTTTGGCATTTTCCAGAAATAAAAAGTCTGCTGACTCCTGATTTAGGGCATTCTCAGGTCACTAGGGAGAATGGACTTAATTTTAAATTAAATGGAAAGTTTTTAGAGGATTTAAAGTAGGAAAATAGTGATCTGATTTGCTGATGTACAAAGTGGATTGCAGTTGAAGGAGCTGGAGAAAGTAGATGCTGGGAGAATAAATAGGGTGCAAATGCAGTAAAGCAGTACTTGTAAATGAGAGATGATTGTGATGTATAAGAGGGCTGTGGGAGAGGGGCTGAGTGGACATTGACAGAGATTTGAGATGTGTTAGAAATAGAAACCATAGAACTTAAGATGGATTAAACGTAGGTGGATGAAAGAATGGGAGGAATCACAGATGAACCTTGGTTTGGTTTGAGTAGTGGGTAGGGAAAAACAAAAGTTTTAATTTGGAGGTAATGTACAAAGGCCATGAGGTGGAAATTTTAAGTAGGTGGTTGGTTATATGAGTTTAGCTTATGGGAAATGACTTAGCTTGAGATATGAATATTTGAGTTGTCAGCACAGAAATGGTATTTATGGGAATAGATGAGCTCATCTGGGAAGAGAAGGGAACTGGGAAGAGAAGGGAACAAGGAAGAGAAGGCTCAGGATCGACTCTTGAATTAAGCCAAACTGGGAAATAGGCAAATTCCCGTCACTGTCTCAAACAGCAAATGTAGAAAATTAAGTCATTCCTTTTAGTTATTTAAATTCATCAGATTACTTCAATTTTCTAAGCTTTTAGTATACCATGGCTCTAGATTTAAAGGTGATAGTACATGTTAAATATTAATCGATAATAGGCCACTGTAAAGAGGAACTTGTTCGCCACATTTTCATCTATATAGGGGTCAGTGTTTTTTTAAAGAAGCAAAAATCAAAACATGTATTTCCTGATGTTGTTGTTAAAATGAGTTTATAATTATTTAAGTTTAGTTTGCTGGCTTTTGTTTACTTTGCATTCATCAATGCATTTTAAGACATTTATTTTTTCCTGTCTCATCTTCTGGCTGCTCTAGCTGAAGACTAAGGAGCGGAGGGAGAAGAGATAGAGAGAGCTTAATGTACCTGGGAAATGAGAGATAAATAGTCTCCCTTGGAAAAGGGGACATGGTGCCTTTAGGGGAATGCCATTTCAGCTTAAATAAGAAAGCTTGGAGAAAGTCAAATAAAAGATTGTACAGATAGAGGAGTTTGCTGGCTCAGACCTGCAGTACCTGAGGGCACAGTAAAAGAAGAAAAAGGTTAAGGGAATAAGTCAGATAAAAGGATGGAGACAACAAACTGAGAATTAAATTAAAGTCCTAGTGAAAATGAATGTCCAGGGAACCCAAGGTTTCTGACTTTGACAGAGATGAACAGCAAAGCCAGCATTCATCCTGATTAGTCAGGCCAACAAAGGTGTGGGTTATTCAGGCCATATTCTTATTAATTAACTTGGCTGCAAGGGTCACTTTGCGATGGGCTCTCTGGAAGGTACTACTCCTTCCTTTAGTCTTAAAGGTGTAGGAGTACTAATGCTATTTTTAAAGCACATATAAAGGGGTGTTTTCTTTGTTTCTTACAAGAATTGGGTGGAGCTGATCATGGCAGTAGGGGTCATTTTTTGCCTGTTGTTTTCTCTTAATTTAAAAAAATATGTATTTTGGCATAGGCCCCATGCTGCTTATTCCTCATTTTTGAAATGAGACAGGGATGTAAGCCATGGCACTTAGCAATTTAAATTTATAAATCTGGAGTAAATGAATTTTTAAACAAATCTTCCATAATTATTGGTGTTTCCTCCTTCAGGAAAAAAAAATCAGTGGGTGAACCCCCACATAGCAGATTCTCCTTGTTATACTTATTTCTGCCCCTCTGACTCTGAATCACAACTGCCTGAGTGATTACTTCTTCCCTTAGCCTTTTACCCAATCTCCTCCAGGTGTTTCTCCAGAGTCAGAGGAGGGAATGTGGAAAGCAAAGATAGCTTGTATAGCATTTCTGCTTTAGCCCTGCTCTTCTGCTATTCTGAAGCTGGAACTTGGTCTTTTCAAGCATGTCCTCTGCTTCTCCCATGATCCACCAATTGTGTCAGAATCATTATTCCACGTAAGAAGCATTCCTTGAGTAGCTTTACAGACGTTTGATGAAATCTGTCCCTTAAGTGAGATCTGAGCATGTATTTGGTGGAAGGAAGACTAGCAATGTCTCTTCTACTCCATATCTATAACTTCTGATAGTTTTACCAACTCCTCATCATCTGGTCGAAAGCCCACCAAATTTGAAAAACATTTTCTTTTTAAGTTGGTGACATGAATCTTTCCTCATTCCAATACTTTTGACAATTTTTGTTGTATTTGATGGGTTCCAGATTAGTATGTAGACCAAAAATATCATCTGCCAGAGATTCTAAGAGTAGGGACATAGTACAGGGTAATGGTCAAGAAAAAAGATTCTGCAGAGACAGACTGCCTGGGTTTCGGTCATAACAGCAACCTTTAACTCTGCAGTCTCAGAAACCAACTTATATTGTCTCTCTTTGCCTCAGTTTCTTATACATGTAAAAGTATAATGAGAGTATCTGTATTATAATATTGTTGTAGAAATTAAATATACATGCAGACATAGACACACACACACACACACACACACACACACATATATATATATAATATATATATATAATTTAGACTAGTACCTGGCATAGAAGTACCATATCATTGTTAAATGTTATATTATTGTTGCTATTGCTATTATTATTATACTTTAAAATTAATTCTATAGTGGTACTGCTTAACTTTAATTTTCTATTTCAGTTACTTATTTTCAGTTTCTGTAACTGAACTGTAACTTCCCCTTCAGGGAGAAAGAACTGTATCTTATTTTTCTGTCTAATTTCCACAGTGCTTGCTATAATGTATTTCAAGTTGTTGGCAATTCACAAATGTTTGTTGTATTAAAATGAATTGAGAGTCTCTGACAATTTAAATTTATTGAAAATCTGATCATACATATTTTTAAACATCCCTCTTAATCTGTACAACTAGTAACTTTGTTCTCTAAGCTTTTTAAAACTAATGACATAGGAAATAATATACAGGAACAATAAAACTGAAAGTCAGTAGCATTTTATTTTCCCTTTAATGTTTGACTAGGTGTAAAATATACATCACAGGTGTAAACTTTAAAGACTATCTACAATTATTTGCTAAAATTTTTTATAAAAGGAAGATATTTTTGGTTTTGGGTTTTTTCTGTCCTGATAAAAGTGCTTTTACAGAGATTTGTCAGTTAGGAAATCATCAGATAAGTGAAAATGAGTTAATTATACCATTTTTGTTCTAAAAGCATTAGCTTTTAGCCAATTTTAGATTAGTTGTCTTTCTGGCCTCAAAATATTGAGTAACTGTCCCAGTAAACAGATATTTAAAAAAAAAATGGAACTTTATTAGAGCCAAATAATTGGCCTTCATTTTGCTTACCATACATAGAATTTAGTACAACTTAGTTCATGCCTGAATGATATAAGACTTACAGATACTATTCCAATGTCTGGGTGTGATAATGTGTTAATTTGCTTTTTTTTTTTTTTTTTTTTTTGAGATGGAGTCTTGCTCTGTTGCTCAGGCTAGAGTGTAGTAGTGCAGTCTCAGCTCACTGGAATGTGTGGTGTGATCTTGGTTCACTGCAACCTCCACCTCTCCGGTTCAAGCGATTCTCCTGCCGCAGACTCCCAAGTAACTGGGATTACAGACATGTGCCACCAAGCTCAACAAATTTTTGTATTTTTAGTAGAGATGAGGTTTCACCGTGTTGGCCAGGCTGGTCTGGAACTCCTGACCTCATGTGACCCGCCTGCCTCGGCCTCCCAAAGTGCTGGGATTACAGGCGTGAGCACTGCACCTGGTCCTATATTAATTTTTATCTATCTGTAATTTTTGCTTGTAGGAAGACATTTATTTGTATTTTGTTGCAGGCTGAATTATGTCCTCCAAAGATTTTTATGTTGAAGTCCTAACCCCTGCTACCTCAGAGCCTGACCTTGTTTGGTATTGAGTTCTTTGCAGATCTGATTAGTTAAGATGAGGTCATACTTAAGTGGATTCCAACATGTCTAGTATCCTTATGAGAGCAAGAAATTTGGGCCATGGACAAACACAAACAGAGGAAGAATGCCATTTGAAGATTGTAGTTATATTGCCATAAACCAAGGAATTACTAAAAGTTAGGAGAGACTTATGGAACAGACCCTTTTCTAGTGACTTCAGAGGGAGGATGGCCCTATCAATGCGTTGATTTCAAACTTTAAGCTCCAGAACTGTGAGACAGTAAGTTATGTTTTAAGCCACTCTGTGTGTGGTACTTTGTTACAGCTGCCCTCGCAAACAAATGCGCCTGTCTTGTGTAACTATGCAATTGGCTATACGTTTCTTAATGTGCTTTACATGTTATAATATATAGGCAAACAATCACTGCCATCTGGATTCTGAAAGACTCACAGCTGACTTGTTATTAAATACATCCAGTACTCTCTGAGCTGTAGGTCGGTAGCGCAAGTCTCCTTAATCAACCTCTTGGCCAAAGCCCCAGATGGTCCTTCTCAACAGGAGATGCACTTTAGTTACTCCCATGATTGTTTGAGAGCTGAAGCTCTTCCTTAGGCACTTCTACAGTATTTTTCTGTGTATTGGGTTTCTTTTAGTTTTTGTTAGATTGCTTTTGTTGGGTAGAAAACATAACATAAGAACTAAAAAAATAAAAGCGACAACTTTCACATTGTTTTATTTTTTATTTTATTTTTTTTTTTTTGAGAGTCTCCCTCTGTCAGCCAGGCTGGAGTGCAGTGGCATGATCTTGGCTCACTGCAACCTCCATCTCCCAGGCTCAAGCAATTCTCCTGCCTCAGCCTCCCGAGTAGCTGGGATTACAGGTGTGTGCCACCATGCCCAACTAGTTTTTGTATTTTTAGAAGAGATGGGGTTTCACCATGTTGGCCAGGCTAGTCTCGAACTCCTAACCTCAGGTAATCCACCCATCTCAGTCTCCCAAAGTGCTGGCGTGAGCCACTGCGCCCGGCCTGTTTTATTTTTAAAAGCCCATCAAATCCATTCTGACAATCTGAGACAATGGTAACAAAGAGATGTATCTACCTCAAGTTCATGTAACTTCATTGTTTTCCTTTTGTTTCTTACATAAAATATGAAGATACATACTCATCTTGGGAGATGAAGATATGTATATGATAACACTATTTTCTGTATAGCTATAAGAAAACCTTGAGAAGTATTAATTTTAAAAGTTTAATAATGTCTACATGACATAAGAGTTACTGTTGAATGTAACATGCCTATTTGAAGTGGCTTTTGCACATTTGAGAACTATGTTTCAGTTTGAATCTCTAACTACCTCAGTTCACAGTATCATTCATTTTGAGTTACTTAAAATTTGAGCTACAGTTATGTACACCTGGAGTCTTGTCATTTCACTTTTTTTTTTTTTTTTTTTTTTTTTTGAGATGGAGTTTCACTCTTGTTGCCCAGGCTGGAGTGCAATGGCACGATCTTGGCTCACCACAACCTCTGCCTCCCGAGTTCAAGCAATTCTCCTGCCTCAGCCTCCTGAGTAGCTGGGATTACAGGGATCTGCCACCACGTCCGGCTAATTTTGTGTTTTTAGTAGAGACGGGGTTTCTCCATGTTGGTCAGGCTGGTCTCGAACTCCTGACCTCAGGTGATCCACCCGCCTCGGCCTATCAAAGTGCTGTAATTACAGGCATGAGCCACCATGCCCAGCCATCATTTCACATTTTTAATGCTCATAAGATAAAGCAGTAAATTGAGAAGTAGAGTAAAAACATCTTCTTGTAGTTGGACCGGCCATGACTGTCTACTTCAAATGTTCTGGAAAATATTTTAAAGGAGAAATAGAACACCAGGATATGAAGTAAATTGTAAATAGGTGGTTCATACGTATGTCAGTTTCAAGGAAGGGAAATTGCCCTTCTTGTAAGTACATGTCTATACTGCTCTTTAAAAAGAAGAGAGGAAATACAAGCACCCACTGAAAAGGTTCTTTTTTTGTTAACATTGTGCTGGTTTTCATGACTTAATTCTAGGTCTTTCCTTATGTAGTGGGGCAATCCATTCTACACAGTGGTTGAGTGCTTAATGAACATTTTGCTGACTAGTAGCTATGACAGACATGCTTTGGAATTTGTTAAGAGCAGAAACTGTGCTGAAACACTTCATTGGGAGTTGTGAAGAAGACTAGAAGAGGCTTTGGAATTAGGGAAATTAGGTTACCTAAAAATGCATGAATGAGGGTGTTTGCCGAGATCAGTGGAATAATTGTGGAAAGCACCAGGACTTCTTAATGGTCATGAAATAGTAGACCAATGTATGTGTGTGTGTGTGTGTGTGTGTGTGTGTGTGTGTTCTAATGTTGGTATATATCTAGACAATAAATATTATAAAATACAATTCTGAAAACTCAATAAATGGTTTCACATATTATAAATGTAAATCTGTTCCATGTTTATTGTGGATACAATTATAGCATAAATGACACATATATTTTGAGTATAGTGCTTCCCTTTTATCTGCAGGGGATACATTCCAAGACATCTAGTGAATATATGTACTAGTGAGTATGTATACCCTATATATACTATTTTTTTTCCTATATATACACATCTATGATAAAGTTTAACTTATAAATTAGGTACACTAAGAGATTAACAATGCTAACTGCTACTAATAAAAGATAGCAGTTTTATGTGAATTTGGCCTCTCTCTGTCAAAATGACTTATTGTTACTGTACTTGCCTATTTTCAGACTTCGATTGATAGGAGAAACTGAAAGGCAAAAACAAAACTGCAGATAAGGGGGAGCAACTGTACTGCTTGCTATCAAGACCACTGCAATTACAAATTTTCCCTGCTTACTGAAGAAAATTATAGTATAAATACTAAGACTCCAGGAAAACATAAAGTGCTGTTTTAACTCAGAATCTCCATCTACTAAACCGTTTTTACCAGAGATGTCAAATAAAATAAAATTGACTAGTTTGGATTTCATTTCTATTCTGGTCTCACCCCAACTTCTGTTCAACATTCTGAATGTTAAGCAGCTCCAAAATGACCAAAATTATTGACAGTAGAATGATAGCAATTTATGTCTAGGCATTTGTGGAATCAATTAATTGAGCCAATTCTTGGGAAAGATGGGTCTAAGTAGATTTTTCAGAATGTATATAACATATTTAATTAATTTACTTTTCTCATCTTTTTTAAACAGTTGATGTAAAAACTTTAAGGACTGATTTATCTAAGAAAAACATAATTATCTGTAAGATAACTGAGAGTCAGTTATTGTAAAAGAAAATACTCACTATGGAATCATTTACATTTCAAAAACTTTTGTCTGAAGCAATAGATAATAGTTATTTACAAGCCCAGATACTTTTTTTGGTATCCACTTTGTTTTTCCTTTTATTATTATCTCTTTATTTTTCACTTCCTTTCCCTCCTTGTTTTTACCCTGTTTATTTTCCTATTATGTAGTGTTATGTAAATATCCATAGAATGAAGCCGGTTTCTTCTAATGCCAGTTCACAGTCACGAAAGTCTTTGAAAGTGTTGTCTTTCAAAGGAAATAATTTTCTTTTAAAGGTAGTGAGAATTCTGAGGCAGAAATTTCCCCCAAGGAGAGTGGAACATTTAAACATTTCCCTTAGCATATAATTGTTTATGAATGCAAAAGAATTTCTGTGCTCTTCTTCTTTGACCCCCCTTTCTCATTGATTTTTGGAAGTAGTTGAACAGTCTAGCATTTAACTCTTACAAATTTGCCAAAGTGCAAGCTGTGCACCGTTTGCATGCAATAATTACTTTTTAGCTTCTTAATGCAGTCTCATTATGAAGAATTATTTTCTCTTTTTGAATAATAGTAATGACTCATTTCCTAAATTAAACTTAGTTATTTCAAAATGATTTCACCAAAAAATTGTTAAAGGTAATCATTCTGTTAGTATTTCCATAGCTAAGAGGTAAGTTTTAGGCACACACACACACACACACACAAAAACAAAACCTTGATTTCATTTCCTTCTGCATATGCTTTCACAACACTAATTTTTGCTTAGGACAAAGATTCTTTGCTTGACCAAAATTTAGTTAGGCTCCTGAATCTTCTCCTCATCCCATATATGCACTTTCTTGTAAACCCAGTTTTAGCAAAGAACCCTGCAAAGTTAGTTTAGCAAGAACCTCCACCCTGGATATGTGATCACCCTAGACATTTGCTCAGGTTTCTCATCCTCCATCCGCCAGGTGATGCCTATCTTTAGCAAAAATCCTGTTAGATGGAGCTAGCCAGAATCTCCCTTCCCCTTGATGTTTCCTTTTAGTAATTTTCCATCCACTGGTTCTCACCCTGCTTCTTCCCTATAAATCCTTACCCAGGGGGCTTTATTCCGAGTTGAGCCCAATCTCTCTTCCCCATTGCAAAATACCATTTCAGTTATCCCTATACTTATTGTGATGGTCCTGAATAGTCTTCCTTGTTTTGCTTTAACAAGTATCACTAAATAATTTTTCTTTAACACACAATATCATTCCTAGTGAAAGAAACAAAGACACTTACATTGTCTATCTATGTGTTCTTTTTAATGAACAAAACCCTCGTGTTTTATTTTATAGCAATATTCTATAATTTATGAATATAGTTATCTGCTTTGAAATATAATGTACATTTATATTTTCTGATATTTAATATGAATTTAAATTGATTATTTTCCTTTCATATATGTGAATGCATATTTAATACAACCAAGTTGAGTTGATAAATTAAGAGTATTATGCTTAACAAACATTTTCTATTCACAACTTGGAGCAACTAAAATTTATCATTCTTTTACAATGTACATCATAGTTTTAGTAGGACATTTTAAAGAAAAACTATTATTTATTATAATGAGCCAGTAAGTGGTTTTCTTCAGCATGATATTCATAAAGGATTATGCAATTTAGTTGGCTGGACATAAATAAAGTGTTTACGTTAGAGATTCATGAAATTATTTTTCAGCTCCTGGCCATTACAAATTCTTTTAAAGAGTCATGCATCATATAGCCTTAGAGTAAAGAAAAAAAAAATCATTTGAGATCATCAGATTTAATCTCATTTTATAGAGAGGATAAAATTAGTAGGCTTGAGTATGAAGACTTAATTTTTGTCACCTTCAGGTTGGGAATCCAGTTTCCTCAGTTCCCAGGCCCCATTCCATCTTTTTCTCTTAGAATTATGCATATTCAAATATTAAATGAAAAGACTCAATTTTTCTTTCCTTTTCTTCCTTTTTTTTTGAGACACTGTCTTGCTCTGTCACCCAGGCTGGAGTGCAGTGGCACAACCTCGGTTCACTGCAACCTCTGCCTCCCAGGCCCAACCGATTCTCGTTCCTCAGCCTCCTGAGTAGGTGGGATTACAGGCATGCACCACCATGCCCAGCTAATTTTTTGTATTTTTAGTAGAGATGGGGTTTTGCCATGTTGGCCAGGCTGGTCTCAAACTCCTGACCTCAAGTGATTCACCTACCTCACTCTCCCAAAGCACTGTGATTACAGGCATGAGTGACTGCACCCAGCCAAGACTCAGTTTTTCAAACAACAAAGTGTATTCTTAGTTCTTGCTCCCCTCAAATCTCAATTTTAATAATTCCTTTTCCTTTTCTTCCCCCCTTTTATACCCTCATTTAATCCTCCCCAAATGCTAGCAATTGTTATACTTTTGTCTAATAAAAATAAATATAAAATACTAATGATTTAATATAACTTTGATAAAATGAAGATTTTTTTTATAAAGAACTATTTTTGTGAACCAGGACTGGGTGAAGGAGAATTAAAATACATAAAAAATTCAACCTCACTTAAAAAAATCAAATTTATGTAGGTATAATTAGCATACAGTAAGCTTCAAATATTTACAGTATAGTTGTGAATATTTACACATATTTACAGTGTACAATGTACTTTGATAACTTGTGAAATATATATTCACCCAGGAAACCATCACCAAAATCAAGATAATGAACACATCTATCTCCTTTATAAGTTTCCTCTGCCCTTGATAATCCTGCCCCCTCTGCCTTATTTCCCTGAAACAACTGATAATACTTTCTGTCACAGTAAATTTGTTTGCATTTCAATTACATTTACAATTTGTAAATGTATAAAAATATTGGAAAACTAGAATTACCATTTGGTTAACACTACTTGGCTAACACCTCAGTAATACTTGTTGCAAGCAAGAATCGTTAATAGATGCTAAAATTAGTGGGTGAAACACAAGATATTTATATGGTCTCAAAGTATATTCGCACAAAATTACCAAGGGGAAAATATTAATTTTACAATAGATATGATGGAGAGGATAAGGCATGAGAAATGACTGTAGAAATAATCATTAAAAACTTCTCATATTTTTTGGAAGACATAAATACACAAATTTAAGAGGTTTAGAAAACCCAAAACAGCATACATTTAAATAAAACCATATACAGAGAGAGCATAATTGAGTCATTTCTTTTACAGTAGGTAGTGAGTCAGGCTGAGCGGGGGAGGAGAGGGCTCCTCCAACCCATCAGGAATGTCAGGCTGCCATCAGGTGATGGTCAGGCAGTTGCTACACTGCCTCTCTAAAACAGTAATTGGTCACAGCCAGCACCCAGGGAGAGCCAGTTTCCCAAGAGATAAAAGCACCTGAAATTGGTAATCAGCAGCTTTCAGGAATTGGGCGCGTGGGCTTGAGCATACACTTTAAAAGGCAAAATGCTGGAATATGATCTTTGGGGGACATTCCACTGAAAAAGGGAAGAAAGCCTCAGGTGAGCATGTATACGATTCCAGTAAACACACTGTGCATGCTCGCCTCCTAGAAGCTATTAGGTCCCCATGCATGCAGGCAGCTGAGTCTAAGAAAAGAATCAAGGGAAAGGGGACACAAAACACTGGAAGTCAGTTATCATATGGAATCCTAGGTTCAAGGTCCCGTGGGGCACTTGACCTTCAAGATGACTTCTTGAGTCCCTTCCAAGTGTACTTTCCTTTCTTTGTTTCTGCTCTAAAGCTTTTTAACAAACTTCCATTCCTGCTCTGAAACTTGCCTCAGTCTCCTTTTCTGCCTTATGCCCCTCAGTTAAATTCTTTCTTCTGAGGAGGTAAGAATTGAGGTTGCTGTAAACTCGTACGGATTCACTGCCGGTAACTTAGATGACTTCCACCAGTAACAGTTTGACTTGTGTCAAGAATATGTAAAGAATTCCTACATCTTAATAAGAAGAGGACAAACAAAGTACGATGGCTCATGCCTGTAATCCCAGCACTTTGGGAGTCTGAGGTGAGAGGATTGCTTGAGCCCAGAAGTACAAGACCAGCCTGGGCAACACAGGGAGACCTTGTCTCTACAAAAAAATTTAAAAATGAGGTGGGAAGATCACGTGAGCCCAGGAGGTCAAGGTACAATGAGGTGTGATTGTGCCACTGCACTCCTGCCTGGGTGACAGAGTGACTCTGCCTCAAAAGGAATTTAAAAAACCCTCCAATTGTAAAAATGCACATTTCACAAAGGAAAGTGATATACATGCCCAATAAGAACATGAAAAAAAAATGCTTAACAGTTGCTAAGAAAATAAAAAAGAAAAGTCAGAATTAGATATCACTATATACCCTTTGGAAAGGCTAAAGTTAAAAAAAAAAAGATTGGCAATATCAAGTGTTGGCAAGTATGTGTCACATGAAACTTAATTGCTTAAAAAACTTAAATGTTTCCCTAACCCTTTTAGAATAAAATTTGCATGTATTAGCATGTTATAACTGTTTGTCTTAATTTGATACTGGCCACATGATATTATGCACACACCTTGACTTTCAGGTGAAGACCCTTATCTCTATGCCTTGGCAATCTTCCCTCCGCTGATATCTTTATTCTCATTTTTATTTATATAAAGAATACCTAATTCTTCATGTATGAACTTCTCTGGAAATTCATCCGTAACATCTCCATGGAGGGTTAGAAATTCCCCTTTGTGTGCGACCGTAGCACTGTATAGAAACTCTTACTTTTTAAGAGTCATAACATTATTACATTTCTATTTTACTTAATTTAAATATTATCTTACCCAGGAGAGACTATAAGCCCTCTTGAAAATAGAAATTCTATTAAATTTCCTGTACATTTAAAAAATAAGTACAGTGCCTGAAATATTGGCTCTTAAAGTTGCTTAGAGCTGACTATATAGTCAACATTTATAATTGCTCAATAAACACAGAGTGATAGATGAGCTAATTCATAGGAACAATATTGGCCAGAATTTAATTTTATTATTTTTGGAGACCATAGAAAGAGAAAGACATAAAAGAAGGAGAAGATTATAAATATTTTAACAATATTTTTGTGATGTAGTCTGGATTTTATATGTCTGCGTATGTCTCCAGAAAGAGCTGGGATTCTGTGATGTTTACATTTTGCCTTAGGCTTATGTCAGACATTTATTAGTTCAAGAGCTTCTGATTCAATATTTTTCTGTTTGTGTTAGTGGAATTCCTATGTACCCTGACATCCATGTGTTTGATTCAAATTTTAAACTCTGAAACTGAGAGTTCAAATCTAGATGTCATTAATTAGTTGATAAATTTGGATTGTGTTTTGCCTTGGAGAAGAAATAGAATGGTTACTATTTATGCCTCACTGTAAAAATACCTAGAAATTTCAAAGAACCAAAAATATTACATATTTATTGTGCTTATGTAAATTTCAGCCCAAGGGATCTAGTGCTCTGAACAAAACTAAACTAAATTAAAGTAAACCACAACAATCTTGCCTCAATGGCATCCTTCTCACTGTGTCTTTCCTAAAGCAGTTCATAAATAAATGAGTAGAACATATTCCATTTTCACCTTTAGAGACAACTTCTATATTAAAGATTGAAAAGTTGAACCTTGTATTATTCAGGTCTCTATTAAAAGGTCACTTTATCAAATATTTCATAACCAATAATATAAAAAAGCAGCCTTTCTTGCCCATGAACCATTGCTTTATTTTCTTCTTAATTAATTACACATTTATTGGCTTACAATTTATTGCCTGTCACTCCTTAACAAAATATTTGTTTCATGAAAATAGGAACACTGTTTTTGTTCAATGCAATATTCCTAGTAACATGAATACTGCCTTAACCTTAAAAAGTATGCAAACAATTTTATTAAGTGAATGAATGACCTTGGATATTTTGGCCTGAAAGAAGTATAAATAGGTTTATACTTCATTGCCTGCTGGGTAAAGAAAAAGGAATTTTTATCAGGCTACCCATACTCACTAAATTTATACAAAAGGAAGAAAATTTTTATTTTCTTAATTTTACTCTTAATTTGCCATTTACTAAACTTTGATTTCCTTATCTGTAAAAAAGAAATAATAATACCTACTAGAGATATTACAAAGTCTATATTTGACTCTTGAATTTTGCAAAAAAATTCTCTTTGGTGTGAGATATAAATCTGACCTTTGGAAGGATGAATTATTGGATATCCAGTTAAACACATTCCTGCCATTCCTGAACTTCAGGTAACCATAATCAATAAGTGTGTGACTGTCATATTAATTACCATTATAATATTACTGGTATATATAAGATGCGTCATTTGTATTTATTGTTAATATCTGCATATTTACTATCTTGGAAGGATAAGCATTCTAGATAAATCCACATGGAAAAAAAACAAAAACAAAATTTCATTACGTGCTTTGTATGTTGAAATTTATTAATGTTATCAGTTATTGCAAAAATTATTTCAATAATTAATTGTTCTTACAAATTATGAAGAATTTTAAAATAAGCAAACAAAAATAGACTGACAATATTAAGAACATATATGTTACATAATTTTAGAAAAATACTGCAATCCTTAGTCATTTGTATATAAACATACACATTCTTAGAAACATGTTAATAAGACAGAACAATAATGTCAGATATAATCTTAATAAGTGTAGAACTATATAGAGCACTAGGAGTCCTTTTATTAAATCATAATAGACATATATAGTTTCAGGATACATGTGTTATACATTTATATAATTATTACAGATCGAATCAGTGGACTTGGAATATTTATCATCTTAAATATTAGTCTTTTCTTTATTCTAAAACCATTCAAATTCTTCTTTTCTAGTTATTTTGAAATATACAATAGATTATTGTAAACTGTAGTCACCCTACTATCTAACACTAGATCTTATTATTTCTTCTATCAAACTGTATTTATATCCATTAATCACCTTCTCTTTATCTCCTCTCCCACCTCCCCTTCTCAGCCTTTGGTAACCACCAATCTACTCTAATTTTTTTTTTGAGATTCCATTTTTTTAGCTCCCACACATGAATGAGAAGATGAGATATTTGCCATTATGTACTTGGCTTACTTCACTTAATAACCTCCAACTCTATCCATGTTGCTGCAAATGAAAGGATTTCATTGTTTTACATGGCTGAATAATATTTCATGGTGTATATATACCACATTTTCTTTGTCCATTCATTCATTAATAGGCCCTTAAGTTGATTTCATATTTTGGATATTGCGAATAGTGCTGCAATAAACATGGGAGTGCAGAAAACTCTTCAAAATATTCATTTCCTTTCTTTTGGATATATGCCCAGTAATGGAATTCCTGGATCATATTGGAGTTCAATTTTTAGTTTTATGAGGAACCTCCATACTGGAGGTTGTAATAGTGGTTGTACTAATTTACATTCCCACCAGCAGTATACAAGGGTTATTTTTTCTCTGCATCCTTACCAGTATCAATTACTGCCTGTCTTTCTCATAAAAGCCATTTTAACTGGGGTTAGATTATACTTCATTGCAGTTTTGATTTGCATTTCCCTGATGATTAGTGATACTGAGCATTTTTTCATGTATCATTGAGCATTTGTATATCCTCATTTGAGAAATGTCTGTTCAGAGCTTTTGCCCATTTTTCATTAGATTATATATTTTTTGCTATTCAGTAGTTTGAGCTTCTTATATATTCTAGTTACTAATGCCTTGTCAGATGGATAGTTTGCACATATTTTCTCCCGTTCTGTGGCTTGTCTCTTTATTTTGTTGATTAACTCCTTGGCTGTGCAGAGGCTTTTTAGCTTGAGACAATCTCAGTTGTCTATTTTTGCTTCAGTTGCCTGTGCTTTTGAGGTTTTACACAAAAAGTCTTTGCTGAGACCAAATTCTTGCAGCATTTTTCCATTTTTTTCTAGCAGTTTCAGATCTCAGATTTAAGTGTTTATTTCATTTTTTTGTATACTGAGAGATAAGTTTTATTCTTCTGCATGTAGTTAAGCATAGAGGAATCAGTGTTCTCACTCATAGGTGGGAATTGAACAATGAGAACACTTGCACACAGGGTGGGAAACATCACACACCGGGGCCTGTTGTGGGGTGGAGGTAGGAGGCAGGGGTAGCATTAGGAGATATACCTAATGTAAATGATGAGTTAATGAGTGCAGCACACCAACATGGCACATGTATACATATGTAACAAACCTGCACGTTGTGCACATGTACCCTAGAACTTAAGTATAATTACAAAAAGGAATCACAGTATTAAATAAACGTTAAGAATTCTATCTTTTTCTAGTTGTTTAATTCCATTGAGGCCGTTAGAATTTTTGAAAAGTAAAATTGTATTTTCAAATTCTTCCCATCCAGTATAACTAAATTAAAAGTGCTACATCAATTTCCTGAAAATAGAAAACTTCCAAATGATGTTAAATCATATCCATGATAAATCATCTTTGATCCAGTGGATGAATCCATCTTTGATTCATTACATTTTAATGAAAATGTAAAGATTTATGGAGAATGGGAAATATGGTTAAAGAAAAATTAAGTACCTAGGAAATAAATCATTCCTCTACCAATCACAGCTGAAAATAAGCATTTATTGTGTGCTATTATAAATGCAGGAGCAATCTAGCAGCTAGTGTGAAGAGACACTATTCTTCTCACAGTATAATTTCATAGGTTTAAAACTTGGCTACTTAAATATTTTAGTAAATATAATAATTATAGTCTGATATTTCAAATTTATTCTTTTAATAGAGAGATTTATTTCATAACTACAACTAAGTCTCTGCTTCTAGTAAATACTATTACTTTTCATACTCACCCATTCAGTATTTGACCAATATTAACACTTTGCAAGACTTAAAGATTACATGATTAATTCATGTACAGTGCCTTGTTATAAGAAGTGCAGAGTTATGTAACTATGGTTGATGATCCAATTTTAGTGCTTAAGTGTCAAATAACATGTAAATGCTTAAGTGTCAAATAAAGCATTTTTCCTCCTTTGTTCTTTCTAAAGTAACAATGTGGAATGTCTTTCCTAATTCTTGATACCGTCTTTGCATAAATAACAGTTTATTGTGTTTCCAACATGAATAATATACATTCTTTTTCATGAATTTCCATGCAAAGAATCATTAAAACTGCTTACAGAAACATAAATTCTGATGGGAGGAGCCCTTCTAGATGGCTGACCAGAGGTAGTTGAGTCAACAAAAAGGAAACAAAACAACAAGTAGATAATCACAGATGAAATGGAGCATCTAATAAGGACCATTCAGCAGGGAAATGACAAGAAACATCTAAGGCATGGAAGGACAGAGAAACAATGAAGTTAGTCTAGAGAACTAAGTGAGGCAGCCAGCCTGGCTAGGATCAGCTGGGAGCTAGAAGAGGCTGTCTAGTGTGGGGGAAAGGCAAGAGAGAAATCCTGAGTGGTCCACATTTTCACTGTAGACTTTTGCAGTCCTAGCCACCAGAGAACCCCTTGGCCAGCCATTATAGGCCCTGATACTGGTGCAGGGTGCTTGCTGCCTGGAGTCTGCATAATGAAATTGTTGCAGAGAGAAAACTCATACTCAAACACCTCTAAGACCCAAGCAGCTGCAGCATGGTGTCATTTTGAGAATCCAGGCTCCATCAGAGTGCACTCAGACACCATTGAAACTGATTAAAGCTGAAGAAATCATGTGAAGGCTAGACTGAGTATGCACTCAGAATGAAAACTATTAAAGTATCCTATCCAACGAACTCTATAGATACATTTAAAGGAAAAAGTATTTTCATATGAAAACCAATCCCAAAAAATTGAAAGTTATTATTACACCAGATATCAATGTAAGGACACAAGAAATATGAAAAAGCAAAGAAACGTGACACCTCCAAAGGACACAATAATTATCCACCAATAGATTCCAAAAAAACATATCTATGAAATGCCTGAAAAATAATTAAAAATAATGTGACCAAAGAAATTGAGTGAGATACAAGAGAACATACACATACACACAATACAAAGACATCAGAAAAACGATTCAGGATAGAAATGAGAAATTCAACAAAGAGATAGATACCATAAAGAAGAACTAAACAGAAATTCTGGAAGTGAAGAATTTAATGAATGAAATAAAAAATACAACTGAGATACTTAACAATCATCTAGATGAAGCAGAAGAAAGAATTTGTAATCTCGAGAATCATTCTTTTGAAATAACCGAGTCAACCCCCTGTCCCAAAGAAAAGAAAAGGATAAAAAGAAAAGAATAAAAAAAGAATAAAGAAAGCCTATGGGACATATGCAGCACCATAATGTGAACACATATTCAGATTTTGAGTGTTCTGAAAGAAGAAGAGATGGAAAAAGTCACAAAAAACCTATTTAACAAAATAATAGCTAAAAATTTTTCATGTCTTGCAAGATATATAGAAATCAAGGTACAGGAAATATTAATATTCCCAAATAGATTCAACCTTAAAAGTTCTGAGAAATATTACAGTCAAATATTCAAAAGTCAAATACAGAGATAAAATTGTTAAAAAAGCAAGAGAAAAGCATCAAGACACATAAAGAAAACCCCATCAGACTAACAAGTTTCTCAGGAGAAACCTTAAGGCTAGGATAAAATGGGATAATATGTTCAAAATGCAGAAAGAAAAGAAATGTCAGCCAAGAATGCTATGTTCAACAAAGCTACTCTTCAAAAATGAAGGAGAAATAAAATCTTTCCCAGAGAAGCAAAAACGGAGGGAATTCATCGTCAGTAGACTCCACCTACAAGAAAGCCTTAAGGGATTTCTACAACAGGAAATGAAAGGAAAATATATACCATAATGAAAACACACTAATGTATGAAACTTAATGTTAAACAGGATAGAATAGATACACAAATGAGAAAAACAAAGGACTGAAATGTTACCACTATAGAAAACCACCAAACTACAATAGTAAACAATGGGACAGGAAGAAAGCAGTAAAGGATATACAAAACAACCAGAGAACAATGAACAAAATGACAGAAATAATCCTCACCTAACAATAATAATATTGAATTTAAATGGATTAATTTAGTTGTTTAAAATATATATACTGGATGAGTAGGCTTAAAAATTTGCCCAAATATATGTTGCTTACAAGAAACGCACTTTACCTGTAAAGTGTATATGTGTTTACATATAGACAAAAAGTAAAGGGATGGAAACAAATATTACACACAAATGGAAACCAAAAATGAGCACGAATACCTATAGTTATATCAGATATACAAGCTTGAAGTCAGCAACAGTAAAATGAGGCAAAGGTCATTATAGAATGATAAAGGGATCAATTCAGCAAGAGGATATAACAATTCCAAATATATATACACCCAACACTGTGAAACACCCAGATATATTAAACAAATATTATTATTTTTTTTTTTTGAGATGGAGTCTCACTCTGTCACCAGGCTGGAGTGCAGTGGCACAATCTCGGCTCACTGCAACCTCCGCCTCCCAGGTTCAAGTGATTTTCCTGCCTCAACCTCCCAAGTAGCTGGGATTACAAGTGCACGCCACCACACCCAGCTAATTTTTGTATTTTTAGTAGATATGGGATTTCACCATATTGGCCAGGATGGTCTCGATCTCCTGACTTCATTGTCCAGCTGCCTCAGTCTCCCAAAGTGCTGGGATTACAGGCATGAGCCACTGTGCCTGGCCACAAATACTATTAGATTTAAAGGGAAATAGAGTCCAGTAAAAAAGATGTGGGATTTTAACACCACACTCTCAGCGTTAGACAGATGATCTAAACAGAAAGTTAAAAAAAATTGGATATAAAGTGTACTTTAGTCCAAATGGACTCAACAGGCATTTACAGATCATCGTGTTCAGCAACTGCAGAATACACATCCTTCTCATCAGCACATGGAACATTCTTCAAGATAGACCATATGTGTGCTCAGCAATTTTTAAAATTCAAAATCTTGTCAAGTATATTCTTAGCCTACAATGGAATAAAAGTAGAAATCAAGTCAATATAAAGAAAACTTTGGAAACTGTACAAATACATGGAAATTAAACAATACGCTCCTAAAATAACAATGGGTCACTAAGTAAGTTAAAAATAAAATGAAATAATTTTTTGCTGTAAATGAAAATGGAAACAAAACATACCAAAATGTATAAAATACAACAAAAGGAGTACCAAGGGAATTTTATACCAATAAATGCCTACATCACAAAAGTAGAATGGTTTCAAATAAACCTAATGATGCACCATAAAAACTAGACAACCGAGAGCAAACCAAACTCAAAATTGGTAGAATAAAAATCATAATGATCAGAATAGAACTAAAGGAAATTGTGACTAAAAAAAAATACAAAGGATCAACAAAACAAGTTGGATTTTTCAAAAAGACATACAAAACTGATAAACCACTAGCTAAACAAACCAATAAAAAAAGAATAATTTAAACAAAATCATAAATGAAGAAGGAGACGTTACAAGTGATTGCACAGAAACATAAAGACCACAAGAGACTGCTCTGAACAACTATATGCTAACTATCTGGAAAAACTAGAGGAAATGGATAAATTCCTAGACACAGGCAACCTAACATAATTGAAACAAAAACAAATAGACAACCTGAACAAACAGACCAATTACAAGTAACAAGTTTGAAACGGTAATAAAAACTCTCCTAAGGTGGAGAAAATGCTTAGAACTCTATGGCTTTACTGCTAAATTCTGAATTCTACCAAACTTTAAAGAACTGACACCAATCCTTCTCAAACTATTCTGAAGAATTGAAGCACAGGATATTCTTCCTAACTCACTCTACAAGGACAATACTACCCTGATATCAAAACCACATAAGAAAACAAGAAAATTACTGGCCAATATACCTGATGAACACTGACAGACAAATCCTCAAAAAATTACTAGCAAGTTAAATCCAATAACACATCAAAATATAATACAGCATGATCAGGTAAGATTTATTCTAGGGATGCAAAAATAGTTCAGCATATGTTGATCTAGTTTGAATGTTTATCACCTCTAAATCTCATATTGAAATTTGATTATCAGTGTCAGAGTTCGGGTCCAGTGGGAGCTGTCATGGGGGTGTATCCCTCATGAATGCCTTGAGGTAATAAGTGAATACTTGCTCTACTGGTTCTTGCTATATTGGCATCTAATCCAAGCAGATTTTTGTGTTATGCTTTTTGAACAGCCTGCAGAACTATTAACCAAATAACCCTCTTCTTTATAAATTACCCAGCATCAGATATTCCTTTATAGCAATGCAAAATAAACTAATATATATGCAGGTTAATTTATGTGATACATTACATAAACAGCATGAGGGACAAAATCAGGTCAGCATCTCAACAGATGTAGAAAAAACATTGGATAAAATTCAACATTGCTTCATGATAAAAATTCTGAACAAATTAGGCATAGAAGGACCACACCTTAACATAATAAAGGCAATATATGCCAAAGCCACAGAGACCATTATACTGAATGGGGAAAATCTGAAACCTAAGAATTGGATCAAGACAAGGATGACCACTTTGACCACTCCTATTTAACATAATAGCAGAAGTTCTAGCCATCACAAACAGGCAAAAGAAATAAATAAAATGTGTACAAGTTATTTAAAAAGAAAGTCAAATTGTCTCTCTTTGCAGATGATATGACCTTATGCATACAAAATCTTAAAGATTCTATCAAAAAACTCATAGAACTGATTAACAAAGTCAGTAAATTTGCAGAACATCAAATAAATATACAAAATTAATAGCTTTCTATACACCAATAATGAACTAGCTGAAAAATAAATTTAATGCAATTCTGTTTGTAATAGCTACAAAAAATCTAAAATGTCTAGGAATAAATTTGAACAAGGAAGTGGAAGATATCTACAAAGAATATTACAAAACACTGATAAGAGAAATTGAAGATCACACAAAGAGACATCTCAATGCTCATTGTTAATAATAATATTGCTGCAGTAATCATACAGTCCAAAGCAATCTATAGATTCAATGCAATATTTATCAAAATACCAATGGCATTCTTCATAGAAATAGGAGAAAAGTATTATCAAATTTGTATGAAACCAGAAAAGACCCAAATAGCTAAAGCAATAAGCAATCCTGAGCACAAAGAACAAAGCTGGAGTCATCACATTACCTGAGTTCAAAATATACTACATAGCTATAATAATGAAAACAGCATCATATTGGTACAAAACCAGATACATAGACCAATAAAAGAGAATGGAGAACCTAGAAATAAATCCGTGTATTTTGAACCAACTGATTTTTGACAAAGATGCCAATAACATATATTAGGGAATGGATAGTCTAATCAATAAATCATGCTGGGCAAACTAGATACCCATATATGGAAATGTAAAACTCTACCACTATTTTTCAAGAAATTATCTAAAAATGGATTAAGAAAAACTTAAAAGTAATACTCAAAACTATAAAACTACTAGAAGAACTCACAGGGAAAATGCTTCAGATCATTAGTGTATCAAAGATTTTATGGCCAAGACCTCAAAGTCACAGACAACAAGAAGACCAGAAGAAAAATGATAGCATATTGAACTAGAAGGCTTCTGTCTAGCAAAGAAAACAGTCAACAGCATGAAGAGACAACCTGGTGAATAAGAGAAAATATTTGCAAACTATCCGTCCAATAAAGGACTAATATTGAAAATATACAAAGAACTCAAACAACTCAACAGCAAAAACTACACAATCCTATTAAAAAGTGGGCAGGGCCGGGTGTGGTGGCTCACGCCTGTAATCCCCGCACTTTGAGAGGCAGAGGCGGGTGGATCACGAAGTCAGGAGATCAAGACCATCCTTGCTAACATGGTGAAACCCCGTCTCTATTGAAAAAATACGAAAAATTATCCGGGCATGGTGGCGGGCGCCTGTAGTCCCAGCTACTCTGGAGGCTGAGGCAGGAGAATGGCGTGAACCTGGGGGGCAGAGCTTGATTGCGCCACTGCACTCCAGCCTGGGCAACAGAGCGAGACTCCATCTCAAAAAAAAAAAAAAAAATGGGCAGGCCAGGTGCAGTAGCCCACACACGTAATCCCAGCACTTTGGGAGGCTGAAGTGGATGGATTGCTTGAGGCCAAGAGTTTGAGACCAGCCTGGCTAACATAGCAAAACCCCATTTTTATTAAAAAAAAAAAAAAAGAATGAAAGAAAAAATGGGTAAAGGGAGGGGGAGGCAGAGCAAGATAGCTGAAAAAACTCTCCTGCAATACCTTATCTCCCCAACCCCTGCACTGGAATACCCAGTGGAACAACGATATATGCAAAAATCACCTTCATAAGAACAAAAAATCAAGTTAATGATCACAATAATTGGTTTTAACATCACAGCAAGGAAAGAGGCACCGAAGAGTATAGGAAAGGCAGTCTTGAATTGGCAACACCACCCGTCCCCCATTTTCTGGCAGTGGCTGCATGGCATTAAGAGAGAATCTGTGCACTTAGGGGAGGGAGAGCCCAGCGATTCTGGGACTTTCCATTGGAACTCAGTGCTTCCTGTTATAGTCAAAAGCAGCACTGGACAGAATTCAGCTGGCACTCACAGAAAGAGCATGCAGACCATCCTTAGCCAGAGGGGAATTGTTCATCCCAGTGATCAGAACCTTAGTTCCAGCTAGCACCATCACCACAGGTTAAAATGCCCTGGAGTCCTAGATAAACTTGAAAGGCAATCTAGATCACAAAGACTGTGATTCCCGGGCAAGTCCTGGTGGCGACTTGCTAAGAGTCAGTGGATTTGGCGTACATATGACATAGTGAGCCTCCAGCTGGGGCAGCCAAGGGAGTGCTTGTGTCATCCGTCCCCCAACCCCAGGCTGTGCAGTTTGCAACCCTTGGGAGACTCTTTCCTTCTGCTTAACAAGAGGAAAGGGAAGGGTAAATAGAACTTTGTCTTACAACTTGGATACCAGCTCAGCCATAGTAGAATAGGGCAACAGGCAGACTCCTGAGGTCCTCCTTTCAAGTCTTATCTCTCACATGGCAATTCTAGACACACCCTAGGCCAGAAAGGAATCCACTGCCTTGAAAGTAAGGACTAGTTCTGGTATGATCCATCACCTGCTGACTAAAGAGACTTTGTGCCTTGAATGAACATAAGCAGTAGCCGTGCAGTACTTGCCATGGATGAGATACAGTGCTTTTCTGGCTTAAGGTGTGACCTAGCACATTCCCAACTGTAGTGACAATGTGGGGAGACTCCTTCTGCTTGAGGAAAAGGAAAGGAAGAGTAAAGAGGACTTTGTCTCACAGGTTGGGTACCAGATCAGCCACAGTGGGGTAGAGCACAAAGTGGGCTCCTGCGGTCACCAATTCCAGGCCTTGTCTCATCTATGGGCTTTTCTGGGCCCACCCTGGAATAGAGGAGAGAACAGGCATGGAAGTATTTGCCACAAGCTTACTGAAGAGAGAGACCCAAGCATGGAAGTATTTGCCACAAGGTTATTGAAGAGTACTTGGGACTTGAGTGAACATTGATGGTAGCCAGGCAGTACTCACTGTAAGCCTGTGGTAGCAGTGGCCATGGGGAGAGATTTCTTCTGCCTGAGGAAAGGAAAGAGAAGAGTGGGAAGGACTTTGTCTTGTAGCATGGGTGCCAGCTCAGTCACAGTAGAATAGAGCACCAGTAGAATCTCAAGGTTCCTGACTTTAGGCCCAGGCTCCCAGACAGCATCTCTGGACAGACACTGGGCCAGGGGGAGCTTCTTACCCTCAAGGAAGGACACAAGTCTGGCTAGATTCACCATATGCTGATAGAAGAGCCATTGGGCCTTGAGTGAACATTGGCAGTAATGAGGCAGTGTTTGCCATGGGCCTTGGATCAGACCGAGTGCTGTCCTGGCTTCAGGTCTGACCCAGTACGGTCCCAGTGATGGTGGCCACAGGAGTGTTGTGTCACCCCTCCCCCAGCTCCCAGCAGCTCAGTATGGAGAAAGAGACTTTGTTTGGGAGAAAGTAAGGGAAAAAACGAGTCTCTCCATGTTAATCCAGTGAATCCCCTCTGATCTTACCGGAGATCACCAAGGCAGTACCTCTATGAATTTGCAAGGGCCACATACTTACTCGGCTTGGGGTGCCCTCAACGTAGATTCAGCTGCAGTGACCAAACATTTTGATCAAAACACAATTCCCTTTGAACTCTTGGACAGCCTTTCCAAGAAGGATGGGTACAAATAAGTCCAGACTGCAAAGATGAAAATAAACACCTAACTCTTCAATGTCCAGGTATCAACAAACATCCACAAATATCAAGACCATCCAGGAAAACAGACCTCACCAAACGAACAACCTAAGGCACCAGTGACTAATCCTAGAGTGACAGAATATGTGATCTTTCAGACAGAGAATTCAAAAATAGCTTGAATTGGGAAAGCTCAATGAAATTTAAGATAACACAGAGAAGGAACTCAGAATCTGATCAGATAAATTTAACAAAGAGAGAAAAATATTTTTTAAAATCAAGCAAAAATTTTGGAGCTAAAAATGCAATTGACATACTGAAGTATGCATTACAGTCAATTTATCTGATCGGATAAACAACCTAACATTGGGTCATAAAGAATAAGAAGAGCAAGAGCAAACCAAACCCAAAATTAGTAGAAGACAGAAAATAGTAAAGATAAAAGCAGAAATAAATGAAATCTAAATTTAAAAAAAACACAAAATATCAACAAAATAAAAAGTTGGTTGTTTAAAAAGGTAAATAAAATTCATAAATCTTTAGCTAGACTAAGAAAAAAGAGAGACAATCCCCTCTGAAAAATAAAATCAGAGGTGAAAGGGAGACATTATAACTGATACCACAGAAATTCAAAGCATCATTAGAGACTACAATGAGCAATTATATGTGAATATATTGGAAAATCTAGAAGAAATTGATAAATTTCTAGAACATACAACCTACCAATGTAGAACCACAAAGGAATCCAAAACCTGAATAGACCAATAACAAATTATAGAGTTAAAGCTGTAACAAAATGTCTCCCAGCAAAGAAAAGCCTGGGACCTAATGGCTTCAATGCTGAATTTTAGCAAACATTTAAAGAACTAATAACTAATCTTACTCAATCTATCTGAAATATAGAGGTGGAATGCATACTTCCCAAACTCCTTCAATGAGGCCAGAATAACCCTGATACCAAAACAGACAAAGACACATAAAGAAAACTACAGGTTAATATCCCTGAAGAACATTGATATAAAAATCCTCAACAAAATACTAGCAAGCCGAATTCAACAACATATTAAAAGTAGCATTCACCATGACAAAGTGGGATCTATCCCAGGAATGAAAGGATGGTTCAATATACACAGACCAATCAATGTCATACATTGTATCAATAGAATAAAGGACAAAAACCATATAATTATTTCAATTGATGCTAAAAAAGTTGATAAAATTCAACATCCCTTTATGATAAAAACCTTCAAATATTTGATATAGAAGGAACATATCTCAACATAATAAAGGCTATATATGACAAACCTCTTCAATCTGTACATTATACAACCGAACAGTTACAAGTTCAGAATTTGGAAGAAAAATCTCAGAGAAAACTATAAGAAGAAAGTGAAAGAGAATAATAAAATAATAGAACATACTGGCAAAGATGATTACCACAAAGAAATCCTATTTGAATTGACTTTCATCATTTTTAGCACAATTCTCAATCCTGATCTCTTCAGCAAGTATTTAATTAAAACATGGAGTATCTACCTTGTGCTAAGCACAGTGCTAATCACTGAGATACAACGATAAACAAACCAGACAAATTTCTTGCCCTCATGCAGCTTGTATTTAGCTAACAATTCTTAAAAGAAAGATATTGCTACATTGTTTTATATAGTAACTATGATATAAAAATAAATATGTATTTGGTCTCTGCCTCTGGTTTCTGACCCAGAGATTTAAAAATTCTTATTTCCTGAGTAATGGGGCTGATAGCAGCATCCTACATAGAGTTCCTAAATCTCTTGAAATTTTCTGGGTGATGGGAGGGTCTTTTAGTCTAATAAGGCTCTTGGTGGGCTCCTGGATAGCTTCTTGAGAAGCACTGGTCACCAGAGATATGAAGCCATGATTAGACGGGTAGAATTTTCAGCCCCATACCCTCATCCTCTGGGGAGGGAAGAGTGGGCGGGAAGTAAATGAATAATCCACCATTCATACATGATAATGCTTTCATAAAACTCCCTAAACTACAGGGTTTGGGGAGCTTCTCAGTTGGTGAACACAAACATGCGCTGAAAGGGTAGCACATTCTAACTCCACAGGGACAGAAGCTCCTCTCCTCTGAACCCTGCTAGGCCTTGCTCTATGTACCTCTTCATCTGACTGTTCATTTGTATCTTTTATAATATGCTTTATAATCAACTTGTAAGTGTAGGTAGTGTTCCCCTGAGTTCTGTGACCATTAAGCAAATAATGGAACTTGAGAAGAGAGTTGTGGGAACCCCCTAATTATAGGCTAGTTGGACAAGTGTAGGTATCCTTGGCACCAAATACTTATGGCTGGTGTCTGAAGTGGGGACAGACTTGTGAGAATGAGCCCTTAACCTGTGGGGTTTGCACTAAGGCTGATTTGTTAATGCTAGAATTAAATTAAATAGTTGGATACTCAATTGGTGACTGTAGACAACTGGAGAATTGCTTGATATGAAAAAACCACATTTAGTGTTAGAAGTGTTGTGAGTAGAGAAACACTTTTCCTTACTACTTTAAATGACATTGTGTCTAACAGACGTTTGATAGAAAGGAGAAATATAAAGTTTACATCAGTATAAAGTGACATCCAGAAGGAGTCATTCTTGCATATTTTGGCAAATGTTCATACTTCGAATCATAGAACATATCAGTAAGGACTCAATTCAGATACAGGTTTTGATGTGTTACTATAATTTCAGAACGAATTGGTACATAAAATTGCATATCCATTCAACATACTTTGTCATTTTCAAATAGTTTTTTTTCTGGAACAACCTTCCTCAGAATGTTATGTGGCTGGTAATTTCCTGGTCAGTACTGTTTACAAAAAGAAAGAGCTTTTGAATTGCCATGTCTTCATCCTTTTCCTACCTCAAGGCTTTTCATAGTAAGAGTAAACAAATGTAGTACACTTTCTTGGAAGGTATAGCAATTTCACTATAAAAATGCCGGAAGTGTCAGCTTCAAAGGATGATATTAGTCATTAAATATTTTCTCTATTTTGATTGTAATGTTAAAAAAAAGTTTTTGAAAGGGCAGGTGAAAAGCCAGTTATACATCTTTATAATCATTATATTTCAAGACAATATGAAGGGAGCAGACATGAAAGTAAATGAATGGGATACATTTAGTTAGTATGAAAATATGATAATACAGATTTCAGGTCTAATTCTGTAATTTTTATTTAGTTTCACATACATAGATTAGTGATTATACTTAAAGAAAAACAAAAAATGTAGCTCTAATTTGGAGATGAAAAATCGCACACATGTTCATAATTCTAATTTAAGATTAATGCTGTCCTAATTACACCCAATGAATGTAAGCAGAAATTTTGTCTCCCAAACTAGTTTTGTCTGATTAAATATTTTTGATGTGTTAATGCTAAACTAATAGATATATTGTGAAGAGGTTTCTAGCTAGATTATTACTTCCCATTACATGCATTACCATGAATTGCCTACACTGTCTTCTCTTGTACCCATCAGCCTGTGAAAATTTATTTAATTACATTATAAAGTTGGTGGTGTGAGTACTCTTTGGTATATCTGCTATTCCCCATCCCCCAACAATAATAAACATATTATTATAGTTTGTGACTAACTCATGGTGGTTTAATTATATGGTGACCTAACCAGTTAGCTCTCACAAAGAATTATTATCTTTGTCAAATAATTTTTTAAAGAAATCGTTTTTTGTAACATTTAACTATGCATCATGAAGACAAATAATAAAACCGCTGGAGTCCAAACTTGTTTTTGGATATGCTTGCATAAAATAGATACGACTTAAAGATGCTGAGATGTATAAATCTTGCCAGTAGACTGTTTTTCCTATTTTTATAGATTTCCCGTTATTAAAATGTGTTTATATTTCAGTTAAAAGTGTCAATGATTTAAAATTTACCATATCACTTAAAAATTTTAATAAGTTTTAATCACTGCTGTTGAAACATACTATACATTCTTTTATTTAATGGAAAAAATACCTAATAGAAAACTAAGAGAACTTGGTTTCCATCTTTGATATAAAAATCTTAAACTTGTTAAGATTTTTAAAGCTATTGCCAAAGGATAATTAGCTCTGCCATGGACCAAAACAGGAATGAGATAAAAGAAAGATTTCTGAAAAAAAGTGACATATAAATTTAAATTCAAGACTTAAATGTACTCATGATGGAGGAATTGAACAAAATTGGTTGTAGGCAGCTAGCTCATTAATTAGTAAACTGAATTATTTTATTTAGGATGAAGAGAAAATGAAATGTAGGATTGGATGAAGAAAATGAAAAAGCAGGCTCACAGACTGAGATAACTATGCTGCTAGATTATTACTACTTTTTTTTGACAATTCCATTAGAACTGCTACAAAAATCAAAATGACAGTTTCTTGACTTTTGACATTATATGAGATTGTATAATATGAGATTAACTTTTCGCTTTTATATCACACTTCATAAGAAAATAATCAGAACAATAATATTATCTTTAAAATAGCCATGAAAGAATACACAGGTATGATCAAAAAATTTTAAAACTAAAAATTTACTCATACGTTAGAAATGTAACTAAACATGAAAGAGCTGTTATAGAAAGAGAACTATCACGAATCAGTTCTGATGAAATACTCTTATGAGAATTCCAAAGCTAACTTTATTTAATTTTTTATAAATTTTCTGGATGGCTAAGTCCATTTACAACTTAGCGGAATGCTGGTTTCATTGTAGAGCAAAACTTAATTCATATACTATTTAGTATTTATATATTGGTTGGTATGCAGAAGTTATACTAAGGTAATGTTTTATTATTTATCAAGAAATAATTTGCTATGTAAGGATTCAATCAGTGAAATCAAGTACTTTAAGTATATTATTTTTATGTTATTTCAGCTGCATTATTATGATTACATCTTAGGAGCAGAAATTATTTTATTGCTGCATGTTATGGTATGAATGTTTGTGTTCCCCCAAAATTCATTTATTGAAATCCTAACCCCCAAGCTGATGGTATTAAGAGGTGGGGCATTTGGGGAGGCAATTATGTCATTAAGATGAAGCCCTCACCATTGCATTTAGTGCCCTTATAAAATAGTCCCAGGGGAGCTTTTTTCTGTGTCCTCACATGGTGGAGACTGTCAGTGTCTTCTGTAAGAAAGCAAGTTCTTACCAGACACCTAATCTGCTGGCACCTTAATTTTGAACTTCTCACCTTTCAGAACTTTGGGGAATAAATTTATATTGTTTATGAGCTGCCCTGTTTATGGTATATTGTTATAGCCATCCAAACAGACTGAGGCACTGTACTAAAATTATACAACAGTGTTCTCCCTTTTTCATTGTTAGAACATATGAAATTTCTGTATAAAAACAAATTTTATATTATAGTATGATTAGGGATAATAAAAATATCTTTCAAAAAGCATTTCTTGTTAAATACAAGTTGTAAAAGTTTTAGATTTTAGAAGTTGCCAGAAATGAGGGCTATTCCACAAACATCTAATTAGCAGCAAATTAAAGCCAATTAACAAAACAGGAATTTTCTGTACTGAAGAGGCATAAAATATGCTCCTCTTTAAAGTTAAATTATATAGAGAGTTTTCATGTACTCAATACTTACTCAAAAGTATTGGAAAGTAAAACAATTGGCTTAATTATTGTAAGATTTAAATTTTACATAAATTTTACTTCTCATTAATGCAGAAAATGTCTGTTTTGATGAAGATTGTTTGATAGAAGAAGTATTAATCAAGGTAAAGTGGAGTAATGCAATTATTCTTTTCCTTCGGGAAATATAAACAATAAATTCTGAGACTAGAAAATATTAATTACTACAATATTTTTAAAATTGTCTGGTAAATTATTAAATTTTAAATTTATTTTTGTGACAAATTTGAAAATTGTTTGTAGGCTCCTATGTAAGTTTAATTCAAGTAATTGAAAGTCTGAATATCTATGAGAGGCTAACACCTACTTTCCCAGAAAATACAGTTCTGTTTTTATGTTAAACTGTTTATAACATGACTACACTTTTTTTCTTTTCTCTTTAGGGAGTTCTTACTTCACATAGGAAATCAAATTTAAGATTGGTTAGCCATATGTTACAATTCATTTTTAATCTGTATCAGATGGAAAATATATAGTAGAAATGACATATCGGTCTTTACTCAGAATACTAAAAAACATATAGTCTTCATGACTGAAGGCAGACAACTTGAGTATGTATATTTTTGAATCAAAGGGACAGACAATAGAGGGCAAAAAGACTGTAAGTTTTCCCCAAAGTAATGAAATTTAAAGGTGGAAAATTTTAAATCACTGTTTTAAAGATTTGTCACCTAATTAGCAAAAATAGTGACAATACGATGCAAAGAGACAGAAGGAGCTGGTAAAAATCTGACCTATTCTTGGGCCATATCAGAAATTAAAAATGGTTAATTTGTGAGTGATTTCACCTGTTTGTCCTACAGCAAAACTTGATAATAATTTTAAAAGACAATTTACTACTTTGGCACATAAAGTTAAGTAGAAGCAGTTAAGTCTTCAGCTAAATTTGCTTAAACCTCTAAGAGAGATTGCCTTGAACCATACTTAAATTATACAAATGTTGAGGAACACTAACCTATTTTTTTTTTGCCTCTTCTCAGCAGTGAAGAAACTGAATAGTCAGTGTAGCTGGACTGTGTACCAAAACTTTCTAAACACCAAATTAATGGTGTCCTCAATTTTATATAAGATACTCTAAGTCATTAATCAGAATTAATACAAGTATTTCAATTACCATGAATATATATGAATGGCTTCATATAATTCTTAGGAAAGAATTGAGATATTTCCAGGTGGCACATATAAATTAGCAATGATTATTTTACACTTCTGATAATTAAAGACACAAGGAAGGCAAATTGCTGTGTTTTACCACATTAGCTGGGAAAAAGAAATACAAGTAGCTCTAGGATCTACTGTTTGAAACATATCAATTCATATAATCTTCAATGCTTTTAGAATAAGTTAAATACAACATTTAGAAAATCAGAATCCTGAAGTAATTCGGATATTCTGAAGATAATTTTGGAACATGGACTAACATTTAGCTTTTTGACATATCAACATTTAAAAAAAAATTCATGTTATTAGAATATGAATGTACTTCCTTTCATTCAAATTGCTTATACTACTGCAACAATTGAACAAAGTATTGAATTTTACATATTCAGGCCACGAAGACTAAAATGCTCTTCATTTAATGGCATTTCAGAAATACAGCAAAAAAATTACAAAGGCACCGATTTTTAACATTTCAAATCGAATAAAGAAAAACAAACTCAGATTGAAAAATAATTATTTATAGCTGTAGAATGGAAATGCATTTTCTTGTATTTAAAAGAAACTCACAATTATTTCTTATGGTGGCTCAGGCTTTTACAGTGTTTTATTGTTTACTTCTTTTGTACCTTATGGTAGTTAAATCTTATAGATGAAGGTGTGTATGTATGTGTGAGTGTATATGTAGAAAATAAAGACAGTGTTCTATAATTTAACCTTTGAAGTGGTTTTGAATTTTATGTGAATAAACATTTTTAGGACTCATTCTACTCTCATCTTTTTAATTCTACTAGAAATAATTAGATTAAGACAAATTATCTTAAGAAAGAATTTTATGTTTTTCTTTTTGAAGTTTTTAGATTCAAGGTATACATGTGCAGGATTGTTGCCTGCATATATTGCATGATGCTGATGTTTGAGGTACAAATGATCCTATCACCTGGGTATTGAGCATAGTACCCAATAGTTAGTTTTCCAACCCTTGCCCCCTCTCACTCTCTCCTCTAGAAGTCCCCAGTTTTGACTGTTGCCATCTTTATGTCCCTGAGTACCTCTTGTTTAGTTCCTTTATGTCCCTGAGATCCCATTGTTTAGTTCTCACTTATAAGTGAGAATATATGGTATTTGGTTTTCTGTTACTGCATTAATTCTCTTGAGATAATGGCCTCCAGCTGAATCCACGTTGCTTGAAGGGACATAATTTTATTCTTTTTTATGACTGCATAGTATTCCATTCTGTATATATACCACATTTTATTTATCTAATTCACCATTAATGGGCACCTAGGTTGTTTCCATGTAAACATGTAAGTGCATGTGTCTTTTTGGTAGAATGGGTTGTTTTCTTTTGGATATTAATTCAGTAATGAGATTGCTGGGTTGAGTGGTGGTTCTGCTTTTAAGTTCTTTGAGAAGTCTCCAAACTACTTTCCACAATGGCCGAACTAGTTTACATTCTTACCAACCGTGTATAAGCATTGTCTTTTTTTCACAGCCTTGCCAGTATCTGTTATTTTTTGACTTTTTAATAATAGCCATTCTGACTGGTGTGAGATGGTATTTTATTGTGGTTTTTATATGCATTTCTTTGAGGATTAGTGATGTGGAGCATTTTTAATTAAAAAATAATATTTAAATAGTAATTTGAACTATGTATTTTAATATGAAAAGATTAAATTGAGATAATAAATAGATAAAATTACATGAAAAATTTTTATAATTATCTAATGGATAATGTTCAATTCTGTAAAGTTATATATTTTTAAAATAAAAAGCAGTGATAAAATAATATATACCACTGTAAACAGGACTGGCATGGTTGGGTCCAAGCTTCTACTTTTCTCTAAGAAAGCTTTTTTGGCCTCCAGATTTAAAAGAAACTCACAATTATTTCTTATGGTGGCTCAGGCTTTTACAGTGTTTTATTGTTTACTTCTGTTGTACCTTATGGTAGTTAAATCTTACAGATGAAGATGTGTGTGTGTGTGTGTGTGTGTATGTATGTAGAAAATAAAGGCATGAGTAAAGATAATGTAGATGAAAGATTCTGATTCAATCACTGATTAGAGATTATATAAGTACTTCGAAATTTTGATACTGATACAAAAATCTATGGTATTGTTTTATCATGATGTTAAATGAAATAATTTGTGTAAACTCTTTAGCATAGTGCATTACTCCTAGAAAACAATAAATACAGAGTAACTATTATTACATATGAGATGTCAGTTCCTCATACAAACACATGTCCCACCAATGCCATCCGCTAAAATACTAGAAACAGGACATATAATTTTTTTCTGTTATCAATGTACAGTGAAGGGAGAAATGACCTTACTGAAAATAGATAAAAATAGACTTAATATTCCACAAATAACTTCTCTGTAAAGAAGTAGACTGATACTTATTTTAAAAATTTACATAGCTATGTTCCAAGTTCAAGAAAAGTTATTTTAGACTACAAAATTGATTTTCCTGTTATGTAAAAAATAGCCTTGTATCTGAATCTAGCTGCACAATTTACTCAAAATGTCACCTTGGAATATAAAAGTTTGTTTGACTACCCAAATGAAAATAAAAAGGTAATTTTGAATGTCTCACTGTAACTTATACTGTACTGTGCAAGTTAAAGAATAGAATTTTCACAATTAGTTGTCAAATGATTGCCAAATTGTGCTATAAGTTGATTTAACCCAAATGCAAGCCTATTACTGGTTAAAGTGGGCCCTCTCATTATTTCAGACAAATAGAACTTGTGTCTTCATTTCTGAAAAAAGTCTACATTAAAATGTTAACCAATTAGAATAAAAATTAAAAATGCTATTGTTTATTCAATATTTTCAATTTCTAAAATTAGAATATTTTATAACAGAGGTTTGGCTGGGCGCAGTGGCTCACGCCTGTAATACCATCACTTTGGGAAGCCGAGGCGGGTGGATCAGCTGAGGTCAGGAATTCGAGACCAGCCTGACCAACATGGAGAAACCCCATCTGTACTAAAAATACAAAATTAGCCGGGTGTGGTGGCATGCGCCTGTAATCCCAGCTACTCGGGAGGCTGAGGCAGGAGAATCACTGGAACCCGGGAGGCAGAGGTTGCAGTGAGCCAAGATCGCGCCCTTGCACTCCAGCCTGGGCAACAAGCGTGAAGCTCCATCTCAAAAAACAAAAGGCAAATAGAGGTTCATGAGTAGTAAAATGTCATGTTTTTCCTATTTTATACATATTTTATTTTTGATCATAATCATCACAATTTATTAAATATCAAATGAGTCTCAGGATTATGTTGATTGTGATGGCTAATATTTCTGCCAAGTTGAACTTTATAGTATGCTAAAATACAATATTTTATTTATTTTTTAAATCTGTACGAAAATATTTGACTTAACTGATAGTTTAAATATCTTTGAGTCTTTAAAATAATGTACAATAAGAATGTACAATAAGAATTGTTCATTAAAACAATATGCAATGTACAATATAAAATGATGTATAAAGATATAAAATAATGCACAAGAAAAGCAAATAACCAATTAAAAAAAATGAGAAATAGATCTAAATAGATACTCCATCCTAGAAGATACACAAATAACAAATAGACATATGAAAAGATAGCATCATATGACATTTGGGAACTGCAAATTAAAACAACAATGGGATACCACTATACCACTCTTAGAATGGCTGAAAACCAAAACATGAACAATGCAAATGCTGGCTAAGAGGTGAAGCAAAAGAAAAATTATTCTTTGTTAGTAGGAATGCAAAATGATACAGCCATTTTGGAAGATAGCTTTGTAGTTTCTTCTAAGAATAAACATACTTATACCATAAGATCCAGCAATCTTATCTCAGTGTCTTCCCAAATAAGAGGAAGACTTATATCTACACAAAAACCTGCACATAAATGTTTATAACAGCATTATTCATAACTGCCAAAACATGAGCTTAACCAAGATGTTCTTTAATAGATGTATAGATAAACAAATTATGGTATATCCATACAATGGAATAGTATTCATCTATAAAAAGTAATCCATTATCAAACCATGAAAACACATGAAGAATTTTAAATAAATATTGCTAAGTGAAAGAAGCCCATTGGAAAAGCCTTCATACTGTGTGGCTCCAACTTTATGACGTTCCAAAAATGGCAAACATATGGAAACTATAACATGATCTGTGGTTTCCAAGAGTGCAGGGGGAAACAGGGGAGATATAAATAGGTGGAACACAGGTATATCAGTGAAAATGTTTTGTATGATATGGTGTATACATGTAATTATATATTTGCCAAATCCTACAGAACCATACAATACAAAATGTGAACCCTGATGTAAACTATAAACTTTAATAATAATGTATCTATTGGCTCATCAATTATAACAAATGTGCCACACTGATCCAATATATTAATAGTAGAGGATATGTTGGGGAAAAAGGATCACATGGAAACTCTGTTCCTTCTACTCAATTTTTTCGTAAACTTAAAACTGCTCAAAAAATAAAGTCTACTAATTTGAAAAAAGAAAGCTAATAAAGGCTTAACATCTCTAATCCAAAAATCTGAAACCCAAAATGCTCCAAAATCTGAAACTTTGTGGGCACTGATATGACACCGCAAGTGGAAAATTCCACATGTGACCTCATCTGCCAGGATTCAGTCAAAATTCAGTGCAGAACACACAGTTTATTCAGTACCTGCAAGGAAGAAAAGACCCTCCTAGCCCCCTTCATCTGCAATATATCTTTTCTGAGCATGCCCAGATTCCTCCCTACAACCATGCCCACAAAGGGAATTACAATGGCACATATGTAAGTTTGGATGTGTCAAAGGTAGGTTCCCTATGATGCTCCACATGAGGCCATGACCTACTTGTATTACTCACTGTGTATTATTGATGATTCTCTTTCTGTGGTGTAAAAATGTGGATAATGTCAAAAAGGCATAAAGATACTCCTATGGGTAACAATGATAAAAAAAAGAGGAAGCATTTATGTTTATCTATAGCACAGAAAGTCAAGCTATTGAAGAAAATCAGTATGGTGTTGGAATAACCACCATGTATGACCTGAAGAAACAAAAGAACAAACTGTTGAAGTTCTATGCTGATACTGATGAACACATATTAAGTAAGACTAGAAAAGCACTACATAAAGCTAAAAGTGAATAACTTGAGAGTATATTTAAAGAGTGGGTGTATTAATCTGTTATCACACTGCTAATGAAGACTTACCCAAGACTGAGTAATTTATAAAGGAAAGAGATTTAATGATCTCACAGATCCACATGGCTGGGGAGGCCTCACAATCATCTAGGTGGGCAGAAGATAAAGAAAGAGCAAAGGCACATCTTACATGGTGGCAGGCAAGGGGCCTTGTGTAGGGGAACTCCCCTTTATGAAACCATCAGATCTTGTGAGACTTATTCACAATAATGAAAACAGCAAGGGAAAGACCCACTCTATGATTGATTACCTCCCACCAGGTCTCTCCCATGACACATGGGAATTATGGGAGCTACAATTCAAAATGAGATTTGAATAGGGACACAGCCAAACCGTATCATCCTACCCCTGGCCCCTTCCAAATCTCATCCTCACATTTCGAAACCAATTATGCCTTCCCAATAGTCCCCAAAAGTCTTAACTCATTACAGCATTACCTCAAAAGTCCACATTCCAAAGTCTCATCTGAGACAAGATGAGTGCTTTCTGCCTATAAGCATCTAAAATCAAAAGCAAATTTGTTACTTCCTAAATACAATGAGGATACAGGCATTGGATAAATATAGCCATTCCAAATGGGAGAAATTGGCCAAAACAAAGGGGCTATGGGTCCCATGCAAGTTGGAAATACTGTGGGGCTATAGGCCCCATGCAAGTCTAGAATATTGTGGAGCAGTCAAATGTTAAAGTTTCAAAATGATCTTCTTTGACTCCATGTCTCATATCCAGGTCATGCTGATGCAAGAGGTGGGCTCCCATGACCTGGGGCAACTCTGCCCCTGTGGCTTTACAGGGTACAGCCCTGCTCCCGTATGCCTTCATGACTGGTGTTGAGTGTGTGTGGCTTTTCCAGGCACATGATATAAGCTGTCCGTGGATCTAACATTCTGGGGTCTGGAGGATGGTGGCTCTCTTCTCACAGCTCCGCTAGGCAGTGCTACCATGGAGACTCTGTGTGAGGGATCACATCCCACATTTTCCTTCCACACTGCCCTAGCAGAAATTCTCCATGAGGGTTCCACCCCTGCAACACACATCTTCCTGGCCATCCAGGCATTTCTGTACATTCTCTGAAATCTAGGCAAAGGTTCCCAAACCTAAATTCTTGACTTCTGTGCACCTACAGGCCTAAAACCACATGTAAGCCACCAAGGTATGGGGATTGCACCATCTGAAGCCATGGCCTGAGCTCTATGTTGGTCCTTTTTAGCCATGGCTGGGATCCAGGCACCAAGTCCTGAGACCACACAAAGCAGCAAGGCCCTCAATCTGGACCACAAAACTATTTTTTCCTCCTAGGCCTCTGGGCCTCTGATGGGAGGGGCTGCTGTGAAGACCTCTGATGTGCCCTGGAGACATTTTCCCATTGTCTTGGTGGTTAACATTTGGCTCCTCATTACTTACGCAGATTTGTGCAGGTGGCTTGACTTTCTCCTCAGAAAATGGGTTTTTCTTTTCTATCACATCACAAGGCTACAAATTTTCTGAACTTTTATGCTCCACTTCCTTTTAAAAAATAAGTTCCAATTCCAAAATAAGTTACAATTGTGAATATGTAAAACTGAATGTTTTTAACAGCATTCCAATCACCTCTTAAATGTTTTGCTGGTTAGAAATTTCCTCCACCAGATCCCCTAAATCATCTCTCTCAAGTCAATGTTCCACAGATCTCTAGGGCAGGGGCAAATGCCACCAGTCTCTTTGCTAAAGAATAACAAGAGTCACCTTTGCTCCAGTTCCCAACATGTTTGTCATTTCCATCTGAGACCACCTCAGCCTGAACTTTATTGTCCATATCACTATCAGCATTTTGGTCAAAGTCATTCAACATGTCTCTAGGAATTTCCAAACTTTCCCACAACTTCTTGTCTTCTTTTAAACCCTCCAAGCTGTTCCAACCTCTGCTTGTTACACAGTTTCAAAGTTGTTCCACATTTTCTGGTATCTTTATAGCAGTGCCCCACTCTGGAACCAGTTTACTGTATTAGTCTGTTATCACACTGCAAATAAAGATATACCCAATACTGAGTAACTTATAAAAGAATGAAGCTTAATGGACTCACAGGTCCACATGGCTGGGGAGGCCTCAAAATCATGGAAGACAAGGGAAGTGCAAAGGGACATCTTACATGGAGGCAGGCAAGAGGGCTTGTGTAGGAGAACTCCCCTATATAAAACTATCAGATCTCATGAGACTTACTCACTATCACTAGAACAGCATGGTAAAGACCCACCTCCATGATTCAATTACCTGCCCCTGGATCCCTCCCATGACATGTGGGAATTATAGGAGCTACAATTCAAGATGAGATTTTGGTGGGGACACAGCCAAATCATATCAGTGGGTCTATCAGCTTGTCAGTGAGAACATGCCACTTGATGGTATGCTGATCATGAGACAAGCAGAGACAAATTACGATAAACTGAAAATTACAAGAAACTTTGAATATTGGACAGGCTGGTTTTAAAACTTTAAGAAAAGACACAGCATTAAATTTTTAAAGATTTGTGTTGAAAAAGTATCTGCGGATCATGAAGCAGTGGAGAAATTCATTGATGAGTTGGCCAGGGTCATCACTGATAAAAATTTGATGCCAGAACAGTCTATACTGCTGATTAAATATCACTGTTTTGATATTATTGTTCCAGAAAGACACTGACTACAGCTGATGAGACAGCCCCTACAGGAATTAAAGATGTCAAGGACAGAATAACTGCGCTGGTATGTGCTAATGCAGCAGGCACACCTAAATGGAAATTTGCTGTGATAAGCAAGTTTCTGTCCTCACAGTTTTCAAAAACAAAAAAATGAATTCTTATCAGTGTTTTATTATGCTAACAAAAAGACATGGGTGGGCCGGGCACAATGGCTCACACCTGTAATCCCAGCACTTTGGGAGGCCAAAGCAGGTGGATCACGAGGTCAGGAGATCTAGACCATCATGGCTAACATGGTGAAACCCTGTCTGTAATAAAAATACAAAAAAATTAGCCAGGCGTGGTGGCGGGCACCTGCAGACCCAGCTATGTGGGAGGCTGAGGCAGGAGAATGGTGTGAACCTGGCAGGCGGAGCTTGCAGTGAGCTGAGATTGCACCACTGCACTCCAGCCTGGGGGACAGAGCGAGACTCTGTCTCTAAATAAATAAATAGATATGGGTCACCAGGGACATCTTTTTGGTTAGTTTCACAAACGTTGTTACCAGTGGCTTGTGCTCACTGCAGAGAAGCCGGACTGGATGACAACTGCAAGATTTTATTATTCCTCAACAACTGTTCTGCTCATCTTTCAGCTGAAATTCTCATAAAAATAAAGTTTATGCCATGTACTTTTTATCAAATGTGACTCCATTAATTTAGCCATATGACTGGAATATCATTAGATTAATGAAGAGTAAATATAAAAACACCTTCTTGAATAGCATACTAGTAATAGTGAACAGAGGCATGGGTATGAAAGTTTTCAGAAGGAGTTTAGCATAAAGAATGGTGTATGTGCTGTTGTCAATGCTTAGAACACAGTGACTAAAGAAACAGTTGTGCATGCATGTCTGGCACAACCTCTGGCTTGTCACTATGTACAATGATAATGATGAACAAGGTGGTGATTTTGGAGGATTCTGTCCACCAAGTGAGGAAAAAGATGATTGACCTAATCACACATGCAAAAAAAATGTACCTTCACAGCTCTTAAGTAAGCTGGAAGAAGTAGATATAGAAGAAGTTTTAACACTGATAATGAGGCTACAATACTTTCTTCACTGGCTGGTGGTGAAATAGCTGAAATGGTTCTAAATCCAGGTTATTGTGATCTAGTGACTATAAAGGTGATGTTAACACTGTAGAAAAAGTGCCTATAGACAACATGGTGAAAATGTGTGATGGGCTTATTAAAGGACTACAGTAGCATGCATTCATAAAAGAACAAGAGATCATGTCAGTTTATAAAATCGAAGAGAGAATTCTAAGACAAAAGTTGTTATTAATGAGAAAGTTAACTCTGGTAGAAACATTTTAAAAAGCCATCATGAAGAATGCCTCCTCATCCATGGAGGATCCACTTCCTGGTCCCTAAACAGCTTCTGCTGTTTCTTCTCACCCAAAAAATAAAATAATGTGCACAGTAACCTTTTAGTCAAAATACAGCATCATAGATAGAGACGGAAGGCCTTTTATTGTTTGTTGTTCCAGTTGTTTAACAGCAGATCCAGGTATTCTGGTGATGCTATTGTCCTTAGTTACACTGAACATACTGTTTTTCTCACTGTATTAATGGTATGCCATATTTTTACTATTAAGTTCTTATTTGTAAGTAATAAAATTGGTAGCATATAAATTCAGTCAAGAATGATGGCAATGCCAAACAACCACACTCTTCACAAAGGTGGCTGAGATAGTGTCACCTTTGCTTTCTGATGGTTCAATGTACACAAATTTTGTCTTATGCATAAAATTATTTAAAATATTGTATAAGATTACCTTTAGGCTATGTGTATAAGGTGTATATAAAACATAGATGAATTTCATGTTTAAATTTGAGTTCCATTCCCAAGACATTTCATAATGTATATGCAAATTTTCCAAAATCCAAGATCCAAAACACTTCTGGTCTAAGGCATTTTGGATAAGAGCTACTCAACCTATAGTTATTTAGCATCTCCAAAGTCTTAAAATTAGATTTTTAAAATAAGTTAATATGTTAATTAATTAAGATAATTAGTTAAATAGAAAATTACAGAGAATGGCAAGGTAGTCTTTAACCTGGAAGAGTTTGTACATACATGGATTTAGTTTCAAAAAAGAAATGATTTACTCAAAATGAAGGCAAAGCATCTGTAGTAATTTTAGGCTTTTTAAATTCTTTTTTTTTTTTTGAGACTGTAAAAAACAGAATTTCAAGCATATGTGTGTTTTTTTAAATTGGATATTCTTAATAGGGACAAGCCCCTACTTTGGGATCAGAAGAGTCCTGAGTTTGATCTTTGCCATAGATGACACCCAGCTGTATAACATCAGCAGGTCAATTGCTAAGTTTATTTTCTCTTATTTAAGAAAAGGATAGAAGGGGAGTGGCCAAGCTGGCCAACTAGAAGCAGCCAGAGTGTGTGGCTGTCACAGAAAGGAACAGAAGGGGTGAATAAAAACAACATCTTCAACTGAAACATCCAAGTGCTCTCATTGGGATTAATCAAGGAAACAAATTGACCCACACAGAATGAAGAAAAGCAAGACAGGACAACAGCCCAACTAGGAGCAACACGGAGCCAGGGGACCCTCCCCAACCCAGGGAAGTGGTGAGTAAATGAGTGACCCCAGGAAACCATGCTTCTCCCACAGATCTTTACAACCCTCAGGTCAGGAGATCTCCTTGTGAACCCACTCCACTGGGGCCTTCAGCCTTCAGTCTGACAGAGCTACATGGAGTCTTGGCACAGCAGCCGCTCAGGCATGCATGGAGACACTGGAGCCTTAGATAATTGGGCTTTCTGGCAAAAGTAGCGGCAGCTTCAGCAAAGTGGAAGCTTAGGCTTTTGTATGTTCCCCTAGGAAAGAGGCTGAATCCAGGGGGCTGAGCAGCAATGGCCCCCAGGCCCCACTCCCATGGCACCTCACAATAGAAGCCACACTGGATTGCAATTCCAGCCAGCTACCAGTAGTGGCATTACACTTCCTAAAAAGGAGCTCCTGAGGCAAGGGATGGGCCACCATCTTTGCTGTTTGGGCACCTTAGCAATTCCAGCCTTCAGGCTTTGGAGAGTCTGAGCCAACCTGGGGTGGAAGGGATCCCCAAGCACAGCACAGCTGCTCTACCAAAACTTGTGGCCAGACTGCTGCTTTAAGCCGGTGCCTAATTCCATTCCTTCTCACCCGGTGGGACCTCCCAACTGCGGCATCCAGCCACCCCCACCCAAGCTCTCTAGCCAACAGAGATCTGAATTCCCCCTGGAATGGCGCTCCCAGAGGGAGGAGCAAGCCACCATCTTTGCTGTTGGGCAACTTAGCTGTTCCAGTCTTTGGGCTTCAGAGTGTCTGAGGTGATCGAGGGCTGAAGTGGACCCCCAGCACAGTACAGCTGCTCTAACAAAATGTGTCCAAATGCTTTTTTAAGTGGATCCCCATCCTGTTCCTCCTCACAGGGTGGAACTTCCCAGCTGAGGCCTCCAGCCACTTCTTACAAGTGCCTTTGGGCTGGCAACAGGTCTGTACCTCCCTGGGACAAAGCTTCCAGAGGGAGGGACAGGCGGCCATCTTTCCTGTTTTGCAATCTTCACTGGTGGCACCTCAAGGTTCTGGAAAATCTGAGGTGACTAGGGACTGTAGTGGGCCCTAAGCAAACCACAGTAGCCATACGGAAAAGTGGCCAGACTCACTGGGCAGTCCTCTAGTCTTGGGCCTCCAGCCACCCCCATATCTCCTCACTGGGCAGGTCCTCTACGCCTGGGCCTCCAGCCACCCCCCATCCCCACCAGAGCTATTGAGCCAGTACCAACTCAGCAACTCCCTGGAAAGAGCCTCCAATGTCAACTGAAAGCTTCTCAGCCACTGCCTCTGCAGTGGAACTGCTCTTGCCACCCTCAGACTAATGAAGGAGCAAAGGCCCTTCTCCACACCTCCAACAAGCTGCAGTTGACCCAAGGAGAGAAGGCCAGTTATTTCCCATGGGTCCCACACACACCCCATGGCTCACCACCAGACAGGTTTCTCCTTGCTTGGGCCCACAGCACAAACCCTCCATCTTGGGCTGACTGCACTGAGTGACTGCTGACCTGCATATCTCTGAGGTGGAACCCCCGGAGTCAAGCAAACTACCTTTGGCCACAACTACTGCTAAAATTTCTTCCTCTGCTACCTCTAAGCTGGAAAGGGAACATAAATACTGTAATCACCCCAGCGCTGCAATGGGCAGCCCAGGAGTGCCAAGTTGCGAACTATAGCCAGCAATCAAGGGGGAGAGAAACCCACACTTTCAGAGCACCAAGAGGGAACAAGGCTGCAACTGAGAGGAAACAAAGGGGAGCCACACAACCAAACAAGAGTCTACCAGCTGACCTATAAGCCTAAGTGTCACCTGCTGGATAACACCTCAAAGCTTCAACATCAAAAATACCTCACTAACATACCCCGCTCTGAAACCAGAAACAAGAGGTCAGCTTCAAATTAAGACTGTACACATAGCCTCAGCCAAATGAAAACATTCAGAAAAGAAGCCTACTGACTGTACTCAATCCCCACGGCAGTTAAAGGATCACCCACATGCTGATGTGAGAAAAAAACAATGCAAGAACTCTGGTAACTCAAATGTCCAGGGTGTCATATGTCCTCCAAATGACCACACCAGTTCTCCAACAAGAGTTCTTAGCCAGGTCGAACTGGCTGGATTGACAGAAATAGAATTCAGAATATGAATAGGAACAAAGATCATTGAGATTCAGAAGGATGGGGAAACCCAATCCAAGGAAAATAAGAAACACAATAAAGTGATACAGGAGCTGAAGGATGAAATAGCTGGAGTAAAAGAGAACCTAAGGAGTCTGACAGAGCTGAAAACAAAATACAGGAATTTCACAATGCAATTGCAAGTATTAACAGCAGAATAAATCAAACTGAGGAAATAATCTCAGAACTTGAAGAATGGTTCTCTGAAATAAGACAGTCACACAAAAATAAAGGAAAAAGAATAAAAAAGAATGAAGGAAACCTCCGAGAAGTATGGAATTATGTAAAGAGGCCAAGTCTACAAATCATTGGTATCCCTGGAAGGGAGGGGGAGGCAGCAAACAACTTGGAAAATATGTTTCAGGATATCATCCATGAAAACTTCTCCAACCTTTCTAGAGAGGCCAACAGTCAAATTCAGGAAATACAGAGAACTCCTGGAAAATTCTACACAAGAAGAGTATCTCTGAGACACAAAATTGTCAGATTTTTCAACAATGAAAGGAAAGAAAGAATGTTAAAGGCAGCTAGAAAGAAAGGGCAGGTCACCTACGAAGTGATCCCCATCAGGCTAAAAACAGACCTCTCAAGTGAAACCTTATAAGCCAGAAGAGATTGGGTGCTTATATTTAACATTCTTAAAGAAAGAAATCTTCAACCAGGAATCTCATATCCAGTCAAACTAAGCTTCCTAAGTGAAGGAGAAATAAGACCCTCTTCAGATAAGCAAATGTTGAGGGACTTTATTACCATCAGACCTGCTTTATGAGAGATCTTACAAGGAGTACTAAATATAGAAAGAAAGTACTGCTACCAGCTAATAAAAAAACACACTTAAACACACAGAACAATGTCACACATAAACAAGCCAACCTAATAAGCACAACAAGCCAGCTAAAAGCACAATGACAGGATCAAATCCACACATATCAATACTAACCTTGAGTGTAAACAGGCTAAATGTCCCGCTTAAAAGACAGAGTGGCAAGATGGATAAAAAAGCAAGACCCAATCAATGGTAGGCTGTCTTCAAGAGACCCATCTCCCATGTAATGACACTCATAGGCTCAAAATAAAGGGATGGAAAAAAGCCTCCAAGCAAATGAAAAAAAGCAAAAAAGCAGGGTTTCAATTTTAATTTTAGACAAAACAGATTTCAAACCAACAATGATCAAAAAAGACAAGGGAGGGCATTACATAATGCTAAAAGGGTTCAATTCAATAAGAAGACCTAACTATCCTAAATATGTATGCACCTAACACGGGAGCACACATATTCACAGATACTTAGGGTGAAGATGAGAAAAAAAAAACTCCCCCTGCTTCCTTAAGCGGTAGAAGAATTTAACCATTTCAAATACACTCATTGTGTTCTGTTCTCAATAACAAAGACCTGTTCTCAAGGGAAACTGTTTTGCCAGAGCCTAACCTACCTACAGAGAAAGGGAAGATAAATACCCATCTCCAGCAACCCTCAGGATTCCTGTCTCACCTAAGGGGATTGAAGGGAAGCTGAGTTCTTGTGAAGGTCACAGCTTAGAGATACTGGGCCACTTAAAGACTGAGATATGATGTGGGAATACAAAATGTTTCTGACCCCTCAACCCTTGCCCCTGTATCTACAGACCTCCTGTATGATAACTGAAAATTAAAACTGAAACAAATGTAAGATTCAACCTTCTTCAAGAAGGAATCTCTAGGAAAACTGAAAAGTAATGTGAGAGACAAAAATGAGGTCAGAAGAGGAAAATTTAGCCCCTGATAACTACAGTTGTAACGAATGGTAAACACAGTCTAACTCTTAGCCAGAAAATCATAAACCCTAAGATGACTATAAACTTTTTTAACTTAGTAATATGTATTTAAGTTTCATCCATGTAATTTTATGGCTTAATAGCTCATTTCTTTTTTATTGTTAAAGAATATTCTGTCATATGGGTATGTTATAATTTATATACTCACATATTGGATTATATCTTGTTGCTTCAAATTTTGGGTAATTATGAATAAAGTTTTTAAAAACTTACACGTGCACAATTTTGTGTGGACATGGGTTTTCAAATCAGTTAGGTAAATGGATAGGAGTGCAATTTCTGAAAAATGTAGTAAAATTTTGTTCTTCTCTGTAAGAAACTGCCAAGCTCTTTTCCAAAGTGTCTGTATTATTTTGCATTCCTGCCAGCAATGAAAGAGATTTCTTATTGCTCTACATTCTTGCTAGCATTTTGTATTGTCAATTTTGTTTGATTAAAGCCATTGTAACAGGTATATAATGGTATCTTATTTTTGCTTAAATTTGCAATTTCTTAATTACATATTATGTTGAGCATTTTTTTCATGTAGTTATTTATCATCTGTATACCTTCTTTGCTGAGGTGTCTGTCAAGATCTTTTGCCTATTTATTTATTTATTTATTTATTTTAACATTTATTTTCATTTCAGTGGTACATGTGCAGATTGGTTTCATAATTAAATTGTATATTGTGGTGGTTTGTTGTACATATTACTTCGTCATCCAGTTAATAAGCATAATGCCAAATAGATAGTTTTTCAGTCCTCACCTTCCTCTCACCCACCAACCTCAAGTAGGCCCTGGTGTCTATTATTTCCTTCTTTGTGTCCTTGTGTGCTCAGTTTCGAGCTCTCACTTGTAAGGGAGAACATGTGGTGTCTGGTTTTCTGTCCTAAATTAGTTCAATTAGGATAATGGCCTCCAGCTCCATCCATGTTACTGCAAATGACATGACCTCATTCTTTTTTATGACTGCATAGTATTCCATGGCATATATGTACCACATTTTCTTTATCCAATCTACCATTGATGGGCATTTAGGTTGATTCCCTGTCTTTACTATTGTAAATGGCTGGAATGAACATATGTGTTTATGTGTCTTTATGGTAGAATAATTTATATGACTTTGGGTATATACCCAAAATGGTATTGCTGGGTTAAATGGTAGTTCTACCTTCTTTGATAAATCTCAAAAGTTCTTTCCACAGTGGCTGAACTAGTTTAGATTCCCACCAGCAATGTATAAGCGTTCTCCTTTCTCTGCAACTTTGCCAGCATCTACTGGTTTTTGACTTTTTAATAATAGCCCTTCTGACTGGTGTGAGATGGTATCTATCTCATTGTGATTTGGATTTGCATTTATCTGATGATTAATGATGTCGAGCCTCTTTTCATATGTTTGTTGGCTACATATATGTCTTCTTTTTAAAAGTATCTGTTAATGTCGTTACTTTTTAATTAGGTGGTTTGCTTTTTGATTGTTAATTTGTTCAAGTTCTTTATTGATTCTGGATATTAGACCTTTATCAGATGCATAGTTTGCAAATATTTTATCCCATTTTGTGGGATATTTATTTACTCTGTTGATAGTTTCCATTGCTGTGTAGAAACTCCTTAGTTGTATTAGGTCTCATTTGTCAATATTTATTTTTGTTACAATTGGGTTTGAGGACTTAGTCATAAATTCTTCCCTAAGGCTGATGTCCAGAATGGTGTTCATTAGGTTTTATTCAAGGATTTTTATAGGAAAGGGTCCAGATTCAGTCTTCTGCATATGGCTAACCAGTTATCCCAGCACCATCCACTGCTTGTTTTTGTCAAGATCAGATCATTGCAGGTATGTGACTTTATTTCTGGGCTCTCTATTCTGTTCCATTGTTCTATGTGTCTCTTTGTACTAATATCATGCTGCTTTGGTTACTGTAACCTTGTAGTATAGTTTGAAGACAGGTAATGTGATGCCTCCAGCTTTGTTCTTTTTGCTTATGATGCTTTGGCTATTGTGCTCATTTTTGGTTCCTTGTTAATTTTAGAATACTTTTTTCTAATTCTGTGAAGAATGTCATTGGCAGTTTGATAGGAATAACACTGAATTTGTACGTTGCTTTGGACATTATGGCCATTTTAATAATATTAATTCTTCCTATCTATAAGCACAGAATGTTTTTCTATTTGTTTGTGTAGTCTCTGATGTTTTTCATCAGTGTTTCATAATTCTTATTGTAGAGATCTTTCACCTCCCTCATTAGCTGTATTCCTAGGTATTTTATTTTTGTGTGTGGCTATAGTGAATGTTGCTCATTTTTAAAATTGGGTTGTTTATTTTCTTATTCTTGAGTTTCAAGTGTTCTTGTATATGTCGCATATATATCAGATATTTGTTTTGCAAATTTTTTTTCTGAGTCTATGGCTTGTTTCTTTTATTCTCTTTGCAGTGCCTTTTTCATAGTAAAAGTTTTTAATTAAAAAAGTTTCATATCATGTTTTTCTTCATGGTTTGTACTTCTGATATTTTATCTACAAAGTCAAGCCAAAAGCAAGATCCCCCATATTTTCTTCTGGAAATTTTATAAGTCTAGGATGAATTCTAACTTAATTATTTGTGTAAGGTGCAAGTTCAATGAGGTACATTTTTGTATATCAATGTCCACTTATTCCAACATCATTTGTTGGAAAAACTAATCCTTTACATTTAAATTGCCTTTGTCAAAGATCAGTTGACTATATATGTTTGGGTCTATTTGTGGCATTTATATTTTGTTCTATTTATGTATTTCTATATTCTTTGACCAATACCATGCTGTCTCGATAACAGTAGACATATAGTAAGCCTAGAAATAGATTGTGTACATCACATATACTCAAACTTGGTTCTTCTTAAGTTTTTGTTGGCTATTCAAGGTCTTTTCCCTTTTTGTATAAACTTTAGAATAAATTTTGTTTAATGTGGCATTGAATCAGTAGATCAAGTTAAGAAAAATGAACTTTTTAACAATATTGAGTTTTTTTATCCTTTCTTTTCTTTTTTTTTTTCTTTTTTTTTTTTTTTTTGAGATGGAGTCTTGCTCTGTCACCAGGCTAGAGTGCAGTGCAGTGGTGTGATTTTGGCTCACTACAACCTCCGCCTCCCAGGTTCAAGTGATTCTCCTGCCTCAGCCTCCTGAGTAGCTGAGACTATAGGCATGCACCACCACACGCAGCTAATTTTTGTAGTTTTAGTAGAGATGAGGTTTCACCATGTTGGCCAGGATGGTCTCAATCTCTTGACCTTGTGATCCACCCACCTCAGCCTCCCGAAGTGCTGGGATTATAGGCATGAGCCACCGTGCCCGGCCAACAATATTGAGTCTTTTAATTCATGAGCTATTTTTCCATATTTAGAGCTTCTTCAACTTTTTTCATTAGTATTTTATAGTTTACTCATATATTGGTTTTTAAATATATTTTGTTAGATTTATACCTGAGTATTTCCTTTTTAGTGATATTATAAATGACCTGTTTTCAAATTTCAAATTATAAATATTCCTTGCTTGTATATAAGAAAGCAATTGAATTTTTTTTTTTTTTTTTTTTTTTTTTTTTTTACTGTAAGCTCTGGGATACATGTGCAGAATGTGCAGGTGTGTTACATAGGTATATATGTGCCATGGTGGTTTGCTGCACCTAACAACTCATCATCTAGGTTTTAAGTCCCACATGCATTAGGTGTTTGTCCTAATGCTCTCCCTCCCTGTATTCCCCACTCCCCAACAGGCCCTGGTATGTAACGTTTCCCTCCCTGTGTCCATGTGTTCTCATTGTTCAACTCCCACTTATGAGTGAGAACATGCAGTGTTTGGTTTTCTGTTCCTGTGTTTGCTGAGAATGATAGCTTCCAGCTTCATCCATGTCCCTGCAAAGGACATGAACTCATTCTTTTTTTTATGACTGCGTAGTATTCCATGGTGTATATGTGCCACATTTTCTTTATCCAGTCTATCATTGATGAGCATTTGGGTTGGTTCCAAGTCTTTGCTATTGTAAATAGAGAAAGCAATTGACTTTTATATGTCAACCTTATATCCTGCAACTTTGCTATAATTGCTTATTAGTTCTAGGAGTTCTAGAAAATTTTAAATAGATTATTTTTTTGTTGAAGATTAAATATTTCTGTTCATACTCTTCTTTCTTGCATGTTTTCTGGCAGGAAGTATAATTCTTATATTTATTCCTTTACAGCGAATGTCTCTTACTGCCCCCACTTTGATGTATGTATGTGCCAGTATGTATGTAAGTATGTGCCAGTAAGACATAATAAGGCATATAACTTCTTAAGATTTATTTTTGACCATTATGAATTAAAAGGAGAAATCAGTAACAAATTTCTGGAAAAAATACCAATGAGAAATTAAATAGTGCCTGTATATTGGATAAAGGGCATAAAATATATATTTCTAAATTATTTATAGAATAATGAATATTGCATCAAATCTTATATGAAGTAGTGAGAGACAAACGTACTGGAGAAATCCAGTCTTAAATTATTTCATTTGGAAATAGTGACTGGGAGGCCAAGGCGGGCGGATCACGAGGTTAGGAGATGGAGACCATCCTGGCTAACATGGTGAAACCCCATCTCTACTAAAAATACAAAAAAAAAATTAGCCGGGTGTGGTGGCGGGCGCCTGTAGTCCCAGCTACTCGGGAGGCTGAGGCAGGAGAATGGCGTGAACGCAGGAGGCAGAGCTTGCAGTGAGCCGAGATCATGCCACTGCACTCCAGCCTGGGCTACAGAGCGAGACTCCGTCTCCAAAAAACAATAAATAAATAAAATAAAAAATAAATAAAAGGAAAGTTCTGAGTCATCATAGGAAGTTAAAAGAAATCAGCAAAATCTGCCTAAGAAATATAAATAAATAAATAAAATAAAAATGAAGTTATCTTAATTCACCTATGGGCTGTGGAACAGAAATCAAGCAACTCATTATTAGAATAATTCTTTATTTGAAATTAGTGGGCTTCAGAAGTTTCAAAGGAGTATTCCAACTTGAGGAAAAGGGCTGGTTTTTTTTTGTTGTTGTTGTTGTTTTAAATAAGATGGTCACCTGATTTATAGCATAGTTTCTGGAAAATTCTCTCAAGAAATAAATTGCTCTTTTGAATTACTCGCCATTGTTTTTGCAATTTAGATTGTATCAAGGGGGTGGAGAGCAGCATTTAGGGGATTAGGTCACACGTAAGAGGGAGGAGGAGGAACGGCTGTCGGCTACGATTACATGAGTGGGCCACAGAGGAAAGTTTCCAGTTCTTCAATATCTCAGGCATGAGGTAAATAAACCTGTTGACCAGACTCTAAGGTGTTCTTTACTTCATGGTCCCAGGCTTCTGGTATTCATGCGTTCATATAATCCTTGCTCATAACTTCTTTGTGACTATTAGGATATGTCACAGATAATGGGATGAAATGCTCATGATTATGTTATTTTATATAAAAGACTCCATCTTGCTAGCCGACTCATTCTAGATGCTCTCTTTGTTGGTTTAATAGAATAAGTGGGGATATTGGGAAAGTGTATGTGACAAGGAAAAGCGAGAAGCTTATAGGAGCTGAGGATGACTGCAAGCTGACAAGTAGCAGGATGTTAGCATGCTCAGTCTTACAACCAAATGGAAATTGATACTGTCAACTTGGGTGGGCTTGTAAGCAGATTCTTCCTGGCCAAGCTGCTATATGCAAACACAGACCAGACCACAGCTTTATTACAACGCTGAGCTACTCAAATCAGGGGACTCAGTTAAGCTGTGCCTAGGCTTCTGACCCATAGAAACTGAAATAATAAATGTATGTCATTTTAAGCCATAAAGCTTGTGGTAAACTGATGTCCAGCCATGCATAAGTCACACAATGCCAAGGAAAAAAAAAACCTAGAAAACTGTAACATTGGTGAAAATCTATCTGTTTTCATACATGGGAGATTTTACTAAGCACAGAATGGTGAAAGACAAAATAGAACTATTGTAAATTTTAATACATATAAATTAAGAACTGCCTATAATAAAGGAAAATACACATAATATCACACAGCAATGTGCATATATTTGCAAAAATTAAATTGCATATATAGGTGCAATGTGTGTAACAAAGACAGTATAGTCAAATGAACAGCAAAAAGATGAACAACAAAACTTAAAAATTAATAGTTTTAGAAATTAATTCATTAAATAAATTATAGGAGGAAATATGTGTAAATAAAATTAGAAAGAAATAAACGTGAAAGTGACAATTATAGCAAGGTATAATTTTCTATCAACTTAGCAAAAATTTAAAATGCTTCTGTTTTTGGTGCAGTTAAATTGGCACAATTTTATGGGAGTGATTTTAAAATGTATATAATTAGCCTTAGATTATACTGTAGCACATCCTCTTAACAGTAGATTTTCCCTGGAATTCTTTTCAAGGAAATAAAAAATTTACTCATTTAACAAATAAGTGTATAACTTTATAAATTTTTACTAGGTGAACACATTATTATAACAGCATACAGGTTGAAAAACACATTACTTTCACTCCATAAACCACTTATGCCTATTTCCAGTAATTACTATTTTTCAACACCCAACTCTAAAGAAAGTATCCACTATCCTGATTTCACACACTCTCACTTACCTGACTTTTTAATTATAACTGTTTTGATGAGTGTGCAATGTAACTTGTGGTTTTATTTTGCATTTTTCTAATGGCTAAACAGATTAAATACCTTTCCATTATTTATTGGTCATATAAATATCTTCTTTTATGAAATCCTGGACAAGTTATTGGCCATTTTTCTATCACATTTTATTTTTGTTTTATTGATTGTCGAATTTCTTTATGTATTCTGAAAGAGTCGTTTGTTGGATAAATATACTGAAAATATTTTTGCTCATGCTTTGGTTTGTCTTTGCACTTTCTCAATGTGGTCTTTGACAGAGAGTTCCTATTTTAATGTAGCAAAATATATCAACTCTTTCTTTATGGGTCTTGCTTTAAACGTCCTATTTAAAAAATAGTTACCTACCTTTAGGTTTGCAGATCCTCTTCTATGTTTTCCTCTAAAAGCTTTCTTTGCTTAGCTTTTAAATTCGTATTGACAATTCATCTGAGATTTATTTTTAAGATTTGTGTTAGGTAGAGATTAAGATTCTTCCTTTCCCCAGTCCCCACTCCACCCACATAAAGAGATCCAGTGTATATGTATCCAGCACCATGTATTAAGAAGATCCTTTTTCATTTGGAAATCAGTGTCTTCTTCTTTGTAGTTGCAATCCTCTAATGGTACCTGGATCTTTCTGGTGGCCAGCACTCAACCTGAAGCTATCTAGGGATGCCCCCTTGCCCCCTACCACCAGTCTCATTAGCATAAAAAATCACTGTTATTATTCTGGAGGTTCCAAGAGTCTTACGCTCTTGTGTAGAAACTGGGGACAAAGACCAAATATTATTAACAGAAGATGTCCCTGCAACCCCCTATCACTCAGGAAGCTACAAAGGTTTTTATAAACTCTATTACAGGAAACTGGGACAGAGACCACATATATATTCATTTTAGGGTACAATACCACATTTAAAATATTGTTAAATTTTATTTTTAAGTTGTTGATAATATAGAGAACACAAATAATTTTTATATGTTAACTTTGTAATTTTAAACCTTGCCAAATTCCCTCAATAATCCTAACAGTTTGTAGTTGCATTCTTTGAAGTCTCTATATATATGACCATTTCATCTGTAAATAATGATAGTTCAAATCCCTATACATTTTATTGTATTGTATTTGCCTTATTGCACTCTTTAGAACTTTTCTTATAGTATTGCACCATATATCTCTTTTAATTTCAATGTCTTTATATTCTTAAGGATTTGCCTCTTGAAAGAGAAGGCAGTTGTGTTTGCGTTTGTTTTCTATGCAGTCTGACAGTCTTAGTCATCAAATGGAATCTTTAATTTATATGTATATTTAATGCAGTTATTGTTATTGATGTATCCTAAATTTTTCTGTATTTTTATTTTTTTCACAGTACTATGTTCTCCTTTCCTCCTTTTTTGATTTGTTTTGGATTAAGGGTATTTTATCATTCATTTTCCCTGTGATTACCTTGTTAATTTTACATTTTTTAGTTGTTTTTAAAATATATTTTCCTAGAGACTAAAATATGTATCCTTGGATTTTAGCATATATCAATAATTTTAGAAAGTAGTCATAAAAATTGCCAAAAACATAGAAAACTTACTCCCACTAGTTTTTATAATTCATGTCATGTATTTTGACTCTACCTATATTAAAACCCACCAGACATCATCATCATTATTATTGTAATTGTAGTACTTAGTAGGTTTTGATTTGATTGCTTGTTCAGTGGCTTTTCTTTCTTTATTACTTGGTTTTTGCTTGAGATCATTTTTTTGTCTGTGTGAAGAATTCCGTGAATAACTTGTTTACTGCAGGTGCATTGATGAGAAATTTTGTTTTGGTTTGAATACAAAATTCTTTATTTCACCTTCACCATCTAAAAATGTACACTATAGCAGCGAGCCAAGATCGTGCCACTGCACTCCAGCCTGGCAATAGAGTGAGACTCCGTCTCAAAAAAAAACCCAAAACAAACAAACAAAGAAAACCACTTGGGGAGGCCGAGGCGGGGGGATCACGAGGTCAAGAGATTGAGACCATCCTGGCTAACACGGTGAAACCCCGTCTCTACTCAAAAATACAAAAAATTAGCCGGATGTGGTGGCGGGCGCCTGTAGTCCCAGCTACTGAAATGGCTTAATACAGTATGCTAACATGAACACCTGTGTTACCTTACCCAAGTGAAGAAATAGACGTTTGCCAAACATCTTACACATCTCGTTCATGCGCCTCAACCCAATCCAACATCCTTCCTCTTCCTAGAGAAAATAATGATTCTATCAACTGTATTAATCATCTCCTAGCATCTTTACAAAAAGTCCTACATTCTTTTAAAGAAATATTATTTCAAGACAAAAATCTGTAAGGTAAGGATGGTACTTCCCATTGATTTAGTCATTTTTCTTGGCAATTTCAGTGTACAGAGCTAGGGTACAAACATATATATTCATGAGTTCATATTAAAATTCTAATTCAAAATTAAACCACAGAGATTTTATTATTCTACTCTCTATTACATTGTATTTACATGTTGAGTACATTGGTTCTAAGGAACATAGATATTGATAGAAATAGAATACAGCCATAATTAAATGTAAGATTACATATTGAGTATATTGGTTCCAAGGAACATAGACATTGATAGAAATAAAATATGCCATAATTCAATCTAAGATTTATTTCATATTTTATACACTTAACAATACTAATGATATCACCAATAGAATTATAGAAAACATAAAAATTTTCATATGCTTCTGTCATTCTTCTCATTTTAAAAAACTTATTCTATATCTACATTGATATAACTAACATCTATTTATTACACAAAATATACTGCTCCTCTCAAAACTCATTTAATCTTAAGTGGTTCTATATGTAATAATTAATAAATGCTCACCAACCTTTCTTATCACACTTCATGGTGATGTCCTTCCAGTCATTTTGATTTTCTAAAGCTTATTCCCTGGCAAGATACTTTATGAAATTTTCAAGCAAACACAATTCCCTGATTTTTTGCATGTTGAAAAGTTTGTTATATTTATACTTTAGATTAAGTTTCTATTTTTTAAGATAAAATTCTTTACTTATACCTGCATTTTTTTACTATTTAAATATTCCAATTTTCACTGGCGTAAAAACTTGTTCTTAAAACATCTGATGATAATCTAATTTTCTTTCCCCTTATAAGTCATGTTCCTTCTTTTAGAGCACCAAAGATTTTTAGAAAAAAATGCATGCAATAATTTTACCAGAATATACTTTGGTGTTGAAAATTTAGGTTAATATTCTCAGTTTTGTGGGCCCCTTTCAAAATATAGTTTTAAATTCCATTTGAGAAAATTTTTTTGAATTATATTTTTGGTATTGTCTTATTTCTTCAATTTGATTTTCCTCCCCAGATATTACACATATTCAGATGTTCAAAATTCTTAGGCAATATTAGCATTCCTCAATTTCCTAGAAGTTTTCACATCTTTTAAAAACTTATTTTATATTTTTAAAGTTCTTTTCCTTTTGATTTTTTATTCTGCTTGACACATTTTTTTGTGTTCATTTGCTGTGTGCTTCTTCTATTTAAGCCTTCCTTTTTAAAATAAATTTTTCTCTTTTTAATTGACTTCTGTGCTTTCCATTTTTTATATTCTTTCTTATCTTCTATAATTTTCTTAATATTCTTTATTTTGTTTTGAAATAAGTTATAGTTTTGTTTTGTTCTGTGGGCACCTATTTCTAGCATGTTTTCATAGTCTGTAAGAATGTTACATTAATCTACTCTCACGCTGCTAAAAGAACACCTGAGACTGGGTAATTTAAAAAGGAAAGAGATTTAATTGGATCACACTGAGGCATGGCTGGGGAAGCCTCAGGAAACTTACAATCATGGCAGAAGGGGAAGCAAACACGTCCTTCTTCACATGGGGGCAGGAGAGAGAAGTGCAGAGTGAAGGTGGGAATAGACCCTTAAAAAACCAACAGAGCTTGTGAGAACTAAATCACTATCACCATAACAGCATGGGGGAAACACACCAATGATCTAATCATATCCCACGAGGTCCCTCCCTCAACATATGGAGTTTACAATTCACATTACAATTGATGAGATTTGCGTGGGGACACAGAGCCAGACCATGCCATTCTGCCCCTGATCCCTCCCAAATTTAGTCTTTCTCACATTTCACAACACAATTACTCCTTCCCAACAGTTCCCTAGTCTTAACTCATTTTAGCAGTAACCCAAAAGTCCAAGTCCATAGTCTCATCCGAGGCAAGGCAAGTTCCTTCTGCCTATGAACCTGTAAAATCAAAACCAAATTACTTCCAAGAAACAATGGGGGTACAGGCATTGGTAAATAACTCCTATTTCAAATGAAAGAAATTGGCCAAAACAAAGTCGCTATGGGCTCCACGCAAGTCCAAATCCCATAGGGCAGTCATTAAACCTTAAAGTTCCAAAATGATCTCCTTTGACTCCAGGTCTTATATCTGGGGCACACTGATGTAACAGGTGGGCTCCCACAGCCTTGGGGAGGTCCACTCCTGTGGCTTTGCAGGGTATAGCTGCATTGTGCACATGGAAAATGCCAGCTCAGGAAAGCACCCAGGAGGGCAGCTGTACCCTGCAAAGCCCTATGAAGCAATGGCCTGAGTTGTACCTTGGCTCCTTTTAGCCATGGTTGGAGCTGAAGCAGCTGGGATGCAGGGTACCATGTACCGAGACTGCACACAGCAGGGTGACCCTGGGCCCAGCCCACGAAACCATTTTTCCCTCTTAGGCTCCAAGCCTGTGATGGGAAAGGATGCCAGGAAGTTCTCTGACAGGCTCTGGGGACATTTTCCCCCATTGTCTTGGTGATTAACATTTGGGTCCTCATTTCTTATACAAATTTCTGCAGCAAACTTCAATTTCTCCCAAGTTAATGGTGTTCTTTTTTCTATTGTATCATCAGGCTGCCAATTTTTCACTTTTATGCTATGCTTCCTCTTGAATGTTTTGCTGCTTAGAAATTTCTTCTCCCAGATGCCCTACATCATCTCTCTCAAGTTCAAGGTTCCACAGATCTCTAGGGAAGGGGCAAAATGCTACCAATCCCTTTGCTAAAGCATAGCAAGAGTCACCTTTGTTCCAGTTCCCTACAAGTTCCTCATCTCCGTCTGAGACCATCTCAGTCTGGACATTATTGCCCATATCACTCTCAGCATTTTGGTCAAAGCCATTTAACCAGTCTCTTGGAAGTTGCAAAATTTTCCACATTTTTCTGTCTTCTTCTTCATCCTTTAAACTATGCCAACCACCACCTGTTAGCCATTTCCAAGGTCACTTCCACATTTTTGGATATCCTTATAGCAGACCCTACTCTCTGCCATACCAATTTACTGTATTAGTCCATTCTCACACTGCTATAAAGAACTGCCTGAGACTGGGTAATTTATAAAAGAAAGAGGTTTAGTTGACTCACAGTTCCACATGGCTGTGGAGGCCTCAGGAAACTTACAATCATGGCAGATGAGGAAGCAAACACATCACTCTTCACATGGCAGCAGGAGATAGAAGTGCCAAGCAAAAGAGGAAAAGCCTCTTATAGAACAATCAGATCTCATGAAAACTCACTCACTATTATAAGAATAGCATGAGGGAATGAGTCTGATGATTCAATTACCTCCCACCAGGTCCCTTCCCCAACACATGGGGATTACAATTCAAGATGAGATTTGGATGGGGACACAGAACCAGACCATAGCAAATTTTATTTTGCTTCTTAGTATATTTTTAAAATGATAATTTTGTACAGATTATATTTTGATAATCTCATATTGCTTATTTTTACATATATTATTCTAAATTTCAGATCAGGATTGGGTTCAGGAAATTTCATTTACTTTAATAGAGCTCTCTCTTTGTGGTTTTGGTAATATTATATTACATGGCAGTTTGCTTTCAGAGGTTTGTTGATACTTTTATCTTTTTGCATTATGGTCTGAACGTTCTCTTTTCTTCATCTATCCTGTTCTTCTCTTACTCAGTTTTGACTCTATTTGCATTATTTTCTTCTGTGTGATGGTTCTGTCATGGAAGAGAGATTTGGTTGATAAATTTTGAGAGTTAATGGGCCAAAATGCTCCAACCTGTTAAACCTTCCTATGTCATGTTTCTTGTACTCACCTTCTGGTAGAGAGGGCAAAATTCCTCCCTGTTCAATCACTGTTCTCATATTGCCTATCCATAATTTGTTATGAGTGCCTGTTAGCATTTTGAGGTTCTCTTATTTTTGACTCAGTTGCTACTTTCATTGCTTCCAAGAGTAATATTGGCAGCTGGCTTTTAATAGAAATGTTTAAAGCTAGAAGGCAGTAAAACAATATATTTAATGTAGTAGGGAAGATATTCCTAACAAATTAGAATTCTGTACCCAGTGAAAATGACCACAAGTGACTTATAAAAGTGATAAGTCACTATAAAAGTTATAGAGGACTTTGGGAAGAGGACAGCATCAGCATTGTTTTTCAATATCTCTAATTACCCACATAGAAAAAGAGCATCAAGATAGCAAAATAAAAAACCATGGACAACATCTACAACACCACTAAGAAATGTATTCCTGAAAATTCCCAGCTATAGCAATTATATTCAAATGGTCAACACTGGTAAACCAATACAACTTTTCCCTAGAGATATTTGAATATTTAATATGAGAGCATTTTGCTGCATTATAGAGGTATTGCTTTTTAATTATAAGTCATTATATTTCTCAAATCTAAAATTCCTTACATTGCTTTGTTATTAATATAGGAACAATCATATGTTTTTGGGGGGGCAAGATTGCTGACTAGACACAGACAAGTGGAACAGCTCCCACGAAGGGACTGAGTCAACTGGTGTGCTTTTAAAAGATCTTCAGAGGGAAGGCACTTCAAGTAGACGGAGGGGAGACACAGAAGCTGGGCTGAAGGGTGAGAAAGCTGGGAAACTCACACAACAGGCTATTGTGCATTGGGACTCATTTTTGAACCACAACAGCTCAGGGAGTATGGGTGAGTTGAACTGACAAGGAGCAACCCACTCTCACCACAGGACTCTGGACCTCCAGCAGGAGGGAACCCCTTGACCACTATGGACATTTGAGGTGGCAGAGAGAGATGCTTAGAGAAGTGGTGGGACAGCAAGCCATCTGACGTGGAGCCCAGAGGGTTTGGTGCAGGAGCATCCGGAGCAGAGCATGGCCACGGACGGCCATCCTTCTAGACTTGACTTACTCCTGTGGGAGATTTTAGCCCTAGGGAACTGTTGGGCCTGATCTCTGCAGGATGGTCATGTATCAGATGGGGCTGGTCTGACCTGAGCACTTGTTGTTCTGCTGGTCTCCCCCAGGACCCCAGCCTGGTCATGCCTACTTACAGGGCAGCTTCTGTACCAGCAGAAGCAAGGTGGCCCCTATGGCTGCACACCAGCCCACATATTTCCTCCCCATACTGTAGCTTCTCCTGAGCCCATGGCAACTCCCCACATCACTTTGCCGGTGCATGTCTGCATTAGCAGGTTTGCTTTACTTGCCCTGCCAGCATGTAGAAGTGAAATATGCCACTCAACCCCTGCAGACTGTCATTGCAGATGCAGCCTTGGGGGTCACAGAGTGAGCAAGACCTGCCCCTGACAGTTCCCTACCCTTGGGCTAATGCTGTGCAGAGAGAACAGTATCCTCAACATGCCAAGCAATCACTCCTGCTTGTGAGGCACAGTGAAGTCACCCAGACCTGCATAGGCCAGTACCCTGTCCCAAGCCAACACAATCCCCAGTGCAACGACATGCACAGTCTCTAGCAGGGGTCCCCTGCTTTCCCTCCAGGTGCCTTGTCTCAGCTGCTGTGGTGAATTCCTGCAGGAAGGCAGGCCCCCCTGTATCCACTAGCACTCTGCTGCCGCTGCTGCATCTCAACCTTCCCCAAGTGCAATGGATGCCAAACCTCAAGGAGCCAGAGAACATCAGGGCCCAATACAATTTTCCCACAGTTGGAAAATTGCCCAACTGGGAAAAGCCCAGGAGTTTGGAGCTTAGCATTGGCCCCCTAAAATTTCCCAGAAATGAAGCCAGTTGTCTGATTCCACCTAAATCTACAATCAAATCCTTCAGGTCATCAAATAGGATTAAAGGGAAAAAAATCTAAATGTCAGCAATGACAATCTCAAAGATTGAAGGCAGATAAGCCCCCAAAGATGAGAAAGAATAAGCTCAAGAACACCAAAAAATCAATAAGCCTAAGTGCCCTTTTTTACTCAAATGACCACATCATCTCTCTAGCAAGTGTTCAGAACTGGGCTGATGCTGAGATGGCTGAAATAACAGAAATATAATTTAGAATGTGAATAGAAATGAACTACATTGAGCTACAGTAATACATTGTAACTCAATACAAGAAAACTATCAATTATGATAAAAAAAATACAGACAAACTAGCTGGCATTGAAAAGAGTGTAACTGACCTGATAGAGCCAAAAAAACACACTACAAGAACTTCACAATGCAATGACAAACATTAATAGGAGACTAGACCAAACAGAAAAAAATAATCTCAGAACTTGAAGACTGGCTTTCTGAAATAACACAGGCAGACAAAAAGAGGGAAAAAAAGAGTGAAAAGGAATGAACAAAACCTTCAAGAAATCTGGGATTATGTAAAGAGATCCAATCTAAGACTGATTAGTGTACCCAAAAGAGATGTGGAGAATGGAATCAATTTGGACAACATATTTTAGGATATCATCCATGAGAACTTCCCCAACCTAGCTAGAGAGGCCAACATTTAAATTTAGAAAATGCAGAGACCCCAAGTAAGATACTTCACAAGAAGATCATCCCCAAGACATATTATCATCAGATTTTTCAAGGTCAAAATGAAAGAAAAAGTGTTAAAGGAAGCTAGGGAGAAAGGAAGATCAGGTCACCTACAAAGGGAAGCTCATCAGGCTAACAGCAGACATTTCAGCTAAAACCCTAAAGCCAGAAGATACTAGGGGCCAACATTCAACATTCAATATTCAACATTCGTAAAGAAAATAAATTCCAACCAAGAATTTCATATTCAGCCAAACTAAGCTTCATAAACGAAGGAGAAATTATGACCTTTTCAGACAAGCAAATGCTGAGGGAATTTTTTTACCACCAGACCTGCTTTACAGGAGCTCCTGAAGGAAGCACTAAATATGGAAAGAAAAGACCATTATCAGCCACTTCCAAAACACACTGAAGTACACAAACCAGTAACACTATGAAGCAACTACATAAAAAAGTCTACAAAATAACCAGCTAGCATCATGATGATAGGATCAAATTCACATATAACAATACTAACCTTAAATGTAAATGGGCTAAATGCCTAAATTAAAAAGCACAGAATGGCAAGCTGGATAAAGTACCAAGACTTCTTGGTCTGCTGTATTCAAGAGACCCATGTCATGTGCAGAGACACACATAAGCTCAAAATAAAGGGATGGAGAAAAATTTATCAAGCAAATGGAAAACAGAAAAAGCTGGGATCACAATCCTAGTTTCAGACACAACAGATTTAAACCAACGAAGATCAAAAGGGAAAAGAAAGGCATTAAATAGTGGTAAAGGGTTCAATTCAACGAGAAGAGTTCACTATTCTAAATATATATGCACCCAATATAGGAGCACTCAGATTCATAAAGCAAGTTCTTAGAGAACTACAAAGAGACTTAGACCCCCACACAATAATAGTGGGAGATTTTAATACCCCACTGACAATATCAGACAGATCATTAAGACAGAAAATTAACAAAGATATTCAGGACCTGAACTAAGCTCTGGATCAAGTGGACCTCATAGATATCTACAGAGCCCTCTACACAAAAACAACAGAATATGTATTCTTTTCATTGCCACAGCACTTACTCAAAAATTGATAACATAATTAAAAGTAAAACATACCTCAGCAAATGCAAAAGAAATGAAATTATAACAAACAGTCTCTCAGACCATAGCACAAAATTAGAAGTCAAAATTAAGATATTCACTCAAAACCACACAACTACATGGAAATTGAACAATATGCTCCTGAATGACTCCTGAGTAAATAATGAAATTCAGGCAGAAATAAAGAAGTTCTTTGAAACTAATGAGAACAAAGAGACAACATACCAGAATACGTGGAATACAGCTAACGTGATGTTACAAGGGAAATTTATAGCACTAAATGCCCACATCAAAATGCTAGAAAGATCTCAAGTTAACAACCTAACATCACAATTAAAAGAACTATAGAACCAAGAGCAAAGAAACCCCAATGCTAGCAGAAGACAAGAAATAACCAAGATCAGAGTTGGACCTAAAGAAGATAGAACCATGAAAACCACTTCAAAAAAATGAATTCAGGAGCCAGTTTTTTGAAAAAATTAATAAAATAGATGGCTAGCTTGAATAACAAAGGAGAAAAAAGAGACAAATCAAATAAACAATCAGAAATGACAAGGGGGATATTACCACTGACCCCACAGAAATACAAAGAACCATCAGAGATGACTATCAACACCTCTATGTATATAAACTAGAAGATCTAGAAGAAATAGTTAAATTCCTGGACACTCTCCCAAGACTGAACCAGGAAGAAATTGAATCCCGAATAGAACAATAATGAGTACTGAAATTGAGGCAGTAATAAATAACCTACCAACCCCAAAAAACCCCAGGACAAGATGGATTTAGAGTTGAATTCCACCAGTGGTAAAAAGAAGAGCTGGTACCCTTTCTACTAAAACTATTCCAAAAAATTGAAAACAAGGGAATTTTCCCTAACTCATTTTATGATGTCAGCATCATCCTGATACCTAAACCTGGCAGAGATACAACAAAAAAAGAAAACTTCAGGCCAGTATCCCTGATGAACATCAATGCAAAAATCCTCAACAAAATACAGGCAAACCAGATCCAGCAGCACATAAAAAAGCTTATGCACCACAATCAAGTTGGCTTCATCCCCATAATGCAAGGTTGGTTCAAAATACACAAATCAATAAATGTGATTCATCATATAAATAGAACTTAAGACAAAAACCACATGATTATCTCAATATATGCAGAAAAGGCCTTCAATAAAGTTCAACATTAGTTCATGTTAAAAACTCTCAATAAACTAGGTATTGAAGGAACATACCTCAAAATAATAAGAGCCATATATGACAAACCCATAGCCAATATCATACTGAATGAGCAAAAGCTAGAAGCATTCCCCTTGAAAACTGGCACAAGACAAGGCACAAGACAAGAATGCCCTCTCTCATCACTCCTATTCTGCACAATATTGGAAATTCTTGCCAGGGCAATCAGGCCAGAAAAAGAAATAAAGGATATTCAAATAGGAAGAGAGGAAGTCAAATTATCTTTGTTTACAGATGACATGATCTTATGTCTGGGAAACCCCATTGTTTCAGCTCAAAAGCTTTCTAAGCTGATAAGCAACCTCAGCAAAGTCTCAGGATACAAAATTAGTGTGCAAAAATTGCTAACATTTCTATTCAGCAAGAGCAGACAAGCCAAGAGCCAAATTATGAATGAACTCCCATTCACAATTGCTACAAAAAGACTAAAATTCCTAGGAATGTAGCTAACAAGGGAAGTGAAGGACCTCTTCAAGGAGAACTACAAACCACTGCTCAAAGAAATCAGAAAGAACACAACACAAACAAATGGAAAAGCATTCCATACTTATAAATAGGAAGGATCAATATCATGGAAATGGCCATACTGCCCAAAGTAATTTATAGATTCAATGCTATTCCCATTAAACTACCAGTGACATTTTTCACAGAATTAGAAAAACTATTTTAAAATTCTTATGGATCCAAGAAAGAGCCCAAATAGCCAAAACAATACTAAGCAATAAGAACAAAGCTGAGGCATCATGTTACCTTCAAACTGCAATACAAGGCAACAGTAACCAAAACAGTATGGTACTCATATAAGAACAGATGCATAAACCAATGGAACAGAATAGGGAACTCATAAATAAGACCACACAGCTACAGCCATCTGATCTTTGACAAACCTGACAAAAGGAATGGGGAAAGGATTCCCTATGTAGTACATGGTTTTGGGAGAATTCGCTAGCCATGTTCAGAAAATTGAAACTGGACCCCTTCCTTATACCTTATACAAAAATTAACTCAAGATGGATTAAAAACTTAAATGTAAAATCCAAAACTATAAAAACCCTAGAAGAAAATCTAGACAATATCATTCAGGACATAGGTACAGGAAAAGATTTCATCACAAAAATGCCAAAAGCAGTTGCAACAAAAACCAAAATTGACAAATTGAATTTAATTAAACTAAAGAGCTTTTGTGCAGAAAAAGATACTATCATCAGTGCAAAGAGATAACCTACAGAATGGGAGAATACTTTTGCAATCTATCCAACTGACAAAGGTTTAATATCCAGTCTACAAGAAACTTAAATTCACAAGAAAAAACAACCCTATTCAAAAGTTGGCAAAGGGCATGAACATACGCTTCTCAAAAGAAGGCATATATACAGCCAAAAAATATGAAAAAAGCTCAATATCACTGATCATTAGGGAAATGCAAATCAAAACAACGAGATACCATCTTATGCCAGTAAGAATGGGTATTATTAAAAAGTAAAAAATATAACAGTTGCTGGCAAGGTGTGGAGAAAAATGAATGCTTTTACATTTTTGGTGGGAGTGTAAATTAGTTCAACCATTGTGGAAGACAGTGTGGTGATTCCTCAAAGATCTAGAGGCAAAAGCACCAATTAACCCATCAATCTTATTACTAGGTATATACCTAGAGAAAGATAAATCATTTTATTATAAAGATACATGTATGGGTATCTTCATTGCGGCAATATTCACAATAGCAAAGACATGGAATCAACTCAAATGCCCATCAATGATAGACTGAATGAAGAAAATGTGGTACATATACACCATGGAATAAAAGGAACATAAAAGGAATAAAAGCAGACATAACAGGAACAAGATCATGCAGGGACATGGATGGAGCTGGAAGCCATTAGCCTCAGTATCCTCTGGAACAGAAAACCAAACACTGAATGTTTTCACTTACAAGTGGGAGCTGAACAATAAGAACACAGGGACACATGGTTCATGGAACAACACACACTGCGGCCTGTTGAGGGGAGTAGTAGGGGGAGGGAGAGCATCAGGAAAAATACTAATCAATGCTGGGCATAATACCTAGGTGATGGGATGATCTGTGCAGCACAACATTATGGAACACATTTATTTATGTAACAAACCTGCACATCCTGCACATACACCCCTGAACTTAAAATAAAACTTGAAGAAAAAAATTCCAATATTAAAGTTAGTGTAGCCTTATTGCACAGTGTTTACAGTAGTGTACAGCAATGTACCAGGCCTTCACATTCATTCACCACTCACTGACACATCCAGAGCAACTTCCAGTTCTGCAAGCTCCATTCATGGTAAGTTCCCTATAAAGGTGTACCATTTTTGCCTTTTATTCTGCATCTATACAGTACCTTTTCTATCTTTAGATATGTTTATAAACACAAAAACTTACCATTATGTTACAATTGCCTGTGGTATTCAGTATAGTAAAATGCTGCACAGGTTTGTAGCCTAGGTGCAATAGGCTATACCATATAGCCCAGATGTACAATAGGCTATACCATCTAGGTTTGTGTAAGTGCACTCTATGATGCTCAAACAAAAATAAAAAGCCTAACAATGCATTTATCAGAATGTATCCCTGTCATGAAGTGACACATAACTATATAACTATATTTTGATTTAGAAAAAGGCAGAAAGGAAATCCTTGATGGTTGAAGAGTTAGCATGAGTAATCTCTTTACATATTTTCATGTAGTCCATCACTTTGTTTTGAGATTATTTGTGTAACTGTACATAAGATGTGTCTCTTGAAGACAGCATACTAATGGGTCTTGGTTCTTAATTAAGCTTGCCACTCTGTGTCTTTTAAGTGGGGCATGTAGCCCATTTACATTGAAGGTAAGTATTGATTTGTGTGGATTTGATCCTGTCATCATGATGTTAGCTGGTTATTTTGCAGACTTGTTTATGTGGTTCCTTTACAATATCACTGGTCTCTGACCTGCCTCACAAGAGTTCCAGAAAGAAGTACTAAATATAGAAAGGAAAGACTGTAACCAGCCCTAACCAAAACACACTGAAGTACACAAACCAGTAACTATAAAGCAATCACATGAACAAGTCTGCAAAATAACCAGCTAACATCATGGTGACAGGATAAAATCCACACATATCAATACTAACCTTAAATGTAAACGGGCTACATGCCCCACTTAAAAGACACAGAGGGGCAACCTCAGTAAAGAACTAAGACCCATTAGTATGCTGTCTTCAAGAGACACATCTCACGTGCAATGACACAAATAGTCTCAAAATAAAGGGATGGAGAAAAATCTATCAAGCAAATGGAAAACAGAAAAAACAGGGGCTGCAATCCTAGTTGTTGACAAAACAGACGTTGAACATAGATCAAAAAAGAAAAAGAAGGACATTTCATAATGTTAAAGAGTTCAATTAAACAAGAGGATCTAACTATCCTAAATAGATATGCACCCAAGAGAGGAACACCCAGATTCATAAAACAGGTTCTTAGAGACCTTCAAAGAGAATTAGACTCCCACAGAATAATAGTGGGAGATTTTAACACCCCACTGACAATATTAGACAGATCATTGAGACAGAAAATTAACAAAGATATTCAGGACCTGAACTCAGAATGGGAACAAATGGATTTGATAGCTATCTACAGAACTCTCCACCCCAAAACAAAAGAATATACATTCTTGCCATTGCTACATGGCACATTCTCTAAAACTGACCCCATAATTGAAAGTAAAAACACTCCTCAGCAAATGCAAAATAACTTATAACAGTCTCTCAGACCACAGCACAACAAAATTAGATTCAAGACTAAGAAGTTCACTCAAAACCATACAATTACATGGAAATTGAATAACCTGGTCCTGAATGACTTTTGGGTAAATAATGAAATTAAGGCAGAAATCAATAAGTTCTTTGAAACTAATGAGAACACAGATACAATGTACTAGAATCTCTGGGACAGAGGTAAGGGAGTGTTAAGAGGGAAATTTATAACACTAAATGCCCTCATCAAAAATTAGAAATATCTCAAGTTAGCAACCTAACATCACAACTAAAGGAGCTGGAGAACCAAGAGCAAATGAATTCCAAAGCTAGAAGAAGACAAGAAATAACCAAAATGAGAGCTGAACTGAAGATGATTGAGATATGAACAACCATACAAAAGATCAATACATCCTGGGGCTGTTATTTAAAATAAATAAAATAGGCCAGTAGCTACGACCACTAAGAAGAGAAGAGAGAAGATTCAAGTATTACCACTGACCACACAAGAAATACAACCATCAGAAAATATGAATACCTCTATGCACATAAACTATAAAATCTAGAATACATGGATAAATTCCTGAACATATACACCCTCCCAAGAATAAACCAGGAAGAAATTAAATCCTGAAAAGATCAATAACAAGCTCCAAAATTGAGGCAGTAATAAATAGCCTACCAACTAAAAAAAGCCCATACCAGATGGATGCACAGCTGAATTCTACCAGATGTATGACGAAGAGCTGGTATCATTTCTACTAAAACTATTCTGAACAATTCAGGAGAAGGGATTCCTCTCTAAGTCATTCTGTGAGGTCAGCATCATCCTAATACCAAAGCCTGACAGAGATACAACAAAAAAGAAAACTTCAGGCCAGTAGCCTGGATTCAATGCAAAAATCCTCAACAAAATATGGGCAAACTGAATCCTGTAGTACATAAAAAAGCTTATCCAGCATGAACAAGTAGATTTTATCCCTGGCATACAAGATTGGTTTAACAAAGGCTAATCAATAAATGTGATTCATCACATAAACAGAACTAAGGACAAAAACCACATGGTTATTTCAATAGATGGAGAAAAGCCTTTCGATAAATTCAACATCCATTCATGTTAAAAACTCTGAATAAACTAAGTATTGAAGGAACATACCTCAAAATAATAAGAGCTATCTATGACAAACCCACAGCCAACATCATACTAAATGGGCAAAATCCGGAAGCTTCCCCTTGAAAACCGGCACAAAACAAGGATGCCCTCTCTTACCACTCCTGGAAGTCCTTGCCAGGGCCATTAGGCAAGATAAAAAAAAAAAAAGGAGATCTAAATAGGAAGAGAGGAAGTCAAACTATCTCTTTTTGCAGATGACAAGATTCTATTTCTAGAAAACCCCATAGTCTCAGCCTGAAAGCTTCTTAAGCTGATAAACAACTTCAGTAAAGTCTCAGGATTCAAAATCAATGTACAAAAATTGCTAGCATACTTATACACCAACAGCAGTCAAGCTGAGAGCCAAATCAAGAATGCACTCTCATTCACAATTGCCACAAAAAGAATAAAATACCTAGGAATACAGGGAAGTGAAAGATCTCTACAAGGAGAAATACAAAAGCTGCTCAAAGAAATTAGAGATAACATAAAAAAATGAAAAAACATTCCATGCTCATGGATAGGAAGGATCAATATTGTGAAAATGGCCATACTGCTGAAAGCAATTTATTGATTCAATGTTATTCCTATTAAGCTATCAATGAGATTCTTCACAAAACTTAAAAAAAAACTATTTTAAAATTCATATGGAACCAAAAAAGAGTCCAAATAGCCAAGGCAATCCTAAGCAAAAAGAACAAAGTTGGAGGGATCATGCTACATGACCTCAAACAATACTACAGGGATACAGTAATCAAAACAGCATTGTACTGATACAAAACAGTCACATAGACCGATGGAACAGAGTAGAGAACCCAGAAATAAGACTGCACAGCTACAAGTATCTGATCTTCAACAAACCTGACAAAAACAAGCAATGGGAAAAGTACTCCCTATTCAATAAATGGTCCTGGGATAACTGGCTAGCCGTATGCAGAAGACTGAAGCTGGACCACTTCTTTATACTACATACAAAAAATTAACTCAAGATGGAATAAAGACTTAAATGTAAATCCCAAAACTATGAAAACCCTGGTAGACAATCTAGGCAATACCATCCAAGACATACACATGGGAAAGGATTTCATGATGAAGACTCCAAAAGCATATGCAACAAAAGCAAAAATTGACAAATAGTATCTATTTAAACTAGAGGGCTTCTGCATAGCAAAGGAAACTATCAAGAGTAAACAGACAACCTACAGAATGGGAGAAAATATTTGCAATCTGTGCATCTGACAAGACCTAATATCCAGCATCTGTAAAGAACTTAAACAAATTTACAAGAAGAAAAAAACAAATAACCCTATTAAAAAGTAGGCAAAGGTTATGAACAGACACTTCTCAAAAGAAGACATACATGTGACCAACAATGATATGAAGAAAAGCTCAACATCACTGATCATTAGAGAAATACAAATCAAAACCACAATGAGATACCATCTCACACCAGTCAGAATGGTTATTACTAATAAGTCAAAAAATAACACATGCTTGTGAGGCTGTGGAGAAAAAGGAGCACTTTTGCTCTGTTAGTGGGATTGTAAATTATTTCAACCATTGTGGAAGACAGTGTGGCGATTTTTCAAAGTCCTAAAGACAGAAATAACAATTATAATAAAATAGAGTGATTTATATTCCTTTGGGTATATATCCAGCAATTCCTTTGGGTATATACCCATACCATTGCTGGGTATATACCCAAAGGAATATAAATCACTCTATTGTAAAGACACATGCACGTGTATGTTCATTGCGGCACTATTCACAATAGCAAATACTTGGAATCAACCTAAATGCCTATCAGTGATAGAGCAGATAAGAAAATGCGGTACATATACACCATGGAATACTATGCAGCCATAAAAAAAGAATGAGATCAGCAGCTGCGGTGGCTGGGCATGGAGTGTGAGTGGCCTGAGCCCCACGGGTGACTGCTCCAGGGCTTCTCCCCGCCTGCACCAGGCGCTGTTCGAAAGCGCGCCCTCCACTCATGAAGCGCTTGAGCTCTGTGCAGTGGAAAATGCCGTGTGTTTGTGACGGCGGTGAAAGAGGAGCCTTCTGCCAAAAGGGAACATCAGATCAGCCATAGCTTTGGGCCCAGCTAGATAGAAAGCTCAACAAACAAGTTGAAAAAAGATTTTAAAATCTTCTACATTCAAATGAAAACCCAAAATAATTTTTTTTGGAATGTTGAGGAGGACTTCAAACCGGCTCTAGAGTGCTGGATACCAGGCAAAGGAAATAGAACAAATAAATAGGAACCCAGTGCCTAATGAAAATAGATACATTCCTGATTGGGTACCAGTATAGAAAAACAACAAACAGTATTGCTAGCATTCCTCTGTAGTTAATTATGAATTTGAAATTGCCCTGGTACTAAAACATCATGCTGATGATTCTGGACTTTTGGAAATTACTGCAGTGCCACTATCAGATCTCTTAGAACAAACACTGGAGATCACAGGAAAAAATATCAATGGAAACCCATATGCGTTAGGGAGCAAGAAACATCCATTACATCTTCTTATACCACATGGAGCGTTTCAAATAAGAAATCTACCTTCGTTGAAGCACAATGATATCATGTCCTGGTTTGAAGGTTGCAGTGGGTAAAATTGAAGGAATAGTATGGCATCGCAGTGATGGCTGTTAATAAAGGTGCTGGACATACACAGTCAACCAAACAAGGTGTCTGCCTTCATGAAGCTCACATTCTGATGGGGAAGGTAGACAATAAACAAATGTGTAATATGTCAGGAGAAGAACAGCTATGAAAAAAAAAACAGGGTCCATCGTCATCATCTTGGCTTATGCTGGTCAATTCAAGATACTTACATGAATTCAAGAGCAGTTATTATCAACGTGTACCTGAAAAAATGTGACTCTGCCTTGATGTTAAGTGTTTGTTTAATCATTTTTCAAAAGTACATAATCAGAAATTTGCTAGACTCAAAGATATAATATTTGATATATAAAATGCAAATAAAATTATTTTATTATCATTATATTTTAATCTTGAATATTCTACCATGTTTAAGAATATCTCAAGGTTCCTGTTCATTATGAAACATCAATTTGTCTTCTACCATTTGTGAAGAAATGAATTTTCCAGTTTCAAATATCTATTTAAAATTTTATTAAAAACCAGCAAATTAATTTTAATCTCTAGCCATAAAAACATAAGTAACAGTAAGCTCCTAAGCTTGTACAAAGGCTGGATTCTCTCCACTATAATTGAGTGGTAATTTAAAGACAACAATTAAACCAAGAATTTAATGTCACTAATTTTCAAAATTACATAGTTTAAGCTCAATTTGATTTTGCTAGGTATTTAACAAAACATATGGCTCAACTTCATAACCTATATGTGTGTATGTCTACATCTGTATTTATGTACATCATAGTTAGGATTTGAGAATCTTACCATATGTATAAATAAGTATATATAAACTCCAATTTTAAATATTAAAATTGCTGAATTTACCCTCATGCTCTTTAAAAAACTTAAAACTTTATGAATGTAGAGAAATTCACCAGAGCTCATTGCCTATTTGATGGCCATAACTTACTCTAAGTCTTCAAATATATACGTTTATAATAGGTTGAAAATTTCATATAATTTTATTTATTAAGAATTCCAATCTAAGTATAAAGGTACAAGGTAGTGAGAAGGAAACACTACAGCTCAGAGAATTTCTTATTTCCAGATCGATTTTAACATATAAAGTTAATAAATATTTAAACGAAACAAAGTTTATAGGTGACCTTTAGTAAATGGGGAAATGAACAAGACTTTCTTCTTCATCTTCAAACTCTTCAGAAGCAGCAACAGGGCTAGTTAATTCAACTCCCAATTGTTCTGGAAGTTTTTTTTTTTTTTTAACCTTCTCTTCTAAGAGAATATTGTTCTTCACTTCTTCCTTGTAATTATACTTCAGATCTTCAATTTCTTTGAAAAATGAAGGATCAAAATTTTGGAGTTCTTTTTTCAGCTTTTTTATTTCCTCCTAATAGAAACATTATCTTTAAAAGTTGCATATAGGAAATATACATATTTTAGGCTTGAACTAAGAGATTTAACTGTAAATATGAAAGCCAACGTATTCCTGAATGGTCAGATACAGCTATAAAGGCAGAAGTATTAAGATTTTTGTTTGCTCCATTGTACAGTGTAAATAACTAAGTTGTTAACTGTCAAGTCCAATTATCTATTTTGTAAGTTGTGTTCTAGTCTTTGACTAAAATTTATCAACTCTTATAACAGGATTTAATCTTTCTCTAAAAGCACATAAGATCCTCTCAATAGAGCAATCAATCAAGAAGATTTTGTGATTCATAACACTGAAGTTAGTCTGGTTAAGAGTTTTGGGTTAGACTTAATTTATGTTTTCATTACAAATGTCTAATTTTTAATGAATAATGATCAACTTTTTATAAAGTTATTAATATGATCAGGGAAACCTTTGGGACTTCTGCCAATTAGGCATCTGGTAAAGAGAGAATTCAAGCCTTAGTGACTGTTTAGAGTAGTCAGTGATCACTAGCTAACGCTTATATCCATGCTTTTTTGTCCTGTTTGCAGTATTCAAGGAGGTAAAACATAGCAAATATATTTTTTAAGTGAACTATAACCTTAAGATTACTGAAAAGAATTTCAAAGCAAATTAAAGACACTGTTGCCAATGTGACCCAAAACTTAAGAACATACTAATGGCATATATTTGTTATAATTAAAAAATAAATTTACTGTTTAATCCTAAAAAAAAATGAGATCATGTCCTTTGCAAGGACATGAATGGAGCTGGAGGCCATTATCCTAGGCAAAATAATGCAGGAACAGAAAACCAAATACCGGTGTTCTCACTTATAAGTGGGAGCTAAATTATGAGAACACATTGACACACAGCGGGGAACAACACACACTGGGGCCTATCAGAGGGTGGAAGGTGGGAAGAAGGAGAGGATCAGGAAAAATAACTTATGGGTACTAGGCTTAATACCTGAGTGATGAAATGATCTGTACAAAAAAACCCTGTGCCACAAATTTACCTATGTAACAAACCTGCGCACGTACTCCTGAACTTAAAATAAAAGTTAAAAAAAAAATCCTAAATTAAGTATTCAAATTATGAAGCTAGAAAATGAATAGTAAATAAGAAAAGGCAACTGGAAGGAATAAAGTATGAAATACATATAAAGGCAAAGAGATAAATATACTAAAAACCTGAAGATCACCACTTTTTAAATATTAAAAGAGATATAAATAATTATAGCTGTCAAAATGATGTTTTAGAATAAAACTGTTTTGTAACATAATGTGCCAATAAGTATGAGAATACAGATTTTCCCCAGCAAAATATAAACAATTAAATTGATCCCACAAATGAATAAAAACTTGAATAAGAACCACAGAAGAAATCAGAAAGTGGTTAAAAGGTATATTATTTTAAATACACCGAAGCCATATGATCTTTTACTGAGATATAATAAGGCCTTAAACTATGTATTTCAGCATTTTAAAACAATGTAGACTGTAGAAAAGACAAAAATGATTGGTTATGTTATGTTAATTGATATAAAATCTTATTTAGTATAATAAGAAAAGTACATATTAATTTGTTAGATAAAAGGTTGAAATATTAGCAAACTAAATCCAGTGGTATATTCTAAGTGCTACTTCTCATGCATAGGACTGTGTTTGGCACACATTAAGTGCTCTATAAATATTGGTTGATTAAAAAATAAACCTTTAGTTTATTGGAATAAGAGCAGTAGCCACATATGATTATTAGGAAACATTATCTGCCAAGTAATTTTTACAATATAGTGTTAGTGTAATCACACATTTATGATTATGTCAGTTTATATGTAAACATATAGAAAATTATTGAAGGATACATACCAAGTTATTAAAATCAGGCACAGGAGATATGTTCAAAGAGTATGTATTATTTTAGTTCTTAAACATGTAGTAACATAATTTTAAAAAATTATTATCTGGAAAAAAAACTTATGACTAGATAATTGACTCCAGATAGAGAATACAGAGTTGCAAGAGCAGTGAGCTGAAGAAAGAACCCTAGACATACCAACATTGGTGAGACTAGCCAACTATTATCTGCAACTTATGTGTAATTTTTCTGGTTTTAAACTCAGTATATAACACACATGTTCTCAAGCTTGAAATTCTGAATTCTTTCACTTTTAAAAATACCTTACCCAATAAATAACCAAATTCTGTCATATTTACTTCTTAAATATTCTCATTCATCTTTCCTTTTCATTGCCTCTGCCCTGCCTTAACACACAATTCATACTTTTCAGTACTATTTTACAACCTCTGCAAAGATTTCAATTTTGTCTTCCTCCCATGCATTTTCTGAATCATAGTCATAAGTTTCCTTATATTAGGTCTGAAATAGAACTCTTGATATTTTGCCCATGGGCACATTATAGCTCCTGTCTTCCTCAATTCAGTAAGTGGTTCTAACATCCATTCAGTCATAGCCAGAAAACTCCCCTTTCCACAGTCCGCTATAGTTCAAAATATATTTGTTTTGAATTTATCCCAACTCTTGTCTTCTCTGTTGTTACTACCTCAGTTCAGTTTTACAGGGCACTGAGTTGCTCCTTCCACTGCACCCACCTTTATAACTATCTTTTCCTCTTTCCCAACTTCTGCATTATGCCAGATAGCTGTATTAAGGAAATTGCATCAATATGCCGGTTTATACAATTTCAAAGGTATGGTCTCCAGCTCCAGGTAGACATTCAGTGCTATTCAGAAATTTGTCTACATGTTATGTTCAAAGTTTTTTTCTAATTTACTAAAAAATCATTTATAAAAGTTTTGCTGACCGTTGCAATGAACATCTACTTGAGGATCAATAGTGGCTTTACTTTCTTCTTCAGAGAGCCATTAGTCAGGAATTTTATTAATTTATTGTTCATCCAGCACCCAGCTATTCATATCAGCGTATCTACATTTTCAATTTTTCTTACCCCTTCCTTCTTTAAAATATCAAAGTATACACTGTCTCTTGGTTGTATACTGTTCTGACCCTCTGGGACTTTGAAACTTCAATTTATACCCTATAACTGCAATATCAGTAAACATGTCCTCCTCAGAAGATGCTTCCCCTCGTAAGGGGAAGAGACGCAAGTCTCTTCCATAAAAACTTTTACACACAATACATCTGTTACTTTCACACACGTAGATTCACCTGCTGTCTCTCTTACATACACACACATAACACACACATGTGTATTCTGCATCCTCATAAAACTGTTGTCTGTTACTTTCACTAACATACATTCTCCTGCTTTCTCTCTTACACACACACATACACACAGACATGCACACATATTCTGCATTCTCATAAAACTGTTCACAATGTATCCTCTTCTAAGTCCCTCCTTATTTTCAGTAAACAAACTTTGGAAAATTTATTTCTAATTATAATTGTTTATACTTCCTCATTAAATAACTTTGGTCACCTGGTCACATTTTCACTTTCCTAATTCTATTGAAGTTATTTTCAGCTTTCTACATATGGCTAGCCAGTTTTCCCAACACCGTTTTTTAAATAGGGAATCTTTTTCCCATTTCTTGTTTTTGTCAGGTTTGTCAAAGATAAGATTGTTGTTGTAGATGTGTGGTGTTATTTCTGAGGCCTCTGTTCTGTTCCATTGGTCTATCTTTCTGTTTTGGTACCAGTACCATGCTGTTTTGGTTACTGCAGCCTTGTAGTATAGTTTGCAGTTGGGTAGCATGATGCCTCCAGCTTTGTTCTTTTTGCTGAGGATTGTCTTGGCAATGCGGGCTCTTTTTGGTTCCATATGAACTTTAAAGTAGTTTTTTCCAATTCTGTAAAGAAAGTCATTGGTAGCTTGAGGGAGATAGCATTGAATCTATAAATTACGTTGGGCAGTACAACTGTTTTCACAATATTGATTCTTCCTATCCATGAACATAGAATGTTCTTCCACTTGTTTGTGTCCTCTTTTATTTCGTTGAGCAGTGGTTTATAGTTCTCCTTGAAGAGGTCCTTCACATCCCTTGTAAGTTGGATTCCTAGGTATTTTATTCTCTTTGTAGCAATTGTGAATGCGAGTTCACTCATGATTTGGCTGTCTGTTTGTCTGGTATTGGTGTATAGGAATGCTCCCTTCCTTACATCTTATACAAAAATTAATTCAAGATGGATTAAAGACTTAAATGTTAGACCTAAAACCATAAAAACCCTAGAAGAAAACCTAGGCATTACCATTCAGGACATAGGCATGGTCAAGGACTTCATGACTAAAACACCAAAAGCAATGCCAACAAAAGCCAAAAGCCAAAATAGACAAATGGGATCTAATGAAACTAAAGAGCTTCTGCACAGCAAAAGAAACTACCATCAGAGTGAACAGACAACCTACAGAATGGGAGAAAATTTTTGCAATCTACCCATCCGACAAAGGGCTAATATCCAGAATCTACAAAGAACTTAAACAAATTTACAAGAAAAAAACAAACAACCCCATCAAAAAGTGGGCAAAGAATATGAACAGACACTACTCAAAGAAGACATTTATGTAGCCAACAGACACATGAAAAAATGCCCATCATCACTGGTCATCAGAGAAATGCGGATCAAAACCACAATGAGATACCATCTCACACCAGTTAGAATGGCGATCATTAAAAAGTCAGGAAACATCAGGTGCTGGAGAGGATGTGGAGAAATAACACTTTTACACTGTTGGTGGGAGTGTAAACTAGTTCAACCATTGTAGAAGATAGTGTGGCAATTCCTCAAGGATCTAGAACTTGAAATACCATTTGACCCAGCAATCCCATTACTGGGTATATACCCAAAGGATTATAAATCATGCTACTATAAAGACACATGCACACGTATGTCTATTGCAGCACTATTTACAATAGCAAAAACTTGGAACCAACCCAAATTTCCATCAATGATAGACTGGATTAAGAAAATGTGGCACATATACACCATGGAATATTATGCAGACATAAAAAAGAATGAGTTTATGTCCTTTGTAGGGACATGGATGAAGCTGGAAACCATTATTTTCAGCAAACTATCGCAAGGACAGAAAACCAAACACTGCATGTTCTCACTCATAGGTGGGAATTGAACAATGAGAACACTTGGACACAGGGCGGTGAGCATCACACATGGGGGCTTGTCGTGGGGTGGGAGGCAGGGGGAGGGGTAGCATTAGGAGAAATACCTAATGTAAATGATGAGTTAATGGATGCAGCAAACCGACATGACACATGTATACCTATGTAACAAACCTGCACATTGTGCACATGTACCCTAAAACTTAAAGTACAAAAAAAAAAGAAATTCTTTTCAGCAAGGTAATCAATAAAGTAATTGAGGCATACAATGCACTGTTTAAATTTGTTTTATTTTTTACATGAAAACATGTTGAATCTCTCACCTTCTATTTCAACCATAGCATCACCCTGATGATTTTTCTAAATTTAAAAACAATGTTGACTTTTTATATTTAAAAATGGAGTTGTAGTTTTTTTCTTCAATGTAAATGTAGCACATGCTTATTAAGTGTTATGGGGGAAGCTGACATAAATAAAATCATCATTTTATGTGAAAAATGAAATGAGTTGGAATATTTACTCAACAAAGTGCCCTTGATAGTGATTAGCTATGTATTCAATGTGTTTGTTGAATGAAAAAATGGTAAAATATCAATATTAGTTGTATTGATGATGATTATAGAACTATGATGCTCAATTTTTAGATAAAAAATAAAAATATAAACTGGATTGAATAAAGATATATATACATATATGATAGTAGATCAAAATTTAATTAGTATATCTGCTTAAGGTGTAATAATAGTAATAATAATGCTATGAATTACATGTGCAGCAAATATTTCATTTAATGTTCACTGCAACCCTGTGAGGTATGTGATATTACCAGCCCCACTTTGCAAATGAGGAAACTGAGTCAGAAATTGCTAAGAAATATGTTAAGGCTACATAGCTAGTCACCAGTAGAGCAGATAGGTTATGTAAACATTGTGACAAAAACATATGGTTTAAAATGATGATATCTGCTGATAGAAAATACAGGCAGAGAAAATAAACACTTGGATAGAAAACAACAGACTTAAAAATTGTAACCCCTTTTTTGGCTGCTAAAATATTTTTTAAGAATGGCGATCATACAGAGTTCTCAATCCTAATTATATTTCTTTAATGCTTTGTGAGTTTTATGCTGTTAAATTAATGCTATATTTTATTCAGTAAACAAAACTGATATTAAGCAAGCCTTTGTAAGATCAATGTTCCTTGTAGGAAATTTAGAAAATTGCTGAAAATCTTAAGAAAATTAAAAATTTGTAACCTCATAAGTATCCCTTGTAAATTGCAGCAATTTTTCTTTCTAGCTCCTCATATATACTTGAATATTTTTGGAAGTTGATAACTACTAATTTCTCATCATTATAAATATATATTTTTGAATTATCCTTGTTGATAATGAAAAGTTTTCTTTTATCTCTACCCTGAGTATTGTAAAGCATTAGGATTCTGGTACCTGGAAGTAAGCTGAGGACAGATAGAGATCTGCAAGTTACTGACATGTAGTTGACATTTGAAATCATAACAATAGATGGATGTTTCCCAGGGATAATATGTAGAGAGATAAAAGAAGAAGGCCAAAAAGAGATGCTGAGGAGATAACAACACCTAATAAGCTAGTGAAAGGGGAGACATCTTCCATGACCACCAAGACAAAGGGCCTGGAAACAGGAGAAAAATGTAGACGTGGTTTCTAAATAAGGGAGAAGTAAGTACAGATGCTCCTCGACTTATGATGGGGCTACATCATGATTAACTCAACATAACTTGAAAATATTATAAGTTGAAGATGCATTTAATACACCTAAACTGCTGAACATCATCACTTAGCCTAGCCTATGTTAAACGTGCTCAGATTTACATCAACCTACATTTGGGCAAAATCATCTAATACAATGCCAATTTTATACTTAAGTGTTGACTATTTCATGTAATTTACTGAATACTGTACTGAAAGTGAAAAACAGAATGGTGGTATGGCACTCACCAAAGTACAGTTTCTACTGAATACGTATCACTTTCTTACCATAATAAAGTCAAAAAATCTTAAGTTGTACCATCCTATGTCAGCGACTATCTGTAATGAATGACAAAGACTCAAAAGTATCAAATGCTACAGAGAAATCAATTAATATAGAGACCATAAAGTAATATTGATTGCACTCAGAAAGTAGGCATTTATCATTAATCTTGTCAAGGAAATTTTTGCTAGAGTTGGAGAGACTCAGGGATGGGCGTGAAGTTAAAAACTATAACTGAATATGAGACGAGAAAATTAAGAAGGCCAACGGACCTGACTTGAAATAGAGAGGAGGACCTAGAAACGGCTGGAAGTTATTTGTGATAGATGACACTGCCATTGGTAAATCAATCAATATTTTTAACCAGACTATTATGAATGCCAGGCAATTCAGCATACATAATCATCATCCTATTCAAACTAACAAAAGACCAAAGACATAAATAGAAACAATTGTTACATAAATAATTTGTATTTTCCATATACTACGTATTTAAATTTCAACTAATACAACATTCTGAATATTTTCTGATTAGGAAATTTTAGTCAGTTATCATTGGGCTGATTGTCTAATGATACATGATATTTCATTTTGAAAAAATAATTAGCAAAACACACATTTATTTCTTTATCTTTAATAGAATCTACTTTGAATGGAGGAAAACATTCTTTATCTGGTTAGAATTGCTCTATAATTTTGTGCTCTAGTTTTTGGCAATAATGAAGAAAAGCTTTGTGAAAGCCTATGATTATTGGAGTTTTATGAGGACAAATCACGGCTGATAATTTGAGGCTATCAGGTCCTTTTCATCTTGATAATTATCAGGTATTTAATATTTTGTGAACATTTCCAAATTAATCATTAATTAGTCCATTTTTGCAAGTCAGGTCAATCCTAGTATATATTTTGTTTAAAAAAAAAAACATGCAGACCGGCACAGCAGCTCACGCCTGTAATCACAGCACTTTGGGAGGCCGAGGCGGGTAGATCACCTGAGGCCAGGAGTTTGAGACCAGCCTGGCCAAAATGATGAAACCCCGTCACTACTGAAAATACAAAAATTAGCCGCATGTGGTGGCACATGCCTGTAATCCCAGCTACTCGGGAGGTTGAGGCAGGAGAATTGCTTGAACCCAGGAGATGGAGGTTGTAGTGAGTTGAGATCGCGCCACTGCACTCCAGTCTGGGCAGCAGAGCAAGACTCTGCCTCAAAAAAAAATAAATAAATAAATAAATAAATAAATAAATAAATAAATAAATAAAATAAAAAAAACCTGCCAAGGCAAATGACAAGCCTTTTGTAGAACTCCTTAGAGTAGATGTTTCAGGGATATTCAATACTAAAGAATAAATCAGTACTGAGTGCTGTGAAAGTTTAATAAATTTCTCCCTAATGTTGTTTAGGACATTTCTGAAAAGTTTGTGGAATATTTCTAAATTAGCTTGAAAGATTGTGAGTCAAAGATTAAAATCTTTAAAAAACTGTGAACTTCACATTGGAAACATTTTTTTTTTAAGCAGCAATAATAGACACCATTGGGCTGGTGCTATATAAACAGACTTTACAGAGTTGAAGAGGGAGAATATTTTGGTTATAAACACAATGCCAAGGCAATGAATACAATGCGAAGTGCAGAAGAGGGATTGAAAAGACTTTAGAATTACTAGAGTACTGTTAATGGAGAGTTGGAATGCATACAGTATGGTAGAATGCCTCTTAGTGTGGAAAATTTTAACTTTCATCACTGTTAAAGAAAGCCAAAAAACTCAAAAACAACCTAAGTGATTTTAAAATCTGCGGTTATTTTCTTTCTTTCTTTTCTTATTCCTCTACTTAAGGTTAACACCCAAGTCCTTAGGTGCCAAGATCAATAAATCCCTTTCCAGGCCGGGCACGGTGGATCACACCTGTAATCCCAGCACTTTGGGATGCCAAGGCAGGCTGATCACCTGAGGTCAGGAGTTCAAGACCAGCCTGGCCAACATGATGAAATCCCATCTCTACCAAAAATTCAAAAAAATTAGATGGATGTGGTGGCAGGTGCCTGTAATCCCAGCTACTCGGCAGGCTGAGGCAGGAGAATCGATTGAACCCGGGAGATGGAGGTTGCAGTGAGCCAAGATCTCCCACTGCACTCCAGCCTGGGCAACAGAGTGAAACTCCATTTCAAAAATAAAATAAAATAAAATAAAAATAAATCCCCTTCTAGGTTTTCATATTAATTACTCTGCTTTTCAATACTTTCTTTACTATTGGAGCACAAATTGTTTTTTCTTGTATACTTGATTGTACCCCTAAACAATTGAAAAAGATGTACTTCTTCTGGGATTATTAGTTGTACCTAGGGGATAGTTTTCAGGTTTTATTTGATTGGTGCAAAAGTAATTGTGGCTTTTGCTGTAATTATTTTCTGCAAGTAATGGCAAGAACCACAATTACTTTTGCAGCAACCTAATATTAATCTGCCATATTACTGTAACCAGAAGACAGTGAGTGTTTTCAAGTATGATAAGCATAATTTTATAATCACTTAAGTACCATGCTCAATTCTATTTTTAATACTTCGTTATTTCAATTGTTTAGTTTTGAAAATTTAGAATATTTTCAATCTTTAGCTATTATGAAAAAGGCCATAATGAACATCTTCAAATATGCAAACTACTGAGAATATTTCCTGTATGGAAACTGAGACTACCTAGTAACCAACCTGAAAGTATGGTTTTCTTCTCATGGAAATAGATGCAATTCGCAGGTGTTACCATTGTTCTTAGAGGAAGTATGCCAGGATCTGTGTATCATTTTTCAAATAATAGTTTACATAATTGCAATGAGAGAGTAGAACTCATCGCAATTATGAATCATCTTTGCTTGACTTACTGATGTATGTGTACTCATCTATTTTGCTTATACAAAATAGGAAAATTTTTGTTTCTTACTGTCTTAAATAAGTTATTTTTTTCAAATTTTCAAGTTGTGGTCAGAAGTCATAAATTTTACTTATTCACAAAGTAAAAAAATAAAGAAAAAATATAGATTCCCACCTTCATACCTCTGGGAATTGACACATGGCTATTCATACAGGGACTAAGCATCAGGCCTTGACAGCCATCCTTACTGATTGCCACCATTATGATCAAGAGGTAGCTTAATCTTCAGCAGGGGTTCACAGCTATAGCTGTGGGCCAATCCCAACCTACTTTTTGTTTTTGTAGGACTCCTGAGTTAAGAATAATTCTTAAATTTTTCAGGATTGAAAGAAATCCAAAGAACAATAATATTTCATGAAATAAGAAAATGAGACTATTCTTCTAAGTGAAGTAACTCAGAAATGGAAAACCAAACATCATATGTTCTCATTCATAATTGGGAGCTAAGCTATGAGGACGCAAAGGCATAAGAATGATATAATGGACTTTGGGTTCTTGGGTGAAAGGGTGGGAGGGAGGTGAGGAATAAAAGACTACACATTGGGCACAGTGTACGCTGCTTGGGTGATGGGTGCACCAAAATCTCAGAAATCACCATTAAAGAACTTTATTCATGTAACCAAACACCACCTATTTCACAGAAACCTAATGAAATAAAAGATAAATTTAAAAATAAATAAATTAATAAAAGCCAATAAAATAATAAAAAAGAAAATCATATGATATTCAAATTTCAGAGTCCATAAATAAAGTGTTATTGGAACACAGCCACACTTATTTATTTTCATATGCCTATGGCTGCTTTTTCACCATTGAGTAGCTGCCACAGGGACCTACTGGCCTGCAAAGCTGAAGAGGTTTACTATTTACTAAAAAGTTAGACCGTTTACTAAAAAGTGTGCTGACCACTGTTCTACTTGAACTGTGGGTCCTGTTAATATTCATGTCCTTGAAGTCTCCGACTATGAGGAAGTTGTAGGAATAGAAAGATTAATACCTTGCATGATTACTATCAGGATGTGAAGTGTAAGTGAAACCCTTTATTTAACTGACCTCAGTTTCTCCCTACAGTCATGTGGGTTTTAATCTGTTGTGATCACAAAAATTAAAATGCAGGATAGCACTGAAGATAAACCGGAAAAATGGCATGTACTAAAAATATATCCTCGAGCTAATTTGATAATTTCCTTAACCTAATTTTATGCACACATGTAAGGTATTAAAACATATTGTGCCATTCTTATTTGTAAAAATAGGGTCAATGTTCATACCCAATTGAAAAGTTTAAAAAGTACTATTTTCCCATACCCATGGCAAAATGCTTGTGTTTGCATCTGTGTCTCTGTGTGTGTATTATATACATATATTTATGTGTGTGTATATATTCTTATGTGTGTATATATAAAATATACATTCTAATTTGAAAGTTGAAAAGCTTTGTCATGTGGCTCAATTCCACTTCTTATGTATGTGTTCATCTACATTACTTCTTTTTTTTTTAAATTTTACTTTAAGTTCTGGGATACACGTGCAGAATGTGCAGGTTTGTTACATAGGTATATATGTGCCATGGTGGTTTACTGCACCTATCAACGCATCATCTAGGTTTTAAGCCCCACATGCATTAGGTATTTGTCCTATTGCTCTCCCTTCTCTTGCCCCCTAGCCCCCAACAGGCCCCAGTGTGTGATGTTCCCCTCCCTGTGTCCATGTGTTCTCATTGTTCAACTTCCACTTATAAGTGAGAACATGCAATGTTTGGTTTTCTGCTCCTGTGTTAGTTTGCTGAGAATGATGGCTCCCAGCTTCATCCATGTCCCTGTAAAGTACATGAACTCATTCTTTTTTATGGCTGCATAGTATTCCATAGTGTATATGTGCCACATTTTCTTTATCCAGTCTATCATTGACGGGCATTTGGGTTGGTTCCAACTCTCTGCTATTGTAAATAGTGCTGCAGTAAACATACGTGTGCATGTGTCTTTATAGTAGAATGATTTATAATCATAATGGGATTGCTTGGCGAAATGGTATTTCTGGTTCTAGATCCTTGAGGAATTTCCACACTGTCTTCCACAATGGTTAAACTAATTTACACTCCCACTAACAGTGTAAAAGCATTCCTATTTCTCCACAGCCTTGCCAGCATCTGACTTTTTAATAATCGCCATTCTAACTGGCGTGAGATGGTATCTCATTGTGGTTTTGATTTGCATTTCTCTAATGACCAGTGATGATGAGCTTTTTTTCTGCCAGGTTTGTTGGAGATCAGATGGTTGTAGATGTGTGGTATTATTTCTGAGCCCTCTGTTCTGTTCCATTGGTCTATATATCTGTTTTTGTACCAGGACTTTGCTGTTTTAGTTACTGTAGCCTTGTAGTATAGTTCAAAGTCAGGTAGCATGATGCCTCCAGCTTTGTTCTTTTTGCTTAGGATTGTCTTGGCTATTTGGGCTCTTTTTTGGTTCCATATGAAATTGAAAGTAGTTTTTTTCTAATTCTGCAAAGAAAGTCAATGGTAGTTTGATGGGAATAGCATTGAATCTATAGATAATTTTGGGCAGCATTGCCATTTTCACGCTACTGATTCTTCGTATCCATGAGCGTGGAATTTTTTTCCATTTGTTTATGTCCTCTCTTATTTTCTTGAGCAGTGTTTTGTAGTTCTCCTTGAAGAGGTCCTTCGTGTCCCTTGTAAGTTGTATTCTTAGGTATTTTATTCTTTTTGTAGCAATTGTGAATGAGAGTTCATTCATGATTTGGCTCTCTGTTTGTCTATTGTTGATGTATAGGAAAGCTTGTGATTTTTGCACATTGATTTTGTATCCTGAAACTTTACTGAAGTTGCTTATCAGCTTAAGGAGTTTTTGGGCTAAGACAATGGGGATTTCTAAATATACAATAATTTCATCTGCAGAGAAAATTTGACTTCCTTTCTTTTTATTTGAACACAGTTTATTTCTTTCTCTTGCCTGATTGCCCTGGCCAGAACTTCCAATACTGTGTTGAATAGGAGTGGTGAGGGAGGGCATTCTTGCCTTGTGCCAGTTTACAAAGGGAATGCTTCCAGCTTTTGCTCATTCAGTATGATATTGTCTATGGGTTTGTCATAAATACATTGCTTCTATAAGTGTTTCTTCAATTTTATATATTAATTTTGACTACCCAGTTTAATCAATATTTTTATTATTACAAAAATCTCTTAAACATGGTAGAGGTAAATCTGTTATATCAAAGTCTGAAATTATTTACTCTTAAGCTTAAGTACCACAACAGGGCAACATTCTCTGTCCACTGATATTTAATAGAAATTTATCCATGCTAGTTCAGGTTGGATTTTAAGTTAGATGGGTTTGTGCTTTGTATTCTGACTTATTTTAATGACAATATATTCCACACTACCATTGAGTTCTTCTATGCCCTATCTCAAAAGTACTATTTTTTTACTGAATATTCATCTACTTGATTCCTAACATTGTATATAAAAATATATATATTTTTTATTTCACTGATTAGCATTTGAAGCATGTATTCTCTTCTCCTTTCCTTGGGTTGCCCCTAGTTTCATCCATACTTCTTCAGTAACCAGTTGAAGAGAGCCATGTTATAAAAAACTTCCCTTGGAACAAGTGAGAAATTTACCATTTTAGTCTAGTGATTTAGACACTTAAAAGGGTCTGAACGTGAGGCAGAGGTAGATGTTTTTTGCAAAACTTTCTCTGAGTATTCCTCAAATTATGGTCCAATTTTATTAGAATCCATTGAAATTGCAATCTTTGAGGGTTGGTTCCAGCAATCTTCATTTTCAATAAGAAATACAAATAATTCTTTTGCACACTAATATTTGAGCGTCAATGTAATCAATATTTTCCTTACTATCATATATAATAATATATCGTTTATATTTATATAGTGAATTTGCTACCATTAAGGAATGATTCTGTATAACATTTGCTTATGTATTGCTGCAGAAATGTAAACGTAGTTCCATATTTTTTGCATAACCATGTTGTAAATCAACAATGTCAAATATAATTCTTCAGAGTGTGTAGGTTCTAGGGAGATGCCCGATGGACAACTACCAGGAAGAGAGGAAAGAGGACAGAGGGGAAGGCTCACAGCTAGTATCCCACATCCTTTGGCCCTTAAAGCAATTCTGTTCTGATTCATTTTATACATTTAGATACTTCTTTTATGTTTTATATTCCATATAAGAATTCTTTGGGATACAGTGTTCTGCTGTTAGAGGGAAAAAGTTTGAAAAGCACTAGAAAGCCACCATTTTACTTTTAAATCTATGAATGTTATTCTTTCAGAAGACAAAAATGTGTTCATTGCTTTGAATTGGTTGGCACTACTAAAATCTACCTGGGCAGAAGCACACCATTACATTTGATATTTCAAGCCATGTTTAGTTCAGTCGGTAGTTTTCACATTTCTGCATCAGACAAGTGCTTTGAAATCACCATGGCAATCACAACTGCCTAGATATGTGTCTGATGATTAGTAGTGTGTCAGGATCTTCAGAGATGCTTTCCCATATATTATTAAAATTGCAGATGCAGATTCTGTCTCTGTAGATTTTCTATATATTTTTGTTTTTTAAAATTACAGTATTTTTTTACTGCTGCAAGATAGTATTTTGTTAAAAATTTTAGAAAAATTATAAGCTAATTTTACCACACAGAAGTAAGGGTTCTATACCTTTCGCTATTTGTATGAATATACAGTTTTTTACTGTGTGTACATTCACTTTATAAAATATATTTCACGTATTTCCCAATATATTTCATTAAAAATGAAGAATACATTTTCAAAACCCATATTGTATAAAAGGTACTTTATTTATATATACTTTAAATAGATATACCATTATCACCAAAAATGTCATCATGTCTCTTTTAAGACATACTTTTTCATTTAGCAAAAATATCTTTCTATATCAATCAAGTTTGATTTAGCATATTATTTTCACAGGCTGCATTATTGTCCATCATATTGATGTACCTCAATTTATTTAGGTGTTTACATCTTATTTGAAATTCAGATTGTCCCCATTGCTTGCTTCACTATTATAAAGACTAATTTGATACACATACATTTTATGTATGTTTAAAAATATTATATTAAACACAGTTGTGAGAGTACAATTATATGATTAAAACATATGCATATATTTTATTTTTTCAGAATACCTTGTTAATTGCATCCCAGATAGGTTATCCCAATTTGCACTCTCACCAATGATTAATAATATTGAAGGTAGGCTTGGATTCCAATTGAAAAGGGATAATAATAACAAAATTATTGTTTAAAACATTTTTGTGTTTTGTTGACAAACTGTCCAGAATTTGGTAAAAAAAAATTCATTGGTTTAAGGAGCTATTGCCCTTAAATAGCACCCATTAGAAAAATAATCATTTTAAAGATTAAATTATAATATTTGAGAGAAAGATAATTCCGGTAAAAACTACCCTAATAGATATAGAGTGACTTTTTAATACAAAATTTCAATATATTTTATAGTATTTAAGTAATATCACTTTCTTTTTTTTTGCTGTGCTTTGTTACCTGCAATACAGAACGGCATTAGTATTAATTGGATTTCAACCTCATTGCTAATCAAAAAATATAAATGGAAAAGCATTGTAGTAGATATTGGTAGAAAAAAAGTCATTTAGAAAAATAATTTCTTTCTACCACTTAATTACCTCTCCCTTTTAATAATTCTAGCATGAAAACACTTGTAAATGTGGAGTTATGCCTTTTAAAATTCAAGTTGGTAAACTACGTTATTGTAGTAAGAATCTTTGAGCTCTCTTGTTGCTAATTAGACAAGCTATTAAGGTAATTCTCTGAAGGGAGCAAAGGTATTTTTATAGGTCTTGACCTAAATATGTGGAAAATATCCTAGAGCAGGTATCCTTAGAATTGTAATTCTAAATAGGTTTTCTACATAGGTGTCAGTATGCTAGAATTTTCATCAATGAAGATTTGTCATTTCCTCTTAAGTGTGCCTTCACTTTTATAAGCAAACAGCATTAAATCAGGTACACTGTTGTAGCTGGTTTCACTTTTGCCTAGTTGTTTATTATCTTTAGGTCATGGTGAATATATAAAGGACATTTTATATAACAAATATGATATATTAACTATTCATCAGATAAGAACAATTTGTATTAGTTACATGTAAAAAGTTCTTATATAATAGTTTTAATAAGTCTGAAGCAAAAATATTTTAATGATAAAGAAAATTGTCTTTACATTTTTGCAAGGCCATTCCTTTGTTCTATCATCAAGCGTATGATCTAAAATAAAATTGCCCAACTGATTTAGGAAAGAGACTAGGATAGAAATTAGAAATAATGAATTATGTTTTCATCACTGTAATATGTTGTATTTCACAAATTTTGAAAAGCAAGAGGAGGGTCTTCAATTGTGAGAAAATATAATTAACCACGCTGTGTACCTCATTACAAATAGTGATGAGGACACACACACACACACACAGACACACACACACACATCTATATATATTTGTCATGGTATGTAGAAGCATGTATATCAGGATTCTGGAATGGGCCTGCTTGTTTAGTGTTGGTCCATTCCAGAATCCTGATATACATGCTTCTAAATACTTGTGAATGGTCTCTCATAATTACATAAAAGTAAGTTGAAAAGCACGAAGTTTCCCAGAATAAGAGCACAGTAACCTAGGTTTGTGTGTATGAGGGCAAACGTGCATGTGTGTCAGTCTGTGTGTGTGTTTCAGTTGCTTAGTACAAGCTTTGTCACTCCTTGATATAGTTACAAGGAGGAATATACACATTTGTGAGGGTGGAAACCAGTCCTATCACCTCATTTTTATGGGAGATCTATTGGGATGGATCAGAGCAGAAAAGAATAACAATGAGTCCCTTGAAATAAAATAAGTCCCAGAGATCCAGAAAAGGGCATAAAAGCCCAGGAATGTGTGTGTATGGGGAGGGATGGTATGATGATCATGGTAGGCTTTTTGATTCATGGCAAGTGACAGATAATGAAAATGCCATCTGGGTTTAGCCATTTTAGTATAGAGTGCACTCTTTGGAAAAAAATAATTAAATTTATTGAGGAAGGGCTGAAAGAGTGATAAACCACAAGACAAGTGTAAGACATCTGAGTTACTTCTGAGGATGAGTCTTCAGAAGGAATTTCACGTGGCAGTGAGAATCAGTGTCTATATTTAACTGAAGAGTTTGTGGTACACTCACAGGAGAACTGAGTTCCTCGGACTGGGTTTCTTAAATTATTGAAAGAGATGGAGAAGCCATCTCTTGTATTAGTAAAGTTGATTACACTAATTTTATAGAAAACTATACATGAAAATTTTAATTAGTAGGTGCTGGGTTAACAACAGTTGCTAAATAAAAGTTATCATATAATACCATGTAATAGCATCACTTGGGAAATAATGAGAGATCTGACATTTAGGATCTGTCAGCAAATCTGGCAAGTCTCTTTTTATCTGCGTCCTTGCCACATAAAGTCAATATCTGCATGTGTTTCAGGGTTAAACAAGTTAATTTCTTGAAGCAGGAATTTTGTGAGAATAGACATATTTATCATTGCTTATGGGTCTCATTTCACTGAGATATTCGATAACATCATTTTAAAAAGGTGCATCCTTTTAGTTATATGGCCATTCTTACAATGACACTCCACACTATTCTCTTGTTAATTGTAGAAAAAAATAGAAGACACATTTGAGTCTTTAAGTAACATAAAGTGAATAAACAACAGGGCAAAAAAGTGCCATATCTTTGAAATTGTTCTTAAAATTTAGTTTTATTTTAAAATTCAGAAACAATTTTCTGTATCCAAAGGCAAATGGTGTAGGTGTCCATTAAACAAAACAAAACAAAACAAAACAAAACAAAACAGGCCAGGGGCAGTGACTCAGGTCTATAATCCCAGCACTTTGGGAGGCCAAGGCAGGATGATTGCTTGAAGCCAGGAGTTTGAGATCAGCTTGGGCAACATAGTGAGACCCTATCTCTATAAAAACTTTAAAAAATATTATCCAGGTGTGTTGGCACATGTTTGTAGTCCAAGCTACTCAGGAGGCTGAGTTGGGAGGATCACTTGTACCTAGGAGTTTGAGGCTGCTGCAAGCTATGATTGTGACATTGCACTGCAGCCTGGGTAACAGAGTAAGACCCAATTTCTTAAAAAATACAAACATGAAAACAAGAGAAACACACAGAGTGACACCAACAAAATGACAAAATAAAGTTTTCCCAGAACTCAACCCCTCACAGAAACATCAAGTTGAATAAACATTGATGCATGAGAATAACTTCATAAGTGCCAGGGAATCCAGATGACAGATGGCAACACATATGGCGATCACAGAATAAGAAAAGACTCACTGAAGATGGTAGGAAGGGCAGATTCACATTACCCATGTCATCTTTTCCCCAAGCCCATGAAACACAGTGAGAAGACAGATAGCCTATGTGTGAGAAAAAGAAAATAAAATGAGCACCCAACTTTGCCACAGACTCTAGGACCAGGCCTACCCCAGTGTACCCTCGTGCCAGGCTGGTATTTGCAGACCCAGGCTGTAAGCCTTACCCCTGTGTACTCAGGCTCTAGGCCTACCCCATATCCTCAGGCTCCATGTCCACTTCAGCACCAGGCAAGCTCCATGATTCAGGGTCCTGGCCACCCAGTAAAAACCCAACCCTTTTAACCCCAGGCTTCAGGCCATCCCTTAAAGACCCAAGTTCTAGGTTTGTAGCTGCATGAGGCAAGCCTAGGCACCAGGTAACAGGCCAATCCCTGCAGACACAGTTCCAGGACCACCCCAGCACCAGGCCTGCCTGCTCAATGGCCCAGGCATCAGGCCCACCCAACAGAAAACTTCAGCAGTAAGCCCACTTGCAGATCCTGCCAGTCAGACAGCCCAAGTAATCTCTGGGCAGGCTGCTTGGTGAATGGCTTTCCCTGCCAAAGACATAGATGATTTAAAAGCAGAAAGAAAAAATGACTCATCACCTGCAAGGGAAATCCCATAAGACTGTCAGTAAGTTCCTCAGCAGAAACCTGGTAGGCCAGGAGAGAGTAGGATTATGCAATTAAAATATTGAAAGAAAGAAACTGTCAGCTGGGTGCAGTGGCTTACGCCTGTAATCAGAGCACTTTGGAAGGCTGAGGCTGGCAGATCAGGAGGTCAGAAGTTCAAGACCAGCCTGGCCAACATGGTGAAACCCTGTCTCTAATAAAAATACAAAAATCAGCTGGGTGTAGCGGCATGCACCTGTAATCCCACCTACTCAGGAGGCTGAGGCAGGAAAATTACTTGAACCTGGGAGGCAGAGTTTGCAGTGAGCTGAGATCATGCCATTGCACTCCAGCTCTGGACAACAGAGCAGGACTCTGTCTCGTAAAAAAAAAAAAAAAAAAAAAAAAAAGAAAGAAAGAAAAGAAAAAGAAAACAAGAAAAGAAACTGTCAACCAAGGTTATTGTACCAGGAAAACTGCCATTGAGAAATGAAGAGGACATAAAGACTCTCCTAGACAAAAACTAAAAGAATTCAACATCACTAGACCTGCCTTACAAGAAATGCTAAAAGGAGTTCTTCAAGTTGAAATGAAAAGAAACTAATTAACAACTTGATATCTTATGAAAGTATAAAACTCACTGCAAAAGTATGAATACAGCCAAATTCAGAATACTGTAATACTGTAATGGTGGTTTGTAAATCACATTTAATTCTATTATAAAAGCCTTAAACATATTAAAAATCACTAAAGATACAATAATTTGTTAATGGATACATGATATAAAAAGACTTAAATAATGGCATCAATAACACAAAGTGTGGCGGGAAGAGGAGTTAAAATGTGGAGTTTCTGTATGTAATCAAACTTATCAGCTTAAAAGAGATTATTATGACTATAATAAGTTTTATGTAAGAGTCATAATAATGACAAAGAAAAAATTCCTGTAATGGATACACAAAAAAACAGAAGAACAAAGCATACTACTACAAAAATTATCAAATAACAAAGGAAGACAATAAGAGACAAAGGATGGAACAAAGGAACTATAAAACAAAAACCAATTAACAAAAATGGCAATAGTAAGTTATTCCTAACAATTCATGTAATGTGAATGGATAATATTCTCCAATTAAAAGACATAGAATGTTGAATGGATAAAAATACAAGATCAAATTATATGCTGCCTACAAGAGATTCATTTTAGCTTTAAGGACATATATAGGTTTTAAGTAAAGAGTAGAAACAAGATATTTCATGCAAATGGTAACCAGAAGAGAGAATGAGGTGGCTACACTTTTCTAAGACAAAATAGATGCTGTGTCAAAAACTGTCAAAAGAGACAAACAAGGTCATAATATAATAATAAGGGATCAATTTATTGTGAAGCTATAACAATTATAAATATATTTGCACCCAATATTGGAGAACCTATGTATATAATACAAATGCTAACAGACCTAAAAAAGGGAAACAGAGAGCAATGCAATAATAGTAAAAATTTTATAGCCCACCTTCACAATGAGTAGATCATCCAGAAAAAAATCACAGAGAAACTGTGGACTTGAACAATAGTTGGCCTAATGAACATAATAGATATACATAACTTTTCATCAATAGTAGCATAATACATATTCTTTTCATGAGCACATAAAAATATTTTCAAGGATAGATAATATGTTATGCCACAAAACAAGTCTTAATAAATTAAAAAAAAATGGAAGTTATATCAAATGTCTTTTCTGGCAACAATGGCATGAAATCAGAAAATTCACAAATATATGAAAATCAAACAATACACTACTGAACAACTAATGGGACAAAGAATAAATCAAAAAAGAAAACAAAAAGTTTATTAACACAAATAGAAATGGAAACACAGCATATACTGAAACTGATAGGATGTAGCAAAAATAGTTCCATGAGGGACGTTTGTAACAATAAATGCCTGCATCAAGAAAAAACTCTCAAATAAATGACCTAACTGTATATCTCAAGGAACTAGAAAAAGAAGAGCAAACAAAGGCCAAAGTTAGTAGATGGAAAGAAATAATAAAGATAAGGAGACTTAAAAAATAAAAACAGTTTAAAAAACTAACAATTGGTTTTTTGAAAAGATAAACAAAATAGAAAAACCTTTATTTACCTGGAAAATGAAAGAAAATTCAAATAAATAAAATTATTGGCCAGGTTCAGTGGCTCATGCCTGTAATCTCAGCCCTTTCGGAGGTCGAGGTGAGCACATCACTTGAGGTCAGGACTTTGAGGCCAGCCTGGCCAACATGATGAAACCCTGTCTCTATTAAGAATACAAAAATTTATCAGACATGGTGGTGCATGCCTGTAATCCCAACCACTTGGGAGGCTGAGGCACAAGAATTGCTTGAACTCAGGAGGCAGATGTTGCAGTGAGCCGAGAGTGCACCAATGCACTACAGCCTGGGTGGCAGAGGGAGACTCTGTCTCAAAATATATGTTTATGTTCAATAAAACATTTCATGGTTAATGAAAGAGAAGACATTACTAGTGATACCACAGCAATATAAAGGGTCATAAGAGATTACTATGAACCATTAATGTGACAACAAGTTGGATAATTTACAGGAAATAAATAAATTACTAGAAACGTAAAACCTAAGAAGAGAAAATCATGAAGAAATGAAAAATTTGAAGAGCCAGTAATGGGTAAGAAGATTGCATCTGAAATTAAAAAGCTGCCATCAAAGAAAAGTCTAGAACCTGATGAATTTATTGATGAATTCTACCAAACATTTAAAGAATTAACACCAATCCTCAAACACTTCCCCAATACTGAAGAGAATGCTTCCAAATTCCTTTTATGAGGTGTATTACTCAGGGTTATCTTAGGGGGACAGAGCTAATAGGGTGTATATATATATATATACATATATATGTACACACACACCTATATATATATGAAATATGTAATATATATAATACTTAATAAACTCTCCTTTATATTATAGATGTTCGAGGGCAGGGATCATCCAGCATGGGAGAAAGATATAGGCTGGGAGTCTAGGCCCATCTCTCCTTTTTCTGCCTGCTTTATATTCGCTGGAAGCTGATTAGATTTGCCCAGCAGATTAAGGGTAGATCTGCCTCCCCAGCCCACTGACTCCAATGTTAATATCTTTTGGCAACACCCACACAGACACACCCACGATTAATACTTTGTATCCCTCCATCCAATCAAGTTGACACAGTATTAGCCATCACATGAGGCAAGCATTATTATGATTTCAAAGTCAGACAAGGACACTAAAATAAAGGAAATTACAGGCTAATATTGCTGTTGATGGAAAAATCCTCAACATAATACTAGCAAAGAAAATTCAGCAGCACATTTAAAGGATGATACACCATGATCAAATGTGATTTACCCCCAGGATGCAATGATAGCTTGCTATAGTTTGGATATTTGATCCTCCAAACCTCATGTTGAAATTTGAGTCCCAATGCTGAAGTTAGGGCCTAGTGAGAAGTGTGTGGGTCACGAGGGGAGGATCCCTCATGAACAGTTTTAATGCCCTCCTTGATGGGGGATGGGGAGGGATGAGTGAGTTCTCACTCTTATTAGTTCCCATGAGAGACAGTTGTTAAAAAGAACCTGGCATCTCCCTATTCTTCCTCTCTTTCTTCCTCTCTCACCATGTGATCTCTATATATGCCTGCTTCCCTTCACCTTCCACCATGAGTGGAAGTAGTCCGAGGCTCTCATCAGAAGCAGATGCTGGTACCGTGCTTGTACAGCCTGCAGAACGGTAAGCCAAATAATCCTCTAACTTACCCAGCCCTAGGTATTCCTTTATAGCAATATGAATGGACTAACATATGGCTTAATATATGCAAACCAATAGATGTGATACAAGACGTTAAAAGAATGAAGGGTAAAAATCATATAGTAATTGCAATAAAAGTGAAGGAAAACATTTAACAAAATTCAGCTCCTTTCATAATAAAAACTCCCAAATTAGGAAGAAAAGGGAAGTACCTCAACACAATAAAGCCTACAGCTTTCTGGATTATATGACAAGCCCACAGCTAACATCACTCTCAATGGTTAAAAGCCGAAAGCTTTTCCTCTAAGATCAGGAACGTGAAAAGGGTGCCCACTTTTACCACTACTGTTCAACACAGTAGTGAAAGTTCTAGCTGGAGAAATTAGTCTCTCTCTCTCTCTCTCTGTCTATATATATAAAACATATATTTATGTTCAATAAAATGTTTCATGGTTAATGAAATAAAAGACATTTATATATAAATGTTATATTTATATATAAGTATATATTTGTATGTATAAATATATAAATATGGTTTCAGGTCTTACATGTAAGTCTTTGATTCACTTTGATTCACTTTGCATTGATTCATATACTTATATAAACCACTCGATTTATATATTTATATATAAATATATATTAACTTATATATTTGGATATATATGAAATATATAACATATATTTATATATGCCATATTTTATATATACACACACAAATAAAAGGCAAATTTTACTTCTTGAATTAAAAATATATTACAACATATATATCACAATCAGATAAGAAAATAAGTAAAATTAGCTCTGTTTGCAGATGATAACATCTCAATATAGAACATTCTAAAGACTACCTTAAAAACTGTTAGAATAAAATATGAATTCAGTAAAGTTGGAGGATATAAAATAACACAGATATTCTGTTGTATTTTTTATACACTAACAACCAACCATCTGAAAGTAAATCAAGAAAACTATGTCATTTATAATAGTTTAAAAATAAAATACTTAGAAATAAATTTAACTACGGAGATGAAAGATCTGTACACTGAAAACTATAGAATGCTTATAAATTGTGTAATGCACAAATAAATGGAAATATATCCTGCGTTCATGAGTTGGAAGAGTTAATATTATTAAAATGTCAGTACTACCTGAAGTGATTTATAGATTTAATGCAATCCTTATCAACATTTCAGTGGCATTTTTTACAGAAGTAGAAAACTTTTTCTGGAAACAAAAAAGATCCTAAAGAGCCAAATCAATTTAGAAACAAAAAAGAAGGCTGAAGCATCATACTTCTCATCATACTTCTTGAATTAAAACTCTACTACAACATTACATTAATCGAAACAGTTTGGTACTGTCATGAAAACAGACATACACCAACAGAAGAGAATAGAGTGCCCCAAAATAAATCCATACATTTATGTTTAATTTATCTTCACCAATGATACCAATAACATACAATGGGAAAAGGATAGTCTCTTCAATAAATGATTTTAGGTAAACTGGATATTCACATGTGCTATTGTTTGTCCTTTTTTCAAAACTCATGTTGAATTTTAATTGCCATTGTGATAGTATCAAAAGGTGGAACATTTTAAGAGGTAATTAGGTGAAGAGACTTACGCTTTCATGAATGGATTAATGCCATTATGGGCAGAGTAGGCTCCCCCCATTTTCTCTCTGTCCTGCACAATTCCTGCCTTTTTCTCTTTGAGCCATGGGATGATGCAACAAGAAAGCCCTCACCAGATAGCTAAGCAGATGCCAGCACCACATCTTAGGACTTCCTAGCTTCCAGAAGCATGAGTTAAATAATTTTTTTTTCTTTACAAATTACTCAGGCTGTGGTACTATATTATAGCAGCAGAAAATCTAAGGCCATATAAAACTTAATAAAATTGACCCCCTTTTTTCACAGCATATCAATGTAAAGTAAATCATGACTTAAATGTAGGACCTGAAACCATAAAACTACTAAGAAAACATAGGAGAAATGCTCCTTAATGTTGGTGTGGGTTATGATTTTTGAAAATGAACTTAAAAGCACAAGTAACAATATCAAAAATGGACAAACAAAATTTTATCAAATTATAAAGCTTCTGCAGAGCAAAGGAAACAAAAAAGTGAATAGACAATCCATAGCATGGGAGAAAATATTCATAAACCATACATAGGGCTTAACTCAAAATGAATAAAAACTCAAATAATTCAACAGAAAAAAACAGTAACTAATTTAAAAGACATTTTTCAAAAGAAGACATACCCGTTATTAACAGCTATATTAAAAGGTGCTCAACTGTCACTAAACATTAGGGAAATGCAAATTAAAACTGCAATGAGTTGTCATCTCACGTCTGCTAGAATGGCTATTATTAAACTGACAAAACAATTGTTGGCAAAGACATGCAGTAAAGGGAACCCTTGTAGACTATTAAGGGGAATGTAAATTAGTACAGCTATTATAGAAAACTGTATGGAGGTTTCTCAAAAATGTAAACAAACAAACAAAAATGACATATGACCTAGCTATCTGCCTCCTGGGTATATATCTGAAAGAAATTAATTCAGTATGATGAAGAGATATCTGCATTCCCATGTTCATTGCAGCATTATTCACAATAGCTAAGATATGTAAGTAACTCGAGTGTCCATCAGTGTATGAATAAAGAAAATGTGGTATACATACACAATGGAACATTATTTAGCCTTAAAAAATGAAATTCTGTCATTTGTGACAACATGGATAAACCTGGAGCACATTACGCTAATGACATTAATCAAGCACAAAAAGACAAATACCACACGATGTCACTTATATGTGGAATGTAGAAATATCAGACTAATAGAAGCAGAGAGTAGAATGGTGGTTGCCAGTGAATTTGGGGACTGGGGAAATGAGGAGATCTTGGTCAAAGGATACAGTTTCAGTTATGCAGGATGAATATATTCGGGAGATACACTACAGCATGCTGACTGATATGGTTTTGGTGTGTCCCCACCCAAATCTCTCCTTGAATTGTAATAATCCTCACGTGTCAAGGGCAGGGCCTGGTGGAGATAATTGAATCATGGGGGCAGTCTGCCCCGTACTGTTCTCATGGTACTGAATAAGTCTCACGAGATAGGATAGTTTTATAAATGGGAGTTCCCCTGCACAAGTTCTCTTTCCTGCTGCCGTGTAAGATGGAACTTTGCTGTTCATTTGCCTTTGACCGTAATTGTGAGGCCTCCCCAGCCATGTAGAACTGTGAGTCAATTAAACCTCTTTCCTTTATAAATTACTCAGTCTCAGGTATGTCTTTATTAGCAGCGTGAGAACAAACTAATACAGTGACTATAGTTAATAATACCGTATTGTATACTTGAAATTTGCTAAAGAGTAGATGTTAAATGTTCTCACCACAAAAAAAATAAGGTGACTATATGAGGTTTTGGATATGATAATTAGCTGGATTGTCGTAATCATTTCACAATGTGTATATATACATAAGTATCACACTGTAAACCTCAAATATGTACAATTTTAATTTGTTAATTTTACCTCAATAAAGCTGGAAAATGATGAACAAAGTACAAATAGTCAAACTTAATCTTCAGTATTGGTTTGGTGTTTTATAGAAACCTGAGAAAAAGGTAATGGCTATGTCTCACAGACTCTTCTTGGGAATGTGAAATAGGAGAACTTATATGATATGATCAGAGAAGGCATACATATAGAACGATTAGCTTTCTGCATTCAATGATGTCTTAGTATTAAGAAATGTATTAACATATTTTGTCACATCGACAAGTTCAAAAACTGAAATCAAGATGACCTGAGTAGATGCCTCAAGGGCATTTGATAAATACAAATTCCCTCCTAAACTGAAAAAAAGTAAAATAGAAACAAGTCTCTCCTTTAATATAATGAAAGATATTTATTTCAAAACAATAGTTAGTATCTTAATTACTAGTGAAACACTAAGAATGTTACTATTAAACTTGGGACTAAGACAAGGATGATTATGTCCTGCAGTGATTAACTTTATTTGAAAATCATTCCCTGATGCAGCTTACACACAAGGTGGGAAACACAGTATAAGAAAAAATTGAAATTATTTACATTTAACATGCTTAAAAATAGAGAATCATTGAAAAATATTAGGACTTCTAAAAATATTGGGTAAAATAAATAATTACTAAAATATTCAACAGCTTCTTCTAGCACTGCCCCACCCAAATTTAGAAAATATAATGAGCAAAAAAAGATTGCATATATAGTATTTTATTAAGTAGTTGTTAGGGTCTATTAGGAATGCTCTAAAAATTGCAGTGACTGGCATAAATGAGGACTCTATATTTCTCAAAGTGAAGATTCAATAATTTTAAAAAGTCAACTTTTACCTATTTTTAATTTTTAATTTAATTACAATGAAAGGAAAATCACATTTTAATTAGCAAAGTGATTTTAAAATGTTCTTCTAGCATAAAATATATGTGAGAATAACAAAAATATAAACATGCTCTTCCAAATGTCAAAATTAATATAAAACTAGAACAATGAAACATTGTGGCCTTGGCACAGAAGTAGATAGATAATTGGAACAGAGTAAGAAGTCCACATAGCAATTGTAAGACATATAAACATTTCAGTTTGTCTTGAATTATCATTTCAGATCAGTGCAGGATTTTGTGCATTTGTAAGTAGTGTTATGACAAGTATTTAGAAATATAAATTAAGTAAATAAATAAATAAATAAATGGAGTTTAGAACAGAATCTCTCACCACATACCAACACAATTTCTAAAAGATTTACAACTGGTTACAGTGGCTTCTTTCATAAAAACACCAGAAACACATAGGTGATTATCTGGTCTCAGGATGAATAAGGCTCTTAAACAGGACAATAAAAAATATAAGCAACAGACATTATGGGGAAAATTAGATGCTATATAAAATAAAAATCTCTTTTATCAAACAGCATAAAAGGAAGTTATTGGAAAAATAAATATTGATGAAAATAATTGGAATATGTATGTAAGATAATAGGTTAGCTGTCCTTAACACCAAAGATGGAAAAGGGTCAAAGAACACAAATGGATAATTTGTTAATGGAAAAATACAATTTTTCATTATTTTGAAATATGATATTTATCCCCAGAAATCAAGAAATTCATTTAATACAGCAAGTCTATGTCCTGTCTTACTTGATTATTCTGTTTTCTTTCATATGGAAATCCAAATTTGAGAACTCATGATGATTTTCCTGCATTTATAGCTCTTTCCCCTCTAAATTAAATTACAAAAAGAAAGTACTAAAAAGCCTAAAGCTTGTGTTCAAGGATGCCAATAATTTCACCCGTCTCTGAATTATGTCTCTTTTAATTATTATATAATTCTGGACAAAAGCCAGATAATGTTCTCACTGAAAAAAAAAAAAAAAACCCAAGTTTTCTGTAGAAATATGGCTTATATTTTACCGCAGGAATCAAAAGCTATTTTTAAATGAATTATTATCTTTCCTTTTTTTGCCAAAATAAAAATCACGCAGAATCCTATTTTTATTAAAATAAAAGGACCTTAGCATTTCTGAATTCTAGTTAAAATGGAAGCCTTTTGCTACAACATATGTGGAGATTTCAGTGCCTTGCTTATTTTAGCTCTTTCTTCTTACACTTAGTAATATTACCTGCCCACTTTACATTTGCAAACAGTGATTTGAACTGCATTATGCAGAAAAGACAGGAGTGTCTAGGAGAGAGTAAATCCTGGCCTGTCTGTAGAGTTGAATGTAGCAGCAGCATCTGCTCTGCTGCTACTCTCAGAGCAGTGCTCCTCTACTCTTACATTATACACATATTTTACTTTGATGTTCATACCCGTCAGCTATGGGCCCCTCTCCATTCTCAACACCATAGGAATTCTAATTTCTTACTTTTACACTGAATACTTTGGCACTAGACTCTTTGCCTCGTCATCCTTGTAACTCAATATATGGACCATTTATTGAACTTACTAGCCTCTCAGGTTCTCTGTGTCCACATTTTCAATAACCTCCCTTTTACTTTACTGAAGTGCCTTTTCCTGACAACACTCTGAGTCATGATATCATCATCATTCACTTCATCTCTGAAATCAGATGAGTTTTTAAAATCTGGATAAAACGTTTTATCTTGTCTTCTCCCCCTTTTAATTGCCTTATTTCATTGGTCTAGATGCCTTTTCTTTGTCTATATTCATCCCTTTCTATCTCAATTTATTTCCATGTCTGGCTTTGATTCTGTACTCACTGTTCTTCTAGTGTACCTAACCCTATATCAATCCAAGGTCAATGTAGCCTTCTCTATACCTAGGCTTGAATTGTTGAGCAGAAATGAAGAAAATTACAAAATGTGTATATTGGTGTTTATATCAACTGGGTTTTCAGTTGCAAATATCAGAAACAAACTCTGACTCATTTAAACAGTATATTAGTATAATAAAAGGTATTGACTGAGTGGCTCACACAATTTCCAGAAGGACCTGAATTCTTGGCCATAGAAAATGCTCAAAGTCATGCTGAAGAACCACCCTATAAGACTCAAATGTTATTTCTGCTGGCTCAGTGGATGCAGGATATTTAACTATGTTATTAAAACTGTTGTTACTGATATCTTTGAAAACTGCATATAGTAATGTATTTCTAGCAGAATGTTGGGCTAGAAATTCTGAATCATCCAGAATATGTGGGTTAAATCATAATCAACATACTTTTAAAAGCTTCTGAACATTTAAGAAAGTAAGTATTACCATCCAGTCTGTACCAAGGAAAATCAAACAAAAATCAAAATTTATTTGAGATGATACAAATTGCTAGAAAGAGAAAATAGTATTAGCCCAAAGTCACATTCATATTTCAATTATTTAGATTCTTTGGGATAAAAGTCTGTTCCTGTAATGGTGTCTCTGAACCCACAGTGGAAGATAAACCTCAATGCTATGCATAACATGATATATAATATAAAATAATAAAACATTATATATTTATGTCATAAGAAATAAAACATGATTACTCATGTACTCATGAGCCACTGTAAGAAATGAAATATTTCCAAAATTTGTGAAGCCCCTTGTGTGACCATCCACAATCCTTCCTTTCCTATTTCCATAACGCAGTAGCTATCAGATTGGCTGAACACAATCCTTCCTTCCCTCTCCCCTATTTTCTTCTGAGCTTCAAGCCTGTTGATTTTGGCTTCAAAATACATCTCAGCTGTATCCATTGCTTTTCCTTCCCACTGCTACTACTTGCTCCAGATTTCAATTGTTTTCTGTTATATCAGTAGCCTAAAACCTGGTCTTTGCAAATCTACCATGGCTCCATTCTAACCCATTCTCAATATTGCTATCTCAATGACCTGTTTCAAAAACAGAAATATGTCTACATTGTTGTCTGGTTAAAAACCCTCAATGCTTCCCTATTGTCTTTTTAAGAAAGTCAAAACTCCTTATATAAGGCCCTTCCTTTATTCCCTGTTCTGTCTACATGTCCAGAGCCATCTCTCTATGGTTCTCAGCTTAGATATAATTTCCCCTGTGAGCCTGTTGAGTGTATCTGTTATTAGCTTCTAGCATCCATTTTATCCTTCCTTGATGAGACCAGAATGTTTCGCTCACTCGGTACTTGTGCTATTAGGAAGGAGCATGTGATTCGGCCCTAGGTCACCCAGAATAACCCACTTCTCTGAGCCATGTGATTATTTATGTATGATGGACACATGACCCAAGCCAATCCATTCAGAGGATATCTCAGTGCTTTGCTTGAGCTGTCTGCAAAGACTCAGAGAGTTGGGTTTGGCCTGATGTGATGATGCAAACCTGAAGACACTGGGCCACCATGTGCAAATTAGTTTAGAATCACCCATAATTGAATCCTGCATCTTCTATGCATGTTTTATGTATGTGAACAAATTTATTTTTTCAAATACATTGGAGTTGTGTTTTCTGTGACTTGAAATGAAAAGATTGAGCACAGAGTCCTGCCCTAATTGTGCTTGAGTGGGTCAACCCTGCTGTCTGTTCTGAAGACCCTACACTACGCCCATGGCAATGCAGTTGTCACATTTCAAACTCGCCTCCTTGCTCACTCTGTTCTAACCACGCTAGCCTCCTTGTTGTTTCTCCAGCAAGGGAAGCTTCAGCACCTCGGTGCCTTGGTAATTATTTTCCTTCTGCCTCATTCTTTCCCAACAATAGACTGTTTCTCAAAGTAACATTCTCAGAGAGCCTTTTGGTGGACACTCTCTTAAAAAATATAAATATGTCTTGGCCAGACATGGTGGTTCACACCTGTAATCCCAGCACTTTGGTAGGCTGAGGCGGGCGGATCACCTGAGGTCAAGTGTTCAAGACCAGCCTGACCAACATGAAGAAACCCCATCTCTACTAAAAATACAAAATTAGCCGGGGTGGTGGTGCATGCCTGTAATCCCAGCTACTTAGAAGGATGAGGCAGGAGAATCACTTGAACCCAGAAGGCAGAGGTTGCAGTGAGCCGAGATTGCACCATTGCACTCCAGCCTAGGCAACAAGAGCAAAACTCTGTCTCAAAAAAAAATTATATATATATAAAATTATATATATATTTATACATTTATAGGCTTATAAGAGTTCAGAAATATATATAATATATTTATACATTTATATATAATATATAAATATATTAATTATATATAAATATATTAATTATATATAAATATATATATTTCTGAACTCTTATAAGCCTATTTTTTCTACTTACCACTTGTAGCAATTTAATATACTCTAAGTATTTACTTATTTATCACACTATTGCTTATCTCTTCCATAACACACACTTAAGATGGAAATTGATATGTGTATTGCCTAGAACAATGTCTCACACATGATAAGGACGCAGTCTGTATTTTTCAACAAATGAATACAACTGTTTTTGAGTTTCACCTATGTTCAGGCACTATTTTAGATTCTAAGTCTACACAAGTAAATATGACTGGCATGGTTCTTTTGCAGATAGCATATAGCCTAAAAGGAGAAATGCTAAACAAGTAATTATTAGTTTTGTTTTAGATCTACAAGGTCAAGGACATTTTTTTTATCATTGTATCTACTGCTCTGAGCACATGACCAGGAATTAAATACATATTTTTAAATGGTTGAACAAATTAATATCCTTCCTATCAAAACATAATCTGTCTAACCTGGGTGACTAACTGCCTGAGTAACCTGAAAGAGCTATAATAACTGTATTCTCATTTCTAAAATTGCAACCATACCAGTTGTCTTCCCTATTAGAAGAACCCAGGGCAAGACAAAGAGGACATGCATATGAAAACACTTACAAAGAAATGAAATAATATATGAACAGAGTTATCATTACTGCTATTACTTTAATCACTTAAAATTTCCTTAGATAGAATTTATTATAACTATTTCACTTAGGTAACATATACTTTCAGTTGTAAAACCTTATTATATTAATGCAGACATCATGGTACTATTTGTTAAAAAAATTTTATATGATTTTTTGGGTTAATCATCCTGATTATAATTGTTTGCATTTCATACCTTTCCAAGACATCCCTCTTTAGCAACTCTAAACTTCTGAACAAAACCCACAGGCTTGTAACACATGCAATCAACAGCCAATCAGTGTTTGTCAAAAACTCTATTGACAAGATCTTGTTACCATTATGTTTTTTAAAGTTCTACCAAAACTAAATTGATCTTTTTTAACTAGTTAAGAAAAAGCTAGTTTATAAATTAGAAATAAAAATTCTTTCATCTCCTATAGAAATAATATTTTACATTAGTAATTGTGTCATTCTTATCTTGGTTCCTCACCAAGAATATTATAAAAGTAATTCTTGATCATATCATCATAGTGAGTGTACATTTTACCTTCATCTTGTTCACAGAAGAACTGGTAATTGAATCATAATTCAATTACTATTTGGTTCTTTTCTTTTTTATTTGATTACCTTTTATCTCATTTTCTCCTAAATTGATTTGTTAAAACTGAATTACTAATTGTTTTAATCTAAAAAGCTATTCTCATTTCTCATTCTGCCTGACCCGTTTGTACTTGACAATATTAATATTTTTGTGTGTAAATTAATAGTCCTTTGTACCCAAAATACACCTTTTTAATACTTTAAATTTTATTAATTTCAAATCATATTATCTTAGCAAATATCCCTGAGAGGAATTGGCAATGACAATCAATTACTGGCACATAAATTAATTTAATCTGTTTGTCTCTTCTAGCTAAGAAACATCATGTATGGAATGAGTTTGATTCATGTTAAAGAGGAAGTAATGAGAGATGATTGGTTGCATGAAAAATGCTGGAGAAGGGAATACTTGGGTTCTTAATGTAGTCAGAGAGACACAAGTAGGAAAGACATATTAAAAGGAGAGGAAAAAGGCAGAAAAGATTTATGAGCGGGAAGGTAAACAATGACTTTAGGTTTTCTTTGCACTGTCTCATTTTTTTCTACATTGGCTAATTTCAGATTGTCTAGTTCTTATCTTTTTTTGACATTATAAGCCAGGCAGGGATAAGAAGAAAACAGTCAAGTATTTTGAACTTCTTATAGGATAAAGTCACTTGGTTGTTTATAAACTCCTCAAAGTCAAAATTTACAATATTCAAGAGCATCTTCCTCCCTGTGCATTTGCCTTTCTCTTTACCTTGCTTAATTGTGCCTGGTCCAGCCATTATCAAACCCAGAATATCAGGATCAATGAAATTTTCTCCATCTGCTTTGATCATGATAGTCAATAATTATGGCACCTTGTCAATTGCACCTTCCCTCAGTTGGGTTACCTTTACTTCTTCTCCACTGGCACTTCTTTATTTCTGACCTTCATTACCTTTGTATTTTTGTCGTAACATAGTAATCTAATGTTCCTATTCACCTGTATAATAACTATATTCATTTCCCATTGTCTATGGGAATGGGCCTTGCAGTATCTGATTTCCATCTAATTTACAGTTTCAATAGGCAATCCTATGGATCCTATACTTTCATCACATCACACCACTTGCCATCCCTTGGCCATGTTTATCATATTTTATGCCTATATGTCTTTACATAAGTTGTTCCGTCTAGCTAGAATTGACTCCTACTCCTTCCTCTGGTGAAGTCCTAGTTATGTTCAACATCCAGCCCAAATGTTGTCTTTGCTGTGATATCTTTTCGGTACACAGATTATAGTAAGAAGAGTTATTTCTTTCTAACTCTGTATTCCCATAACACTACTGCATAATTATTTATGTTAAATTTTGTTTGCTGGCTCACTTTCTATTCTGTAAGCTGCTTGGTGACTGGGTTTGGAATAGTGCCTAATGCACAGTAGGTGCTGACTAAAATTTTGTTGAATGAAATTAGTCATCTCTGTTCAATAGTTTAGCATCCTAGAAAGACTTCACCGTGACAGTTGCAGTACTGACTATATTCAAAGGGTGTGCGTGTGGTTGTGGGTGTGTGTATTCAAAAATATTTTATATGCATGAACATTGTAGCAGGCACCGTAATTTTAGGCTGTCATTAGGTAACTTGTACCTACTGAGAATAAATAAACAACAATTCTCAGGCCAAATGAGATGCATTAGGCTTAACAACGGAAAAAACTCACAAGGATGAACTTTCTAATTCTATTCTTTAAGTACAACATACATTGCTGGGGTATCTTGAAAGTTTGCAACATCAAGAGAGGAGTTTGTAGGTTTTCAGCTGCTAATACACAGACCTTTATGGGTTACTCAGAACAATCATTGTTCCAGGAGATAAATGTTTCATAATCAAGTAAAATTATTGGTAATTAAACAAATGTAGGTGTACCTGCTAACTGCTAGGATGCAACTATAATGGAGCAACTTGTTTAACTTCTGTCCTTATGTGACCTGAGCTTTGAAGTTTCAATGTCCTGACAAGAAGAAGAAGGAGAAGGAGGAGAAAGAGGAGGAGGAGGAGGAGAAGAAAAAGGAGGAGGAGGAAAAAGAGCAGCAGAAGGAGGAGGAAGAAGAAGAGGAGAAAGAGGAGCAAACTTTGAAAGAATTTTACAGATGCATGTGGACTAACTATAAATTATAAATAGGGTTTATTGGTATTAGGGTTTTCTTTGTTAGTATTAGTAACAGAAATTCAACAGGAACAGTCACAGACTGAAACTAATGTGAAGTATTGTTAAAAATTTTCCTTTGATTACATTGCAGAATATATACATACATTTTCTAATTTGTTCAAATATTTTGTTTGTATCTGAACCTACAAAATATTTTCCTTTGCATGTTGACAAAGTAATTTTTCTTACTGTGATGCTGAACTCCAATATCTCCTGCCCTTCTCTGACACATTGTTGTGACTAACCCATTATGCAAACTGCTGAAAAATGTAGTTCCAGCCTCAAATCTGTATTGGTCAGTGCCAGCCACTGCTGTATCTTCATTTTCCAATATTCTTATCAGTATTCCTTGAGTCATTAACTTAGTCATATTTAATGAAAAGTTCTTGTCATAAGATTACTTACACTATTCTTTAAATTTCTTCTAAAATCTATTTAGGTTTATGTCAGTAGGCATTAGGTGTTCTCCACCACAGAACACAAAAAATCAATCATTTGATTTTCATGTTCATATTTTCATTCCTCTCTTAATATCTCAAATTACTCTATCTGATTAATGTAGATATTTAACAGTTACTAATTAAAATAGTCATCATGCTATCTTTTAGATCAACAGAAGATAAAAATAAATCATTTAAAATTTTTATTTTTAATTGACAAATAATTGCATATATTATATATTTATGAGGTAAAATAGCTTTTGATATGTGTTTAAAATGTGAAATGATTAAATAAAGCTAATAAATCTATCACCTCATATTCATACCATATTTTTGTGGTGAAAACATTTAAAATTCATTCAGTGATTTTGAAATATACAATGCATTATTATTTATTATTGTCACTATTCTGTGCAATGGATGACTAAAGCTCTTTCCTCCTATCTAACCAATCAAAGGCTACAAATACATCCTTTAATATTCAACTGTTTAGTGTTATTTCCCAGAATTCTACAAAAGTCTTATAATGTTATATCATATATTTCCTTGAAAATAGGCCAGGTGTGGTGACTTATGCCTGTAATCTCAGCACTTTCGGAGGCCGAGGTTGGTGGATTACTTGAGGTCAAGTGTTCGAGACCAGCCTGACCAACATGGCGAAACCCCGACTCTACTAAAAATACAAAAATTAGCTGGGTGCTGTGGTGGGCTCCTGTAATGCCAGCTACTCGGAGGTTGAGGCAGGAGAATCGCTTAAACCCGGGAAGATGAGGTTGCAGTGAGCTGAGATCAAGCCAATTCACTCCAGCCTGAGTGATAGAGTGAGACTCTTTCTCAAAAAAACAACAAAACAAAACAAAACAAAAACCATCCACCATTTTGAAGATAAAATTACATCTTATTGTAAAGTTTTAAATCCCAATTGTATACTATGGATTTCAATTATAATTTGTTTTCCTGGAGAGAAAGCTGCTTGCTTTCTTTAAACATTTGGATATTAGGATTTGCTCTAGCAATTAGTTAAGTACTGTTTCCAACATTTACTAGCTGTGTGACCAACATTCAGTAGCTTTGTCACCTTGAGGCAAGTTACTTTAAATCTCTGTTCCTCAGTTTTCGTAGCAAGAGAATAGGGATAATTATCATACCTATTTCATAGGGCTTATGTGATTTTTGCATTTTGTAATGCATCAAAGTCCCAACAGTATAAAGGACTTAACTATTATTATTACCATCACTATAATTATTGATTATTTATACTTGCTGAGAGCTCATAGTATGCTCTGGAAATAGGAATAATTTTTGAATAAGATAAAATATTATCAGAACATTTAAGACATTTTCCTGAAATTATGGCTTTTACCTACATCCTGGCTTCTGGTCTAGAAACTCTTATAATTTGAGCAGATTAACTATAATAAAAAAATCCTCAACAATCTTACCACTTACTGCCAATGAAGTTAATGTTCAACTTCATTAAAATCCGCATTCCTTATCTGATAAAATAGATAAGGGAGAAAGAAGGTGGATTTCAATTCCTCTTCAGAGCCATTAACAGTAGAAAAAGGCTCATTCAACTGTCCTAATTGGTACATTAAATGGGGACATGATTATGGCAAAGAAGCCTCAACACGGGCTTTCTCTAGCATCATCCAGAAGTATCTCCTGCTCAGAGAAATAATAAGATAATAAGGAGAAAAATTATTGTGTATAATAGTCATAAGCATGGAAAAAATAAGATGACAGAAGAAGTAGTCCTTGAAAAGGAGAAAGAACATTTGCAATCCACTGACAATATGAGAAGAGAAAACAAATTATAGTAAAAACAACAGAACTTGAATGTGGAGTAGTCCAGATTTGTGATACTTTTTGCATAGAAGGGCCCTGTGGGAGGGAAACAAATAACAAAGTATCAATTACCCAAATTTGGCCTCTCAATACAATTCCAGTTCCCCAGAGAGGTGCTACCCAATTCCTTCATTTTTTTTTAAACAGAATGTTAAATCTCTTTTTTTCTCCATGTGTCAGAGTGCAGAGAAATGCTTGTGGACAGTTGGAACACTGCTAGACATACATTAAAAACTTGGTGAAACCTAGACTGATTTGTGGTTTCGGAGATAATTTGTGAATTTTCTCTGCTAACACTTTAGAGGACATATGGCACTAACTGAAAGAGGGACTCTATACATATGGTGGGGTGACAGATAAAAGACTTCTGGAATAGTAGTGCCAAGATTGATGAATATAAAAAAACTTTTGAAAGTATAACATAGGTGGGTGGCAAGATGGCTGAATAGGAACAACTCTGGTCTGCAGCTCCCAGCGAGATCAATGCAGAAGGCAGGTGATTTCTGCATTTCCAACTGAGGTATCCGGCTCATCTCATTGGGACTGGTTAGACAGTGGGTGCAGCCCATGGAGGATGAGCCAAAGCAAGGTGGGGCATCGCTTCACCCTGGAAGCGCAAGCAGTCAGGGAACTCCCTCCCCTAGCCAAGGGAAGCCATGAGGGACTGTGCCATGAGGAATGGTGCATTCAGGCCCAGATATTATGCTTTTCCCATGGTCTTCACAACCCACAGACCAGGAGATTCCCTTGGGTGCCTACACCACCATGGCCCTGGGTTTCAAGCACAAAACTGGCTGGCCATTTGGGTAGACACTGAGCTAGCTATAGTTTTTTTAATACACCGGTGGTACCTGGAACACCACCGAAACCGAACTGTTCACTCTCCTGGAAAGGGAGCTGAAACCAGGGAGCCAGGTGGTCTAGCTCAGCAGATCCCACCCCCACGGAGCCCAGCAAGCTAAGATCCACTGGCTTGAAATCCTCCCTGCCAGCACAGCAGTCTGAAGTCGACCTGGGACTCTCCAGCTTGGTGGGGGGAGGGGCGTCCACCATTACTGAAGCTTGAGTAAGCAAGCAGTTTTCCCCTCACAGTGTAAGCAAAGCCTACAGGAAGTTGGAACTGGGTCGAGCCCACTGAAGCTCCGAAAAGCCACTGTAGCAAGACTGAATCTCTAGATTTCTCCTGTCTGGGCAGGGCATCTCTGAAAGAAAGGCAGCAGACCCAGTCAGAAGTTTATAAATAAAACTCCCATCTCCCTGGGACAGAGCACCTAGGGGAAGGGGCAGCTGTGGGTGCAACTTCAGCAGACTTAAACATTCCTGTCTGCCAGCTCTGAAGAGAGCAGCAGATCTCCCAGCACAGCGCTCGAGCTCTGCTAAGGGACAGACTGCCTCCTCAAGTGGGTCCCTGCCCCCCGTGCCTCCTGACTGGCAGACACCTCCCAACAGGGATTTTGACAGACACCTCATACAGGAGAGCTCTGGCAGGCATCTGGGGGGTGCCCCTCTGGGATGAAGCTTCCAGAGGAAGGAACAGGCAGCAATCTTTGCTGTTTTGCAGCCTCTGCTGGTGATACCCAGGTAAACAGGTTCTGGAGTTGACCTCCAGCAAACTCCAGCAGACCTGCATCAGAGGGGCCTGACTGTTAGAAGGAGAACTAACAAACAGAAAGGAATAGCATCAACATAAAAGAAAAGGACTTCCACACAGAAATCCCATCTGAAACTCACCAACATCAGAGACCAAATGTAGATCAATCCACAAAGATGAGGAAAAACCAGCACAAAAAGGCTGAAAACTCCAAAAACCAGGACGCCTCCTCTCCTCCGAAGCATCTCAACTCCTCACCAGCAAGGGAACAAAACTGGATGGAGAATGAGTTTAATGAATTGACAGAAGTAGGCTTCAGAAGGTGGGTAATAACAAACCCCTCTGACCTAAAGGAGCATGTTCTAACCCAATGCAAGGAAGCTAAGAACCTTGAAAAAGGTTAAAGAAATTGCTAACTGGAATAACCAGTTTAGAGAAGAACATAAATGACCTGATGGACCTGAAAAACACAGCACAAGAACTTCGTGAAGCATATGCAAGTATAAATAGCCAAATCAATCAAGCAGAAGAGAGGATATCAGAGATTAAAGATCAACTTAATGAAATAAAGCATGAAGAGAAGTTTAGAGAATAAAGAATAAAAAGGGATGAACAAAGCCTCCAAGAAATATGGGACTATGTGAAAACCTACGTTTGACTGGTGTACCTGAAAGTGACGGGGAGAATGGAACCAAGTTGGAAAACGCTCTTCAGGATATTATCCAGGAGAACTTCCCCAACCTAGCAAGACAGGCCAACATTCAAATTCAGGAAACACAGAGAACACCACAAAGATACTCCTTGAGGAGAGCAACCCTAGGACACATAAGTATCAGATTCACCAAGGTTGAAATGAGGAAAAAATGTTAAGGGTGGCCAGAGAGAAAGGTCAGGTTACCCACAAAGGGAAGCCCATCAGACTAACAGCAGGTCTCTTGGCAGAAACCCTACAAGCCAGAAGAGAGTGGGGGCTAATATTCAACACTCTTGAAGAAAAGAATTTTCAACCCAGAATTTCATAACCAGCCAAACTAAGCTTCATAAGCAAAGGATAAATAAAATCCTTTACAGACAAGCAAATGCTGAGAGATTTTTGTCACAACTAGGCCTGCCTTGCAAGACCTCCAGAAGGAAGCACTAAATATGTAAAGGAAAAACTGGTTCCAGCCACTGCAAAAACATACCAAATTGTAAAGACTGTCGACACTATGAATAAACTACATCAAATAATGGTCAAAATAACCAACTAGCATCATAATGATAGGATCAAATTCAAGCATAGCAATATTAACCTTAAATCTAAGTGGGTTAAATGCCTCAAGTAAAAGATACAGAGAGCCAAATCAGGAGTGAACTCCCATTCACAATTGCTACAAAGAGAATAAAATACCTAGGAATACAATTTACAAGAAATGTGAAGGACCTCTTCAAGGAGAACTACAAACCGCTGCTCAAAGAAATAATAGAGGACATAAACAAATGGAAAAACGTTACATGTTCCTGGATAGGAAGAATCAATATCGTGAAAATGGCAGTACTGCCCAAAGTAATTTATAGATTCAATGATATACTCATCAAGCTACTACTGACTTTCTTCACATCATTAGAAAAAACTACTTTAAATTTCATATGGAACCAAAAAGAGCCTGTATAGCCAAGAAAATCCTAAGCAAAAAGAAAAAAGCTGGAGGCATCATGCTACTTAACTTCAAACTATACTACAAGGCTACAGTAACCAAAACAGCATGGTACTGGTACCAAAACAGATATATAGACCAATGGAACAGAACAGAGCCCTCAGAAATAATGCCACACATCTACAACCATTTGATCTTTGACAAACATGACAAAAACAAGCAATGGGGAAAGGATTCCCTATTTAATGAATGGTTTTGGGAAAACTGTCTAGCCATATGCAGAAAACTGAAACTGGACCCCTCCCTTACACCTTATACAAATATTAACTCAAGATGGATTAAAGACTTAAACATAGTACCCAAAACCATAAAATCCCTAGAAGAAACCCTAGGCAATACCATTCAAGACATAGGCATGGGCAAAGACTTCATAACTAAAACACCAAAAGCAATGGCAACAAAAGCCAAATTGACAATTGGGATCTAATTGAACTAAAGAGCTTCTGCACAGCAAAAGAAACTATCATCAGAATGAACAGGCAACCTACAGAATGGGAGAAAATTTTTGCAATCTAGCCATCTGACAAAGGGCTAATATCCAGAATCTGCAAGGAACTTAAACAAATTTACAAGAAAATAACAAACAACCACATCAAAAAGTGGGCAAAGGATATGAACATACAGTTCTCAAAATAAGACATTTATGTGACCAACAAACATATGAAAAAAGTTCATCATCACTGGTCATTAAAGAAATGCAAATCTAAACAACAGTGAGGTACCATCTCATGCCAGCTAGAATGGTGATCATTAAAAAGTCAGGAAACAACAGATGCTGGAGAGGATGTGGAGAAATAGGAATGCTCTTACACTGTTGGTGGGAGTATAAATTAGTTAATCATTGTGGAAGACATTGTGGCGATTCCTCAAGGATCTAGAACCCAAAATACCATTTGACCCAGCAATCCCATTACCGGGTATATACCCAAAGGACTATAAATCATTCTACTATAAAGACACATGCACAGGTATGTTTATTGCAGCACTACTCACAATAGCAAAGACTTGGAACCAACTCAAATGCCCATCAATGATAGACTGGATAAAGAAAATGTCCTTTGCAGGGACATGGATGAAGCTGGAAACCTTCATTCTCAACAAACTAACACAGGAACAGAAAACCAAACACTGTATGTTCTCACTCCTAAGTGGGAGTTGAACAGTGAGAACACATGGACGCTGGGAGGGGAACATTACACACTGGGGCCTGTTGGGGGGTGGAAGGCTAGGGAAGGGATAGCATTAGAAATACCTAATGTAGATGAGAGGCTGATGGGTACAGCAAACCACCATGGCACGTGTATACCTATGTAATAAAACTGCACATTCTGTACATGTACCCCAGAACTTAAAGTATAAAAAAAGGAAATATAAAATATTTGTCCATAAAAGTTTAAAAGCATTAGGGTAAAGCTTGATGTATGCTCATAAAGTTAATACACCTGTGTAACTTGAACCCAAGTAAAGAAATTGAACATTATCCAGAAGTACCCTCATGAGTCCCTGTAGTCACTGCAGCCCCAAAGTTAGCCATTATCCTGATAATATATGCTAGCCTACCATTTTTGCAATTTATGTAAATAAATTCATATGTGATGTACTATTTTTGCCTGGTTTCTTTAACTTCATATATTTGTGAGATTCATCACTATTGTGGAACACATTAGTAGTTTGTTTACTGCCATTATTGTGCACTATTCTATTAATTGACTTTGAGTTGTTCCCAGTTTGTAACTGCCATTACAAATAGTTCTGCTATGAACATTGCTGTTGTACATGTCTTTCATAATAATAGGAATTGCTGAGGATTCTTTGGTTATCATTAAGATACCTGAATTATAAGGGTGTCTAGATCAGAAACAAGACTGCAAGTAAAAACCATAATCCGAAAATATCACACACACACACATACACACACACACACACTCACTTTTATTGGGAATGAAATATAAGATTGGAATTACTTAGCATGCCTATTTTCAGCTCTAGTACAAACTACCAAACCATTTTCCAAAATCTTTGTTTCAACTTACATTCTGGCCAGTACTGTATTGAGTCTAATTGTTCCATATTCTTGACAAAACTTATTATTACTTGTCCTTTTCTTGAGTTATGTACTAGTATTACATGATGGCTTTATTTGTATCATTCTAACAGAAAAATGACTTTTTTTCATATCTCTAATGGCGTTAGAATATACTTATTTGTGATGGGCCTTTTTAAGCTCATTTTTTGTCTATTGGGTTGTCTTTAGAATATTAATTTGTATGCACTCCTATATTCTGAATATGGGTCATTTGTTAGAAAAATAATTTGCAAATAGCTTTTACAAGTCCATAGCTCCTAAACTGCCATCATATTTCTCAACCATCGTTTTATATTTTTGATGCTCATGTTTTTAAATTTATTCAAAAATTAGGTATTATCATCTATGTTCCAGTTTGATCACTCTTGTAGGTGATGGAAATAAAATAATGAATATGAGTTAAAAATTCATGTTCTTATGGAGCCTAGATATTTATGAATAGGCATAGAAAAATTAATGAATACATATTACATTACGTGGTAATAAGTAGAAATAAGTGCTATGTAGAAAAATTTGCCAAGAGTCAGTAGATTGAGGAGAAGACGTTGCAATTCTAAATAAGGTGTTCTGGAAAGTCTTCCCAGAGAAGGTGAAATGAGAGTAAAGGTTTGAGCGTGGTAAGGGAGTGAGCTATCCACATTCATGGAAACAGGGAGTTCCAAGAAGAGGGATCAGAAAGAACAAGCTTTCCCTGATGAAGAATTATGTATGATGTAACGGGTTGACTGGTGGCACTCAAATATATATGTCCACACCCTAAGCCCCAGAATCTATGATTCCAACCTTATTTCGAAAAAGGTTCTTTGTACCTATAACTAAGTAAAGGATCTTGAGATGAGATAATTCTGGACTATCCGGTGGGCCCTAAATCCAATGACAAATGTCTTTATAAGAGAGAGTAAGAGGGAGATTTGACACAGACACATAGGGGAATAGAAGGCCATGTGAAGACAAACACAGAGATTGGAGTGATGCAGCCACGAGCCGAGGAACAGCTGGAGCCACCAGGTGCTGGAAGAGGCAAGCAAGAATTCTCCCTTTAAACCCTTGGAGGAGTGCCACCCTGCTGTCACTGTGATTTTGGACTTCTGGCCTTGAGAACTGTGACAGAATAAATTTCTCTGTTTTAAGCCACCAAGTTTGTGGTAATTTGTCATAGTAGCCCTAGGAAATGAATACATATGGGATGTTTGAATATACACAGAGCTGTGTGCCTGCCGGGGTGAGATGTAGGAGGAGGTAGTAGGAGATGAGGTCAGAAAGGTAGCAAGGAGCCAGGCAGATAGGTGGAGGCCAAGAAGCTGTCACATAGACTTTGGCTTTTATGGCAAGTGAGTTGGGAAGTCAGTTTGTTTGCATTTTGGAATACTCCTATACCATGAGGATTCAAGGAACATGACCTACTTCGTTTTTAGAATCAAACCTGCCATCCGTCTTTGCTCCTTATTCATTGGCCTGTTTCCAGGCCCTGCAAGTCTACAAAAATCTGGTAAGGACTTGTCATCCACTTGTTCCTGCTCCATTTTTCTTAGTTTACCTCTGAATCTTTTGTTCTTAAGTTGCCATATCTGTGGCTTTAAAAGTCTGTCCTCACACTTACTTCCTTGTCCTGGCTAAAGTGTGAACCACCCTCTAACTCCATAGAGATAGTGAAGTGTTCCACTTCAACCTCAGAAGTTTTCTGAAGCATCTCTTATAAATTTCCATTTTAATATCATAGGTGAACTGAATTGCAGTAGAATCTCTGAGCTTCAGTGCTATTTCACAGTCTAAAATAAGAACAACCTATTCTAATTTGAAATATAATACTACAACCATGGTTTCCCCACAGCAAGATGGTGCCATCTGGCACACTACTAGTGCAAGACACTGAGTTTTCATGCAACATGCATATCATTGGGATATATATAAGATTTCATCCAAAAGCTGACATTTTACTATGATTAGTTTGTCAACTTACTATAACTCATTAGAATTATAGAAAAATATTATGGCTTTGCAAAAATGCAAATAATATAAGAAGAAGAGTGTCATTCTAACAATTAGAATCAGTTATCCCACATCTAGACCTCACTGACATCTCCAGGGGTCCTGTGAAAAGATAAAGGCAATGAGGAAACCATTGTCTGCAAAATTAATATCACAGTCATATTATCTAACAGGAAGATCATAAGTACAAGGTAAGCATAGGGTAATTTTTCTTTAGCTGTTTTTCTTTTTCTTTTTTTTTTTATTATTATTATACTTTAAGTTTTAGGGTAAATGTGCACAATGTGCAGGTTAGTTACACATGTATATACATGTGACATGCTGGTGCGCTGCACCCACTAACTCGTCATCTAGCATTAGGTATATCTCCCAATGCTATCCCTCCCTCTTCCCCCTACCCCACAACAGTCCCCAGAGTGTGATGTTCCCCTTCCTGTGTCCATGTGTTCTCATTGTTCAATTCCCACCTATCAGTGAGAATATGCAGTGTTTGGTTTTTTGTTCTTGCGATAGTTTACTGAGAATGATGATTTCCAATTTCATCCATGTCCCTACAAAGGACATGAACTCATCATTTTTTATGGCTGCATAGTATTCCATGGTGTATATGTGCCACATTTTCTTAATCCAGTCTATCATTGTTGGACATTTGGGTTGGTTCCAAGTCTTTGCTATTGTGAATAGTGCCGCAATAAACATATGTGTGCATGTGTCTTTATAGTAGCATTATTTATAGTCCTTTGGGTATATATCCAGTAATGGGATGGCTGGGTCAAATGGTATTTCTAGTTCTAGATTCCTGAGGAATCGCCACACTGACTTCCACAATCATTGAACTAGTTTACAGTCCCACCAACAGTGTAAAAGTGTTCCTATTTCTCCACATCCTCTCCAGCATCTGTTGTTTCCTGACTTTTTAATGATTGCCATTCTAACTGGTGTGAGATGGTATCTCATTGTGGTTTTGATTTGCATTTCTCTGATGGCCAGTGATGGTGAGCATTTTTTCATGTGTTTTTTGGCTGCATAAATGTCTTCTTTTGAGAAGTGTCTGTTCATGTCCTTTGCCCACTTTTTGATGGGCTTGTTAGTTTTTTTCATGTAAATTTGTTTGAGTTCATTGTAGATTCTGGATATTAGCCCTTTGTCAGATGAGTAGGTTGCGAAAATTTTCTCCCATTTTGTGGATTGCCTGTTCACTCTGATGGTAGTTTCTTTTGCTGTGCAGAAGCTCTTTAGTTTAATTAGATCCCATTTGTCAATTTTGGCTTTTGTTGCCATTGCTTTTGGTGTTTTAGACATGAAGTCCTTGCCCATGCCTATGTCCTGAATGGTAATGCCTAGGTTTTCTTCTAGGGTTTTTATGGTTTTAGGTCTAACGTTTAAGTCTTTAATCCATCTTCAGTTAATTTTTGTATAAGGTGTAAGGAAGAGATCCAGTTTCAGCTTTCTACATATGGCTAGCCAGTTTTCCCAGCACCATTTATTAAATAGGGAATCCTTTCCCCATTGCTTGTTTTTCTCAGGTTTGTCAAAGATCAGATAGTTGTAGATATGCGGCATTATTTCTGAGGGCTCTGTTCTGTTCCATTGATCTATATCTCTGTTTTGGTACCAGTACCATGCTGTTTTGGTTACTGTAGCCTTGTAGTATAGTTTGAAGTCAGGTAGCGTGATGCCTCCAGCTTTGTTCTTTTGGCTTAGGATTGACTTGGCGATGTGGGCTCTTTTTTGGTTCCATATGAACTTTAAAGTAGTTTTTTCCAGTTCCGTGAAGAAAGTCACTGGTAGCTTGATGGGGATGGCATTGAATCTATAAATGACCCTGGGCAGTATGGCCATTTTCACGATATTGATTCTTCCTACCCATGAGCATGGAATGTTCTTCCATTTGTTTGTATCCTCTTTAATTTCATTGAGCAGTGGTTTGTAGTTCTCCTTGAAGAGGTCCTTCACATCCCTTGTAAGGTGGATTCCTAGGTATTTTATCCTCTTTGAAGCAATTGTGAATGGGAGTTCACTCATGATTTGGCTGTTTGTCTGTTATTGGTGTATAAGAATGCTTGTGATTTTTGTACATTGATTTTGTATCCTGAGACTTTGCTGAATCAGCTTAAGGAGATTTTGGGCTGAGACAATGGGGTTTTCTAGATAAACAATCATGTCATCTGCAAACAGGGACAATTTGACTTCCTCTTTTCCTAATTGAATACCCTTTATTTCCTTCTCCTGCCTAATTGCCCTGGCCAGAACTTCCAACACTATGTTGAATAGGAGTGGTGAGAGAGGGCATCCCTGTCTTGTGCCAGTTTTCAAAGGGAGTGCTTCCAGTTTTTGCCCATTCGGTATGATATTGGTTGTGGGTTTGTCATAGATAGCTCTTATTATTTTGAGATATGTCCCATCAATACCTAATTTATTGAGAGTTTTTAGCATGAAGGGTTGTTTGTTTTGCTTTTTCAAAGTTTTAAGAATTATCTTCAAAACCAGAAAATAGGGGTGACATTCTTTCCCATTCAAAATCATAATTGGTTCATCCACTCTTTCTTCTCACTTGCTAATATTTCCTTCCCCTGACTTATTCAGAGCCTGAGCTGCAGCCAGCTGGGAGTTGGTTGGCCTCAAACATTGTCTCTTCAGTGCTTGATTTTTCTTTGAAGTCCTGAAATAGGTGTCATTTAATGAAGTTCCTAATTTCATCTTGATTTATTTGTCTTCAAATATGAGTCTTGAAAAATGTCAAAGATTAAGGGAAAGATGTTAGGAAGAGAAAAACCACAACACAAAAATTTCTTGTAAGTAGTTCTATATAAATATATTATGTATGGCTGGGCGTGGTGGCTCACGCCTGTAATCCCAGCACTTAGGGAGGCCGAGGTGGGCGGATCACCAGGTCAGGAGATCGAGACCATCCTGGCTAACATGGTGAAACCCTGTCTCTACTAAAAATACAAAAAATTAGCCAGGTGCGGTGGCAGACGCCTGTAGTCCCAGCTACTCGGGAGGCTGAGGCAGGAGAATGGCGTGAACCCGCGAGGCGGAGCTTGCAGTGAGGCGAGATCGCGCCACTGCACTCCAGTCTGGGCGACAGAGGGAGACTCCATCTCAGAAAAAAAAAAAAAAAAAAAAAAAAAAAAGAAAAAAATATATATATAGTATTTGTTTGAATTTTTTGAAGAAAGATAGCGTTGTTTTTCTGCACATAAATTATTTGAAAAATATGATTACGAAAATAACCCATAGCCTGTTTTTTCTAGAATGCTGTGAGAATAGCCAGAGGTGAAAGCTGATATTTCTAGTTTGTGAAAGCTATTTTTTTCTGTACAACTCTCATCTAAAGATATAGGACAGTCAGGAAAAATTGATAATTTTGTTAAAGTGGCAGATAAACAGCTTGTAAATCTGTAGGTTTTTTTCCATACACTCATATTTTTAAATAAACAGGATTAGAACATAAGAAAAGGTTATTGTAAAAGTTTAGTTGGTGCTGATATCCGGAAAACAGTAGATGTTATTAAGCTTCACGTGTTTAAATGTTCTAGTCAGCTATCAGAATGATACAGTAGCAAAACGTATTGGATTCATTTTAGAGGTTGCATCATCTACTGACCTCATATTTTCCTGCCCTCTTGTGAGTTTATTTACTAGGTCATTGCCTGCACCCCCTGGATTTGTTGTAAGAGGCAAGTATAGAGAACATAATTCTAGAAAAGAGTACTAAATGAATTTATGGACAGATCAAAGCCAATATATATCCTTGTCTTTTAATATTTCAGTATATCCTGATCCTTCAATTTTGGCATTGTTTTTCTGCAACGTAAGAGTAATATATTGGCCCAAAATTTTATCAGGGAGAAGCCAATGTATTGCACATTAAACGTTCCTGAGGTGACCTGTTTTCTTTATTAAATTTTTTTATGAAAAGAGAAATAATCAAAACAAAGAATGAGTAAGCATTAGCATGTAACCACAAAATTGAGAAGATAATGGAATGAAAATATTTATCTTTTTGTATAAAAACTGTGTACATATTGTAAGTATAATGTGTAATTAAAATGCCTGTAGAGTTATAAAAGAAGGCCTATTACATTGTAATAATTATTATTTTGTTTTAATACTAACTGTGGAATGAAAGGTAGTAAGAGGATTTTTATTGTAAAGTGGATAATAACCAAAAACCTTGGGGAGGTGGAAGAGAAAACCAAAGTAGATATAATGTGGGTCATTCCAGGAGAAAAGATGGAACAGATTCCTTTTGTTTGTTTTTTTTTGTTTTTTCTCTTAGAACACCAGAGTTTTACTAAACAAACTTTGTTGGCACTCTCTTAGGTCTCAGGGTCTAAACATGCTCTTTCCCCAAGAAGTTCACAGCTCCGTAATAACTCTCATTTGTATTAAACTTTAATGTCCTTGAGGATATTGCAGCCCATGTTTCTCCTTTCATGGTCTCCAATTTAGCTAACAGATTTCTAGAGTTGAATAGAGTTAAATATTGTTCTGCTCAATTTATTGCCCACAGGATGACTTCCTCCAATTTCCAGAGGACTTTTCTGATGATGATGAGATCCAAGTGATCTTTTAATTTTGGAGAGCCAGTGTTGGGCCTTTCTATCAAGTGCACAACAAAGTGACTGACATATAGTAGTCACTGATTAATTGCTCATTAAACAGATAGGTTGCTGGACGAGCCATTAGGCAGCTATAGTTGTTAATGTTTGTCTGTGTTCAGAATTACATATTGGATTGACACTTCTCTCAGTTAATACCATCTATTTTTAGTTACATCTTTCTCATCTCATTTATTTTTAAAGGATTCCCAAGTGTTACACTTTCAATCATATCTGTCAGTAGGATTAAACTCAAGAAAGCAATTTCAGGAATTACAGTAGAGGAGGTAGAAAGGAAGCTTACTCAAAAAATTATTTCAAGGAAGAGCTGCTGACTTGAGCTAATTGTAAAGTTTCATTGCCTCCATTATGAAAACAGAAAATATTATCCATTGTTCAATTAAGTAATGAATTGAAGCATTCACAATCCCCTAATTCTGAGACTTAGAGCATCTTTGCTTCCCTTCCCACATCTCACTTTCAATTTTGAAAGGGAGCACTGCTCCTGCTATCATCCCTCACTTGGAAAAAGACACTTTTTACAATGTTTGATAAGATATTTACACAATACTACTGATGCTATTAACAGCACCAACTAGAGATAAAATTTATTGAGCACTTAGTATGTGTTGGACACTGCTCTAAATCATGTTACATGTTTTTTTATGAGTTATCCCTCACAAATATACTATTGGTGAAGTAGGAATTATTATATATCCATTTTATTGATATTTTACATATGAAGAAACTAAAACACAGATCAGTTATGTTACTTGCCACGCTTGCTCATTAAATACATATCACACAATTATAATTTGATTCCAAGAAATAACACTTTAAAACCTATGCTCTACCCTATATGGTACTCCTAATTCAGAGCACAAGAATAATTGAGATTTCATAATTGAGAATTAGGAGTAAAATTAATGTGGTCATTGATGTATTTTCTATGACAGTCCATGCACTCTTAGGAATTGTACATGTTTTATAATAACAATGACAATTTTCCAAATGCATTGTCTTTAATCCCTCACTTTTTTCAGCATGCATTATCTTCCTGATGGCTTCCCTATATGTACTATATACTCCAGATCTTAAGGTTTTAACTTCAACTTGACTCTTATTAATATTATCTTCTAAATTTGGAGTCTCAATTATTCTATTACTCTGAATTACCAGTATTGTGTAAGGTAAACACAGATTTTAAAGCTATATTTCCTGAAATAAAATTATAATTATGTGATCATTAAATAGATATGTTGCTCATTATGTAATACTATCTATTTAATAAGTAAATGTGGCAAGTACCGTAATTTATCAGTGTTTCAGTTTACTCATCTGTTATGGCAGCTCCAGCTGATTATAACAGAGGGTATTACAAGCTATCTTCAGTCTCCTCAGTAGTCGTACCCTAGACTCATGCTCCTCTCCATAGATAAACACATGTCACTTTAAGGATACAACAAATGTTATTGGGCATAAGTGGCTTTGACCTCTCCTTCCTTCTGCTATTTAATTAACTTTATCACCACTCATTTTTATCTCTGGTCTCATAGGAAGTGGCAACTTCCTTTCTCAACCAACACTAAGCTTTCATACTGTTTCCCTGGACTCATTCCCTTCCTCAAAAATCTCAGATTTGTTAATTTGCCTCTCTTTTGAATCCTATTCAAAATCTCCCTCCTTGCCATCATTTTCTTTTCTGCCAATAGGCATATCAAATTACATAGGAAAAAAACTTTCCCACTCTGTCACACATCAACAAGCATCTTGAAATTGCAAACTACCCTTTCCACTTCTTTGCCTCCCAGAAATCTTTTACCATATTGAGAAGTTTGCTTCTGACTTTACCATTTTATGGGAAATGCTTTTATTAAGATTGATGTTCTCGTGAAATTGCTCAACTAACTGGTTGTTTTTCAGTTTTTGTCTACCTGACATCTCTGGTGGACTTGGCTATTGAGAAATCTGTTGTTAAAATTATTTTCTTTTGTATTCTTTGTCAACATACATATAATACTCATATTTTTGAATATTATACTTATTTTTATTATATCACTAGCTTATATCATTAAGATTATATCACCAGCTTCTTCTCCTGGGTCTTCTTTTAACACAAAATATTTACTTGGTTTCATCCTTGACCATCATCTCTTCTCACTCAAAGCAACCCCTTTGGGTATGTTTATCTATATCCATGATATCATCTATATTCATATGCTGATGATTCTCAATTTTTTTCTGAGAGAGAAATTCATCTATCTAACCTACTTTTGGTATCTGAACCTGGATATGCCAAAACACCTAAAATATTTACAATACCTTTATATATAACTTTTGTAAATATTATACAATTCCATCTTCCACATTAATAAGAAAAAACTTATCTACTACTGTGCTCGATGCACTATAGGAATGTATTCCCTGAAAGCTATTTTACTTACTCTACCTTTAGCAGCATCAGTTCCCCATTTTTCTGCCTTAGTATTATAATACCAACAGCTCCATATGGAACACCATGACAAACCATGCTTCTCTACCTTGCTCTTTTCTGGTAGATTTTTACTTATTCCTTTGAAGACTCTGTGTTACTTTTACCTGTTTCATAACACCTGTCTTAGTTATCTACTGCTGCCATAACAAATCACTACAGACTTAATAGCTAAAGAACACAAATTTATCATCTAGCAGTTCTGTGGTTGGAAATCTAACTCGCCTCACTGGGCTAAAATCAAAGTGTTGGTGGCTGCATTTCTTTCTGAAGACCCTAAGGATGACCTGTTTTCTTACTCACTCAGGTTGTTGGTAGAATTCAATTCCATGCAATTGTGGAACTGAACTCTCTATTTCCTTGTTGGCTGTTGTCTTAGGGCTGCTTTTAGCTCACAGAGACCTCTCTCAGGTCCTAGAACATAGTCACTACATCTCAGAAACAGCAATGGAGCATCAAATGCTTCTCATAATGTCATTTCTCTCATTCAGGAAATATTTGCTTTTAAGGACTTATATGATTAGATGAGGCCTGCCCTCACAATCAGAAATATCTCCAGATCTCAAGGTCTTATCTTCAATAAAATTTTCAAGATGTCTTTTGCCTTGTGAAACAAAATATTCAAAGATTCTAGGGATTAGTGGAGGGTTATTATTAGGGAGATATCACTCTGCTCACTACAATCTGTTCTCTGGCCCCCAAGTTTTAGCATCCATCCCAAATAGATTTTCCTCATCTCAAAGTCACTCAAAGTCTCAACCTATTATATTATCAACCAAAAATTCAAAATCCCGTCTAAATTTCATCAGCCCAGAAGTCCCAGACTTTATTATGCATGTCATGTAAATTAGGTATGGGTGAGGCTCTGGGTATATCCACTCTGGGCACAATTCTCTATCTGTGGATCTGTGAAACTAAGGAAACAAACTGTCTGTTCCCAAATGATGGGACAAGCACAGGATAATATGTATAGACATCTCAGTTCTAAATTAAAGAAAATGGAAGATAAAAAAGGGCTACAGTCCCAACCAATTCCAAAAACCAGTTGTATAAACTCCATTGGGTTTCAAGGCCAGAAAATAATTTACTATGGCTTGTGACTCTGCCTTCTGGGGCAACTCCATCCTCTGAGCCATTCTTTTTTTTTTTATTATTATAAAACATAGTATGTGTTTTCAGCTAAATATTTATCTTTCTATTTCCTGCTTGTAGAATTTTTGGGGTCTTGAATAGCTATTCGTTTCAAATTCTCTCTCTCTGTCTCTTTCTGCTCATGTAACATTTTCAAGAACTTCATGAGTTTCCTCTGTATATCACATGTATTATGTCAAATGGTCAAGACGCTATTTCACAGATTTTCCCTAGATAATCCCCTCTTTATTTTTGGCTTTTGCTGAGATTATTCAGATGATGTCCTTAATCTTCCTAGATATCCTGTTATTTGATTGAAGAGATCTATGAATCATGCCCTCAATCTGCTAAAAAATGGTTTGTGTTCCTGAATACTATGAGCTTCTAATCTTTATGGGGAACCAGCACAAGATTATATAGCCATACTCTCAATCATTTCTCTAAGGCATACTTTCTGGATATCAAACCTCTTAAACTGAATTTTTTTCCTTCTGGATAGAAAATTTCCTAAATCATTAAGCTCATCTTTACATTAGTTGAGTTAAACAATCATATTCTGGACTATGACTTCAAATTTGGGATATTTACAATTACTTCTCAAATTTAGATTATCTTAAAACTATCTTCAGTTGAAATATTTGCCTAATATTACAGCCAATAGGGTGATAAAAGTTTATATTTAAAAGTTATTCCCTCAATTTATCTTTCTTGTATCATATTTATTTTAAGCAGTGGGAAGAAACCAGCTCACGTCTTTAATATTGTGCTTGGCATTTTCCTTAACTTTTGCACTTGTTATATTTCATTCATATTTTTATTTGCACATTTACCTCTCCCACTGAAGAATGATCTCTCTGTGAGCAGTTAATGCTCCTAGAAATCTTTGCATCCCAAGCACATATCACTGCTTATGATTGCTTAATAAACACCTGTTAATTGAACAAATACAAGTAATTTATCCAATAACCTCTTCTCCACTTCTATTCCCTTCTTGGCTATAATATTACAAAACTATTTCAAGATGATCTAATTTGAGAGGTAATTATGAATGTCTCAAATTTGAAGTTACAGTCCAGTCTATAATTGCTTTACTCAGTTAATGGAAAAGTGTATGAAAATTGAAGTTGTTTTCCTTCAAAATGCTACATACTCATAAAAAAACCCTTTCAGATCAATATAATCATATTAGTGGTCTCCGTTACAGTAAGTCATGAATTCCCAAGTAGAATTCTTCTCTTTTCTCTTAACATCATTTCCAAAAGGCTTTTAATATTTAGAAAAGAATAAGAAAAGTATGCAAATGAGTGCCCTTTCTCAGTAGAATTATTTTTATTCACTGTGAAATAAAACTTTATAATAATTCCCTGAGACCCTCTCTTTCTTTAAATGATGAATTTTATATTAAATATAGAATGAGGTCATCTTCTTAAGGGCAATTGAGCCATTTCCGATAATATAACCTCTCAAAAGCTGGTACTAAATATATTTACTAATATATATGGGACTGTTATATGTAAAACATAATCATTCAAAAACAGACCAACATTGATATTTGTTTACTTGAGTACCAAGGAACAAAATCATATAAACATGAAACTCTTCCAAAGTTCTTTATGCTACTGAAATGCTGAATATCTGGACAGTTGAGCCATGTTACTCAAGAAAATGGATAGCTTGTGTGATGCATAAGATAGTTTAACACATACCTAACCAAGAGCATATGATGCCATCACATTTTGTTCATATTTAAAATTTTCCCTTCATTCGAACTTATGTGGTAAATAAAACTGTTAGTGATTGAGTTACAGAATATGGACCTAATTTAAAATAAACTTTTTCTTTACCTTAAAATAGAATTGTAACTTGAGAAAATTGTTAAAATGAACTATCATAGAGGCTCTAAATTTAATAAGACAATATTTTCAAGCACATTAACATTAATTTCATGTACATTCCATGATTATGTACATGATCATTTTAAGGATTGCTCAGATATATAAAATTCAAGTAATTTTTAATAAAAATAATTTTCGATTTTTTAACGAATGTATCTGAAAATAGCTTCACATGTTTAGTTTGTTCAATGTTAAATGTATTATATGTTACTTATATATTATGATATTTACATTAATAAACTTAGTTAATGATGTTTGATGATTATACACACAGCAGCATTAAAATATATATGGTGGTGGTTATTAAAGTGGATGTAATATAATCTGAATCCAGTAGAATGAAATGAAATAAAATGAAACTAACAAAGAAAAAAAATGTATGGAGGACAAAAGGATTTAACCTTTCCTTAGAATCAGTTAAATGTGAAGAATTAAAAAAGAATGTCTACATGAAAAAGGACGTCTTTCCTGCTGCTGAATATGTTTCTCAGTTCAGAGGGGGTGGCATTTCATCCTACATCCTAGCTCTACCACAATCTGTTCCTGACAGGACCCTCCATCTGTTTAGCCTGAACAACCCTGCAGTTGCTTATGTGCTTATTCACAGATGTAAGTAGGAGGTTGACTACAGGTTTTTTGACTTATACTTGAATCCAAGCTAATGTGACACATTTGCAAGCATAGCTGCACATGTTCTGGTTTAATTGGGAAATCTCTCCTTTGACTTTCAGGATAGCACAGAAGCAGAGACTTTAAGTCTAAACAGACCTAGATTCAGAGCCGACCCGATGCTGCTTGAAGAAGGCTGGAGGTATGTTAAGGAGACAAGGGCTGTCAAGAAGCAGGGATGTCTCTGGAAAGGGTGAGCAGCTGACGTCCTTTGTAAGTTCTCTGGGCAGCATTGATGGGAGGTGAAAACCTTGGGAAGAGTCTTGGTTTAACGTGGACTCTAAATGGTACAAAGTAATTAGGGCCTCCTTTGTTTCCATAAACTATCATAGACACTCTTCTAAAATTTCTGTGTTATCCTAGCTGCTTTTCTATGATATTTTTGGACCCCTGACTTATTTACACAAATGGAATGATAGCTTTTGGTTGGAAATTTTAAATGTCTAAGGCACAAATTAGACATGGGACTTCATTCACACTTCTCCTCTAGATCTTAATCAAGACACCCTACAAGCTATATTGGACATTGCACAACGTTTACAAGTGCAAAATGTACGGAACATGTGTCAAGCATTTTTAAAATTTGCCATTGTGGAGCAGTGCTCCAGCATGATTTGTAATAGTGCATTCTGCCTTCCAAAATGTTTTGACTACTGGTGGTAATTGCTTTACAAGTGAAAATTAGCCTCCTCCGTTCTCAGAATACTTGTAATCTGAGCATATCACACCTCCACATTTTGCTTGTGATGCTCTCTCTGTACCTTTTATCTTCTTAGGCTATTGAAATAGTTCAGGTTTCAGCTCAACCGTCGTCTACTCCATGAAGCCCTCCTTGATCCTCTCATTCAATACTGATTACTTAATGCCTTTGTATTCCCATAACAAATGCCTTTGTTTCCATCTGTTGATATTAGGCAGCACAATCTGAATTGAGTCATTGTTGTGTACTTGTTTATATTTTCTAGCGGATTGTGACATTTATATTTGGGTGACTCTGTTTCTTAGTAAAGGATCTTAAAGAAAGTATGCTCTCAATAAATGCTTATTCAGTTGAATTTTGGGTATTAATAAAATGCAAATTCCAGTAGAGCCTTTGTATAATTATACCCAGATAGTTTGATTTTAAAAACTAGTAGAGCTCTTATAATTCTTATAATACTTTATATTTCCTTATCCCTTTATGGTTTGAAAATACTTATATAATAAATATGTATGTGCACATGTAAGAGTCCAGTAAAAAAATTCAAGCTGCTACAGCTAGAGTGGGTGAAAAGTGGGTGGTGCAATGTAACTTGGAAAAAAAAAACAAAAGTAAAAATCTTCTAAGAAATGGGAAAACATTATTTTTTATGGAGTACTTGGAATATAAGTTGTTCTCTTCCTGACAGAGAGAGAGAGAGGGTGAGAGAGAGAGAGAGAGAAAGATAATTCACTTTACAATAACAAAGAGGAGACAGTATTCTCATTCCCACAAACCTTAGCAAGCCTTTCTGCTGAGTTTATATTAGAGGAGGCTCACATCTCAGAAGGTCCTGCATGTTTACAAGGATGTGAAGTAACAAGGAGCATCAGAAATAGAGCCCTTATTTCCAAATCATCTTCTGAGCAGTAAGCTCTATGGTTTCCTAAGATGTACTTCAGCATTTCCCCAAGGGAAAACAAGATGAAAAGGTAGGATTCCAGATGAGACACACACACACACACACACACACACACACACACACACATTGTTACTTCAATTTAGCAGCTCTTCCTATACTTAAGCACGTTGCTTTCCTTCTTAGAATGTATTTGAAGAAATGGTTCCTTCACCAAAAAAATACAATTTTGAAAATCACTGACCTAAGGACACTAAAAATAAAATTAACAAATTCTTAAGGAATTTTAAGTGTTATTACAGCTTTCTGGAAAGCCAAGAATAAGATACTAAAGATTTTCTTGCGAGAATGTTTAGGGAAAAAAAAAATCAAAAGACTAGAGATGCTAAGAAAGATGCAAAACAATGAGAAGCATGACTCCTAACTTCACAAGGAGCTACAAAAAGGCAAAGCAGGTCACTCAGCAGGGTGATCACTTGTTTAGTGGAACTCCAGATTTCTGGAAGAGCAAATGGCAGGAGAATTTACTGACCGCCTCTCTCCCTACACATATTTTACAGATTAAGTTTCATCCCACAGGGAGTTTAGTCACTGCAGCTTCAAGCTGCATCTGACTTTCTTCCAAGTCTAGAAATGAAGAGGTCATCCAGAAGAAGTGGAGCTTCAACCAGGAAGAATTAAGGTGAAGGCAGTTGAGGGAGTTTGGAAAGGTGTATGAGACCTACATCCAATGCAAGTATAATTTTTTAGAAACTTTGAGTTGTAATAGTGAAGAGTTTTACTTGAATAAATATGATCAGCAGAAAACTTAGACTCACACCATAGAGATGGAAGTTTTGGAATAAATACAGGTAAAGGAAAAAGCATAATGAAAGACAGACCTATAAGAATATTACACTAAAAGTTTGGTTTGTCTGAAGTATAAAATGTATTATTTTTAGTTATACCTTCCTTTTATTGGACAGTATCTAGGAAAAAGATAAGCATTGAATCTGTATTATGAAATTATAAGTTACATATAATGTTAGCACAAAGGCATTCCCTTAACCATTCCTGTCTGGGTTTACCTAAATATCTCATTGAAAAGAGAATAATTTTTGATATTAAAACAAGATTCAACAATATAGCAAGCACCGCACCAAGTATGAGGAACTCATATTCCTTATCATTATTTTTAAAGCACTAAGGGATACGTGATAGTTTACAGAGAAATATACCTGCTGCTATATACTCAGTCTAAATCATAGTGGCTATTAGTGGTTTAAAGACAGGTCAACCTGAATCCAATTTGGGATTCTTTCATTTTGAGTGTACTACTTAGCATCCTGAAATATGGTACTTTTCTTTTGTTTTGTTTCATTTTAATCAGCAAAATGGTGATAAGAATATGGCAAGCATAGGTTGTAGAGAATAAATTAATAATCCATAGTAATGTTCTATCATGGTGCCTAACGAATGATAGATATTATTACTTGATGTTACTTAATATCATTATCATCCTTATTTTTATAACTACTTATATACTTGTTAAATATTTAGTAATCTGTGTACAGTTAATTCCTAGTAGAAGTTATATTTTTCTCAACTAATAGCTTATACTGTTCTTGTGAAATGAAGGGATATGAAAACTAAGTTACTGGGTATTGTTAAGGATTAATTTCTGAACTGGGTGGACCCCAGCAACAATAAAGTCACAATCCTTGTGCGCCTGGTATGGGTTGATCAATTACTAACATTTGACATAGACTAGAGACTAGAAAGTGAACAAAGTTTCTTCATGCCTTCCAGAGTTTCTTTTCACATTCATCAATTATTGTGATTGTTACAAGGTTATGTGAAGAGGGTAGACCAGTTATTTTTACTTCCTTTTAATAGAGAACTGAGACTCAAAGAAACTGTGACTTGAATAATATTTACAGTTACCTTTTGGCAAACTCCTCTTTCAAAACCACTGTTTAGAGCTCAAAGTATACTACGCTTCATCACAAGACTCAAACGGATGAATATATTACATGTAAATATATAATATAATTAGCATCTTTGGAATTATTGAGCGGTTGCTGTTCTAGACTGAGAAAAAAAGGTAGCATTTCATTAAAATGTTGGTGTTAGAGAACCAGAATTACAATGCCATTCAGTATTACATAATAGGCCTATTCTGACCTGCCATTTTGTGGACTAGATGATATAGGGAAGTAATCTAAAGTAAAATTTTACTGTAAATAAACTCTTCAGTAATTCAGGAAAGCATTTTATGTACTAGTGCTCCAAATTCAGTAAATTAAATTCTGATGTAATGACCTGTCTGGTTCCTTGTTCCTAAATCCATCAAATGAAGCTCCACCTGCAGGTCCAGACAGTTCTGGCCCAGGCTTGGGATTCAATCTGATTTCCTAATCAAGGGAATAAAAAACAAAACAAAACAGCAGATTCAATAATGCAATGATTTAGCTGAATTATTTTTTTTCCTATGTGGCTCTGAACTTATACTGCACTTAAATTACTATGTTCTGATGTTTACTAACAGCTCATTTCAATTAAATCATTAAAGGAAATGACAAATTTTCTGTTGTGTTCTAATACTCATTCCTAAATTCCAAGACTTTCCTCTTAGAATTCTATGAGTCCTTCCCCTGAGATCTGGTTACCAAAACTTTCTTCTATAATTTAGATATAAATTTTAGTAAGATTGCTAAATGTTATTCCATTGCTATTTTAATCTACTAATCTGCTAGCATGTTAATTCTGTTATTGACTATTGAACTTCTTTGATTTTAGTGGTCTGTCTACTGGAACTATTAGATTATTTTCTATCATAGTTATCTGATACTACACAATATTTTAAAATTCTGTTGTATACTCTTTTTGTATACTTTAATTGCCAAATTGTAAAAGCTACATTTTCTGGGCAAATTTAAACCTAACAAAAATAAAGTTGAGAGCTGATTCTGTGACCACATCAGAAGTATATTGTTGCATAAATAAATGGGAGGAAGTTTCAAGACCACCTGGGAGCATAGAAGATATGCTTATCAAAGGTGTGCCTAATCCAAAGTTAGAAGATATAGTAGTTATTTTCAATAATTACATTATATTGAAGAATAATCCTAATAGATTGTCATGATGGGGATGACTAAAGCTTTCTTGAGATAAATCTATGGCTTAAGTAATTTATAAAGAAAAAATCAAAAAGTATAGTTATCTCATCACTAGAATGTTTAAACAGATGGTTATTTGGCAGGAATATTGTAGAAAGCACTCCTTCATTGATTTATGGATGACCTCTTACGGGCCCTCCACCAGTCTAATCTTTCAGTTTATAATTCACAGGAGTCTCATACTAGCCTAATGTTGACCAGTATTGTAGTCAGCAGCCCAGTGAGACTATAACATGTGTTGTCTCATCATCCCATCTCTTTTCCTGTAGCAATTATTTTTATTTATCTGCATTCATAAGATCAAATACTTTGTCTGGAGGACAGTAAACTCATTGCTATCTCAAATGGAAAACATCACATACTGTTCCTAGTAAACTAATTGAATTTACTTTAAATAGAAGACAGGACACACACAATCATGACAATAAAAAGACTGTTATGATATTATGCACTTAAAAAATTTTAGTTTTTCACACCTAGTTAGTACTGCGGAAATGTTAGGTGTTCTTTAAACCATCATATTCTTACTTGAATTTATATTCTTAGTCATTTTATTTCTAGCAAGATAGATAAATGCAAAGTCTTGAATGTGGACAATGTTTATTTAAGATGATGTTCTATAAGAAACTTTGAAAAATAAAATCCAAAAAGAACAAATTAAATAATATGAGCTTATTGAATTAGTGATATATAACATGGTGAGAAAACACAATAAATATCCTCAAAGATCAAATGCCACCTGCTGTGATTCTCTTGGCAGAAGACCCATTGGATAGTCATTGATCTCTTCCATGTGGTGTAAAAGAAATTCTAACCAAGGGCCATTTCCCCAGTGGCTATACAGCTTTTCCAATAAAGCTTTTTCTTTATAGCCACAGAGAGATAATGCATTTCCATTGGGAAGTGAGTGTATGAGAATATAAATCACCTGGGAATCTTTGAGCGAAGGATTTTTCTTTAAATTCACTACAGCCATCTTCACTTTTGTCACTTTCTAAAGCCTGGGTTCTCCTACGAATTTTAACTAACTTTTTCCAATAGAAGGTGGATATATTGTAATCTAAGTAATCTTCCCAACTAGCTTTTTGGAAGAGATGTCTTAAGAGATACAAGAAAAATTCTTAGCAAAAATCACTATTTTTATCAAGCGGTCAATATTTTTCACTTCTGTCTTCTACTGTGGTGAAAATGCAAGCTTTAAATGACCCTCTTGTGCACACTCATCATTTGGTGCCCAGTACTTCTTCTGTCTGATTTTATTTCCCCACCACTCTGCTCTAAAACTTGTATATAGCTTCATGATCTAAATTAACTATTTCCTTCTTCCTTTGCCTTCACTAAGACTCAGTTTTCCCTCAGAGCGCAATCAGCCTGTTACCTTCTGGAGTGGAAATGGCTCAGCCTCCCACTCTAATGTATTACAGGCCAGGGAGAAATACCGGTACCAATGGCATTAAATCAACACCATTGTTTTTTTAATTGAAAGAGAACCCATTTATTCAGATTCATGAAATTTAGCACTAATCAATTTGAAAACTTCCTTTACTATCATATTATTAGGTCTTTCTGCTCCTTAGCTTAGCTATGTCTGAGTTCTTGTCTCACAACCAGGAAGAATTAGGTGAGTGGACATGGGAGAGTGAGTGGAGTAGAATTTATTAAGTGAAAGGCAAGCTCTCAGCAAAGAGGTGACACAGAGGCTGTTTTCCCTACCTGAGGGTGGGAATGTCCCCCATGTGGCTGGGTCCGAGCCCTTTTATGGACTCAGAATGGGAAGTATGTGCTGATTGGTTTGTGAGTATGCAAAAAGGTTAAAGTTAACAAACCACTCAAAGGTGAGCACAACAGCGTAGAAAAGCAATTAGGAAAGGGTGGGGATCAATCAGAGGAAAGTACACCAAACAGGAATAAAAGTTCTTCATCTGTTCTATGGATTTAACTTGTAGGTTGGCTTTCAGGTTTTAAACTGTCTTTGGCTTGGAGGTGGGGTTTCACTGGGGACCAACCCCTATCTGTCTAGGCATTTGCCTGCCTCCTGCTGCTCCTAATATTTAATCTCCCAATTATTATATTTTCCCCAAGTATTAGAGAGAGAAATGAGTCCCAGCTTATAATCTTTATGATGTTAGTTCTAACTGTCATCAGGGAAATAGTCTAACATTCATGTGGTAAACATGCCCAACAATATAGTTCTAAAGAGCTATCCAATTTCAGCACTAGCCTGAAGACTCCAATCCACAGCTTACTACATGGACATATTCTGGAACTTAGATGTGCTATGACTCTTCCATTTTTTTCTCTCATAATCTCTAAAGTTGAAAATAGATGTATTTTTTCCAGCTGACTTTTCACATCATATTGCAGCTGAATACTGCTCCAGGAAATAATAATGGCTTATAAACTAGTGACAGCTCAAATCATGGTCTCTAAGCTACCTTATCCATCAGTACCCCCAAGGCAATCAAACATTTTCTGAGATCTTAGCCAGCTTTTTCTTTCCAAAATACTTATCCCAAACCTTTCAACTCCTAAGTCTCTTTATTCATCTGCTTAATTCTGTCTCTTAACATGGCCTGGCATACATTATGGAAAATATTGATATCTTTAGGAGTAAAAAGTGTGCAATTTTCTAAAGCTAGAAACCATAGAAATGGAGTCCCACCAGAAATCAAGGAACACTTACCTGAGGAAATGCTGGATTATGCAGAATGCTTTGGAAGAATGTGGTAGATGGTTAAACATGACTTGAATATAATTCAAATCCGACAGGAGATGTGGGTGGAAGGATAGGTTGGAAGCAAACAGAGCAAATTTTAACTTGATGTTTTCACCATACATGTCTTTCACAAAGATAAATATTATCCTTTTGAACTTCCAGCTACCCATAGGAGTAAATTTATACAAATCCACAGAAGACTGGATGAATAGCATGAACATTTTAGTAGCAGGAAACATTGGGAGATGTCAGAACAAAAATGATCAGTTTAAAGAGACAGAAGAAAAGGAGGTAATTCATCAGTTATATTATTTGAGGCCATTTCAGAGTAGTTATTCATTCAAAAGGTCAGTTTGTAGATTTGCTTTGCAAATGGAACAAATTAAGAAAATGATAGGCTGAGAGATGATTACACACTGAATGTTAGCACGGTGTTCCTGCCAGCAGGGCACTGATGAGCCTTTGAATAGAATGGGATTAGGAAGTGATTTTTCAACTGTTAAATGGTATCAGAGCAGGTAAACATATAAGGTTGTGTGGTTTGGAACAAAGCATCATGAATAGCTTTTTAAATTATTAATGATTTCTCCTTTTGTTAGTGCTCTGTTAGCAAGGCCTGCACTATTATTTAGTAATTCCTTTTAATTAGGCTTCTCAAAGCTGCTTTTAAGTTATATTCCATTTGAAATGAAAATAATTGACTACATAAAAGAATTAGAAACCACTGTATTAAAACCACATGTTTAAGTACAACTGTTTTGTTCCTTTTTTGCTTTCAAAGTATATTCTTCCTGTTAAGAAATAAAACTAACAGAAAAGCAATAAATTAACCAGGTTATTTAATATACAATAGCTAACAAAATTAATTTGCAACAGTGCAATCCAAAAATAGTTTAATCCAGTAAGGAAGTACAGAATGCTGTGCAATATGATATGTGATAAGAAAGAAGAGTAATTAAGCCATGTTGCTGTTATACAGTATCTTAGAAGCTGATAAAGAGAGGTTTATTTAACAGAATACATTTTTAGCTAAAATGACACTAGCCAGATTTGCAATAGGATGTCTTGTCTTACATTCTCTAGTAATGATTGTTTTTTTGTTTTGTTTTGTTTTGTTTTGTTTTGTTTTGTTTTGTTTTGTTTGAGATGGAGCCTCGCTGTGATGCCCAGGCTGGAGTGCAATGGCACGTCTCAGCTCACTGCAACCTCTGCTTCCCAGGCTCAAGCAATTTTCCTGCCTCAGCCTCCCAAGTAGCTGGGACTACAGGCATGCGCTACCACACCTGGCTAACTTTTGTATTTTTAGTAGAGATGGGGTTTCACCATATTGGCCAGGCTGGTCTCAAACTCCTGACCTGAAGTGATCTGCCCACCTCGGCCTCCCAAAGTGCTGGGATTACAGGTGTGAGCAACTGTGCCTGGCCTCTAGCAATGATAATAAATATCTAATGTCTAGTGTTTTTATTTGTCAGATGGTTTAGTAGACACCTGTTAATTTGTCTGCCTGGCATTCATTCATCTTCCTCATGGTAGGTGTACCCCAATTTTCCTTGAGAAACCAGACCTCATCAACTATTAGCCTATGAGGTCCAGATGGCATTGATTCCAGGGATGATCACAGAGTCTAGGGATGGTTTATTAGAACAAATCATTCTTTCAGCCATAGTGATTGGATCAAAGATGGATAGAAGATAATGTTATGTGATTCAGAACCAATAACATTCCGTTTATGGACTGACATGGTATGAACAGCAAGATCCATTCATGCCTGAAGTAAGAAAATGTAAGCCAAATACTACTTTGATTGAGCCGTTTTGAGCTGAGTTGCTGTCTTTTATAAAAGGAAGTGACTGAACTGAAACAAATGGCTTCTTGGAGAAATCCCTAAATTACTATGATGTTTTAAATCCTTATACTCTTAAAGTGGCACGGGCCCATCCCCACTCACCTCTTTCCCTCATAACACTCTTTTCTGTTCTGATCATATAAAAGAGATAATGGTCACTTGCTTTTTATAATTTTCCTTTATGAAATTGAATGAAATTTACAAGTAAAAGGATAATATCTCAACCAAATGTTACTGATTCTAAAACTAATCACTCGGTGCAATTAATCTGTGCTTATTCTAATGTCTGTTTGTACCTCCTCCTCCCACACCAAGTCTATTTACTTTGTTTACTTACCAACATGGATCAAAATACAATCAAAGCTTTCAAAAACAATTACAACAGATGTGTGTCAAATTATACTATAAAATTTATCAAGTCATTCCTAAGGTTACATTAAATAAATAATAGAAAATCTTACCTTTGCTCATGATTGAACTGAAAAAAGAAATAGTCAATACATGATATACAATATGGAACTAACTTACAGAATCAAATCACAGGTAATGTTCTTACTACAGGCAAATAAATTAAACAAAGGAATAAACAAACAAAGCTGTAATATTTGTAAAATATTTGAGGGTAGAGTTCAATATAATTGACATAAAGTAATTAATTTCACCCTAATGAGATGTCTAAATTGGATCTTAAATATTAGCTCATTGCTTTGAGTAATGACAAGGAGAAACAGAAAAATATAGGGTCCACAATGAAACTGACTTTCAACTACTTGAGCAATATTTAATGTAATTTTAAACCCCTTTCATACCCTTAAAAAGATGGAAATTGATCCCTCCTTGGAATAAACTTGGTCTTCAGACAAAGCTTGATTTTTCTACAAGAAATAAAATGGCAAAAAGAAACCTTGTAAAAAAGACTACTCAGCCTGTACTTCATCTTTTTCAGTTAGAGAAAAAAACTCATGCTCTATATCCATTAAAACATACTTGATAGACCGTAAGCTTCCTGCTAAATCCTTAACAATTGAACTGTTTAAGAATCAGACCTGAAATTCTCCTCTTGTAATGCTCCACATATCTTTTCTTTCAACTTTGTTATCACCATCATCATAACATCATTAGTGATAGAATTTAATTTTATAATACTCATTAATATTAATATGTCCTATTCAATATGATATCCTCCATATTCAATTTAATTAGATGATACCATAGACTCAGCATTGTGTTTAGTACTATGTATATTTAAAATAAATATTAGCTGTAATTATTATTGCTATTTTTCTTACTCTTTTGGTCTTTTTTGAATAGTATAGTAAAGTAAGATATAATATATATGATTTAGTAAAAATTGAATATGAGACTGGGGTCCTGACTCACTTGTACCTGAATTCTGGCTGTAACTTTGGATAAGTTAACAGATGTTTTTTAGTCTTATATCCCTCAACTTAAAATGGGAAAATTGATATTAGTATTTACGTAGTACAATGACATTATTCGCCCAAAGAATTTAGCAAAGCGTTTGGTCTTAGTAAGCATCAATAATAATTAAATTAACAATAATATATTTTAGGCTCTTTTGTTTTAATGAATGTAAATGTTTTGACAGACATTGACTTTGTACCTCACACTTCTTAAGGTTTTTTTTTAACTTATAAAATTTAATTATCTTTTTAACATAAGATATAAAATCTTCAATCTTTTTTTTAACCTCTTTTCATTTCCTTGGGTCTAATCTAGGAACCAAAGAAAGGTCTACTTTCTATATAAAAATAGAAATATAATGTAGACTATATTATCGTTTCTTCACATATACAGTTTTTTGTACTGAAGAAATACTCTCCATAATCTCAGAATGCATTACAAATATTGATATTATTATATTATATTATTGATACTAATTCTATTAAAGCACTAGGTGAACAATTTATTGGGGAGTGAAAGGAAATGCTCGATATGCTATGTATCAAAATGCTATGCTATGTATTAAAATGAACCCTGCAGTACTCTATTTGAGGTTAGGGTGACAAAAAACGACCTAAACTCATGCATTGTATTTAACTGTATACTTACTGGAAGATTTTCCTCTTAGTATGCTCTAATTCATATGAGCTATTAACAATTGAATGTGTGACTGACATTGTTTTCATATTTTTCTACAAAATATTTGCATGTGTTATTATTGTCACCTTCTTGCACATGATAGTTTTAGAACATGAAACATATAGCTATTACTTGCCTACCTAATGATCATTGCATTGCAATATCTTTGAAGAGAGGGAACAATACTATATCTTACCACCTTTGTTTTTCATAAACACTTTCATGATTTGTCATACCAGTTTTAGGGAGATATAATTTACATGGCATGATATCTAACTGCGCAATTGAGTGCTTTTTAGTACTGTATATTCATTCTGGGAAAGGTGATCATGTGGCCTAAAGACACTTGCATACTTGCACGGGAACATGCATCACACCTGGAATATTTCTTTAGTGGAGATAAGAAGCTGAAATATACCCAACAAGTGGGTATATTACCTTGTTTAGCAATATCATTTCCTCTTCCAGGTTTGATGTGTACTTCTTTGTTCTACTCAAGTGTGTGTGTCATATGACACCTGACCAACCCCACTGCTATATCTGTTACTAATAGGCAGAAAATGGGGTCCTTCACCTGACGTATAAGAAGGATTATGTGCAAACAATTTTCCATGATGGCCATCAGGTGACACCCAGTGGCCACTGGAGACCAATGCTCACTGTTGAAGCTGATTTTTCTCTGTCTCATCTTTATGTGGGTAAAGTGCTATTCCTTCCAGTGCCTCTGTGAGCCATGTCTTTTTTGGCAGCCTCAACACCTACCTGCAAACTACGCAATGGGTTGACATCCTGGGACTGCCGCTCCTGTCGGCTGGCATTGTTATGATCTTTGCTATCCCCCATGCAGTAAGATTTCTTCTCTGGAGAGTTATTTTATTGGTGTCGTTTTACTGACAATTCACAATGTTATGTAACTAATCCTACTATCTAATTGTGGAATATTTTCATCATCCCCAAAAGAAACCCCATGTTCTTTAGCAGTCACTTTTTACACCTTTCTCCCCACAGCTCCTGGCAACTACTAATCTACTTTCTGTATCTATAGATTTGCCTATACTGCTTACATCATATAATTGGAATAATACAATGTGTGTTTTTTATGACTTCTTTAACTTAGCATGTTTTCAGGGTTCATGCATGTTGTAGCATATATTAATACCTCATTTCTTTTTATGGCCAAATAATGTTGCATTGTATGGATATACCATATTTGATTTATCCATTCATCAGTGGATGGACATTTGGGTTGTTTCTACTTTTTATCAATTATAAATAATGCTTATATAAACATTCATATGTAAGTTTTTGTGTTAACCTAAGTTTTCATTTCTTGTGGGTATATACCTAGGATTGGAATTGTTGTATCATATAGTATTCTATGTCTACCATTTTGAGGAACTGCCAGACTTGTTTTCAAAGAAGCTGCATCAACTTAGGAGAGTTCCACAATCAATCAATATATGAGAATTCCAATTTCTCTACATCTTCACCAACACTAATTATTGTCTATCTTTTTTATTGTAGCCATCTTAGTTTTTGCGAAGTGGGACCTTGTTTTGGTTTTGATTTCCATTTCCTTTATAGCTAATACTGGTGAGCAACTTTTCATGTGCTTATTGACCATTTATATATCCTCTTTGGAGAAATGACTATTCAAGATCCTTTGTCCATTTTTAAATTGGGCTATTTGTCTTTTAATGTTCAGTTGTAGAAGTTCTTTATTCTGGATACAAGTCTCATCCGATATTTGATTAGCAAGTATTTTCTCTACATTTGTGGATTACCCTAAGCATCTGGCAATATGCACATTGCAGATCCCCAATATTTTTTGTTGAATTGATGTTCAATACATTCCCTTTTCAGTAATGAATTCACAACCTGGTGTAAACTCCGTGACTCCTGTGATGGTTAATTTTAGTTGTCAATGTGACCGGGCCATGGAGTGCCTGCACATTTAATCAAACAATTTCTTCTGCATGTCTGTAAGGGTGATTCTGGATGTATTTGAGTCAGCAGACTGAGTAAAGTGGATTTCCCTTCCTAATGTGGATGGACCTCATCCAATTACTTGAAGACCTGTGTAGAACAAAAAGGCAGAGTAAGACGGAACTACACACGTATGACTTCTAGAGCTAAGTATCCATCAGACCAGAATTTACACCATCAGCTCTCCTAGGTTTCTAGCTTGCTAAGTGCAGATCTTAGGACTTCTCAGCCTTCATAATCAGTGGCTCAATTCCTTATAGTAAATCTATGTATGTATGTATGTATGTATGTATGTATGTATGTATGTATGCATGCATGTATCTATCCATCTAATCTATCTACTTACCTAATATATACAGACAAATTCAGGGAACATATGTGGGACTGGATACTAAGAGTATGCAATAATGGTGTTAGAGACATCAAAATTGGATCAGGCTGAATTCATTGATATGGATTCACTAAGCAGAGATTCTGCATTTAATATTACAGTTGGAGGAGTTAGAAAAGGCTTAGACAGTTTGATTGCTTTACTGAAACATGGACCAACAGGTGGCCCACAATAAATATGTTAAAATGCTGAACCTGGCTTGATTTATCATAGAGGAAAGGATTTAGAGGATTAGAGAGATTGGGATGTTAGCATGGATTTGTCATTTAAGACCTACTCACCTGTGCTGGGAGGGTCCAGAAGACATACCTATTACCACCACTGTGAGAAATAAACTCGTGAGTGGAGGCTTGGCATCCTAGAAAGCTCTGTGATCTTCTCTGCAGGCCACATCTTACAGTGGGAACTGCAGTCACTAAACTGGGAAACCTAATAGCAATGGAATAATTGGATCCTGGGATGGCAGGGCTGAGTAATAACACTCAACCATCAAAGGCAAGGTGGCTGTGGTTACCGTAATGGACAGAAAGTCAAGACAACAGTAAGAATAATTTGAGTTTTTAGAACTATGGTGTTTGCTAGTTGATCATAGGGTGTTTCTAGAAGTGAAAGACAGGAAGCTGACTAAAATCTTACTTGACCTATATAAGCAGAAAAGTTCTAGGTCAATGAATAAAAGTTCAACCCAAGGCCAGGTGCAGGGGCTCATGCCTATAATCCAGCACTTTGGGAGGTGGAGGCAGGTGGATCACTTGAGGCCAGGAGTTCGAGATCAGCCTGGCTAACATGGGGAAACCCTATCTGTAGTAGAAATAAAAAAAAATTAGCTGGGCATGGTGGCACATGCCTGTAATTCCAGCTAGTCAGGAGGCTGAGACATGAGAATCACATGAACCTGAAAGACAGAGGTTGCAGTGAGCTGAGATCATGCAACTGTACTCCAGCCTGGGCGACAGAGAGTCAGACTCTGTCTCAAAAAAAAAAAAAAAAAAAAAAAAAAAAGGAAAAGAAAAAGAAAAAAAAAGTTCAACCCAAATTATAAAAACAGAGAGTCATGTTCCCTCAAGCAATTTGCATAATTAAGCCTTTGTAGACTGAGAACTCCTTGAATGGAGAGGCTAGATCTCCTCAATGAAAAACCGAAGTATACTAAGTAAAATTTATACTGTTAAATGTTTCTTTCAGCCTTCCCCAAAGGGACCCATGGCCTTTTATTAGGGTTACTAACTGTACACTGGGGAAAAGGAAATAATCACATGTTTCAGAGACTGCAGGGAGTTGTGGCCCTCCAGTTACAGTAAGGAATTATGGGGATCAGGTGATCAATAGAGTGTTTAGCTCAGGTCTGTTTCATAGTGGGGCCAGTGCATCCCTGAACGCATCTTATGGTTATTTCCTTAATTCCAGAGTTCTTAACTGAAATAAACACACTTAGTAACTGACAGAATCCTCACATTGGTTCTATAATCTATGAATTGAGGGTTATTATGGTAGAAAAGGCCCAATGGAAGCTACTAGAGCTGCTTCTATCGAGGAAAACAGTAAATCAAAAGAAAAACTCTATCCCTGGGGAGATTACAGAGACTAGTGACATCTTCAAGGATCTGAAAGATGCAAGAGTGGTGATTCCCACTACATCTCCATTCAACACTCCTATCTTGCCTGTGCAGAAGACAGATGGATCTTGGAGAATGACAGTGAATTATCATAAGCTTACCAGTCATAACTTCAATTACAGCTACTGTAATAAATGTGGTTTCATTGCTTGAGCAAATTAATGCATTCCCTACTATTTGGTATCCAGCGATTGATCTGGCTAATGCTCCACCTCCCACCCTCATCTGTCAATAAGTACCTCCAGAAGCAGTTTTCTTTCAGCTGGCAAGGCCAGCAATGCACCTTCACAGTCCTATCCTAGTTGTATAACAACTCTCCAGCCCTATGACATAATTTAGTCTCTACAGGGATCTTGATCACCTTTCCCTTCCACAAGGTATCACAGTGGTCCAATGCATTGATGACATTATGCTAATTGGGCCTCGTGAGTGAGAAGTAGCAACTACTCTACATTTATTGGTAAAATATTTGTGTGTCAGAGGATAGGACAACTTTTATCAAAAAAATATTCAGAGTCTTTCTACCTCAGTGAAATATCTGGGGGTCTAATGGTGTGGGACATGTTGTGATAACCTTTCTAATGTGAAGGATAAGTTGTTGCATCTGCCCCCACCTCCCATAACCAAAAAAAGAGGAACAACACCTAGTGGGCTTCTTTGGATTTGGGAGGCAATGCATGCCTTATTTGGGTGTGTTACTCCAAACCATATATGGAATGACTTGAAAAGCTGCTGATTTTGAGTAAGACCTGGAACAAGAAAAGGCTCCATAACAGATCCAAGCTGCTGTGAAATCTCTTCTATCACTTAGGCCATATGATCCAGCCTATCCAATGGTTCTATCACTTAGGCCACATGATCCAGCCTATCCAATGGTAGATTGTCAGTGGTAGATAGGAATGCTGTTTGGAGACTTTAGCAAGCCTCTATAGGTTAATTGAACTCTAGGCCCTTAGGATTTTGGAGCAACACTTTGCCATCCTTTAAAGTTAACTACTTCCCTTTTGAGAAACAGCTCTTGGACTGTTATTAAGTAGAACTGAAAACTTAACCATGGCCACCAAGTTACCATGAGGCCTGAGCCTGTCATGAACTGCATGTCATCTCACCCAGCAAATCATAAAATTTGGCATGCACTGCAGCACTTTATTATTAAATGAAAGTGGTATATACAAGAACAGGTCTGAGCAGGCCCTGAAGGGACAAGTAAGTTACATGAAATAGGGACCCAAGTAAGTTACATGAAATGGCCCCCACTCCTGTTATACTATGCTCTCTCTCCCAGCCTGCATCTATGATTTCACAGGAGTTTCATCATGATAAATAATCAGTTTATAGAGGAATAGAAGTCTTGGGTTTATAGGTGATTCCAAACACTATGCAGGCACCATCTAAAAGTGGACAGGGGCAGCACTAAAGCCTATTTCTGGGCTATCACTGATGAATAGTAATGAAGAAAAATCCCCTCCAGTGGGCAGGGCACTAAGTGAACTTCAAGCACTACACTTAGTTGTCCATTTTGCATGGAAAGAGAAATGAGAAGATATTTGATTATACACCAACTCATGGGCATGTTCAATGGTTTCTTTGGATGATCAAGGACTTGGAGAAAACATAATTGGTGACAAGTAAGTCTGGGGAAGAGGTATATTGATAGGCTTATCTAAATGGGTAAAAAAACAAAGATATTTGTTTTCCATGTGAATAAGTAACAAAGGGTGGCGTCCACAGAACAGAATTTCATTAATCAAGTGGATAGAATGGCCCAGTTTTAAATACCAGTTAGCCTCTTTTCTCAGCCACCTCTGTCATCACCCAAATGGGCTCACGATGAAACTGCCTTTGCAAAATTATGACAGAGACAGAGAAAGAGATCTAATTTAACCGACTCCATCTTGCTTCTAACCTCCAAGCTGTCCTTGTTCATTCCTGGGTATAGGATGAACTAACTTTGGAAGAAACTATTATAGTTTATAGTTTAAAACAAAGAAGATAATAGCCCATTCCTAAGGCAGACCTCCTTCTTGCCTGGAGACTAGATTGCTTTTGTAGGACTAACATTAGCAACAAGATTAGAAATTATGGTTTAGGAGTCATGCAGCTGGAGACTACAAGATTCTGACCCTCCCTAAACTGCTCCTAAGACCAGTGCTTGAGATATTTTGCAGACCCTGTACTTGATGGGTCAGCTGGCACCACCCAGATCGAAAAACTGGCTCATTGAATCTTGTGACCCCCACCCAGGAACTGACTCAGCACAAGAAGACAGATTTGACTCATTATTTCATCCCTGACCAATCAGCACTCCTGGCCTACTGGCATCCCCCACCCACCAAGTTGTCTTTAAAAACTCTGCTCCCCGTATGCTGGGGGAGACTGATTTGTGTAATAATAAAATTCCAGTCTCCCACACAGCCGGCTCTGCATGAATTACTCTTTCTCTATTGCAATTCTCCTGTCTTGAGAAATCGGCTCTGTCTAGGCAGCAGGCAAGGTAACCACTGGGTGGTTACAATGAATGAAATGGTCATGGTGGCAAGGATGGAGATTATGTCTGGGCTCAGCAACATGGACTTCCACTCTCAAGGCTGACCTGGCTACTGCTACTCTAGATGCCCAGTCTACCAATAGTAGAGATGAAGATTGAGTCCTTTCTGGGGTGATAAGCCTGCTACGTAGTAGCAGGTTGATTAGATTTGACCACTCCTATATGGGATATGCAGCATTTTGTTCTTATTGGAATAGATATGTACTCTGGATGTGAATTTGCTTCCCATGCATGCAATGCTTTTGCCAAAACTATCATCCATGGACTTATGGAATGCCCTATCCAAAATCGTAATTCCACACAGCATTGCTTCTGATCAGTGAACTCATTTCACAGCCAAAAAAATGCAGCAATGGGATCATGCTTATGGAAGACACCAGTCTTATTACGTTCTACATCATTCTGAAGCAGCTGACTTGATAGAATGGTGGAATGGCCTTTTGAAGACTGAGTTACAGCACCAGCTACATGGCAATACCTTCCCAGGAAGAGGAAAGGTTCTTCAGAAGGCTGCATATGCTCCAAATCAGCATTCAATATGTGGTGCTCTTTCTCCTATAGCTAAGATTCATGGATCTGTGAGTTGGGGAGTGGAGATAAGGGTGGAACCACTCCCTATGTTCTCTATGACACGTTAGCAAAAATTTTGTTTCCTATTCCCATGAACTTATGCTGGCTTAGAGGTCTTGTTCTAAAGGAGACTGCTTCTGCTAGAAGACAAAACAATGATTGCATTGACCTGGAAGTTTAGACTGCTGTTCAGCCACTTTGGACTCCTTATGTCTCTGAGTCACTAGATAATGAATGGAGTTACTGAGCTGGTTCGAGTGATTGAGCCTAACTACTGAGTGGAAGTTGGCCTGCTATTTCACAATGGAGTTAAGGGAGAATGTAGTTGAAATACAAGAGATTTCCTGGGGTGTCTGTAAGTATTATCATACCCTGTGATTAAACTCAATGGAAAACTACAACAACCCAATCCAGGCAGGTTGACAAATGGCCCAGATCCTTCAGGAATACAGACTTGGGTTATCCTGCCAGATAAAGAACCATAGCCAACTGAGGACCTTGATGAATGCAGAGAGAATACAGAATTGTGATGGACGAAGATAGTTATAAATACCCATTATGACCACATGATGGGTAACAGATATAAAGATTAATATTCTTGAGTATTTCCTATTTGTTTTGTTATCAATATGTTTGTGAGGGCTAATTTTAAAATGTCAACTTGATTGGGCCATTGGGTGCACAGACAGTTCGTCAAATATTATTCTGGGTGTGTCTGTGAGGGTGTTTCTGGATATAATTAATATTTAAATCAGTAGACTGAGTAAAGCAGATTGCTGTCCCTAATGTGGGTAAGCCTCCTTCAATTACTTGAAGATATCAGTAGAACAAAAAGGCAAAGTAAAAAGAAATTTCCCCTGTGTGACTTCTTGAGCTGAGACACCAGTCTTCTCTTGCTGTTGGACTAGAACTTAAACCATCAGCTCTCCTGCTTCTCACATCTTCAAACTCAGACTAGAACTTGCACTATTAGCTCTCCTGGTTTTCAGATCTTTGGATTTGGACTGGAACTACTACATCACTAGCTCTCCTGAATCTCCAGATTGCTGACTATACATTTTGGGACTGCTCAGCCTCCATAACTGTATGAGCCAATTCCTTATAATAAATCTCTATCTATCTATCTATCTATCTATCTATCTATCTATCTATCTACCTATCTATCATCTATGTATGTATGTATGTATGTATGTATGTATGTATGTATCTATCATCTATCTATCTATTTATCTATCTAGCTATCATCTATCTACATCTCTAGCTTTTTGATAGAAAAGATAGATGATAGATAAATAGATAGATTATATGTATAATATTGGTTCTATTTCTCTGGAAAACCTTAATATAGCATCTATTTTCGGGGTTTTATTTACCTCCTAAGAACCATTGTATGTTTTCTTCCCTAAGATTTTAAAAAAGATAAATTTTAGGGAGCATATTGCCTACATTTATAAAAGAAACTTTCAGCTTCCTTTGTAATACTAGTTGACCAAGTTACTGTGATTGATATGTGAATGAAGGTACTATGTAGAACTTCTGAGAACCTTGAGATAGCTGGCACTCTAGCAGCCATCTTATGGCAGGGTAATCAAGGCTATAACCTAGAGTTTGCAGAGAGATGGACTGGAAGATAACTTGGTCCCTGATGCTGATGTCTTCATGGAGCTATGAAACCAATCTAAGCACCCTACTTAAGTATTTATTTCACTTCAGAAAAAAATTCTAGTCATGCTTAAGTCACTGTTTTGAGGGGGTCTATATTACTTTTATCACTGAATCAGCATCTGAGAAAATGCATCCAATACTCTTGTCTTATTTCTAGTAAAAAAAGCTTTTGACTAGTTAAAGGTTAAGTAGCAAAAGGGCAGTTTTTACTGATTTTACTCAAAGTTCAAGACTTTTCATATAATTCTTCATTTAGTCCTTGTTGGGTAGCAGCACACTGTATTTAGTTTTGTATTGATTCTTAATAGACAAAGTGAAGCTTTGTCTATTAAGGAGTAAAATGGGGGAGGTCGTAAAGGGGTAGAATGAGAGAGACAATGAGAAACTTTCATCAGGTGAATTAAGATAAAATGAAGTCCAATTTTCTTATCTTAAAAGGTCTCCTGAAAATAAAAAAAAAATGGTCCCTGGCAGTAAGTTTTAGATTAACAAGATGCAAAAATCAATATTGCATCTAAGTTTGAAAATTGGGCAACGTGAGGGATTTGTCTTTTCCTCAGTGTTCATGTAATCAAGATTTTCTTTGGTTACTGTACTTATTTTATATAAATGACATCCACTTTTGTAAGCTTTATGTATGTTATACTTTGATTATCTTAAGAACTCTGAGAATTAAGAATTGATTTTCCACAAAGGTGCCAAGAACATACATTGGGGAAAAGACAGCCTTTGAATAAATGGTTCTGGGAAAACAGGATATCCATATGCAAAAGAATAAAACTAGATCTCGTCTTTGAACATATACACAAATCAGCTCAAAATGGATTAAATATTTAAATGTAAGACCTTATACTATGACACTACTAAAGAAAACTTTGGGGAAGTACTAAGGACATTGGTCTGGACACAGATATTTTTGGGAAGACCTCAAAAAGCACAGACAACAAAAGCAAAAACAGGCAAATGGAATTACATCAAGGTAAAAGCCTTCTTCACAGCAAAGGAGACACCATTTAAAAAGTGAAGAGATAACCTACAGAATGGGAGAAAATATTTGCAAACCATCCATTCAGCAAGGGATTAATAACCAGAATAATAAGGGACTGAAACAACTCAATAACAAATAATCCAATTAAAAAATGGACAAAAGACCTGAATAGACATTTCTCACAAGAAGATACACAAATGGCCAACAGATATATTTAAAAATGCTCAAGTCACTAATCATCAAGGAAATGCAAATCAAAAACACAATTAGTTATCATCTCATCCCAGTTAGAAGACCTATTACCAAAAACACAAAAAATAACAAATGCCAGTGAGGATGCAGAGAAAGGGAATGTTGATGCACCACTGGTGAAAATGTAAAGTAGTGCAGCCAGTATGAAAAGAACTGTGGAGGTTCCTCAAAGAAACTAAAAATATGATCCAGCAGTTCTGCTTCTAGGTATATATCCAAAGGAAAGAAAATTAGTATATCAAAGAGATATTTGCACTCCCATGTTTACTGAGCACTATTCACAATAGCCAAAATATGAAATCAACCTGAGGGTCCATCAACAGATAAATGGATAAAGAAAACATGGTGTGTGTGTTTGTGTGTGTGTATGTGTACATATATATATATAAAAAATACACATGTGTATTATATATATACATATGTGTATTTTATATATACACATGTGTATTATATATATACACAACTCAACTGTAGAAAACTCAATATATATGAATATATATAAAATCAATATATAATATATAAAATCAATGTAGTATATATGATATATATAAAATCAATATATATAAAAATTAACTCAATATATATATCATATACATATACACACATATGATGAAATATTATTTGGCCATAAGAAAAATGGAATCCTGTCATTTGTAGCAACATGGAGGGAGGTCATTAGAGGTCATTATGTTAAGTGAGATAAGCCAGGGAAAGAAAGACAAATATTGCATGTTCTCATTAGTGCATGTTCTCATTATATATGGGAGCTAAAAAAGTGGATCTCTTGAAGGTAGTGAGTAGGATGATGGTTACCAGAGGCTAGGAAGGGAAGGTGAGTAGGGAAGGAATAAAGAGAAGTTAATGGTAAAAATGCAAAATTAGAAGATGTGAGTTCTACCCTTAGAGATGGAGATTTAGTTTAATTCTTCTTCATATAGATATTTAATAGTACAATAAGGATATTACAGGTAAAAATAATTTGTTATATATTCAAAACAGCTAGAAGAGAAGAATTGTAATGTTCTCAACACACACACAAAAAATGAGGTAATGGGTATCCTAATTATCCTGATTTGATCATTAAACATTATACACATGTATGAAAATATCACATGTACCTCCAAAATATGTACAACTATGATATATCAATAAAAAACAATTTATTGTCCCAGTCTTATCAATGTCTTGAAACTAATTTGCTAAGATCTAAAATGCATTGATTGCATATCCATTACAAAAGTTAGAACTGGACAATAAATATTAAAACCATTCTGAACATGTTATATGTATGTTAATTGTGAGATTGAATTTAAAGATGCTGCTTTTATTATTTAGTAAACTTTTTTGTAATTAACTATTTCTTGAGTATCTCCAGTATGCTGGATGCTGTTAAAGCAATTAAAAAAACAGACAATATTGTTAGCCTATATACCATGCATCGTTTATTTTCTTTTGAGTGACTTTTTTTTCTAACTTTTTATTTTGAAGTAATTATCGATTCACAGAAAGTTGCAAAGAAGGCTACAGGGAGGTCCCATGCATGCAGACCCCCTAGTAAGGAAGACTTAGCAGCCTCCCCTATTGTTAAATTAGCATCTTGCCTATGTATAGCACAATACCAAAACAAGAAAACTGACATTGGTAAAACTACAGAACTTATTCATAATTCACAGGTATAGATACAGTGATTATTATAAATGTATATATTTCTTTGAAATTTTATCACGTGTAGCTTCATGTAACTTACCGTATTTAAGATAGAGACTGTCCTATCATCAAATGGCTCCTTCGTTCTACCCAACTTTAGCCATCCTTACACACACCCATCTTAACCCCTGATAACCACTAACCTGTTTTCCATTTCTATGGTCTTGGCATTTCGAGAATGTTACGTAAATGAAATCATTCACTAGGTAATCATTGTAGGTTGGCTTTTTCCACTGAGGATAATTGCTCTGAGGTTCATCCAAGTTGTTTTATGTATCAGTAGTCTGTTCCTTTATATTTCTAAGTGGCATTCTGTGGTTTGGTTGTATCACAGCTTGTATAGCCATTCACCTGTGAAATGAAATCTGGATTATTTCCAGGTCTTGGATATTAAATATAAAACTGCTATGAGGATTCATGTACAAGTTTCTGTGTGAACATAAATGTCATTTCTCTGGGATAAATTCCTAAGAGTGCAATTTTTGGGTCTTATTTTAGGTCATTTTTTGTTTTAAAAGAAACTGACAAACTGTTTTCCAGAGTGGCTGTATCATTTTACATTCTATATATGAGTGATTTAATGTCTCTGCTTTGCCAGCATTGGGAGTTTTCACAAGCATTTATTTTCGTCATTAATATAGGTGTGTAGTACTATCTCATTTTAGTTTTAATTTGCGTTTCCCTGATGGCTAATGATATAGAAAATCCTTTTATGTGCTTATTTGCCATCTGTATATCTTTTTAAGTGAAACATCTGTCATGTATTTTTCTCATTTTCTAATTTAATGTGTGTTGTTGTTTACATGGTTTAAAGCCTTCTTTTTATATTCTAAATATGTGTTAGATGTATGATTTACAAATATTTATTATCTCCCAATCTGTAATTTACCTTCTCTTTTCATGGTGTTTCTAAAGAACAAAGGTTTTTAAAATTCATTTCAATGAAGTCAATTTATACTCTTAATTAGCTGCTAATTTAATAAGATTGACTTGGGTATTTCTTATATAGTTTAGTGAGAAACTTATACTGTACTTACTATTTCATCAGATTGCTTTTTCAGCAATATTTCTATTATAGAATGAGCAAAAATTATATTCATTAAAAGAAACAATTTTGGCTGTATCATAACTTCTCTTAGAAAATATGCCACCCTTTCTATATCACTTTTCAATAACACTTATATTTTAATCCTTGGAAATTCCAGTTTTTACACGTGGGAAGTATTAAAACATTGTTTTGTTTTCTAAAATAGAATGATTGTCATTGATTTTGTTGCCCTTTGGTTTTGCCTCACCTATCAGTATTGGTAACTTGTGTACTACTGAAGTATTTTACTATTAACTCATAGTTAATATCTAAAAACCCTCAGGCCATTGAAGATAAATTATGTAAAACTCACTTGTATGTCCTGAAAAATGTCATACCAAAGCTAATGGTCTGTAGTTTGATTTGTGCTTCATTTAACAAACATATATTGAAGGCCACAAAGGGCCAGATACTGTTTTAGGACCCAGTGAACATATTGGTATTACACACAGATAATAAAAATGGTTTGCAAAATATAATTTGAAGCATATTTTTAAATAAATTTAAATGGAATGCATCAATAGATACTAAGTTCTGCTGTTGGCTTAATCTGTAAATGATATACTATTACGGACAACTTCAGGTTTTATTTTTAATTACCTAGGTTACATGTCTGTCTCCATATAAGCTCCAGCATTTTCTAAGGTATTTATTTAGAGATTTTGTTATTTTGTTTTCAGAGATGCATTTGCACTGAGTCATGATTTTTTCCCTAATGTGTTTATTACTATTCTTCAGAGCAAGTATGTATTAATATGATACCAAAAAGTAAGCTACTAATTTTAGGGATCCCCTCATCTGGCTGAGACGTCATCAGAGGAAGCCAAAGGGTAATATAATGATCACCTGTAGGCAACTTCACAATATTCTGAAATCATTTCTGGTAATATGATATGATATGTATTATATTGTCCTTACTGGAAAAATACTACTTCATGAAAGAATGACGTAATGCAAAAAGTGACACTTATGGTCAGAAAAACATTCTTCTAGTATCACCTCGTTGCTCTCCTCTTAAAATAATAAAGAAAACTACAGGAATCAAAGGTTTCTACATTTCTTTGACAGGTCAATTTCCTCAACACACAAGTCTGATTTTTAAAATATGTAATAAAATAATGCCTTGCACCAAATATCTTTCCTTCTTCAGATTCATCAAATGAACATTTTCCAGCATGTATAACCAAACCTGCAGTGCCCTTTGCCGTAAGCAAATGTGTTTGGTCAATGTTTCCTGTTTTCCCCAAAAGCGTGTAGAGTTCTGAGAAGGCTTGTAGCCAAGAACTTTATCTTTTACCTAAAGTTTCTTAAACTTGTAAGAAGACTTAATTTTCCTTTAGACGGAAAAATTTCAGTTTCAAATTATGTATTAACAGAATGTGTTGTTTTTCCAGTATCTACATCAATATGGTGAGTAATGATGTATTTATTTTCACATATTTGCCATAGAAAATGTAATAATACTGGAATATAAACAGCTCAAATTTGCTGTGTGCCAAGGATTACGTCAAGTGCTTTTTAAATATAATGTTAGTAAGTGTTCATACCAATTTTATGTCATAGGTGTTCTTAAAATCCCCATTTCATGTTATTGGAACTGTAGCTCAGCATGTTAGGCTCCTTGATTAAAGTTATACAGTTCATAAATGTAAACTCAAACCAGAGTAATCTGATTCTAGGCAAAGTACAATTAAAAGGATATTGAAAGCTAAAATATGTGAGTTAATTACTAGGAAATATAAAATATTGCAATATTCACCAAAATAAAACAACTCCTAAATGTCTTTCTCCCATGTTGATGCAGTTTCTATTTTTAAACAGAAGCTACCCAATGAGTGTAATCAAACTAACTTTCCGAATTTAAAAACATATTCCAGGAAAAAGCACAAATTGGAAGTTTTGTATGGAAAGCAGAAAAAATGTTTGGGGTAAAACTCAAATCAGCAATAAGAAGGGTGACTAATACAGAGTCTATCCAGGAAACTAAAAGAAAAGTGTAAGGGAGGCTAAGGGGGGCATCTTGTACATAAGATAGAGTGCACACCCTTATATAAGCATCTAAGAATATGCAGAGATGGGGAAAAATTAGCAAGAATCTTTGTGGGAAAAATGAACTATGATAAAACTTGAATATTTACTAAAAAATTCAAAAAAATGAGATTTATAGTGTGTCTCCTAAGTAGAGATAAAAAAAAAAAGAAAAAAAAGTCAGTGGAAAAATTTACTGTCAACAGCAACTTTGCACAACTTCGGTGTGCATCATTTAATCTGGACTGTGCAATGTGGTGTGATAAAAAGCTTTCAGCAACTGAAAAAAATATGTATTTGAGGGCATAGATTTTATTAGAAAAGTATAATTAGTTAATTCTAGGGGAAATAAATTGCTAGTTATACATAAAATAACAAAGGAAAACATACAGTGTATAGAAGAAAAAGTTGTTCTTGCTGTTAGGCAAAACCACGTATTAGTTCGTAAATATCAAAAAGAATATTATAGAAATTACATGTAGTGAAATATTGAAGAAAGACTCAAATGAAATCGTGATGTTAAAATAGGAGATCATAATAATAACAATAAAAAAGATAAGTGAAGATAGAGTAGTGTTATATACACTTAGATTAATTGTTCAATAACTGCTTAAAGCCTGATGAAATCTAGTATTAGATGGTAAAAGTGGAAAATGGTTTGTTTAAATACAGTGGATGAATAAAAAAGAGTATTATCTAATATTTCCCATGTTATGTGTAGAAAATTAATGGCATTTAAAATAGAATGTGAGTGGAGTCTTGTGAAAAATAATGGGTCACAAAAATTCTAGATCTAGGAGCTAAAAAGCTCTAACTATTGAATAAAATGATTAAGTAGAAAGATTATTCTTTATTCCAGGAAACTAGATGATTATATGATGATATACTTGTGACCTGCAGCAGAAAATCAAAGCAAATCGATATGAAGTATTCTATGTCTTATGTGGCTTCTCATATCTGGCCTATGGTCCTTCAATTTTTTTTCATTCCCATTAAGTATTTATATGAAGGCTCAGGCTCAGTAAGGAATTTTAACTTGTTAGAACCATAAAATATTGTTTTACCAAGCTCCTTTGACTTATCATTTTAAAAGATCTGTCTGTGGGAAAGAAATTATTCTAACTTATCCAGGGTACTGTTCTTCTAGTGTTGGACAGGAGACAAGCATTTTAGCAATTAGGCTGTGTATATTTTAAAATAAAATGTCATCAAAGGTTGGTACGACCAGCCCTGCCCTGCTTTGAACTGCGCTGCAACTTCCTGAGTTTTCCTGCACTGATCTTTTAAGACCTAGCACCCTGTGTGTTTTCCATCATATTAGAGTCATTTAAAAAACATATCTGTTCCTTCAGCTTCACCAAAAGCCTCAAAGGAAGTAACAAGTTTTTGTTCATCTCTGTATATACAAAGCCTATAAAGTAGCATTGAAAAAGTATCTGAGTTGAGTTGACCTAACTGGATGATCCTGAGGTCAAAGCACTGAAGCGCTTGTGTTTTGGGTAGAGGCTTGTCTGAGAAGATAATAAGAGCTAAGCCAGGACATGCAATGAAATAGAAGAATTTGTTCTACTGTTGCAGAAGTAGTGTCACCCAGAGTAAGTCTTGTAGGATTTGGGGCTATAAATTGCTTTGCGGGAGTTATTGTTCATCTGAAAACTGTCATTCTTAAAGCCCTGAACTTATTAGGTAGATACAACACTTCCTTCTAAATATTTTGGATACATGAAAGTGATATCCTGCCTTTTATCTAGGCAAAAGTGTATAAGCAGCAGAAGAGTTTTCCTTCATAAGTGATTTGCATCACTTCTTTGGAAGGGAAGACCACATCTGCCATGCTGAGGATTTTATGAGGGTGCTGTGACTTCAAAATTTCTGAAAGTCTAAAAACCCTAGAAGAAAACCTAGGCAATACCATTCAGGACATAGGCATGGGCAAGGACTTCATGTCTAAAACACCAAAAGCAATGGCAACAAAAGCCAAAATTGACAAATGGGATCTAATTAAAGAGCTTCTGCACAGCAAAAGAAACTACCATCAGAGTGAACAGGCAACCTACAGAATGGGAGAAAATTTTTGCAATCTACTCACTGACAAAGGGCTAATATCCAGAATCTACAGTGAACCGAAACAAATTTGCAAGAAAAAAACAAGCCCATCAAAAAGTGGGCGAAGGATATGAACAGACACTTCTCAAAAGAAGACATTTATGCAGCCAAAAGACACATGAAAAAATGCTTATCATCAGTGACCATCAGAGAAATGCAAATCAAAACCACAATGAGATACCATCTCACACCAGTTAGAATGGCGATCATTAAAAAGTCAAGAAATAATTGATGCTGGAGAGGATGTGGAGAAATAGGAACACTTTTACACTGTTGGTGGGACTGTAAACTAGTTCAACCATTGTGGAAGACAGTGTGGAAATTCCTGAGGGATCTAGAACTAGAAATACCGTTTGACCCAGCCATCCCATTACTGGGTATATACCCAAAGGATTATAAGTCATGCTGCTATAAAGACACATGCACACATATGTTTATTGTGGCACTATTCACAATAGCAAAGACTTGGAACCAAGCCAAATGTCCTATAATGATAGACTGGATTAAGAAAATGTGGCACATATACACCATGTGATACTATGCAGCCACAAAAAAGGTTGAGTTCATGTCCTTTGTAGGGACATGGATGAAGCTGGAAACCATCATTCTCAGCAAACTATCGCAAGGACAAAAAACCAAACACTGCATTTTCTCACTCATAGGTGAGAATTGAACAATGAGAACCCTTGGACACAGGAAGGGGAACATCACACTCCGGGGCCTGTTGTGGGGTGGGGGGAGTGGGGAGGGATAGTATTAGGAGATATACCTAATGTAAATGATGAGTTAATGGGTGCAGCACATCAACATGGCAGATGTATACATATGTAACAGACCTGCACGTTGTGCACGTGTACCCTAGAACTTAAAGTATAATAAAATACATACATATATATGTGTGTATATATATGTGTGTGTGTGTGTGTGTGTATATATATATATATGTATATATATATATATAAGAAATCTGAAAAAGAAAATTTTTTGTAAGTCATCCAGAGGGTTCCTCTGGGGAGTCTGATTTTCTGGAGAGAGAGATAGGTTTGATCCTAGTCTGGAATCTGATAATAAAATGCATCCTTTTGTTCTTTGCATAGTGTTAATAGGCTTATGGAAAACTACATGAACTTTATTTTTAAGTATACAACACTATTCACTACTATTGCGTGGATAAATCCATTTTCTTTATTCTATTTGAAAAGTCAGATTTTTCTTAAAATGCACCCAAAAAGACATTTTAAAGTATTTAAGTGTGATTAGAGACTAAGCATGTTATAAATAAGTTAAAATAGGATATCCAGCTGTTCTATTATTCTCTTTCTTCCTTTCTTGAGTCTTACTCTGTCACTCAGGCTGGAGTGCAGTGGCGTGATCTCGGCTCCTCCATATCCCGAGCTCAAGTGATTCTCATGCTTCAGCCTCTTGAGTATCTGGGACTACAGGCGACGCCACCACACCTGGCTAATTGTTGTATTTTTAGTAGAGACAGTGTTTCATCATGTTGACCAGGATAGTCTCAAACTCCTGTCCACAAGTAATCCGCCCACCTTGGCCTCCCAAAGTTCTGGGATCACAAGCATGAGCCATGATGCCCAGCCTATTTTATTCTTTTCTTTAGAGAGCAAATATTGCTACTTACTCATACAGCTCCTGTGCATTTAACATTTACACAGTGCAGTAAAATTTCTCTTTAAAATTGTCTAGTAAAACATAGCCACCTCCTAAAAACCAGCTTGTACTGTTCTCCACTGTCACCATGGTAGTCTCACTGGATCTCAAAATTTCTCATCCAGATCACTTTCATTTTCTGCCTACTCTAAGTCTACTGCCAAAAAGGTTGCTCTTAGAATTTTACCTTCCATGAGATCTTCTTTTCATTTTAATCTCCAGCAATACCAACCTATTTGTTATGGTCTGAATGAATCCTGAAACTTCTTGTCCACATACTTTGACTTGCTGCTTCCTCTGCCTGGACTGCCTTGCCCCACTTGTCTGTCTGAGGTCAAGTTTACTATAATTTTTTAAATTCTATTTCCTGTATTCAAAACAAATTATTTCCCTTTTATCAGTCTTGAAGTTTTGTATGCATTATATTGTAAAATATAATTATATTATCACCTATTGATACAAGTTATAATTATTGATTTATACCTGTGTCTATGCCACCCAGATACGACTTACTATGTTCCCATTTTGTGGAACATATTGATTGATGCCAATAAAGGTATATTGAAGGGGCTTTAATATGTTTTCCATCTGTCCACACATCCATCACATTCAGTATCTTCAGCAGGTTGCCAAACTTCAGCCAACAGGGATGAGTCCCATTACCAGAACTTAGTTTGAACCACGTCAGGGTAGTAAAAGTGCGCATTATTGCTCCTACTTAAAACATTCTCTTTCCTCTTCTTCACTTGACAAAATCCTTGTGCTTTAAATACCACATTAAATGTTACCTCTTCTACTTACATTTTCCACAATCCTTATGTAGAATTAGTCCTTTCACTCATGCTTGCTTCACATAGAACACGAACACTGGTAAAAATTTTTACCTACTTTGCTAACATGTAATCTCAGAAGACACAGAATTTTTAAATTGCTTTTTAAACATCTACTATGCACCTTAGTAATGTCTAGTAAGGTCTTGATAATAGTGGAAGAGACAGACAATTAGGTCTTATCATGTTCTGACATTTCTCAAACTCTCTTGCAGTTAGGATAGGACAATACCTAGTTTTTATCCAATGAACTATGATTAAATGTGATGTGGCTTCCTTTGAGTCAAGTCAGTTAAAAGCTGTTGTGCCTCCTGCAATTCCCTTGTTGCCTCAACAACCTTAGAAGACATGTTCAAATGGTTGTATCACAGAATGGAGGGAGCTAAAATCCTTCGGTAACTTAATAGGGAAGTTTCCACCAACTGGCTTAGAACTTTCTGTAAGAAATACTCAAGCATCAACTATGATTAGGCACACTTATAATTTGAAAAAATAAATGAATACATTAATAAACTTAATAAAATTTTGGAGCCACTGCCTTCAGAGGTAATGTAAACAATAATGAGCTATAAACGTGATATCAAACTTTACTTTGAAATAGAGGCCATCAGATGGAGCCAAGATGGCTGAATAGGAATAGCTCCAGTCTAGAGCTCCCAGCATGAGCGATGCAGAAGATGGGTGATTTCTGCATTTCCAACTGAGGTACTGGGCTCATCTCACTGGGGAGTGTTGGAAAGTGGGTGCAGGACAGTGTGTGCAGTGCATCCAGCATGAGCCGAAGCAGGGTGAGGCATTGCCTCACCTGGGAAGTGCAAGGGGTCAGGGAATTCCCTTCCTTGTCAAAGAAAGGGGTGATAGATGGCATCTGGAAAATCGGGTCACTCCCATCCTAATACTGTGCTTTTCCAACGGTCTTAGCAAATGGCACATCAGGAGATTATATCCCGAGCATGGCTCGGAGGGTCCTATGCCAATGGAGCCTCACTCATTGCTAGCACAGCAGTCTGAGATCAAACTGCAATGCAGCAGCGAGGCTAGGGGAGGGGTGCCCGCCATTGCCAAGGCTTGAGCAGGTAAACAAAGCAGCTGAGAAGCTCGAACTGGGTAGAACCCACCACAGCTCAAGGAGGCCTGCCCACCTCTGTAGCCTCCACCTCTGGGGGCAGGGAATAGCCAAACAAAAGGCAGCAGAATCCTCTGCAGACTTAAATGTCCCTGTCTGACAGCTTTGAAGAGAGTAGTGGTTCTCCCAGCACACAGCTGGAGATCTGAGAATGGACAGACTGCTTCCTCAAGTAAATCCCTGACCCCCAAGTAGCCTAACTGGGAGGCACCCCCAAGTAGGGGCAGACTGACACCTTACACGGCCAGGTACTCCTCTGAGACAAAACTTCCAGAGGAACGATCAGGCAGCAACATTTACTGCTCACCAATATCCGCTGTTCTGCAGCCTCCGCTGCCGATACCCAGGCAAACAGGGTCTGGAGTGGACCTCCAGCAAACTCCAACAGACCTGTAGCTGAGGGTCCTGACTGTTAGAAGGAAAACTAACAAACAGAAAGGACATCCACACCAAAACCCCATCTGTACGTCACCATCATCAAAGACCAAAGGTAGATAAAACCACAAACATGGGGAAAAAACAGAGCAGAAAAACTGCAAACTCTAAAAATCAGAGTGCTTCTCCTCCTCCAAAGGAACGCAGCTCCTCACCAGCAATGGAACAAAACTGGATAGAGAATGACTTTGACAAGTTGGGAGAAGAAGGCTTCAGATGATCAAACTACTCTGAGCTAAAGGAGGAAGTTTGAACCCATGGCAAAGAAGTTAAAAACCTTGAAAAAATATTAGATGAATGGCTAACTAGAATAACCAATGCAGAGTAGTCCTTAAAGGACCTGATGGAGCTGAAAACCAAGGCACAAGAACTACGTGATGAATGCACAAGCCTCAGTAGCCGATTCGATCAACTGGAAGAAAGGGTATCAGTGATGGAAGATCAAATGAATGAAATGAAGCAAGAAGAGAAGTTTAGAGAAAAAAGAATAAAAAGAAATGAACAGGCCTCCAAGAAATATGGGACTATGTGAAAAGACCAACTCTACGTCTGATTGGTGTACCTGAAAGTGACAGGGAGAATGGAACCAAGTTGGAAAACACTCTGCAGGATATTATCCAGGAGAACTTCCCCAATCTAGCAAGGCAAGCCAACATTCAAATTCAGGAAATACGGAGAATGCCACAAAGATACTCCTCGAGAAGAGCAACTCCAAGACATATAATTTTCAGATTCCTTAAAGTTGAAATGAAGGAGAAAATGTTAAGTGCAGCCAGAGAGAAAGGTCAGGTTACCCACAAACAGAAGCCCATCAGATTAACAGCCGATCTCTTGGCAGAAACTCTATAAGCCAGAAGAGAGTGGGGGCCAATATTCAACATTCTTAAAGAAAAGAATTTTCAACCCAGAATTTCATATCCAGCCAAACTAAGCTTCATAAGTGAAGGAGAAATAAAATCCTTTACAGACAAGCAAATGCTGAGAGATTTTGTCACCACCAGGCCTGCCCTAAAACATGGAAGCACTAAACATGGAAAGGAACAACCGGTACCAGCCACTGCAAAACATGCCAAATTGTAAAGACCATCGAGGTTAAGAAGAAACTGCATCAACTAATGAGCAAAATAACCAGCTAACATCATAATGACAGGATCAAATTCACACCTAACAATATTAACCTTAAATGTAAATGGGCTAAGTGCTCCAATTAAAAGACACAGATTGGCAAATTGGATAGAGTCAAGACCCATCAGTGTGCTGTATTCAGGAAACCCATCTCACGTGCAGAGACACACATAGGCTCAAAATAAAGGGATGGAGGAAGATCTACCAAGCAAATGGAAAACAAAAAAAAGGCAGGGGTTGCAATCCTAGTCTCAGATAAAACAGACTTTAAACCAACAAAGATCAAAAGAGACAAAGAAGGCCATTACATAATGGTAAAGAGGTCAATTCAAGAAGAGCTAACTATCCTAAATATATATGCACCCAATACAGGAGCATCCAGATTCATAAAGCAAGTCCTTAGAGACCTACAAAGAGACTTAGACTACCACACAATAATAATGGGAAATTTTAACACTCCACTGTGAACATTAGACAGATCGACGAGACAGAAAGTTAACAAGGATATCCAGGAATTGAATTCAGCTCTACACCAAGCGGACCTAATAGACATCTACAGAACTCTTCACCCCAAATCAACAGAATATACATTCCTCTCATCACCACATCGCACTTATTCCAAAATTGACCACATAGTTGGAAGTAAAGCACTCCTCAGCAAATGTAAAAGAACAGAAATTACAACAAACTGTCTCTCAGACCACAATGCAATCAAACTAGAACTCAGGATTAAGAAACTCACTCAAAACCACTCAACTACATGGAAACTGAACAACCTGCTCCTGAATGACTACTGGGTACATAACGAAATGAAGGCAGAAATAAAGATGTTCTTTGAAACCAACGAGAACAAAGACACAACATACCATAATCTCTGGGATGCATTCAAAGCAGTGTGTAGAGGGAAATTTATAGCACTAAATGCCCACGAGAGAAAGCAGGAAAGATCTAAAATTGACACCCTAATATCACAATTAAAAGAACTAGAGAAGCAAGAGCAAACACATTCAAAAGCTGGCAGAAGGAAAGAAACAACTAAGATCAGAGCAGAACTGAAGGAAATAGAGACACAAAAACCCTTCAAAAAATCAGTGAATCCAGGAGCTGGTTTTTTGAAAAGATGAACAAAATTGATAGACCACTAGCAAGACTAATAAAGAAGAAAAGAGACAAGAATCAAATAGATGCAATAAAAAATGATAAAGGGGATATCACCACCGATCCAACAGAAATACAAACTACCATCAGAGAATACTATAAACACCTCTATGCAAATAAACTAGAAAATCTAGAAGAAATGGGTAAATTCCTCGACACATACACCCTCCCAAGACTAAACCAGGAAGAAGTCGAATCTCTGAATAGACCAATAACAGGCTCTGAAATTGAGGCAATAATTAATAGCTTACCAACCAAAAAAAGTCCAGGACCAGATGGATTCACAGCTGAATTCTACCAGAGGTACAAGAAGGAGTTGGTACCATTCCTTTTGAAACTATTCCAATCAATAGAAAAAGAGGGAATCCTCCCTAACTCATTTTATGAGGCCAGCATCATCCTGATACCAAAGCCTGGCAGAGACACAACAAAAAAAGAGAATTTTAGACCAATATCCCTGATGAACATCGATGCAAAAATCCTCAATAAACTACTGGCAAACCAAATCCAGCAGCACATCGAAAAGCTTATCCACCATGATCAAGTGGGCTTCATCCCTGGGAGGCAAGGCTGGTTCAACATGTGCAAATCAATAAACGTAATCCAGCATATAAACAGAACCGACGACAAAAACCATATGATTGTCTCAATAGATACAGAAAAGGTCTTTGACAAAATTCAACAATGCTTCATGCTAAAAACTCTCAATAAATTAGGTATTGATGGGACGTATCTCAAAATAATAAGAGATATCTATGACAAAACCCCAGCCAATATCATACTGAATGGGCAAAAACTGGAAGCATTCCCTTTGAAAACTGGCACAAGACAGGGATGCCCTCTCTCACCACTCCTATTCAACATAGTGTTGGAAGTTCTGGCCAGGGCAATCACGCAGGAGAAGGAAATAAAGGGTATTCAATTAGGAAAAGAGGAAGTCAAATTGTCCCTGTTTGCAGATGACATGATTGTATGTCTAGAAAACCCCGTCGTCTCAGCCCAAAATCTCCTTAAGCTGATAGGCAACTTCAGCAAAGTCTCAGGATACAAAATCAATGTACAAAAATCACAAGCATTCTTATACACCAATAACAGACAAACAGAGAGCCAAATCATGAGTGAACTCCCGTTCACAATTGCTTCAAAGAGAATAAAATACCTAGGAATCCAACTTACAAGGGATGTGAAGGAACTTTTCAAGGAGAACTACAAACTACTGCTCAATGAAATAAAAGAGGATACAAAGAAACGGAAAAACATTCCATGCTCATGGGTAGGAGGAATCAACGTCATGAAAATGGCCATACTGCCCAAGGTCATTTATAGATTCAATGCCATCCCCATCAAGCTACCAATGACTTTCTTCACAGAATTGGAAAAAACTACTTTAAAGTTCATATGGAACCAAAAAGAGCCGGCATTGCCAAGTCAATCCTAAGGCAAAAGAACAAAGCTGGAGGCATCACGCTACCTGACTTCAAACTATACTACAAGGCTACAGTAACCAAAACAGCATGGTACTGGTACCAAAACAGAGATATAGATCAATGGAACAGAACAGAGCCCTCAGAAATAATGCCACATATCTACAACCATCTGATCTTTGACAAACCTGACAAAAACAAGAAATGGGGAAAGGATTCCCTATTTAATAAATGGTGCTGGGAAAACTGGCTAGCCATATGTAGAAAGCTGAAACTGGATCCCTTCCTTACACCTTACACAAAAATTAATTCAAGATGGATTAAAGACTTAAATATTAGACCTGAAACCATAAAATCCCTAGAAGAAAACCTAGGCAATACCATTCAGGACATAGGCATGGGCAAGGACTTCATGTCTAAAACACCAAAAGCAATGGCAACAAAAGCCAAAATTGACAAATGGGATCTAATTAAACTAAAGAGCTTCTGCACAGCAAAAGAAACTACCATCAGAGCGAACAGGCAACCTACAGAATGGGAGAAAATTTTTGCAATCTACTCACTGACAAAGGGCTAATATCCAGAATCTACAATGAACCAAAACAAATTTACAAGAAAAAAAAAAAAAAAAAACAAGCCCATCAACAAATGGGCAAAGGATATGAACAGACACTTCTCAAAAGAAGACATTTATGCAGCCAAAAGACACATGAAAAAATGCTCATCATCAGTGGCCATCAGAGAAATGCAAATCAATACCACAATGAGATACCATCTCACACCAGTTAGAATGGCGATCATTAAAAAGTCAAGAAATAATTGATGCTGGAGAGGATGTGGAGAAATAGGAACACTTTTACACTGTTGGTGGGACTGGAAACTAGTTCAACCATTGTGGAATTCAGTGTGGCGATTCCTGAGGGATCTAGAACTAGAAATACCGTTTGACCCAGCCATCCCATTACTGGGTATGTACCCAAAGGATTATAAATCATGCTGCTATAAAGACACATGCACACGTATGTTTATTGTGGCACTATTCACAATAGCAAAGACTTGGAACCAAGCCAAATGTCCTACAATGATATACTGGATTAAGAAAATGGGGCACATATACACCATGGAATACTATGCAGCCATAAAAAATGATGAGTTCATGTCCTTTGCAGGGACATGGATGAAGCTGGAAATCATCATTCTCAGCAAACTATCGCAAGGACAAAAAACCAAACACCGCATGTTCTCACTCATAGGTGGGAATTGAACAATGAGAACACATGGACATGGGAAGGGGAACATCACACACCAGGGCCTGTTGTGGGGTGGGGGGAGTGGGGAGGGATAGCATTAGGAGATATACCTAATGTTAAATGACAAGTTAATGGGTGCAGCACACCAACATGGCACATGTATACATATGTAACTAACCTGCATGTTTTGCACATGTACCCTAAAACTTAAAGTATAAAAAAAAAACAAAAAAGAAATAGAGGCCATCATATATATTGATTGTGGCTGTAAACATTTTTATGAAAAATATGGTAGTTGATATTTAAAAGGTTTTTAAGTATTCAACCCCACAATAACAAATTAATAATTAAAACTTTATATTTTTTGGAAAGGACAATGTATCGTATGCATTTTTGTTGTTTTTTTCATTATGTTTCATCAATAACGTCATTGCTTATTTTAATAGTCAACATTTAAACAAGGTTATACTAGAAAATTATAAGTAATGTATGATGAAAATTTATAGCATTGTTCAAAGTGCAACAGTTAGAGGGATGATCAGGTTGCTAGAGTTTGAGAACAATTGGATTTGTTAGTTTTATTATTTATGTAAGCATAGTATAAAATGGTATTTAATTAATTTACTTCTATTTTATTGTATTTCAAAATTTCCTGTACAAATAAAGTACAGTGACCTGTATGTCCTCAGGAACTCTTAGTTTGTAGAGATGTAATTCTCTATTAAGATTTGCATTTCCTATTTTGGAAACATATATTTTAAAGGTCACCTTTACTGAAAGCATGAGTTGAAAACGTTATATAAAATCTACCAAGGGAGAATATTATATATGCAGAAAAATATTAACATAATAAGAAAGTAATAGTCATTTTAAGAGACATGCCCAAGTAGAAGGAATCCATTGTGGTAGGAAATCTTGCTTGCCACCACACTGACATAAATTTTATATATATATATATATATATATATATATATATATATATATATATATATATATATGTAAAAGACATTTAAATCACATTTTAAATAATAAGAATATGAATGTAGATATTTTGTTTTGCAGTATCACCCATGGCTCATCGTTTTAATTAAAAATGAGGCTTCCTTATAGTGTAACGAAATATTTCCAAAATACAAATGTACAGTTATACATTTATTATATATAAGGTTTTTCAAAGGCAATGCTTCCAGCTTTGCCCTTTCAGTATGATATGGGCTGTGGGTTTGTCATAAATAGCTCTTATTATCTTGAGGTATGTTCCATCAATACCTAGTTTATTAAGAATTTTTAACATGAATGGATGTTGAATTTTATCAAAGGCCTTTCCTTCATCTATTGAAATAATCATGTGGTTTTTGTCATTGGTTCTGTTTATGTGATGGATAACATTTATTGATTTTCATGTTGAACCAGCCTTGCATCCCAAAGTTGAAGCCAACTTGATCGTGGTGGATAAGCTTTTTGAGGTGCTGCTGGATTCAGTTTGCCACTAGTTTATTGAAGATTTTTGCCTCGATGTTCATCAGGGATATTGGTCTGAAGTTTTCTTTTTTTGTTGTGTCTCTGCCAGGTTTTGCTATCAGGATGATGCTGGCATCATAAAATGAGTTACAGAGGAATCACTCCTTTTCAATTGTGTGAAATAGTTTCTGAATGAATGGTACCAGCTCCTCTTTGTACCTCTAGTAAAATTTGGCTGTGAATCCATTTGGTCCTGGGCTTTTTTTTGTTGGTAGGTGATTTATTACTGCCTCAATTTCAGAACTTGTTATTGGTCTATTCAGGGATTGGACTTCTTCCTGGTTTAGTCTTGGGAGGGTGTATGTGTCCAGGAAGTTACCCATTTCTTCTAGCATTTCTACTTTATTTGCATAGAGGTGTTTATACTATTCTCTGATGGTAGTTTGTATTTCTGTGGGGTCAGTGGTGATATCCCTTTTATCATTTTTATTGTGTCTATTTGATTCTGTTCTCTTTTCTTCTTTATTAGTCTAGGTAGTGGTATATTTATTTTATCAATTTTTTTCAAAAATCAGCTTCTTGATTTATTGAAGGGTTTTTTTGTGTCTCTATCTACTTTAGTTCCACTCTGTCTTCTGGTAGCTTTTGGATTTATTTCCTCTTGCTTCTCTAGTGATTTTAATTTTGATGTAGGGTGGTGATTTGAGATGTTTCTAACTTTCTGATGTGGGCATTTAGTGCTATAAATTTTTCTCTTAACATGGCTTTAGCTGCATCTCAGAGATTCTGGTATGTTTTCTCTTTGTTCTCATTGGTTTCAAAGAACTTCTTGATATCGCCTTAATTTCATTATTTACCCAGGAGTAATTCAGGAGCAAGTTGTTCAATTTCCATGTAGTTGTATGGTTTTGAGTGAGTTTCTTAATCCTGAGTTCTAATTTCATTGCACTGTGGTCTGAGAGATTGCTTGTTATGATTTCATTTTTTTTGCATTCGCTTAGCAGTGTTTTACTTTTAACTGTGTGGTTGATTTTAGAATAAGTGTCATGTAGCACTGAGAAGAATGTATGTTCTGTTGATTTGGAATGGAGAGTTCTGTAGATGTCTATTAAGGTCCACTTGATCCAGAGCTGAGTTCCAGTCCTGAATATCCTTGTTAATTTTCTGTCTCATTGATCTAATATTGGCATTGGGGTGCTAAAGTTTCCCAATATTATTGTGTGGGAGTGGAAGTCTCTCTGTTAGTTTCTAAGAACTTATTTTATAAATCTGTGTGCTCCTGTATTGGGTGCATATATATTTAGGATTGTTAGCTCTTCTTGTTGAATTGATCCCTTTACCATTTTGTAATGTGCTTCTTTGTCTTTTTTGATCTTTGTTGGTTTAAGGTCTGTTCTGTTAGAGACTAGGATTGCAACCCCTGCTTTTTTCTGCTTTCCATTTGCTTGGTAAATTTTCCTCCATCCCTTTATTTTGAGTCTATGTGTGTCTTTGCACATGAGATGGGTCTCTTGAATAGAGCATACTGATGGATCTTGACTCTATCCAATTTGCCAGTTGGTGTCTTTTAATTGGGGACATTTAGCACATTTACATTTAAGGTTCATATTGTTATGTGTGAATTTGATCCTGTCCTCATGATGCTAGCTGGTTATTTTCACAGTAGTTGATGCCATTGCTTCATAGAGTCATTGGTCTTTATACTTTCATGTGTTTTGCAGTGGCAAGAACAGGTTTTTCCTTTTCATATTCAGTGTTTCCTTCAGGAGCTCTTGCAAGGCAGGCCTGGTGGTGACAAATTCCCTCAGCATTTGCTTGTGTGAAAAGGATTTTATTTTTTCTTTGCTTATGAAGCTTAGTTTGGCTGGATATGAAATTCTGGGTTGCAAATTCTTTTCTTTAAGAATATTGAATATTGGCCCCCACTTTCATCTGGCTTGTAGAGTTTCTGCTGAGAGATCCACTGTTAGTCTGATGGGCTTCTCTTGTAGGTGACCTTGCCTTTCTCTCTGACTGTCCTTAACATTTCTTCTTTCATTTCGATCTTGGAGAATCTGATGATTATCTGTCTTAGGGTTGATCTTCTTGTGGAGTATCTTAGTAGGGTTCTCTGTATTTCCTAAATTTGAATGTTGGTCTGTCTTGCTAGGTTGGGGAAGTTCTCCTGGATAATATCCTGAAGTGTGTTTTCCAACTTGGTTCCATTCTCCCCGTCTCTTTCAGGTATTCCAATCAGTCGTAGGTACAGACTTTTCACATAGTCCCATATTTCTTGTAAGTTTTGTTCATTTGCTTTCATTCTTTTTTTCTCTATTCTTGTCTGTCTACCTTCTTTCAGCAAGATAGTCTTCCATCTCTGATATTCTTTTTCCAGTTGATCGATTTGGCTACTAATAATTGTGTATGCCTCATGAAGTTCTTGTGCTGTGTTTTTCAGCTCCATCAAGTCATTTATGTTTTTCTCTACACTGATTATTTTAGTTAGCAGCTCTGTTAACCTTTTATCAAGGTTCTCAGTTTGTTTGCATTGGGTTAGAAGATGCTCCTTTACCTCAGCAAAGTTTATTACCCATCTTCTGAATCCTACTTCTGTCAATTCGTCTATCTCATCCTCCATCGAGTTCTGCACCCTTGCTGGAGAGGTGGTGTGATCATTTGGAGAAGAGACACTCTGGCCTTATGGGTTTTCAGTGGTTTTTTCACTGATTCCTTATGTTCATGAGTTTGTCTAGTTTTGATCTTTGAGGCTGATGACCCTTGAATGGCATTTTTGTGGGGACTTTTTTTGTTGATACTGTTGTTGCTTTCTGTTTGTTTTTCTTTCAGTAGTCAGGTCCCTCTTCTGTAGGGCTGCTGCAGTTTTCTGGGGGTTCACTTCAGGCTCTATTCATCAGATTTGCTCCCACACCTTGAGATGTCACTTGAGGAGGCTGGAGAACAGCAAAGATGGGTGACTGCTTCTTCCTCTGGGATCTATAACCTCATGGGGCATCAACCTGGTAACAGTAGGAACACTCCTGTATGGAGTGTCTGACAACACCTGTTGGGGTGTCTCATCCAGTTGGGTGGCATGGGAAGCAAGCCCCATTTAATGAAACATTTTGGTTGTCCCTTGGTGGAGAGGGTGTGCTGTGCTGGAGGGAAACTCTCTTATCTAGGCTGCTCAGATTCCTCAGAGCTAGTAGGAAGAAAGACTAAGTCTGCTGGACCATGGAGACTATGGCCGCCCCTCTCCCTAGGGGCTCAGGCCCAGGGAGATCAGAGTTCTGTTCCTGAGCCCCTGGCTGGAGTTGTTGGGGTTCCTGCAAGGAGGCCCTGCAACCACAGTGTTTGCTGCTGCCCCTCCTGCAAGGAGTTTAGCCAGCCTAGACAGCAGACAGTGATGATGGCTACCCTCCCCTCCGGGAACTCGGCAGGCTTAGGCAGATTCTAGCCCAGTGCCCCTGGTGGTGTGAGCTCACAAGTGGGATATTCCGATCTGTGGGTTGCACAGTTTCATAGAAAAAGCATGGTTTCCCAGGCTGGGTAGCATGCTTACTTATGGTCTCCCTTGGCTGGAGGTGGGGCCTCCCCTCCCCCATGTGGCTTTCAGGTGGGCTGCCGCACCACACTGCTGTTCCTTTCTTTCTATGGGCCACACAAGCGGCCTAGTCAGTTCTAATGACAGAACCTGAATATCTCAGTTGCTGGTGTAGGATTAGCATGAGTTTTGGATCTTATCAATGGGAGTCTCTGATTGCTGCTGCTTCCAGTCAGCCATCTTGTCCTCAGTGTTTTATACTTTTGATAACAGAGATCTTTGATGTATTTGGTTAAGTTAATTCTTAGGTATTTAATTGTATGTGTGGCTATTATAAATGGGATTACATTTTTTTCTTTTTCACGTTGTTTACTATTGACATATATAAATGCTACTAATTTTTGTATGTTGGTTTTGTAACTTGCAACTTTCCTGAATTTGTTTATCAGTTTTAATAGTTTTTTTTTGTGTGTGTGTGTGGAGTCTTTAGGATTTTCCAAATATAACATCATATCAGCAGTCACCAAGCATAATTTAACTTCTTCCTTTCCAATTTGGATGCCCTTTATTTTTTTCTCTTGTCTGATTGCTCTAGCAAGGACTTCCAGTACTATGTTGAATAACAGTGGTAACAGTGGGCATCCTTGTCGTGCTCCAGATCTTAGAGGAAAGGCTTTCAATTTTTCCACATTCAGTATAATACTAGCTGTTGGTCTGTTGTATATGGCTTTTATTATGTTCAGGTATATTCCTTCTATCAAAATAATTATTTTTAATGAATAGAATTGTTTTACATTTTAGTGAACAAACAAGTCCTTAAAATCTCAACAATAAGATTGTATAGTTCAAATATAGTTTTTCTCTACTTTTGACTTTCTAAAGTTGATTTTTTCCTCTCCTGATAAAAGTTATGTTATTGACTCTTTTGATGGTGAAAAAAATCAAACAAAATAATCACAATACACATCTTGGAATAGTTTTACTTCATCATTATCAATTGTCCAGGACTTGTTAAGAATGATTTTCTACCTCTACTCTTTTATTTCAGTTTTTATTTACTTTAATCTTGATTATTTTTATGTTTTCTGGGTTTTGACTTATATCATGGACAATGTGATTAATTAAGAAAGAGAAAAAGAAAGAGAGAATACCTTCTGTTATTCTTTTATATTTTATGGTTATAATCAGTGGTCTTCAGGCCATATAATCCTAGGATAAATAATATCAAATAGCAAGGACAGTGACAAAATTTCAATGCTTGATTTCCAACTTATTTTTTAATAGTAAATTCTGAAAAATATATAGGGTATCATATATGTTTCATGATGCAATTCTGATGAATACATTTTGGCAGTTTCTGTTTGCATTTGGAATTTAAGAGGCATACCAAATGAAATGGTATTGTACTGTAGTCACTAAGCCTAAAGGGCAGAAAAGACAACCTTTCTAAGTATGTATTCTCTTCCCTTTATATCATTGGAAGATCTGAAAACTTGACTTAAAAACAATTGGATTGTCTTTTCAATAGATTAGTCCACCCAGTGAGTTTTCCATTCAGCATTCTAATTTATGATTATATATTGAGCCATGACCTTCAATGCTGAGGTTTTATTCTCTATATTATATGTAGTAATTGTATAATTTTTCTTATTTATTGATGTTACTTTATTTCAAGATGTCCTTTGTTTCCAGTTCCAACTTAAGGCTTTACCAATGATGGATGCTTTTTGTCATGAGATTTTAAGAGCCCATAATAAAACGAGAATTCCAACATGGTCCTTACAAAATTAAGCACTTTGAGTGTTGATTCATGCCATTACTGAAACTACTAAAACCCCTTCACTTTTTTTTTTCAGATGAACACATTAATGCTTAAAAAATTTAAGTAGTTTGCCACTGATTTCATGTCTGTTAATGGCAACTCTAGCTCTAGGTCTTCAAGGTTCACTTTGGACTAAATCCAGGTTCCCACATGCTGTACATTTCGCCCATGATTTTCTGTATTTTAAATAATTACTTACATTTTGTTTTAGCCTTAGTTTCCCAATCTCCCTCTTCCCCATACACTTCAATTGTAATTGAGTTGCAGACAGAACTAAATCAATAGCTCCTGGAAACTGTAACCTCCACCTACCCATGTTAACAAGTTCTTTTCCTCTTGTCCACAACTGCAGGTAGTGATAAATGTGTAGTTCAATTGACTACTTTATATCCCCAGCTTAAATTCATAATGGAACTGTCAGTCAATAAGACAGTATTTGGTGGTCACATTCTAACTGAAAAATTTATTTCCTGACTGCCTGTCAGTATGTCCCAAAAGATAATGTTTTAAATCCTGAATGTGTGGTACATGTCTTTAATAGCATACGATTAGTAACCTAGTTAAAGATTTCTATAGTGATATTTTTCCCTCAAATAATCTAATATTTTTTATGACATGAATACTGATTCATAGCAACCAGGCTGTGTAGGAAATCACTTCCAATAAGTAGTCAAGGTGGTTGCCCCATTAAAGCACTTGCTATTTCTCAGAAAGCACAGAAGATAGGTTTTTAGGGTATGGAGGAAAGATTTTTAGAATTAAACCCAGAAAAAATAGCATTTCTGAATATCATTTACAATTATTAGAATAAATGAAGTTAAGCTGAAAAGGTTATTAACTTATCTTCCTGGGTTCTCAAGTGTAATGGAAAGGAGACAACAGCCAAAGACACACAAAAAGAATTGTATCTGGCTTGCTTTGCCTACTGCTATGCTGCACATTTTGTATTTCAATTAAAATTTTTAATTAAGAAATTTCAACTGTTGTAAGTATGCTTAACAACTAACATATTCATATAACCTCTAAATGGAATAAGTCTCTGTTAAGAGGTAATAAACTTGGATATTAACATGATTCTGATCAAAAGATATGGAGATGTATTTAAATTGAAATTGGCATTATGTTAATGTAAAATGGTAACTCTCATCTAGTTTGGGGCTGTTTTAATCAGTATATTAAAATGCATTTTAATATTTCACTACTCTAAACCCATGGAAATAGGAGGCATTTCAAGCTTTGATAATATTCTTAACAATATTTTAATACATAAAAATTTAAAAATAACTTGTGATCTTCTTTGTCATTTGTAGTATCTGGAGCAAAGATTCATTGAGTGTAAAATATGTTTTAAAATGTTACACATTGATGCATTTTTGTAAGTTTTCATCTATATTGTGTCATCCTGACCTGTCTCTGACTAAGATGATCATATATTACAAGTACACTAAATTTTTCACTTGGTAACCTTATTCCAACCCTTGCCTCATCCATTAATTAATTCATTCATCAATTATTAATTTCAATCACTTAAATAACTCACAGTCTGGTTCAGAAGATAGACAGTTAGGTAATTAAAATGCTGCAGTTACCTTTAGAAGAACCTGCCCATCCCATGGCTTCCTTCTCAGTAAAATGATCACCACTGACATGGAATGCTGAACCTGGCCACTGAAGCCTGGTTTTTCTAGGTGGATTACTCCTTCATGTACAGTCTTGAAGATAAGTGCCTCCTGATATTTTAAAAGATATTCTTGTGCCTCTTATGGGTACTGTATAAGCAGAACCTTGATTTAATTTCCAGATTGTTAACCTGTAGCAATTTTTATTACAGAAGAAAAAAGATTGAATTGTATTATAGTTTTAATATATTCATCAGCATATAAAAAACTTTCATATGTACTTCCTGAATCTAAAATAAAAGTTGAAATTATGCGGAAAAAAAATGACAGGGTCACCAAGCAGGCAAGGGAGGAAAAGTCAAGGGAGGGAAGGAACAATACATTTAAAGGCACTGGGGGAATAAAAGCGCATGTATGAGACTATCGGACATGACCATTAATGTGGGATCCTACAATGGATCCTGGAACAGAAAAATGACATTTGTGGGCCGGGCATGGTGGCTCACGCCTATAATCCCAGCATTTTGGGGGGCCGAGGCAGGTGGATCACGAGGTCAGGAGATCGAGACCATCCTGGCTAACACAGTGAAACCCCGTCTCTACTGAAAAATATGAAAAATTATCTGGGCATGGTGGCGCGCGCCTCTAGTCCCAGCTACTCGGGAGGCTGAGGCAGGAGAATGGCGTGAACCCGGGAGGCGGAGCTTGCAGTGAGCCTAGATTGCGCCACAGCACTCCAGCCTGGGCTACAGAATGAGACTCCATCTCAAAAACAAAAACAAACAAACAAACAAACAACAAAAACAACAACAACAAAAAATGACATTTGTGGAAAACCTATTGTGAAATCCTAATGAATTCTGTTTTAATAGTATATATGTATATACTCACACACTATTATATATTCTATATATTTATGTATATGTTTGTGTATTTATGTGTATGTTTCTGAAATAGAGTATGTGTGTGGCACACAGCTGACATATGCTCTATTTCAGAAACATATTTTTGAATAATTTTTTTAAAACAACATGTTTCCTTCTCTGACCTGGCTTTTGCCTTAACCCCTATTCCTCTTGTTCACTAGTTTAACTAGCAAAATATTAGAAGATCCTAATTTTCTTACACAGAGATTTCTTTTTAATAGAATATTGTTTTTCAGATAAATTGCCTTTCTTCCTAAGACACTACTAAAAAATACAGAAAAAATAATATAATTCCAAACTGATGCATATTTACTGACAAAGCATGCTATTTGAATTCAGACAGAAGTACGTTTGAATTTCATACATATTATTTTGCTTCTGGTCACTTCTGAATTCCAGATTCCTCATCAGTAGAAATGATGAACTTACCTAACTGACATCCTGTGAGGAATGAACCAAGTTATACACATGACTACACCTATCCAGTGCTCAGCACATGGTAGAATCTTAATAAATGAAAACATCTTTTCTCTTTCCATTTGTTACCTACTTGCTACTAGTCTCTAAATTCATGGCACATTTATTGAATAAATGATCCTGTATGTCCTTTTGGACACATTAGTTGACCTCATTGCTCTCTGTTTCCTCACCTACTAAATAGAGAAATGGAATCAGATCTATTCTAAGTTTGCTTCTATCTCAAAAACTATTTTAAGAACAGGGATATAAATAAGATTCACTCAGAGAGAGAATATAACTAATGCCTTGGAATAAGAAATTTCTGGTTTTGAATATATAATTGATCACTTGCTAACTGTGGGACTTTGGATTAATGGCTAATATTGTGAAGGCTCAGGTTTTTTCCTCAATAAAACAGAGATAATAATATTGTCTATCTTAGAAGTTTCACTTGAAGATTGGATGACATAATATGAGGATTCAAGGGATTTTCAATAAATAATAGCAATTATGTGATGTTAATATTATAATCATTATAATTTACCATTACCATGTTATCATTATCACATTACCACTTTAATTTTGCAATAGAGAGGGTTGGAAAAAATTTAAGTTTACTGTAGCTTTAGCAAAATTATTGTCTAGGAAATTTACGTATTCTAATTTTTAGGAACTGTGAACCATAAAGTAAATATTTAATTTTATTTGAATACTTAATTTGGGGCAATATTGATCTAAGAATATATTTAACCTTTTTATTTATTGAAGAATACATTGTTGAATATCTAAAATTTTCTAGACATGGAGCTACAGCAGTGGAGAGAAAAATTTTATCTTTGTCCTCATAGGGTTTACAGTCTAGCAGGAGAATTGGGTGATGTAATCTTTATTAGTTAGCTTTTGCAATATGAAAGAATCCACTCTATGATTAGAGATTTAAGACAATAAACAGTTACTAGGTCTCATTATTCTATGGATTAGCTAGGAAATTCTTTTTTTTGCTCTGGATTAATTTGGCTAGAGGTGGGGAAGATGAACTCACTGAAATATCTAGAAGTTTGATGGGGGCCTGTGTGGGCAATGAGATAACTTTACCAAGGGCCTGTGGTTAAACAACATAATTGCCTGGGCTCTTACACATTCTAGTGGTTGTAAAATTCCCATAAACAAAGATAGAGCAAGCCCCAAGTGTCAGCAATTTGCAAATGCCTACTTGCATAATGTTTGTAATTACTTCATTAGCAAAGCAAATGACTGGGACAAACCCAGTGCCAGTATGGGGGTAGACCACTCAATCTATCACATGGCCTATTGACATGTGATTCAAAGCGGGTTCTGTTGTTGTTGTTGTTGTTGTTGTTGCTGTTTTTTGGAGGACGAGGAGAATGGACTAGAAGAGGCAATGTGAGCATAGAGGACACTTTGAAGCCCAATGTTCTGAGGTTGTTTAAGAAAAAGATAGCTACCTCCTCATGGGTCTGGAGTGATGCAGAGTCATCAGGGCAGAGTTAGGTTTTAGTTTGAACAAGAAAGAGAGAGGGACTTTCCAAACAGATGAACAAAAACCTGCAGGGAATAGGAGATTTGGATAAGAATTGACAATAATTTCCTGAGGGTCTTGGGAGTTGAGGGGATATGCTAGATGAGATCAGATTAGGAGATTAGAGGCCAGGTAATCAGGGTAACCTGGATTTTCAGGTTCATTCCGGAGACCAGTGTATTCCTTGCTTAGGAGGTATCAAATGGAATGTTGTGTTTTTCCATACTTGGTTACTTGGTTCTAAACAAATAAAGTTATTAAAGGACCAGAGAATTGAGTTATTTCAAGTTTGTCAGAAATTTAGTGGCCCTAACTGGAGGCTTTTTCATGACAAATAACAAATAGATGTTGTTGAGCCCAGCTGTGTGTAGATGTGTAGGCTGGTTTGTCTGATAGAGGTTAGTTTTTATTCCTTAACAAGCACAGCCACCACAGACTCCTCACCTTTCTAGCACTTAAAAAGCTCACCCTTTCCCCCTCATTATCCTACTCAATGCCTTTCTTCTTCTAATGTGTGTTCACTTGATTGACAAGTAAGTAAACTCAGCATTGCTGAAAGGGCTCAATTTTCTGGAGTATAAACACTGGCTCTTGGTCTCAGTCGAGAAAGAATTCAGGACAGGGACACACATGAGGAGTGAGTTTAGGAGTGGAAAGTTTAATAGAAAAAGAAAAGATAGAGAAAAAGCTTCCTGATGCTGCGAAAGCAGGTGGCCCAAAACAGGGTCTCCAATTTGCCAGGGAACACGATTGGTTTTGTACAGAGGCTTGAAGAGGTGGTGACTGATTTACATAGGGCTCAGGGGTTGACCAGGTGTGCTATTTACCTAGCCCTGGAAAAGACTGGCCCTCCCACCCTAGTCTTTTATTATGCAAATACGGCCTCCACCTGGCAGCAGCCATAATGCCTGCACAGGTTGTTTTACCTGGAGGCTGCCATGATACCTGTAAGGAAAAGAGGGCAGGAGATGGCATATTGAATGTACCTGGCTTCTAGGTACAGCTGCCAGTATTTACATATAAAAGCTCCTACTTTGCATGTCTATGCCTGACTTCTCAGGCTGCTTTCTGTTTAGACAGGAAATGGTTTTGAGCTGCTTTTTATGAAAGGAAAATTCCACCGAGAACTTTCACCCTTTCTAGCTGCCTAAAAATTATTTCTTAATAACTCTTGTATTATTGTCTTTTTATTGTTTATTTATTTATTTATTTAAGATGGAGTCTTGCTGTGTTGCCCAGGCTGGAGTGCATAGCGTGACCTCGGCTCACTGCAGCCTCTGCCTCCCGGGTTTAAACGATTTTCCTGTCTTAGCCTCCTGAGTAATTGGGATTGCAGTTGCGGGCCAGCACGCCCATGCAATTTTTTGTATTTTTAGTAGAGATGGTCTTTCACTGTGTTGGCCAGGCTGGTCTCGAACTCCTGACCTCAAGTGATCCGCCCGCCTTGGCCTCTCAAAGTACTGGGATTACAGGCATGAGCCACCATGCTCAGCTTGTCTTTTACTTTTTAAATAGGATCTGAGGATCTTGGGTTTTTTGTTTTTATTTTTGATAAGAGCCTAAGAAGACTAACGCTGGTGGTTGTAGTACAAATGATGGTGGTGACTCAGTGAGTGTTGTGAGTGGGGTTGGGGAGGGGATTACTGGGGACAGGGAGGAACACTTTCCAGGAGCGTGTAGAGTTCTGCCAAGGATATGTGAGGGCAAGGTGGAAAAAAATCTATCATATCCAGACCTCTAGACCTCACATCTAACATCCAGAGCACAAAGATACAATTTTTATAAAGGGTAACATGCTTGCTGTGATTAATAAAATGTTCTATATAGCCAGATATTTTGTGAATAGATGAAGTGGAAATTTTCCCAATTTACTTATCTCTATATTTAGACATAGATTTCTAAATATTCTTACCTTACTTTGTTAATTAAATCCAGATTTATCATCTATGAATAAGTCTAAATTTATCCTCTATGAATATATCTAAAATTCCTTAAATTTATTTACGTGCATGAACTACTTGTTACTGCTCTGTATAAATAGAAGACTTGCAATTTAACAGTTTTATTGTTATTTTTAAGTAAATCTCAGTGAATTCTCCTGATGTTAGTAGACTAAAATTTGGGAATAAGTTTATGTCTACCCCATCCATAAACTTCATTATTTTAAAAGTCGTTATCTTATTTCTCAGCTTTTTTCTTTCCAGTTTAAGGAGCTCTCATTTGTAGTCTGTCATTATCCAGAAGGCTCTCCATATCCTTGATCAAGAGTAGAAAGGTTAAGCTTCACTTTCTAAATCAGAACCTGAAGGAACTTGATAAGAGACAGCCAAAGTCAGGGATCATTAATCACTATCATGCAAGAAAAATTGAGAAAAGTATCAAGAAATGCAGCATTGTCGTTTGGGGCCCACTTTCTTTTTTTTCTGTTTTAATTTTCTTTCAAAATTTGAACAACATACATTAAGATAATTAAATTAAAAGAATCTTGAGTTACTAAAGGCTTATGGTAAAAATTTGTTTTTGAAATGATATAGTCTCAAAATAGCACTTTTTAATAAAATGTTATTTTATAACATTTTATAATAAATTTGGAGTTAAATTATTCTTCAGGCTAAACACAGTCACACAAAGATGTGAAAATATGGAATTTTCTTGTATTTCTCTCTATCTCTTCATATTGCTTCCCATCTGCATCCCCCAACTGACAAAAAAACATATCAACCATCAAACTAAGTGTAGTACTTGTGTAATATTTTTCATATCTAGGTTCTGAGAGAAAAATCTTTACAATTCATTTTTATAAATATTTTTATGGAAGTAAGTTATGGGTTATAAGGGGATCTGCAATCAGATAGGGATGAGATTGTTTTGGGGGTCAAAAAAGGAAAGGAAGAGAGAGAGATATAGTGTTAGAGAGAAAGAGCCAGAGGGAGAGCAAAAGAGAGAGATTCAAAGAGGTTCTTCAAGGGAAATAGCACCTATGCTGGATATATTGTTCTGAGAGATTTTAGGCAATGGGAGATTATGCATGGGTGGTTGTTGACAGTTACGGGTGTGGAGCTCATCCAAGCAGAGTGTTGGAAATGAGAATAAGAAAAAAAAATAGGAATAATTTTAGAAGCTCTAAATCAGCGGTCCCCCACCTTTTTGGCACCAGGGAGCGGTTTTGTGGAAAACAATTTTTCCATGGATGGCAGGGGGAAGACAGTTTTAGTTTTGGGATGAACCTGTCCCACCACACATCATCAGGCATTAGATTCTCATAAGAAGCATGAAACTTAGATCCCTTCCATGCACAGTTCACAGTAGGGTTCGCACTTCTAAGAGAATCTAATGCTGCTGCTGATCTGACAGGAGGTGGAGCTTAGGCAGTAATGCTTCCTAGCCTGCTGCTCACCTCCTGCTGTGCGGCCAGGTTCCTAACAGGCCACAGACTGGTACTGGTCCATGGCCCAGGGGTTGGGGACCCCTACTCTAAATAATATGAACTCAATTTGGACCAATAGATAGAAAGTCAATGATGGATAGCTAGGAAAATGACCACCACTAAATGTTGTTAGTAGTTTTGCATACTTATTGAGTAAGTACGTACCCAATATTCTAATGGAGAGAAGAAATTGTGACAATTGGTAAGGAGTGAGAATATGATTATCTCTGTGCAAATGAACATCTACTGTTTCTTCAACTTGCTTTTACAAAGGCTCTGCAATATCCCTCACACTGTTTGCTTGTATTCCAATCATCCTTTTAGGTTTCAGGTTAATTTTGAAGTGAGAGGACATAATTTGAACACATTCAAGCATCTAAAGATACTGCTTTGCATTTGTTGGTCTCTTCTAGTCACTTTCTTTTCATAACTACCATTGATACCTAAAGAAAATCTTTGTCTTGGTTGGGCATGGTGGCTCACGCCTGTAAACCCAGCACTTTGGGAGGGCTAGGTGGGTGGATCACGAAGTCAGGAGATTGAGACCATCCTGGCCAACATGGTGAAACCCTGTCTGTACTAAAAATGCAAAAAAATTAGCTGGGCATGGTGGTGCTCATCTGTAGTCCCAGCTACTTGGGAGGCTGAGGCAGGAGAATTTCTTGAACCCTGGAAGTGGAGGTTGCCCTGAGCCGAGATTGAACCACTTCACTCCAGCCTGGCAACAGAGTGAGACTCCGCCTCAAAAAAAAAAAAAAAAAAAAAGAAAATTTTATTCATATATTTTAATGGTTATTCTCATTGAATTATTTTGTATTACCTGGTTAAGTGCATGATTTTTAAAAATATATTTAATATAATTATATTCACAAATATTATTGTGAACTTTTTTATACTGGGTAAATAAATGGAATCTGAAAACAGATGTAAACTCCTACGTGATTACCTTAGACTCTTTGTGAAGTTTCTTCTCTTAAATGTAGGAACATAATCCTGCAGACTGAAGGTTGGGGGAAATTTTTTAAGATTTTAAAGCTGTAAACTTTCTAAGGCTTAAAAATGATGGGTTTGGCTACATCAAAAATAACAATATATATTGAACAAAAATTCCACAGATAAATTTGGCAGGTTATGACATGAAGAAAGGACTTTTGCAATGTTTAAAACTAACAAGTTACTAATATGTAGACTACAAAAAAATACCTTACACATCACCAAAAAGAATGAAGATCCAAGAGAAAAACGAAAAAGGAAGCCTGAATGGCTGACAAGTATATAAAGAATTGCTTTAACTCATTAGAGAAGTACAAATTAAATAAGTTAAACAATAGGAGAAGTTACTTCATAATGTGACAAGTATTGGAAAGATGGATAATGATAATTACTCTTGGAGGTGTTGATAGATGGGAGCTCTGAACTGGGAAATGTACATTAGTGAGGCTGTACTGGACCAACCTGACTGAATTTAATAAAACCATGTATTTGCATCCTCTAAGGCCCTGTATTTCATTCCTGGGTATTTAGCTTAGAAATGTTTTCACATAGGTCTGTAAGGTGGCATGTGAAAGGATGTTCACTAAAGCCTTATTTATATTGGCTGGGAATTGAGGGTGACCCTGGGTATCAATCATTATAGTAATGGATCAGTAAAGTGCTGAAAATCTGTAGTATTGAACACTTAGCTGCAGTAGGAAACAAAAATTTAATTATTTGTAGAACAATAGAAATCTCAAAAATGTTGATGAATGATAAAGGTAGGTAACAGAAACAGATTTGGAAAACATTAACATTTATGTAAATTTGAAACCATACTTCCTCTTCCCACAAAAACTGCATATACTATAGGACAAATTCATAGATAAGGATATATATTAAATACACTGGTATAGGTACTTATGGGGGAGTAGGATGTTAAGGGAAGAAAGAGACATAACTGAGCTTAAAATGCATGAAACAAAAGTGAACAGAAGAGGTGCCATTACTGGAGATGTGAAATACAATATACTACTAATAGAAAGATATGATGAACTCACTGGTATTCCTTAGGATTAAATACTTTTCTTTACAAAGTATTTTTCTTAATACCTGACCAAACTTGAATAAATCAATAAATCATAAAAATATAAATTACACAATTAAAAATGCATTATAGTATTTAAAAGACTTATCAAAAAGATAGAATATTATATTTTCTAATGCAGTCATTTGAACATGCTGTGTTTGTGTGACCGATCTTTTAACATTCAATAATTCATACAGCAAAAGTGTTTTAAATCACAGTGTGAAGGAACAAATATAGTAGCAAAATTCATCTCATTTAACAAAAGATGAGTAAAAATCGACTAATCCTTAGATGCTTATTAAACTTTGAGTTAGAACTAGATGACCAATGATAAACAAATGATGCAACATGAGTCCAGTCAAAAATCAGATGAAAAACTTAACACCTGTATAATTTCCACCCAACCTCTTGGAGCATATAATCTCTCTCTTTTCTTAAATGGCAATGAAATTCACACACATTCATTTACAGCTGCAATCAATATTTATTGTTAATACTCTTTATATTTAGTTTCTAAAACTTCCTAGTAATCACTATAATGCGATTTTAAGTAACTGCCTAAAGCAATACAGATTTTGTCATAAATAAGAAATTAGCTATGGCAAAAAGAACAGCATATTAACATGCACTGGGCAACTGTTCCAATTCTTGGTTTTCTTTTAAACCTCAATAGTGTTACTCTCTGCTATTATCACACATTTTGCAGGCAACTTGTCAAGTTTTGGTTGTGGTTGTGTTTTCTCTTTCTGGTAAATGAGAATTTTCATATCTTCAAGTTACTAAAGAGAAAGGTGGAAAAAAAGAAACAAAACACACTTGGTTTACCAAATTGCAGAGTCCAGAACTAAATTAAATGGAAGCTGGGGTGAGGGAAGTTGGCTTTTTTGACAATGTAAAGTTGAAGATTTGATAGTGGATGTAATTATATTTTTCAGAACCTGTAATAGTTCTGTGCTATGCCAGAGATTATTTGAAACAGCTATAGAATCTGATAGCTTCTTTAGGACCAAGGAGTAACATGCTGACATGTGAAATGCTGTCAGTCTGCTTCCTCTTCTCTATCTCCCTTCCACAAATAGGGTGTGTATTATTTTCTCTTTCACATCACTTTAACTCCTACCTCCTCCACAATCTGATAAATATTTATATGCACTACACATATTGTTTAAGGAAAAAGCTTAATGCAATGAATCTTTCAGTGTTTGAAACTCAAAAAACCATACTCATGCATTTCCTCCTACTTCGGGCACTGTTATCTTTTCTCTGAGACAATGGCCACCACAGACTAAATTGAAGATGAAGCTCATGGAGAATATCTTAGTATATTCAAGCTGCTATAACAAAAATATCATGAACTGGGTACTTATAAACAAGAGAAAATTATTTCTAAGAGTTATAGAGACTAGAAAATCCAAGTCAAGACTCCAGGAGATTCAGTGTCGATGAGGGTTATCTGTTTCATAGATGGCACCTTCTCACTATGTCTTTACATGGCGAAAGGGACTAGTTAGATCTCAGGAGTGTCTTGTGTAATGGCACTAATTCCATTCATGAGGGCAGAGCCCTAATGACCTAATGACTTCCTCAAGGCCCCACCTTCTAATACTGTCACAATGAGGGTCAGGTTTCACTATGAATTTGAGAGGCACAAAAACATTCAGACCATAGAAGAGAGCAGATGTTTCAAGAAAATGTAGGAAAAAAATCAGCACTCGTGAATATGTCAAAATACTGTAAGATTTTAGCAAATACTGGTAGCTATCTTCCTTGAGTCCCAGTACCTGTTTTGCCCTTCTTATATATTGTAATGGAATATTAAGCTGGGAACTTGTCTGACTAGCTAAGTAATACATTCCACAGCCCTTTTGCAGCCAGTGCAGCCATGGAACTAAGTTCTGTCAATCAGAGATGAATAAAATGGTAAATTTACATGCCAGGGCAAGCCCTTAAGGAAAGGGTTGTGCTCCTCCTGTCCCTTCAGTTTTTCATTTTGTGGCTTGGAAACTGGACACAACAGCAAGTCATCTGGAACCTTATAGATGAGGGCAATAGCACAACACAGCAAAAGAAGCTGCTGTGTCAGCCCAGTGACATCACAATGGCAATTACATTTCAACATGAGTTTTAGAAGGGACAGACATTCAACAACAACATTCTACTCACTGCTCCAAAACCTCCTCTCCTTCTCACAAATAATATTATTTATTCCATCCCAATAGCCGCTTAAGAATTCATTCCAGCATCAACTCAAAAGTCCAAAGTCTCATCTAAACCAGGTATCGGTGAGACTTAAGGCATGACATAACGCTGTGCTTAAGCTCAGACTGTAACATCAGAAAGCTATACATTTATATATCACTTCAGTCAACTGTTATCCTTACAACCTAGCTATAAAATGATTTTTATATTAATCCTACAATTTGGAAAACACTATTAAATATTCTTCATCAAAACTTGCACATTGTCTTTGTTTTGTGTTACTATAAGAGGATACCACAGATTGAATAATTTATAATAAACAAATTGTTTGGCTCATGGTTCCAGAGACTGGGGAGTCTAAGATTAACAGGCCAGTATCTTGCAAGGGCCTTCTTGCTGCATCATTCTATGGTGGATGGGAACAAAGAGAGTGAGATAGAGAGCAAGAAAGGGAGAACCCCCTTCCAGGATAAAGGCATTGGTTCATTCCTGAAGATGGAGCCATCATGACTCAAATACCTCTTAAAGGCCCCACCTCCCAATACCATCACAATGGCAATAAAATTTCAACATGAGTTTTGGAGGAAACAAACATTCAAATCATAGCACTTGTTTAATTCCACTTTCAAATTATTATTTAGGTTTAATTAATCTTATATATGGCTTTATTCATTTAAGGCAGATCCTTAATACATTCAACTTCAGAAAGTGGTACATCTTGATTCTTTTATAAATACAAGTTAAGAAAATTAGAAGATAACTACCTTATTACAATTATTTCATATTGTCATAAAATTTTCTTTAATGCATAGACAATAAATATTAAGAATTAAAACCTTTCATAACCAAAAACCAGTTATCTTTATTTGAAGACTTTCTGATGGCCTAAACAGAAAACTTAAGGGAATAAAATGAAAATCTATTTAAAGTAACAAAAGAGTTCACTAAGATGTTTGTTTCCCAGATGAATACAGAACAATTAATAGCTTATATATACCAATAGTAATCCATTTGGAACTCTTATGGAAATAAGACTCCTTTCGTGAACAGAACAAAACTCCAGTGAAGAAACTTCTAAACTTTATTAAGAAATAAAGAGGAAATTGAAATAACGCATGAGGCAGATGATGACATTTTTGAATGGAATGACTTGAATGTTATTTACATGTCAATTTCCCATAAGTAATTTTTGTTTGATTTAATTCCTCTGAAATTCCTAATGGATGTTTTGGAACTTAAAAATTCCCTTTTATTCTGTGTAACAATAACATATTTTTTTATTTGGTTCAAATAGCTCTGTTTTAGATTCAAACATATTGAATTATCTTTTAAGAATTCTGAAATTAGTTTTAGATTGCCTCTTCAAGGCAACTGGCTTATTGATTGCTCATAATATAGTGGCATCAGCAGTGTTCAAAGAGCATGCATGAGTGGAAGTCTTATCTTAGGGTCAAGTGGAGAAGAGGAAATTGAAAAAATAACCTAAACTAAAACAACAGATAGTGTTGGTCCTCAGTTATGAACTAAAAATGAACTTCTTTAAAAAATATTTTGGAACATGCCACATTTTATTTTACTGTTTATACTGTATTTTTAATATCATTAATATTTTGAATCTATAGTCTTTTACCACTTATGGAACATATTTACATATTTTATCTGACATTTTTCCTGTTAAGCCTGATTATAGAAATGGTTGTCATCCCATGGTTATACGTAAAGAAATTAAGAATGAGAGAAGTTAAAAAATTAAGAATGAGAGAAATTAAGAATGAGATAAGTTTCAAGTGAAACAGGGAGTAGTAACTCTTGATTCCTAATCCAGTGCTCATTCTGTTATCCCATGTTACATCTGAATAGTCATCTTTAATAATAAATAGCAGTGAAATTGGGCATCAAGCGTTTCTTCTCACTGATCTGGCCTTTAAGTCAAAGCCATCGATTCTCCTTTAGCTTCTGTTCCTGTAATACATAATGATTCTCCCTTGATTTCTCTTGCATCACCACAACCAGCTAATTTTTGTATTTTTTTTTTAGAGAAAGGATTTCACCATTTTGTTTCATTTTATTTATTATTATTACTTTTTGAGATGGGGTTTCACTCTGTCACCCAGGCTGGAGTGCAGTGGCACTGTCTCAGCTCACTGCAGTCTTGACCTCCCAGGCTCAAGCGATCCTCCTGGCTTCAGCCACCTGAATACCTGTGACCACAGGCACACACCACCACACCAAGATAATTTTTGTATTTTTTTTAGAGAAAGGATTTCACCATGTTGCCCAGGCTTGTCTTGAACTCCTGAGCTTAAGTGATTGGCCAGTCTTGGCCTCCCAAAGTGCTGGGATTTTACAGGTGTGAGCCACTACACCTAACCCTCTCTTAGCTATTCTGTACTGGCTTCTTCTGTTTCACCCACTCCACACATGTTGGTGTTATCCAGAGCTGGCTGTATTCTTCATTTTCGTCTCTTCTAATTATAGTGTTCTCCTACGTACTTTTTTTTTTTTTTTTTTTACTGTTTATGTACCTGTATCTTCTAAGTCAGTGTATTTACCTTCAGGTCCTCCCTAGAGACCCATCCAGATCTTCAATCTCATTGTCTTCTCAAAATAGGCCTCTTCACCAGTTATACTATTTATTCACACTGTATAGATGAAAATGTCCCAGAAAGCCTAAGCAACTTGCTCAAGTTCTTTAAGATAGAAAATGACAGAGTCAAAATTTAACCAAGACTTGTCTTTAAAGCTTGTTTTATTTACATTTAATATTGCATAGCACATATAGCATCATGTTCTCTCTCTCTCATTATTCAGTAGACTTCCCTCAGGCATAAATTATATCTTGTTTATTTTTGCATCCTAAAGTCTAACAAATTGTATAGCACATAGAAGATGTTCTCTAAAGGTCTTGATAATAAATGATCATAATAATACCGGGGCCTATTTTTATGTGAAAGAGTATGATCATAAAATGTAAAATACCAATTTATGCTTTTTATTTCCCATTCATTGCTAACATTATTTTGTTCCACCTGTTTTGTGCAGCCTATTCCAGTGACACATCACTTCTTTTTCTTTCTAGAATAAAATAAAACAGCCTGGGACATTGGCTGCTCTAAATTACAGAAGGTAATTGATCATGTACACTTTCACTAAGCTGAAGCTAGGAAATGACCTTACTGCTTAATCTGGATTCTTCCTGTAATACAGCTGCATACAGTAACTGAAAATTAGTAGGCTAAATAAGCAACATAGCTCATGCTATGCATTGGAGGATTAACTACAAGAAACACGATAATAAAGGATATTCTGCCACAGCTATCATGGCCATTGTAGCTCTACATTTTTACTTGGTTTCACCTCTTTTAAATCAATGAGCTCTTTGGGGAGCTGTCTGTGTGAGAGAAAATGTATCACACGGTGCATTTGCCTTCTATTCATTTTATTGTCTCAGTCACAGTAGAATGACCTCATTTGTCCTCTAATTTGCTCACCTCTTCCAATATGCTTCTTGTTCTAAAAAGCTAAATCTCATGCAAATACTATAAGCCTGTAGCAATTTTCTGCCAATTACACTGAAGTTGAGTAACATTTTCCAACTCTTCAAAAATTACCTCCTTTCTCATATATAAACTGATATTAATCTGTCCCTTTGGCCTACCTCTATCCAAAATTGGAGCCAGTCATGCTGAGCTCCCCCAGCATCACTTACATTTCATTGTCAATATCATTCCTTAGATAAAAAATAAAATGTTGAGGTGTTTACCAACTGCAGCCAATGCTTGAGATGATAATTTGTAAAAAATGCAAATGTGTGGCTTTATTTTTTATGTGTCATTAATTGCATAATCCCCCTTTGACAACTTTATTCATTTGCTAACAAAACATTAAACTGAGAAATCGCAGTACCTACAAATGAGGAGTAGGAGGTGGAAAGTAATTTTAGCAGGATTTCTTCTTATGTATCTTGATCTTAGCTTTAATGACTGAAGTTTGATTTTCACTTATTGACTGGGACATGAACACAAAAGGTTAAAGTATAACTTACCTAATGCTAATATTTGCAGTCTCTTGGTGTGTCAAATTCTCAAGCTACTGAAACGTGTACATTTTATTCTTTGGGCAAACTATGTTAATCATAGTTTGCTGAACTTATTATGTGGCATCGTAAATATGAATCTTTGTAAATGCCTCTTTTCTCTGCTTAGACTATCTCCTCTGATTTTCAGATTTCTGTCACTTCAAATCTCAACACCAAGAATATTTATATACTAATGTATGCTTCTTATAACTTCTATGAAACTGTTGTTACTTAAGAGCAGCTTTTATACATTCTTTACATTTTAATCTACTGAAATATTCAGAAGAGTGCTTTGAAATAGTTGATACTCATTGTCACCATGAATGGAACTAATTTGTCTCTGTCAAAAGAAAAGTCTTACATATTATGTTATAGAAAATAGAGTTACTGTCTTCATAAAGAAGCCTACATTCCTCAATTAATATGTAAAACAGTATTAGCCAAAGAGTAAAAATAAATGTACAATTAAATGGAAATGGCTGTATATAGAGATAAAATATGCAGATCAATAACAGGTGCCATTATTTTCTAATTTTGGTTAGTAGGAAAAGGCAGGCTGTGGGAACAATGGGGAGATATTAATTTCAACTTGGACAAACTGAAAGAAAATTAAAAAGGTGATTCAAGGTGGTAGATTACTTTTAATTATACAGTTGGATGAGAAATAAAGACATCAATAAATGAATTTGTTTGATATTCTTATAAGTTCCGATGCAGGGAAGACAAATCTCAAAACTGGGGCTTAGCCCTGGAGGGTTCTTGACTTCACTGAGCAAAGGATTCAATAGTTAGCCGGTGATGTTAAACAGCAACTTTTATTGAAGCAGCAGTGTGCAGCAGCAGCAGAGGTACTGCTCCTTACAGAGTAGAGTTACCCCTTAGGTAGGGTGTCCAAAGCTGAAAAGCAGTTCTGCTGTCATATTTATACTCAGTTTTAATTACATGCAAATTAAGGGGCAGGTTCTGCAGAAATTTCTAGGAAAAGGGTAGTAAATACTAGGTTGTTACCATCGAAAGGGGAGGTAACTTCAAGGTGTTGCCATGGCAATGGTAAACTGACATGGCAAACTGGTGAGTGTGCCTTATGGAAAGCTGTTTCCACCACCCACAACCCTGTTTTAGCTAGTCCTCACTTACTTGGCCTGGTGTCTGAGCCCTGCATTCAGAGTTGAGCCCTGCCTCCTACCTCAGTTCTGCACTTCAATTATTTGTTTACTTATCCAACAGAGACCTTTTGAATGCTTTTATGTGCCATGCACTGTCCTAGCCTCCAGTGACACAAAGGTGAATAAGACTGAAAGCTGCCTTCAAAAACAGTTCACACCACAGTAAAGTAAAATATAATCAAAGACAGCTTTATTTTTCAAAATCCAAATAAAAAGCAATAAATATTCAATATCCTTTTTTTTTTTTTCTTTTTGAGATGGAGTTTCACTGCCTCACCCAGGCTGGAGTCAGTGGCGCAATCTCGGCTCACTGCAACCTCTGCCTCCTGGGTTCAAGTGATTCTCTTGCCTCAGCTTCCCAAGTAGCTGGCACTACAGGTGCATGCCACCACGCCTGGCTAATTTTTGTATTTTTAATAGAGACAGGGTTTCACCATATTGGCCATACTGGTCTCGAACTCATGACCTCGTGATCTGCCTACCTCTGCCTCCCAAAGTGCTGGGATTACAGGCATAAGCCACCAAGCCTGGCCCATATGCTTTTAAAATGTCTTGTTTATTCTCAGACATATTCTAGGCCAGCTGAACTAATAGAGTTGGTTGCTAGAAGAATTCCTCACTCTTAAGTCTCTTTTCTTCTTCATCAGGAGGTTCACTTGGAAAGGAAAAAGCTATGTCAAAATACTTTTGCTATATTTCACATTAAACTGTTCTTCATAGCCATCCTGCAGTGTCCAGATGTCTGAGGGCAAAAGATCTATATATATTGATGAGACAAATCTGAGCACAAGGAAATTTACAACTGAGAATTTCCCTCAAGGGAGTGAATGTGTGGATACACTTTCCCTGTCCTATCAGGGCACTCACAGAGACATTTCACAATTGACAATGACAGCAGGATGTGATTCCTGAGGTGTATTCTACAAAGCACTGAGACTACTTAAAATATGTGTATGTGGGCTTAAGGCAGATAGTGTGCAGACTAACAATCAAACTCTGAGGGGCCTGCAAGGAAGAGGTAGGCAATTGAATTGATGTCATTTTTCTTTGAAATGTAAATAATTCTAGCTTAGGAGAGAGTTTGATTTTGATAAGATGGCCTCAACTCCACTCCTAACAGATCAAGAAGGAAGAAAAATGTTCAGAGTATTTTTTGTATATCAATAATATGCAGGGCACTTTTACTAAGATTAACATATTTAACACTTATAGGAGTCATGGGAGATAAGAATAATTGTCCCCATTTTATATGTATTGAAACCAAGCTCAGTTAAACTGTTAAATAGAAATTAGGTTCAAATCTAGGCACATTTCAATGTAAAGTCTTAATACTTATTCATTACATAATGAAAGTTTGAACTATGGAGAACAATGAGTAGAAAGTACTTAATCACCAGTTACTCAGTGACATGGTCAAAAGATGATTTATTTCCACAAGAAGGTAATATTCTTTAAAAATATACCAGATCTACAATTATTACCAGCCAAAGAATCTTCTGTTGCGAAATCCTATGATATCATCTGTTATTTAGTCACTTCACACATAGAGATTTTTATTCAATTATGTGGAGTAACACATCAAAAGCTGTAGAAGAATACCTGTAGGATAGTTAGGAATCATATTAGAGTTAGATATCCTAGGTATCAAACCCAAAAGCTAAGTAAAGACTATATAATATTAAAGACATTTATGAAATCTCCTTGCCAAGAGATATTTAAAAGTAAGAGAGCTAAACAGAATTTCCTGGAATGCTTTACATCTAATCCATGGAGATACTGGAAGATTACTTGATTTTTCTCTAAAGCATTTTTTATTCTATTGTCTTAAGAATCTTTAGTATTATAAACTTCTTAGTAAAGATTTTTGTGTACTATATCATATTCTTAAATTCTTGATTAAAATTGATACACATTAATTTAAATGCATTGTTCCATTTTGCTATAAATGTTGAAATAGCTAATTTAAGAATTATTAAAACTTTCACATAGGTCAATATGATAAGCTCTTATTTTTGTATTATTTTTAATTACATAGGCATAAAGAGTAAAGCTTAATGATATAAGTGGACACTTTTTTTCAGTGTAGGATTGTAAAATTAACTTTTTCCTTACATTCAGGGAACTTAATCATAGTCACTTATGGTCTTTTCAGCAAGAGAAGAAAGCTATCATGGGTTCAACAAGCTTTTACTTGGCTTTGAAAATACCTCTTGTTTAAAATACATTGAAAATTTAGCAGCCCTTCTGTATTTTAGATAACACACATTTTAAAATATTTTAAAAATGGAATAGTTTTTCAAGAAAAACATTATTCACAGTCTTAGTCTTATGTTTGGAAAAAAATCCAATAAATTCAAATTTGGCATAATACAATGCATAATGTTCCACTATGTTATAAAATGATGGCAGAGTGGAATATGATGAGCATTAATAGATTCACCCTTAGACACATCATATGCAATTCTAAATTTTTGGGGGGACATTTTCTGCTGCATTGAGTTTTCATGTTTGGAAGGCATATACTTGTAAAGATATTTAGTCATATTTTTAGAGAATGGTATGTGATCTTTGCAAACTTATAGTTTAAATTATTGCTACAATACATCTGTGGCAAATACAATACATATATGGCAAATACAATACATTTGTGGCAAAGATGTAATATTTTACTATGGAAGCATTTCCCCCCAAAATAAATCCTCTTAAACACAAACCTTCTTAAGCACAAAAATGTTCTCCATGGCTCAAACTTTGATTATGTAATGAATAAGTTTGTTTTTGTAGTACACCTCCAAATAGTAATTGTTATTATTAGCAATAATAAACAGAAATAAATATATGAAGAGTCAAAATTGTTCATAAATCATCTTGCTCTAATACATTTGCACAGATAATTTAATGTCCTTTTACTAGTCATGATTTAAAGAGCCATATTTCACCCTGCTTTGTAAAAAGGTTACATTAAAAAATATAAAATTTTATAAAATAGAGTACAGATTTGTCTACAAGGTGTAACAAATCAACACGTAGATGTCTGTGTTTGCACCTTGTAGTTATGTTGGTGAGTAAAATTTAAGATATTTATGACACAGGGAGGGTGGAGTAGTGGCTAGTAATTCAGAAATTACTTTTCTGTCCTCTGAAAAAGCAGGGAAGCTGTGACAGGGCTTACACCAAAACTTGGAGATACTGACTTTAACAAACTTCCTTGGCTCTCTTTAAAGCTAGTATTACAAGCATTTTATCAGAAATCACTAATGTGCCCTTCTCACTTGATGACGAGTAGCATTTGACACTCAGGGGTTAATGCTCATCTCAGCTATAGTTTTTAACATTAAAAGTTACTGGAGATATGGTGAAGGAGAAAAACATGTGTGACAAATAGCCATCTCAAAATCATAGAAGCTGATCTTCCTCTTTAAAGTCACATGAGGATAAGAAAAGACGATAAGAAATTTGAGAAAGAAAATACTTGTCCTGAAAAAGACAGCATCATCCAGGCATTAATACTAATATGTCTCCCTTGTAAACCAGGACAGATGTTCAATAATTAGCAAATACAAATAAAAGTTTACTTTTTTGGTAGTAAAGTGTCTCCTTTATCCTGGGACTTGCATTTTCAACTAGACTGAAGGAAACTATTCAACTAGACTCCTGAGATGTGGGATCCGTCCTGCAGACCATGACTGGTAGGAATGCCTCAGATTGTCTCCTTAATATGATGACACTAGTAATATTTAAATTAGATAATTTGTAATTAGTGATACATGAGTTGAACCAAACCTGTCCCTGCACCCGGGTCACAAATGCAGAGTTTTGGGGTGTAATAGAAATACCGGTTCCCATAAGGAAAACATATGGATGCGTAGTGCAAATTAGGCACTGATCAGTGTGATTATGAATAAAGGTTATAGTGTAGTTGTGACTGGAATTATGGTATGTCCCATGCTAAGTGTCAAAGGAGATGCTAAGATGTCCCAGGCACTGGGATATTCCATCCCCCCATCAGCCAAAATCATAGGGAAGTGGGATGTGGCTACGAAACTGTGATTGATGCCATGATGGATGAGGACATCAGTAAGGCTGCCCTGCAGATGGCTGTGGGGGCTCCAGTCTAAGATGTTATAACTGCCTAACTGAAGGCTACGGGCTTGTCCCCCACGACAGACCTCCCAGCTAAAGTGGAATCCATTACTTTCTCTGCTTTGTTCTTTAACACAGGAAGGAATGTTTGGGAAAGTGGCATTGATTGCACTGCCGGTTTGAGGCTACCAGCAGCTAAAACTGTTAAGGCATTTCCTTTGCCATAATGCAGCCATAATTGTGTTTGGGCAGGTACACTGTAAGGGTTAGAACTTTTATAACTTACACACAGTGGGAGGATAGTAGAGTGATATGCAGTGTTACCTGACACCTTAGTCCCATGTGTGCCATGAATAAGGGACCCCACTGGTGGTAAATCTATCCCTCCTAGCCAAGCAGTTATGTTATTAAAGGCTAGGAAGGGGGTGTCTGCCCAAGTGACAGGGCAAAAGAAAGGCAGATCTAAGATATGAGCCCAATACAGTGTAGCAAGTACAGGTTGCAGACAAAGCGAGAGCATGAAAAGGATCAATACCCTATGCAAGTTGCAGTGTTCAATAGAGAGCATAGCAAGGAACAAATTATCTGGAGTGAATGGTGTCTGTGTCTGGAGCAGGATTCGTTCAGCCTCCTGAGTTGTCTTCTTCAGCATCCCCTAGGTGATGTCCAGGGCTTGTGTCATCCAAGGAAGTCGCATCGTCCAGGGCTGTGGGTCCTGTAGGGTCATTTCCTTCATTTCTGGTACCAGGTTGGGTCCTAGCCATGCCATGGCATGGTTTAATGTGTCGTGCTGGAACCCAAAGAGGACCTGAGGGTATGTGAATACAAGCATATCCTCTTCCCCACTTTAACAATTCATTTGGACCACACCATACATTACTGTTTACATCTTTCCATAAAACTGCAGGTTTTATGTCTTGAGAGGTTTTAGCAAAGTGCTTTTCTACAGCTGATTGAAATTTATTATCTAAATTCAAAAAATTAAGGGTAAATAAGGCTTTTGCCAATAGTGTTGCAGGGTCCATAGTCATATTCCCTCTTTTTTGTTTTTTGAGCATATTTTTAAGAGTGGAGTGGGCACGTTCTACTATGGCCTGTCCTTGGGGGTTGTGTGGGATGCCTGTAGAATGTTGGATGTTCCACATGTGACAAAATTGTTGAAATTGTCAGCTGGCATAAGCTGGACCATTTTCAGTTTTAATCTTTGTGGGCTGCCCCTTAAATGCAAAAGTTAAAAGAAGATGTTTAATGACATATCGAGTGGACTCTCCAGGAAGAGCATGTGCACTAAGTAGATAAGTGTTGGTATCAACGGATACATGCACATATCTAAGTTCTCCTAATTCAGGGATGTGTGTAACATCTGTTTGCCATAACTGATTAGGTTCTAGTCCTCTAGGGTTAACACCTGTTGGAGGAGGGGACATGCCTGTGAGCTGGCAATCTGGGCATTGCAGGATAATTTGTTTAGCCAGTCTTTGGGTAAGTTGAAATTGTTTAGGTAAGTTTCTCCAGCTTTGGTGGAAGAATTGATGCAATTGACTGGCTTGGTCAAGCAGTGATGTCATAACCTGAAAGTCTGCTTGATCATTTCCATAACCCAAAGGGCCAGACAGTTAGCTGTGAGCTCGAATGTGTGTAATAAAATAGGATGTGTACATTGATCTAGCAATTGCTGAAGTCGGAGAAAAAGATCACACAGGGTGAGCTCCAGAGTCGACTTAATTAGGGCTGTCTCAAGGTTCTACAACAAATAAACAGAGTAGGCAGAGTCACTAACAGTATTGATGGACTGAGAGGGAAAGGTCTCCAGAGCCTACATTAAGGCCCCAACCTCAGCTCTTTGAGTGCTAGTAAACCCAGATCAAGTGAGGGAATTATGTGGTCTTTATTAAATAGCCGCTTTTCCATGTTTACCTGAACCATCAGTAAACAGTGTTAAAGCTTTAGGTATGGGGGAGTGAACTATTTTTGTAGGTAAAATCATAGGAGTATGAGATAAGAACCGAAGGATTTTATCAGCAGGAAAGACATCCTCCATTTGACCTGTGTAATTGGAGAGTGCTATTTGCCAATCTACCCATAGGGCAAAACTACTTCAAATTGCTTTTTACTTAAAGGAATCTTGATGATATCAGGATCATAACCTAGGAACTGACTGCATCATCTGTGGCCTGAATAGATGACTTTACTGATTAACTGGATATAGGAACTGATATAGGAAGAGAGTATTTTAGTCCTGGTATAAGAGCAAAAAACCCATTCTAGAAAGTACAGCCCTGGGGTCATCTGTTCTAATAACCCTGCAGGGAAGTGTTTAGTGGGAAAAATAAACAACTGGACCGAATATTTCGGATCTATGCGATCTAGTTGCCTTTGAGAAATTGCTTGTTCTATCTCCTCAATCTCCTTTTGTACTGTGGGGGTTAAATACCTGGGAGAATCCAGAGTTGTATTGCCCTTTAAGATAGAAAACACGTTTTGCAGCTTATAAGTAGGAATGCCCAAGGTGGGACCAAGCCAGTTAATATCACCTAGTAATTTCTGATAATCATTTAAGGTTTGTAGGTTGCTAGTATTCAATTTAACCTTTTGAGGTCTTACTGACCAGGAAGTTAGTATGTACCTAAGATATTTCCAAGGAGAGGACATCTGTACTTTTTCAGGTGCTATGGTTAAAACTCTTAACTGTATTCTTTACAACAGAGGTATATAAACTTAAAAGTATTGGCTCCATTGGGGCTGCTAGTAGAATATCATCCATAAAGTGAACATTTTTGCAATCAGGAAATTCTTTTTTACTGGGGAGCAAAGCTTGATTTACATGATATCGACACATGGTAGGACTGTTTAGCATCCCTTGAGGAAGCATTTTCCTGTGAAATCGGCAAGCTGGCCTTTCATTATTGGTATCTAGTATTGTAAATGCAAATTTGTCTCTGTCCTGACCTGTTAGGGGAGTGGTATAAAAACAGTCTTTTAAGTCAATAACAATTATAGGCCAATCTTGAGGAATCGCTGCGGGGGAGGCATCCCCTATTGAAGGGGCCCCATAGGTTGCAAATTAGCATCAATAGCACATAAGTCATGCAAAAGTCTCTATTTATCAGACTTTTTGGGAATGACAAAAATGGGTGAATTCCAAGGGCTGTTTGATGGTTCTATATGGCCAGCTTTTAATTACTCCTCAATTAATTCATGGGTTGTCTGTAATTTCTCTCCTTTCAGGGGTTACTGTTTTACTTAAATTGGATTTGGAGAGAGTCACATTAGGGGTAAGAGATAATAACAGTGGCCATTATCAGAAAGAGTCTTTCAAATTCTTAAATTTTACTGAAATCTTAGCAGAGAATTATAATCTGGGATGTCACTTGTATACAAGGAACACATGAAATGTTGCTGTGCTCCGTCGCAAGGCAGCAGTCTGGGTCCCAGGGCGGCAGCTGCGTTGTGCTCGCCTAGGTGCCGCTTTTTGCCTGCGCCACTTTTTGCCTGTACTCCTCCTTACTCCTGCCACCGCTGGCTGCTGCTGGCTCGGTGGGCCTTCCTGTGCATACCTCCCGCCCCTCCCCAGCAGGCCAGCTCCAGCGCTGGGCCTGGCTCCCTGACTGAACTACCACACTGAGATATTTAAGGTAAGGAACAATTGTGAATAAGTTTGTAAATTATACTCTTCATTTACTATTAGGTATGTATATTATATTTGTTTATTTATAAATGATAATATATACATAAATATATATTATCATATATAAATTATATATAAAATACAAACAATATACTAGAATTATCAATAAAATATTTACAGCACAATTTATTTCTATTTATTTATAAACATATGTTGAGAACATCCTTTTTGAAATGTGCTGGGCAAAGTGCTGGGAGGGGTTTGGAAATTATATAAAATAATCCCTGCCCTCAAAGATTTAAGTGACACATTCATTGCAGGAATAAAGTTTAAATGTCAGGAACAAATTTCAGCCCATGCTAGAAAACAGACTTTTTTTTCTGTTAATTTTCTCTGATATTTTGTCTCTTTCATAACCACATCTTTCTGAAGGTAGACATTTAATCTTAGAATAAACTCATAATATCAGGGTCTCTGACAATTTAATCTTCTCTCTACTTCCCTTAGTTACTTGGAGAGCTTATATAATGCCAATCAGTAATCACGCAGAGAGAGGTCTTGAGTACCGTGACATCATCTGATGTCACTTTTTGGATGCATTTTGTCTCACCTATTTGTTTTTCTTTTCATTGCTTCTTGCTGTCATCCTCTGTAGGATCTTATTAAAATACAGGTTCAGGTTAAATAGACCTGGGGTAGGGCCTGAAATTCTGTGTTTATAACAAGCTCCTAGGAAAAGCTGCTGCTGCTGGTGCTTATGTGGGTGGGGTTCATGCTCTGAGTAGTTAGACTCTGAGGAATAATCTCTGTACCACCATGATCCCTGACATTGCTTGATAATAGCGTGTGCTCTGCATGCTCCTCTTTCAACACAAGATGGATTTCAATCTGGCTTTTTATCTCAGGTGCTTGTACCTTCCTCTCAAAAGGATAGAAGAAGAAAAACTGTCTCATAGTCTAGAGAAAAAATTTTCATATGCATCCATATGTCAAATATCCACTTGTATTTCATTTTTCTCACATCATATTGCATGGGATATACTGATATCCTGTTTCTGTCCAGGGGAATCCAGAAAATGTCTAGTCTAAGGTTTCATCCCCCTTCTAATCAACTGTTGAGCAAAGTAAATGGGCAAGATACAAGTCCTCTCTTCTCAGAGCCTCATATGAGTTTTTATTTATTACTTTCAAAATTATTCTTAGCTGAGAATCTAATTTCTTTTTAGGTGAGTAGGTGAGTTGGGTAGAAGAAACTGGATCCCCAAGTAATTTTCTAATCTATTGTTTGTCCGAGGTCCTTAGCCTTGAAGGTTCAAAAACAGATAATCATCTTCTTTTGTTCTATATTATCTATTATGTCTTCCATTCTCCAAGTTATAGATGAAAAATTCTAGATTAAATGAGAAAGGGTGAAATGTAAATGAAATGATCAGAATTAAAGAAAATATGTTTATTAATCTGTTACCTTCCGTGTGGGAAACTAGATAGATGTTCAGACAAGTGCACAGTAATGGGTAATTTTTCAAATATATTTTACTGTGTGGCTGGACTTATGGAAAAATATATAAATTTTTCAGAAGCCATAAAAGACCAAAAAGCACAAAACCCCATGGATTAAGATGTGATGTTGGTGCTGGGGACATACAGCCTGAGAGGATATAGGTGTCTGAGTAGGTCTGTAGGTGTCTGAGTAGGTTTCTAACTAGGATTTCCTACCAAACATTTTCCTCTGAGGTTTGTTAACTCAAGGTCACATTGTTTGAGATGTGATTTGGAATGCAAATAATGTCTAAAAAATGTTCTTTTGGACAAACTTCAAAAAATTTTCACCAAGTTTATGAACACTAACATAATCACACCTAAACATAAAAATTACTAAAAATAAATATTTAAACTTCCTGGTTCAAGAATGAGGAGAAAGAAAAATGTGTAGAAATGGACATGAAAAATCTGAAATGAAAAAACAAATTCCTTGAAAAATATTGTCAAAAATAATTCAAAAAAATTTTGAAAACTCAAATGGGCCTATTTCAAAGAAAGAAATTAATTCAATAGACTAAAATCTTCCTTTACACCTTCCCCATATTCATATAAGATAACAGATCCAAATAATTTCGGATCGTTGTTCTAGAAAGTATCCAAGGAATAGGTAATATTAAGCTTTCTGCAGTGTCTTCAAAGACTAGGAAAAAGAAGGTGTGTTTCAATCTTAATTTGCTTTTATGTTTAAACCAAGGCCAGACAAGGTCAGTAATTGAAAGAAAATAAAATAAAAATTTATTGAACATAAATACAGATATAAACAAATTATTACAAACTAAATACAGTAATGCTTTATAAAAAGGTAAAATGCCACAACATATTGGATTCACTTTATGAATGCAAGATTGCTTCAAAGTGAGAGGATATGTAAATATAACAAATAAAAGGGGAAAATAATCTAAGTGATTATCGCAATTAGTGAAGAAAATAATCTTTAAAAAATCAACCAGAATTTATGATGAAATTGTTAGCAAATTAGAAATAGATAAGAACTTATTTGACCTGAGAAGCATTTAGAAAAACTGTCTTAAGTGGTAAAAGCATTCCATTTACAATCAGAACATTCCAGTCAGTGCAATAAGGGACATTAAAAAAAGAAAAAAGATATGACATAGGAAAGGAAGAACAGCTTAAAAGTATCAAGAGAGAATCCTTTGATTGGATGAGATAATTTAGCAAGTTTCCCAGATAATAAGTTCAAAATTTAAATTCAAAACTTCAGTATATTTATATACAAAAGCAATACACTATTTGAAAACACACACACACATGCAGGATACCATTTACAATAGCAGTGAAATATATATTTTACCTAGTAACAAGTTTCATAAAACATATGCAAGTTGATGTTGTAATAAATTACAAACATTAAAGGTCATTAAAGAAAATCTGAGTGAATTAAAAGATTAGCATGGCATCATACAGGTATTAATTCTGTGTAAACTGATATATATATATAATTTTTATATATGAGAAACTTGACAGGTTGATTTCAAAATTGATTAGAAGCAGCATCTGGAGAGGTGACAAAACCTCCTAAATGAGAAGAATCAGGTGGTGGGAGGGGGCAGATTTGTTCTTTCAGTTCCTAAGACATATTTTAATGTTCTAATAACTAAAATAGCTGATATTGACTAAGAGGTAGACAAAAAGAGCAATAAAACAGAAATCATATATTAGATTTTAGGAAATCTGATGTATGACAGTTTGGCATTACAAATTGCTTTGGCATGGCAAGTTAATGGAAAAATAATTTGCTACTTAATAAATGGTGCCAAGATAACTAAATATCCGGGAAAAATGATAATGGATCATTACCTTATATCTTATTACTAAACTCAATTCCAAATGCATCAATGACTTAATGTGAGATGCAAAACCCTAATTTTTTTGAATTTACATATTTTGTTACCTGATTACAGATTTAACCTAGAAATTTAATAATTTATTATTATAAAAAGATAACTAGACAATTTCTAAATATTTTGAAATTATACAAGCACTTGTAAAACATCATGAATGAAAGAAGAAATCACCAATTGGAATTAGAAAATGTTTTACTAAATGAAAATTAAAACATAACAAAACACTACTTGTGCAATGCAGATAAAGCCATGAGTACAGGTTAATTTATAATCCTACGTGCATTCTTCAATTCTTATGGCTTATGATCAATGAACTTATCATTTATACTCCCACAAAGTTAAAAAAAATTGAATCTAAAGAAAATAGAACGAAATAATAAAATTAAGAACAGAAATTTATATGACACAAAAAATATAATAGAAAAAATTAACTAAACCAAAACTCATTTATTTGAAAAAGACTAATAAAATTTAATACACCCTAAAAAAATTGCACAAGCAAAAAAGAGAAAAGGTACAAGTTATAAATATCAAAAAATAGAAGGACATCACTACAATCCTTATGAATTATTAGCAGAGGTAACAAGAATGAATCTGCAATCAGATCAAGAATAGAACAGTACCAGCCCCTCCGTCAGAAACCCCCCTCATATGCCTTTCCAATCAATAAAACCTAAAGGCAGGTATTTTCTTGGCTTCTAACACAATATATTAGTTTTGCCTACTTTAAAACTTCATAAGACTGATATCACACAGCATATACTTTCTTGTGTGTGGCTTCTTAAAACTTGGATTTTTTAGAATAATACATACAGGAAATAATGGCAACTGCAATAGTTGAATAAGCTAACCTGATGCAATAATAAACACAATGCCTAAATCTGACCATTTTAACAGATCAAAGCTTATTTCTCGTTCAAGCTATATGTCTTTTATAGGTCAGCAGGGACTCTACTCCATAAGTAACTCTGGTTGCTAGGCAGAAAGGGGTTTCACCAACTTGAAGATGTACCCTCTAAAATCCATGGCCCCTTCAATTGCAGTGGATGTGGAACAGAAGTCAAGGATGTCACACATCTGCACTTTGATTATTTAAATCAGGATCTTCTCATCACGGCCCTTACTAATCAGATGACATCAACTGACTGTAAGAAAGCAAGAAAGTATAGTCTTTTATAAGCTATATCATATAACCTAAAGAGATTGACTAGAGGTCAATGAACACTAGTAAGGTCTACCATATGATCTTGGTAAAGGAGTTTTTACATGCAGTATTTTATATAATAAAATATTAAATCATATATTTTATACACTGACTTGCTTTTTCATACAACATTAAATATTTGAGAATCATTTATTTTGATACCTAAAACTGGAATCTCTTCATCTTTGTGCACTGGTATGCTGATGAATGTTTGAGTTATTTAACATTTATACTGCTAAAATGCTGCTCTGAACGTTCAAATACATCTCTCTTGGAGTACCTGTGTAAGAGTTTTGTGAAAGAAAACTGCTGGACTGTAGAGCCTCATTTATAAAATAATACCAAATTGTTTTACAAATAGCCTGTACAACAATGTATGCTCCAGTGGTGTATGAGAAATCCCATGTCTCAAATCTTGGTTCATTTTTGGTATTTTCAAACTTTAACATTTTTCTGTCTGCTAGGTAACATTGTATCTTACTGTGTTTAGAAAACACATTGTAGTAAAAACTATAAAGGAAAGCAAAAGAATGTTGAACACAAACTCATGATTATGGATAAATTTTGGGAAATGGTGGGGGCTATAATTAGAAGTGGTATCCATGGAACTTTAGAGGAAATAAGGCTTTGTCATTATTTAATTATGTCACATATAATTTTTTGTGTATGCTATATGTCATAATGAAAAAAATGAATTGGCTGAGCACGGTGGCTCATGCCTGTAATCCCAGCACTTTGGGAGGCCAAGGCGAGTGGATCACCTGAGGTCACGAGTTCGAGGCCAGCCTGGCCAACATGGTGAAACCTTGTCTCTACTAAAAATACAAAAATTAGCCAGGCGTGGTGGTGGGCACCTGTAGTCCCAGTTATTTGGGAGGCTGAGGCAGGAGAATCACTTGAACCTGGGAGGTGGAGGTTGCAGTGAGCTGAGATCGCGCCATTGCACTCCAGCCTAGGTGACAAGAGTGAAACTCTGTCTCAAAAAAAAAAAAAAAAATTATATTGGTAATTATGTTAATATTCTCCTGCTCTTCTACTATTTTCTTGTAAAGTAGATTAATAGTAAGATTCTTTTGTTTTGCTGAGAAAAAGGTAGAAAATTGGAGCAAATGGGAAAACCTGAGAAGAGAGGCTAGATTACACAGCAGAAGGTATGGAGCTACTCTGAAGTAGATGGGAGAAGAGGGGCCTGACAGTCAGAAAGTCAGCATAGGATGAGGTAAAGCAGGTTAGTAGATTAGATATTTTGATGAGTGGAATTTGATGGGGAAGAGAAACCTAAAAATAGTGAAGAGGTTTTCATATGTATAATGTTCTCCACCTCTCCAATAAATCTTTTTAAAGATTAACACCTCACTTCAGTGTCTCAGAGTCAGATATATGCATCCTTCAATTATGTTACTGTATGGAAACAGACCTTACATCTTGAATGCACAAAAAATTCAACTACAAAGAATACTCTTTAATAGGTGCCGACTTTGGTGCAAATAAATTATAACCGCGTGTCAGAATTTTTTTTCCTTAATAACTTGCTTGATTTATAAATAATTGACAATAAATGCACACTGAGGATTAAGTATATCTTTGTACCTACTTCGAAAATGGTAAAGAAAGAGGAAAAACATTTAAGCAGCCTTTCTCAACAAATGATGTTTAGAAAACTGAATATCCACATGAGAAGGAATTAAGTTGTACTTGTACCTTAAATTGTATTAAAAAATTAATTCAAAATAGATAAAAAAACCTACATGTAAGAGCTAGAATTGTAAAACTTTAAGAAGAAAATTGGGAAAAATCTTTATGACATTGGATTTGGCAATGATTTCTTGGATGTACCATAATACCAATATGGTCTCAAATGGTACCAAAAGCACAAGCAACAAAATGAAAAATAAATTGGATTTAATCAAAATTTAAAACATTTGTGCATTAAGTGATACTATCAATAGAGTGAAAAGACAACTCACAGAATGGGAGAAAATATTTGTAATCATATATACCTCACAAAGCGTTAATATTTAGGACATAGAGATAGTCCCTGTTTTACAATGGTTCAATTTAAAATTTCTATTTTCTTTTTATTTTGGAGAGGGACAGAATCTCCTCTGTTGCCCAGGCTGGAATGCAGTGGCATGATCTCCACTCACTGCAACCTCCACCTCCCGGGTTCATGTGATTCTCCTGCCTCAAACCTCCGAGTAGCTGGGACTACAGGCATGCGACACCATGCCCGGCTAATTTTTCTATTTTTAGTAGAGATGGGTTTTTGCCATGTTGGCCAGGTTGGTCTCAAACTCCTGACATCAGGTGATACATCCACCTTGGCCTCCCAAAGTGCTGGGATTACAGGCGTGAGCCACTGCACCCAGCCTAAACTCAAAATTTTTCTGCTTTACAGTGGTGCAAAAGCTATATACATTCAGTAGAAAGTGGTATAAGACTCTCTTGTTGTGTAATTTGGGGCAGCAAGGTACATCTCCATTAGCCATGCAATCACAAGGGTAAACAACCAATACTCTATAGTGTATGGCATTTCCAGGTGATTTCACCCAACTGATAAATAATGTAAAAGTTCTGAAAATATTTAAGGTAGGCTACGCTAAGTTATGATGTTCAGTAGGGTACGTGTATTAAACACATTTTGACTTAAAATATTTTCAACTTTCAATGGGTTTAATGGGACGTAACCTCACAGTAAATCCTTACAATTCAACAAAAACAACTCAGTAACTCCTATAACTCAACAACAAGAAAAAACAACCCAATTAAATATCGACAAAAGAACTTAATAGGAATTTATCCAAAGACAATATACAGATAGTCAATAAGCACATGCAAAAATGTTCAGTGTAACTAATCATTAGGGAAATCCAAATCAAAACCACAATGAAACACCATTTCACACTTAGGGTGGCTATTGTATTTTAAAATTAAAAAAATACCACCATAAAATAGCGAGAGTTGAAGTGAATGTGGAGAAAATGCAACCCTTGTACACTGCTTAATGGAATGTAAAATGGTGTAGCCAGTGAGAAAGACAGCATGGACATTCCTCAAAAAATTAGACATAGAGTTACCATTTAATCTAGCAATTCCACTTCTGGGAGTATGCCCCAAAAAACTGAAAGCAGAGATTTCAACAGATATTTATACATAAATGCTCATAGCAGCATTATTCACAATGGTCCACAAAAGGTGGAGACAACCAAAATGTCCATTAATGGAGGAATAAATAAATAAAATGTAGTATATCTGTACATTTGAATATTATTAAGTTTTAAAAAGAAGTAAAATTCTGACACATACTGTAACATGAATGAACTGTGAAGACATTATGCAAAGTGAAATAAACCAGAAACAAAAGGACAAATACTGTTATAATTCCACTTATACACAGTACCTAGAGTAGTCAAATTTATGGACATACAAAGTAGAATGGTGGTTTTCAAGGACTGAGGTTAAGGGTAGATGGGAAATTATTGTTTAATGGGTAGAAAGTTTCAATTTGAGAAAATGAAAAAGTCTAGTGACTGACAGTGGTGATGGTTATAACAATAGTGTGAATATACTTAATGCCACTGAACTGGATCCCAAAAATATGCTAACATGGTAAATTTTATGTTATGTATATTTTACCAAAATTAAAAAAACATTAATAGTTTGGACACAGTGGCTTATGCCTGTAATCCCAGGACTTTAGGAGGCTTAGGTGAGAGGATTCCTTGAGGCCAGGAGTTTGAGACTAGCTTGGGCAAAGTAGGGAGACTCCATCTCTACAAATAATTAAAAACAACTTAAAAAAAGCTGGGCATGGTGGTGGTCACCTGTGGTCCCAGCTACTTGGGAGGCTGAGGCAGAAGGATCACCTGATTCTGGGAGGTCAAGGCTGAAGTAGCCATGATTGTGCCACTGCACTCCAGTGGCACACTGCACTGGGCGACAGAGTGAGACCCTGTCACAAAACAAAAACAAAAATGAAAAACAAGCAAATAAATGCCAGAAACATTAGTAGATATTGTTGCACAGATAAGATCCAGTGTGGGCAAGATGATATTTCGATAAAGTTATACATGCTTCAAAAATATAAGAAAAAAAGAATAATTTTCCCACATAAAGGTATAATTTAGGGAAATTAAAATGTTAAGTGTTCCAAAATGAGGAAGAAATGAAGAAAAAAAGAGGGTTTGTATATGCATTTTGCAAGAGACTTGTCAAAGGTCTAACAGAGGATTCTTTCATTTACAGTGTCTAATTCAGGAATTGTTTGTGGTTGAAAGCCAAACTGCTCCAATATATTACACTTTTAAATCGAGGAATCCCAAATTTTCCCAGGATTTCTTTCAGTCAGTAGAATGAAAGTCATTTAACTTTAACTTTTAAATTTCGTTTACAAGAAACTTCTTCCTTAGGTAGTATTTTAGTTTTCTGCAGAATTTCTAAAGGTATGTCTAAGAGTCTCCAAAACTAATATTCTACACAATTCTTATTGCACTGATTTCCTGCTGGGTCCTATATTTCTGTTGAGAAACAGGATCTCAGTTGATACTTCATTATGGTTCCTGTGGGGTACAGAGAACCTAGTAAGAGAAAATTTACAGGCCAGGCACGGTGGTTCACACTTGTAATCCCAGCACTTTGGGAGGCTGAGGCAGGAGGATTGCTTGAGGCTGGGAGTTTGAGACTGGCCTGGGCCATGTGGTGAAACCATATCTCTACAAAAAGTAAACAAAATAAGCCAGGCATGGGAGCATGCACCTGTAGCCCCAGCTACTCTGGAGGCTGAGGTGAAAGGATCACTTCAGCCCAAAAGATAGAGATAGCAGTGAACCAAGATCACATCCTGTGCCGAGGCAACAGAGTGAGACCCTGTCTCAAAAAAAAAAAAAAAAAAAAAGGGGGAGATACGAAGAAAAAAATTACATTTGTGTATAGGGCCAATAGGAAATGTTTTAAAATATCTAGGAATGTTAAAAGTAGCATTTTCTTTTCATTAGGTTAGACTGATAACTAAATGGTATTCCTTGTCTATTCAGTTACTTGGCTTTTTCTTTATCTTAATTCCCTTACAGCCTTTCACAAATGTTCTTTGAACAGACTTTCTCCATCCCCTGAAACTCCCTTTGCCTGCATCTTGGCTTCTGAACCTCTCCGGGCTGTCTATACAGTTTTTTGGATATAACTAGACTCTGAGTGTCAGTTTGTACCCAGTTGAAACCTCCACTGAAGATGTATTCTAGACCGTTTAAAACAGGGATTGCTGAAATAAAATTATATCCATTGATGTAGAATATTTATCACATTACATGTGAACAGGTAATCATAGGTCTGAAGTAATAATCTAAACATTTGCTAAGTATTCCAAACATTTTCTATACTAAAACTCTGGAAATAGATTGAAGTCTATTTTTAAATAAATGTATTTTTTAAAGAAAACAAACAAAACGTCTCTGAAATATTAGGATGGTCATTTTTTTCTGTTATCAGCATATTTAAAACATTTAGACAAATCGAAATGGATGTTACGCGTTTTCTTCCAAACATGTGACAAGAAGGCAAATGCATTCTATATAATTTATTTGAAAATAAAGGTTTTTGCTTAGTTCATCAGCTATTCCATAAAGAATAGAATGAATGAATGAGAGAACAGTTTGAAAAGCCAGCTATGCTTTTGTGTGGATTTTTTCTCTACCTTGCTTATTGTGTCCAAAAAAAGAAAAAGAAATGATCAAATATTTGCAGTGTGATCTCTGGTGAACGCTTCCGAGAGAGGGTTTTGTGAACACTGGTTTTGTGCTGTTAAGGCAGCAGTGACTTCTCTGAACTCTCTGGTCTCTCTTTATCTCTCCTCTATTCCACTACTAAACCAAAGGATTTTAGGTTGAGGTCAAGCTGTGGTTGGTGGAGGCTCAGAGTTCTGTTACATTCTTTGGAAAGACAGTTAGCAATCCTCTTTTTGGGGCCATTAATTAAGGATTAAACAGAAGAATCACTTTATTTCATTCCTCCAAAATATTTTCCAGATCTGTTATCCTGTATTCTACTGACATCTATTTTCAGTAACTTATAGATGTTCTATCCTGGTTTTTATTATAAGATTTTAGACCACAAAAAAATAATAAAAGGGAGAAATATAGTCTTTTAACATAAAATTGATTAAAGTAGAAGTATTTAGAAACACTCTGATAAAGAAAAAGTTGCATATTATATACAATATATACTGCAGAAATAATTTTGGAGGCTTTATCTAAATAATATGAGTTATTAAGACAATTCTTATCTGTTCTTAATTATTTAAACAATTCAGATGGAAGTCATGTTCTCACGTAATTATAATGTGAACTACAGGATAAACACATCTATTTGTGTGTCCCAGCCAGATTTTATGACTGATAAATGTTGCCCTAGCCATATTGATTGTGCAGTGATCCACATCAGTCAATAAAGCTACAGCTTTAAGCTACATGCGTAGAACAAAGCTCCAATGAAACACTCAATAAATAGTGATTGATTTATTTCTGGATTTCCTGGTTTGCTTTTATTTGTGGGCTATATAAATGCAGATAGGTAATTGGCCTAGAGCTATTTTGACAATTGTGGATCTATGGTCTTGCTTCAGAATCTCCATATTTACAAATCTAGATATAAATATCATGGCATTTTTATTCAAGCAGGTAGAACTATTGTTCATGCACATAGATTCCAGTATGATGAATTTCTATTGCATTTCTGTCTGCTTCTTTCCAAATCCAGAGAAGGCAGAAAGCATGACTGGAATTTCTAAAGTGAAACTTTGCACATCAACATAGAAAAAGGAAAATGGCAGAATCCAAAGTAAAACAGTGTTAAACATTTCCACTTAAAAATGCTCATAATGTTTGATTTTCCAAAAATAAGAAAAAAGAAACTTGCTCTATTGCTTGTTGTACAAGACTAGTTGCATATAATGTACAGACAGTCAAAACTGAACCACCTTCAAGGGCCACAGAAGAGCCATACACTTGTTAGCTAGAAGTAAGATGATAAAGAATGTTGCTAAATACAGTAATATACAAAGCATATGCCTCAACCCAAAGTGCTCAAATAACTAACAAAAAACAAAACAACAAACAAACAAGAAACCAACATGACGGCCAAACACAAGCATAATAGAATGCTTTGGCTGTCTTCTGCCTGCTGGCAGCTGGATTGTGACTACTGACTACTGGTTTCCATTTCAAAGATGTTGTGTAAAAATAATGTTAAAATGTTATGTATATGTGTGTGTGTGTCTATTCACATATCACACTAATTAGATGTTTCTATCTTTGAGGAAGTCTACTGCAGCTGATTTACTATTGCATCTCTTCAGGTGCTTAGTGCACATTACCTACACTATTTGCTTATTAATTGCCCCTTCCATAAACACAATGTTTAAATATAATTGTAGCCTTAGCTCCATAGTTTATTTTTAGAGCTTCAGTTTGGGGCTATTAATTGCATCCCTTCTCATTTCATGAAAATGGATTTTCCACAAAATAAAAAGTATGTACACTGGACAAACATTTTTTGCTGAGCTTTTCAAGAGTGGGGCATTTTGCTGGAGTAATCACTGTATGTAAGGAGGGAGAATGAGATTTTACTGTCTCCCAGGAAATAAGAGAGAAGTGACATCTCTTATCCTCTGGAAGTACTTTCTCTACTTTTGTTCCTTGCCTATCTATTGATCCCTTTGGTAATCAATGACTTCTCAGTATCCATACTTTACGGTGTTCGTTCAGTTAACATAGATCCTTGTCCCTGTAGTACTTGACACTAATGAATACTTCTAATTCTTGCCATCCTCTCTTCTCTTTAGGTGGTAATATATTACTCTCATTGTTTGCCTGTTACCTCCCTACTCCTTTACCATTTCCTTTTATTCTTCTTCTTCATGAATTCCTAGTGTATTTTTTTAAAGTGCTGTCTTTAGAACCCCCTTCCTTTCTATGCTCTCTCATTCTCTTTCATTAACTTGATTTTTTTCCAAAAATTTCTACCTTAGCCATTTACTCTTAGGATTTCAGCCATTGTCTTTCTGTGTGCTAGCACCAGATCATTATTTCCAGTTCCAATCTGTCTTCTGACTGTTACATTCTAATAACTGCTTCATTGACCTGTACACTTGCATACACTTCCAGCACATCAAGGCATACTTACCATTTGCAAAACTGAAGACATCAGTTCTTTTCTAAAATGTCTTTCTCTTCCTGAATTTTTTCAGCATTTCTGTTAGGGATGGCTCTATCTCTTCCAATGGCAACAACTAGTACTTTAGTTATTTCTATTTTGTTTTACTATACATTCTTTCTCAATATCACAATTTGAATAATTCATTTGCCTTGTAACTATTTTCAAGGCCCTCATTCCTTTTATAGATTTAGTTATTTTCTTTTATTTATTTTCCTTTGATTTCCCACAAACTATTATAGTAGTATATGCATTTAGTAGCTCTTGGCTATAAGGAACATAAACCAAATTAAGTTTTTGAATAATCTTTTAAATTTTGAAATAATTATAGTTTTTCAGAAAAGTTACAAGCAAGGTGCAGAGTTACTGTATACTCTTGATTTAGTTTCCCCTTGCTTAAATGGCACATTTGTCAAAGCTAAGAAATTGAAATTGGTAAAATACTATTAACCAAATAGAGACTTTATTATAATTTCAGCATTGTTCCAGAATCCAATGCATGACACCACACTGCAGTTTGTCATTTTAAGTAGCGTTTTCTTTTCATTAGGTTAGACTGATAACTAAATGGCATTCCTTGTCTGTTTATTTACTTGGCTTTTTCTTTATCTTAATTCCCTTATATGTTCTGGTGTGTTGGAGTTTCTTAGTCTTTCCTTATCAATCTTGTTATTGAAAATTTGAAGACAATTGAAGAATTCTTTCCATTTGGGTTGGTTTGATGTTATCTCCAAGATTAGACTGGGATTAAGAGTTTTTTTCCTAGAAGATTCCAACAGATAATTACTATGTAAATTATTTCTCTCATCAAATCATATCTCAAGGCACATATCAATATCAATATATCAGCATTACTTATTATTGGAGTTGTAAGATTCTGCATCATATATGTAATTTAAAAATATTTAATCTCAGTCTGAGGCTTGTCTTTTCATTGTCTTAGTCATGTATGTTACAGAGAAAATATCAGAATTTCAATAAAGACCAATTTATCAATATTTTTTCTTTATGAATTGTGCAATTTGTGTTGCCTTTTTAAAACTCATCACATAATTCAAGATTACATAGATTTTCTCCTATGACTATTTCTAGAAATCCTGTAATTTTATATTTAGGTCTCTAATTCATTTTCAGTTAATTTTTAAAGCGGTGTAAGATATGTCTCAAAGTTTATATTTCTCCTGCCAAAGTTCAATTGTTTGAGGAATTTCTGATGAAAAGACTATGTTTTCTGCAGTGAATTTCTTTTGCTTTTGGTAAAAATCAGTTAACTATATTTGTGAAATATATTTCCTCATTAAAAAATTGCTCTATTTAAATCTTATACCAACAGTGGGGTTTCTTTTAAGAAGCATATAGACAGGCTTTGCTTTCTTTTCCAATCTGACAATTTTTGTCATTCAGTGTATTTTTAGAAGTTCACATTTAAAGTAATCATTAAAATGGTTGGATAAAAACCTGTTGTCTTCTGAGCTGCTTTATTTTTTATTGATACATAATATATTACATATTTGTGGGGTATATGTGATATTTTGTTGCATGCATATAATGTGTAATGATAAAGTCAAAATATTTGGGGCATCCATCACCTTGAGTATTCATCATTTCTACGTAGTGGAAACATTTCAAATTCTCCCTTCTAGTCAGTTTGAAATATAAAATACATTGTTGCTAACTATGCTCACCCTACTCTATTGAATATTAGAACTGAAACTTTCTATCTAACTGTAAGTTGGCACTCATTGACCAACATCACTTAATCCCTCCCCCACCCCACACACATCCTTTCCAGCCTCTGGTTTTCATCATTCTACTTTCTACCACCATAGATCAACATTTTTATCTGTCAAATATGAGTGAGAACATTTGAAATTTGTCTTTCTGTGTCTGGTTTATTTCACTTAACATAATGACCTCCAGTTTCATATCTGTTACTGTAAGTAATGTGATTTTATTCTTTTTTATGGCTGAATAGCATTTCATTGTTTGTATATATACATTTTCTTTATCCATTCATTTGCTGATAGGCACTTAGGTTGATTCCATATCTATGCTATTGTCAATAGTGCTGCAATAAACATGCAAGTATAGGTACCACTTTGATATACTAATATATTTTCCTTTGGATAGATAACCAGTAGTGGGATTGCTGAATTATATAGTAGTTCCATGTTAGCTTTGTGAGAAATTTTCATACTATTTTCTGTAATGGCTATATAAAATTCCCACCAAGAGTGTGTAAGAGTTCCCTTTTCTGTGCAACCTCACCAGAATCTGTTATTTTTTTTCATTTTAATAGTAGTCATTTTAACTAGGGTAAGATAATATGTCAAGTTTTGACTTGCATTTCTTTGATGATTAATTATGTTGAGCTTTTCTCATATGCTTATTGTCCATTTATATGTTTTCTTTTGAGAAATGTCCATTCATGTCTTTTTCCCACTTTATAATGGAAACGTGTGTGTGTGTGTGTGTTTGTGTGTGTGTTTAACAGGTTGTTCCTTCACTCTGTTGATTCTTTCTTTTGCTATCTATGCATAAGCTTCTTAGATTGATATAATCCCATTTTGTCTATTTTTGTTTCTTTTGTCTGTGCTTTGAAATCTTAGTCATAAAATCTTTACCTTATGTTTCTTCTAGTAGCTTTGTATTTTGGGGTTTTACATTTAAGTCCTGAATTCATTTTGAGCTGATTTTTGTATATGTTGAGAGACCAGGGTCCAGTTTCATTCTTCTATGTATAGATATCCAATTTTCCCAGCACCATTTATTGAAGAGGGTATCTTTTCCCCGGGCACATTCTTACTGGTTTTGTCAAAGACCAATTGGCTGTAAATATGTGGATTTATTTTTATATTTTCTATTCTGTTCCATTGGTCTATGCATTTGTTTTTGTACCAATACCATGCTGTGTGAGTTACCATAAACTTGTAAAATATTTTGAAGTCAGGCAGTGTGATGCCTCTAGGTTTTTTTTGTTTGTTTGTTTTTTCCCCCTCAGGATTGCTTTGGCTATTTGGGCCCTTTTTTGGCTCCATATGAATGTCAGGATTAAAAAAAAAATCTGTGAAAAATGGCATTGATATTTTGCTAGGAATTGCATTGAATTTGTAGATTGCTTTGGGCAGAATGGTCACTTTAACAACATGAATTCTTCCAGTCCATGAGCATGGGATGTCTTCCATTTTTCTTTTGTGTGTCCTCTTCAGTTTCTGTCATCAGTGTTTTGTACTTTTACTTTCAGAGATCTTTCACCTGCTTGGTTACATTTATTTCTAGGTACTTGTTGTTGTCGTCATTGTTGTTGCTATTGTAAATGGGATTGCCTTCTTGATTTATTTCTCAGCTAGTTTGTTCATAGTGTATAGAAATTGTACTGATTTTTGTGCATTGATTTTGTATTCTGTAATTTTACTGAATGTATTGATTGCATCTTGGAGGTTTTTTGGGGAAGTCTAGGTTTCTCTAGATATAAAATCATGTCATCAGCAAAAAAAGGATAATTTCAATTCCTGTTTTCACATTTGGATGCCTTTTATTTCTTCCTGTTGCTTGATTGCTCTGGCTATGATTTCTATTACTGCTTTGAAGAGGAGGTCTTGTCCTCTTTCAGTTCATAAAGGAATGACTTTCAATTTTTCTACATTCGGTTTTCCCCATTCCGTCTGATGTTATCTGTGGCTTTGTTATATATGGCTTTTATTATGTTGAGATATGCTCCTTCTATGCCTAGTTTGTTGAGACTTTTTATCATGAATTAATGTTAAATTTTATGAAATGCTTTTTCTGTGTCTATCAAGATGATCATATGATTTTTGTTTTTCATTCTGTTGATGTGATATATCATGTTTATTGATTTGCATATGTTGAATCATCCTTGCATCCCTGGGATAAATCCAACTTGATCGTGGTGTGTTATCTTTTTGATGTGCTGTTGGAAACAGTTTGCTAGTACTTTGCTGAAAATTTTTGCATCTATATTTATCAGGGATATTGGCTTGTAGTTTTCTTTATTGCATCTTTGTCTGACTTTGCTATCAGGATAATGCTGGTCTCATAGAATGACTTAGGGATAATTATTCCTGTTATTTTTTTTGGAATAGTTTGAGAAGAGCTAGATGCTCTATTTTTATTGCCTTTGTTTTTTATTTTTCCTCTTTTACTGCCTTCTCTAGATTCAACTGGAGATATTTTATGATTCAGTTCCTTCTGTTCTAATGTCTTTTATTATTTGCCTATTTAAATAATTTTTATCAGTCTCCCAGGGTTTAAAATTTGAATTTTTAATAATTTGCATACACCTTCAAATAACAGTATAAAGCTTCACGTGCAATGTAAAGATTTTACAACAGTATTCCTAATTCACACTCACCACTCTTGTGCTATTGTTGTTATACATTTTATTTTTACACATCACCTTAACACATAATACATTGTTGCTATTATTTCATGGTTTATATTTTTAGTAATTAAAAATGGCATTAAAAGGATTATATTTCACATCCACTTATCCATTTACACCACTATTTATTTCTTTGTGTAGATCCAAGTTTCTGACCTAGAAAACATTCTTTTGGCATAAAGAATTTCTTCAAACATTTCTTTTTCTTTTTCTTTTTCTTTTTTTTTTGAGATGGAGTCTCGCTCTATTGCCAGGCTGGAGTGCAGTGGCTTGATCTCGGCTCACTGCAACCTCTGCCTCCTGGGTTCAAGTGATTCTCCTGCCTCAGCCTCCCAGGTAGCTGGAACTACAGGTGCACACCACCACACCCAGCTAATTTTTGAATTTTAGTAGAGATGGGGTTTCACCATGTTGGCTAGGATGGTCTCGATCTCCTGACCTCGTGATCTGCCCAGCTTGGCCTCCCAAAGTGCTAAGATTGCAGGTGTGAGCCACTGTGCCCAGCCTAAACATTTCTTATAAAGTAGGTCTGCTAGCAATTAAAATATATTTCTGTTTTTGTTTGTCTGAGATAGTCTTTATATCTCCTCTGCCTTTGAAAGTTAATTTTGCTGGGTATAGAATTCTGCATTGGTTCATTTCCTTTCAAAATGTCAAAAATGTCAATTCCTTTTCTTCTGGCTTGCTTATAGCTTGAAACAAGTGTAGTGTAATTATTATCCTTATTCCTCTGTAGAAAAGATATTCCTTTCTTCACCCATGCTACTTTTGATACTTTTCTCTGTGTCCTTGATTTTGAGCAGTTTTTTCTCCTTCTTGGTCTGTGAGTTTATTACATCTTGCAATTTGATAGCTACCACTACTGTTAGAAAATTCTTAGCCATTATTTCTTCAATTTTTTTCTCTGCCCAATTCTCTCATTTTCCAGTATCAGAGATCCCAATTATGAGTATATTATGTGGTTTTACATTGTCCCTTAGTTCTTGGATGCTGTTTTCTAATTTCTTGTTTTATACTTGTGCTTCAGTTTGCATAATTTCTACTGACCAGTCTTCAAGTTCACTGATTATTTTTTGTAGCTTTGTTGAGTCTACTAATGAGCACTTTGAAGGTCATCATTTCTACTACACTGTCTTTGGTTTCCAACATTTTCGTTTGATTCAGTCCTATATTTTCCATTTCTCTGCTGCAATGATCTACCGTATTTTGCATATCATTTATTTCCTCATTAGCGCCCTTAACGTATTAATCTTAGTTATTTAAACTTCCAGTTTGTGTCATAGCTAAGTCTGGTTCTATGCTTGATTTTTTCCCTTAAGACTTTTGGCATTTCTTCACATGCTTTTTAATCTTGCTTGAAAGGGAGACATATATTAGATAATATAAATTGAGATAATTAAACATTTTGTATAAAAATTTATGCTAAACGAACTAGAGATTGGGCAGTGTTTAATGTTTGCTGTAGTCGTAGGTCCCAGAAGCTTCAAATTCCTCTAATAACTTTTTGTTCCCACTCTTAACTTTGGGCTTCCCTAAACTATCCCTTCCCAATGAGAGTCTTGCAGATTTTCTAGGTGTAACAGACTGTTACACTGGAGCCATGTTGGTGTAGGGGTAAGGCTTCGGTAAGGGGTACATTTGATAATCTTACCATTAAATTTCAGTGTTTTTGTGGGCCTCTGTCTTGGGACAGTGACCTTCACAAATGCTTCTCCCAGGGGTACAGCTATTTTATCCCTTGCCTTCTACAGCGTAACTGACTGCAGTGTTTCCCATTGATTTCCCTGAAGTCCAGAGCCCTGTTGACTTTGTACTTTTCTTTTCTCCTTAAGTGAGACAGGAAGGCGAGAAGGGGCTGGAGTCAGATGAATGTTCTTCCCTCAGCTGGTGGGATAAGCCTCCTGTAAATCTGCCCCAGTCAGGACTTTGTGATAGAGAAGGCTCCGGGAATATTTCACCATGATTCATATTCCCCTCTCCTACTTTCTAAGAGCAGAGACTTGATTAATTTGACTTTTCTATTTTTTTCAAATCTATTGTTTATAAATAAACTTTAGTGCAGCAACCTTTAATATTTAATTTTGAGACTGAAATGCCATAGTTACAATGTTTTTTCATTTTCTTTCCTCTTAAGATAATTGTCTCTTGTCAAAGCCTATTTTGATAATACTGTTGATTAACTCTGTTTAACAAAAATTGTTTTCTTCCTCATGGCTCAGAAAGACATGATCATCACATAATCATACCAGAAATCCTAAAACATTTCAGTTATTGGAAGAAATCAATATGTTTAAATTTTATTTTTTTCAAGTACACCCATTTTATTGTAATATTTGCATTAATAATTTATTTTTTATATTTTGTAGTATCAAGACTCCACCTTTTAAATCATAGATATATTTTAGTGACTTCTAGATATAATATTCTTAAAAGCACTTTTATTGAGGTATGATTGACCTTCAAAAAGCCATATATACTTAAGGCAAACAACATGATGAGTTTGGAGATAAGGATACACCTGTGAAACCATCAGCACAATGTATGACGTAAACTCATCCATCACTTTTATAAGTGTCTTCTTATATTGATCACAAAATTATACAAGTGGATATTGGTCATACTAGTTGCTTACATTTCAGAACTAATAGGTATTATAATAGGTATTAACAGAGTGCTCAAGAGTTGTTATAAAAATTCTATGTTTCTAACAGCTCACTTAATGAAAATATTTGTTAGATCATGTTTAAAATTTTTCAAAAATGTAAATATGACTTAACTATAAGAAGTTTAAGAAACTGTAGTACAGTGCTAATGAAACAGTGGAATAATTAAATACAAAAGAAAGAAAGAAACTCCTCTGCAGTGCTGACGAATATCAGAGGAAACAAAAAGCTGGTAATGACAAGTGGAAATAACATAGGATGAGTCAAACAGAAGGATGTACTGGTTGTGAATTAGCAACAAGCTAAAGTTAATGTGGAACAACCTAAAATTATACAAGCACTATAAGAAGACATACTAAGTGTGAATTAAAAATGTTGAGCAAATGTAATTGAAATCTTAATTTATATAAATTTAACTAGCTAAATAAAATGAATTAAAATATTCATAAGATATATTAGGGCCTGGTAAAATGGTACATTTTATGTTATTGTTCAATCGAAAAGATCTTTAAGATCATAGGATATCTATCATTAATCTTGCTATTGATAACTAGCATAAAGTACTTGAGTGTGAAACTGATTAATATACAAATCATTGAACTCTGACTAAATAAATTAAGGAAATTAGGAAAAAATAGAAAATCTTTTAGATTAAGAGCCTTATATAGAATACAGAAAACTGACTGATGTATCTCTCATGTTACAGGAAAAGAATCTTATTTTTGATTCATCCCTTTTATTTTAACAACCAGAATATCAGACTTTCTGTTTGTTTGTTGGTTTTCAAAGGGTTACATAGAGTATAATATGCATTGCCTAATACTTAAAACGATGTTGATGCTTATAAAGACAGTTCTTCAACAACGCAGATCACATCTGTGTGTTTATTCTAAGCTCCATGTAAAACAATGTATATAACTAAAACATTTTGTCTACAGAAAGCATGTTCACTTTCAGGACTCAAGAGAAACAGGAGTCTGAGATTACTATATCAAATTTGCTTTTGGAATTTTTTTGCCTACTGGACTATCTCCTAACTTCACTGAACACATGCTAAAATCATTGTAGCTGACCCAAGACTATAGAATTCATTTGCCAAAGCATTTACAAGTTCCAGCAAAAATAAGGTTTTACTCAGATCATTGTACAGAGCTAAATAAAAATTGGCATGACTATTTATCCTTGAAGAAAAGCATATAGAAAACATGTTTTCTTTCTTTTTCTTTCTTTTTTTGAGATGAAGTTTTGCTCTTGTTGCCCAGGCTGGAGTGCAATGGAGTGATTTCAGCTCACTGCAACCTCTGCCTCCCAGGTTCAAGCAATTCTCCTGCCTCAGCCTCCCGAGTAGCTGGGATTACAGGTGCCCTCCACCACGCTCGGCTAATTTTTTTATATTTAGTAGAGATGGGGTTTCACCATGTTGACCAGGCTGGTCTTGAACTCCTGACCTCAGATGATCCACCCGCTTCAACCTCCCAAAGTGCTGGGATTACAGGTGTGAGCCACTATACCCACCCCCAAAACATGTTTTCTTTTAGTGTTTTTCAGTTTGCCCTAATATTGAGTTATACAACTTATTTATACTACAATAATCTACTAAGCTGAACTACAGTCAGGGTTGGAGAAGATTGCTAGGATATGTGAAAGAATCACTCTTTTATATTATATTGAAGTTTATAAGTTCTTGCTGAACAGCAGATAATGTGCAATAATTTGGGGTATAGTTTAGTCATGAACCTGACAATGGGAGAAGTAATGGTTATAAAATAATTTTTTAAAGAGTAGAAAACACACAGCCAGAGAAAGAGAACATAGAGGGGGGCATGTATGGCTTTTTGAACAAGATCTCTAGTATATCTGTGGATTTATTATTTATTTAATAGGAAACTTTTTATTATACCATTTCATGTTTTCTGAAAATTAGGTCACTCAAAGAAGCATAAAAGAAGCATAAAAGTCAACTGAAAAGTCTCCCAATGCCTAAGTTGAAATAATACGAACAACAAAATATTGTTGACTTAGAACACCAAAAATAGAATAACCATTCATGAGTCCATTCTGATATAAATAAAAGACTGCATAAATGAATAAATAGGGGAGAAGAAAAGAATGTTCCATGCAAACGAAATTGAAATAATTTATGTGGATATTCTCTAGCTGGGGAATTATAACATTCTGCTTCTCAAGTGTTGGCTGTGGACAGTGACTTCTTTCTGCAGACTACAGTGTAGAAAGGGGGACACAGAGAGCTATTTCCCAGGGGGGAAGGCTGACAGACACTACCTCAGTAAGGTGATTAAGGCTAACATCAACAGTTATGAATGATGTTGATATTATGCATACTTGATAAGATATGACACAAATGGCACTTTACTTGTGATCTTCCTTCCCTAAATCCATAATACGAGTCTTATCATAAAGAACAACAACAAAAGAAGCACACTAAAATATGAGACATATTCTAATACAGGATAGAGGAATATTTTGCAAAATACCCAACCAGTATTTCTCATATCTATTAAGATCATCAAAAGCAAGGGAAGTCCGAGAAACAGTCACAGTCAGGAGATGCCTATGGAAGCATGACAACTAAATGCAATGTCATATCCTGGATAGGATTTGGAATAGAAAAATGACTTTAGCTAAAACAAAAACACACAGAAAAAAACTGAATAAACTATGGGCTTTAATTAATAATAATATCAATATTAATCATTAATGAAAACAAATACACCATAATAGTGTAAGATGTTAACGATAGGAGAAACTGGGTGTAAGGTATATGGGAACTCTCTTTTTAAAATTTTTCAGTTAATCTAAAACAGTACTAAAAATTAAAATCTATTTTTTAAAAAATGTGATCTCTGATAATAATGCCAAACTTCCCTTTAAAAGAGCCACATCACGCCAGGCATGGTGGCTCATGCCTGTAATCCCAGCACAAAGCCCTGAACCAGGGCTTGGGTAAACTCTTCTAGTTAGAAATAGTCTATGTAGCCAGGCATGGTGGCTCACACCTGTAATCCCAGCACTTTGGGAGGCCGAGGTGGGCGGATCACCTGAGGTCAGGAGTTCGACACCAGCCTGACCAACATGGAGAAACCCCATCTTTACTAAAAATACAAAATTAGCCAGGCATGGCAGCAGGAGCCTGTAATCCCAGCCGCTCGGGAGGGTGAGGCAGGAGAATCGTTTGAACCCAGGTGGTGGAGGTTGTGGTGAGCCGAGATGGAGCCATTGCACTCTAGCCTGGGCAACAAGAGTAAAACTCCATTTCAAAAAAAAAAAAAAAAAAAGAATTACTCCATGTATATCATCGCTTGGTGCCAGGAAAGAGATAACATATCAGTGCCAAGGCAGGAGGATTGTGTGAGGCCAGGAATTTAAGATCAGCCTGGGCAACACAGATAGACCTTACCTCAACAAAAAAATTTAAAAAAATTAGTCAGGTGTGGTGGCACGCACCTGTAGTCCTATTACTCAGGAGGCTGAGGCAAGAGGATCACTTGATCCTGGGAGGTTGAGGCTATAGTGGAGCTATGACTGCATCACTGCACTGCAGCCGGGACAGCAGAGTGATACTGTTTTATTTCTAAATGAAACAAAACAAAGCAAAGTAAAACAAACAAACAAACAAATAAACAAAAAGCTACATCAGAGCCTCAAAGTCATACTTTAAAACATAGGAGATTTCTTCAATTACAGCACTGAATACTAGAGATAGTCAAACACATACAGACACAAAGAGGGCTTTCCTAATGGCTACAGAGTATTCACAGAACTACAAAAAATTGCAGATAAACAAATCAACAACCTAAAAATTGGTTTTATCAGACTTTCTATTTTCACATACTGAATATATGGCATATTTAACCTTACCTTGACAGTTTCTTCTATAATCACAACAAAATTTTATTTCACCCCACATCAATGTCTCAGGAACTAAATTCATAGATACAGGAAAAAAAAAAAAAAAGCTCAAGATGATTGTTCCCTCGCAGATATTGTTGTAATATCTAGTTCTGTCTCTTTGTAATGGGAACAAAAACACTGAAACTGAGATGCTGACTGGAACAAATAAGCAAACACCCAAATTCCTTTTTTGTATCCTTTCCTGTGAAATATCAATTCCAGGAAGATAGAGTGATTTTTTAAATCAGTGAATTAATACTTATTTTCTGACTTGATTTGTAATATACACCTTGAATTGTACTAAGTTTTTTAAAGAAGGCAAGATAAAAGCCACTGGCCTTACCTTAGAATTTAGGCAGTGTTATGGGCTAAATTTTTTCCCCTCAATTCATGTGCTGAAGCTCTAATTCCAAGTACTTCAGACTGACGTGTTTGGAGATAAGGTCTTTATAGAGGTGATTAATCTAAAACAAGGCTCTTAGGGAGGGTCCAGATCCAATCTGACTGGTGTCTCCACAAGAAGAGATTAGGACACACAGGAGAGACACCAGGGGGGTGTATGCACAGAAGAAAGGCCACATGAGGAGGAAGGGAGAAGGTGGCCATCTGCAAGCCAGAAAGAGAGAGGCCTCAGAGAAAATCAATCTTGGTGGCACCTTGATATTGGACTTTTAGCCTTCAAAATGGTGAGAAAATAAATTTCTGTTGTTTAAGCCACCAAATGTGTGGTATTTTGTTATGGCAACTCTAGCAAACTAATACATGTGGGTATATAACTTTGCCCCAAAAGAGGTCAGCTCTATGCCCTTAGCTTCTGGAAGATAATCTTTGTTTTTCTGTGAGCTTTGGGCTAGCCAGATATCATCAATGTGATTTAGGATAGGATCTGGCTACACCAGAATGTGAAACAATATGATATATGGTGGGGATTTTGAGTCATGGGCTATCAGTGAGCTTGTAGAATGAGAGCAAACACATGGACAATCAACCAATCAATCATATTTATGTGATGGTGTTCTGATAAAATCTCTGAACCAAGCTTACCCTTTGGCAATACTCCATGTATATCATCACATATCAGTGCTAAGAAAGAAATGCATCCAGACTGCATGTGGACAGTATGGCAGAAGTTCCATGTTTGGCAATTCCCTAAACTCTGCCCCCTGTGTTTCTTCTCTTGGATGATTTTATTCTGTATTTATTCTCTGAAATAAACCACGAACATGAGTATAGTAGCTTTCAGTATGTTCTGGGATCTTCTAGAAAATTATCAAACATGAAGGTGGTTTTGGAAATCTCCTGAGCTTGCAGTTGGAGTCAAATGTGGAGGTGGTCTGTTGTGGTGAATGTCCCTCTACCTTGTAGTGGGCTAACTCCTGCAATGGGCCATCACAAAATTGAATCATTAAGCATTTAGCAATCTGGATATCTTTATTTATCTAGTAGCCTATTTATGAATTTTGTAAGGTGATTTAAATTATTTCAAAAAACAGACAAAATCCTCCTCTGATAAGTTTCTGATGTGATTCCTAGAGTTAGAGTAGGTAGCTAAGCAGACCTGAGCAGGGCAGAAGAGGGACCCCACACTAATGTCAGGCAACCATTAGGTGACAGTCAGGTGGTGTTAAACTGTCTTGCTAAGTTAATAATTGGTCTCAGCTGGCACTAGGGAAAGACAGTCTCCAAATAGATAGAAAACACCTAAAGCTGGTGATTAGCAGCTTCCCGATAAGATCTCAGGGGCTGGGCGACTGAGCTCAAGCATCTGCACTAAGAGGCAAAATGACAGAGTTTAACTGGTATGTGACCTTCCTCTGGGGGAACACTCCACTGGTAAGGGAAAATCACCTTAAGCGAGCATGCACACAAACTTCAGTAAACACACTGTGTGTGTGGCCCCTCCCAAGTGCTGGCCGGCCACCATGCATGCAGTTAACCCACCCCAAGGAAAAAAATCAAGGGAGGAGAAACAGAAGCCCCAGAACCATGCCAATGTGTGAAACTCCAAGTCAAGAGCCAAACAGTGCACATGAACCTCTCAAGTTGCCTGCTTGGCCCTCTTCCAAATGTACTTTACTTCCTCTTGTTCCTGCTCTAAAACTTTTCAATAAACTTTCACTCTTGCTCTAAAACTTGCCTCAATCTCTCACTCTGCTTTATGCCTCTCAGCTGAGTTCTTTCCTGTGAGGAGGGAAGAGCTGAGTTGCTGCAGACCCATGCAGATTCCCCACTTCTAATACTGGAGACATAGTTCTTAATTATTTCAGCACATATTACAGCAGCCCAAAGGCAATTACAGGCTACATCTTTTACTCTTCTCCTGGATCACACTAATGTTAGGAAAAGAATAGTGGTTAGTCATGAGGTTTTGTTGATGAAAAAAATTGTATATGAGACTTCAGCTCTTAAAATGTTTTGTCACCCTCTAAACCTAAGTGTTAAAGACTTTCTTGGTTGCATATGATGAGGAATGGTTTTTACTGTTTCTATAAAAAGCAGTAAGTGCCATAGGCATATTTTTGCTGTTGAATCATTTTTTAGGAGTTTTAGTAAATCTGACTTTAAGATTCTCAAAGTTAATATTTTCTGTGAACTATTGGCTGTAAAGTTGAAAAAAGTGAACAGAGAAGAATTGCAAAGAATAAGGAAAGCATTCACTACCTGCATTCTATTTTTATAGTAACTTTTGTATATGTGTATATTTGAAACTATTTATAACTCATCTTTGGTCTTTACCCTTTATGAGAGGCAGATGTTTTATTTGTTTTTCATGATTGAATAAAGGCTACATTTCTGATAAAATAAAATTTTGAAATTTCATTTTTAAAAGTTAGCTGTTTCTGAGAGAAAACTTCAAACAGATTCATTTTCAAACATACTTTGGATAGGATGTTGTATTCAATACTAAACAAAAGTCTTATTTTCCTTAGACAGCATAAGGCTTTTACTGGCTAAAATCAGCCAACCAACTGACCAATCAACAGGATATTTATATTTCTCGCTTTTACTTGCATTGATTGCTGGATTCACGTTGTGCTATCTTTATGATCACTCAGGAAACTGCTCCAGAATGGACTATATAGTAAAACTCTTAGAGTAGTTGTAATATGATAGAGACGTTCTATTCCATTTTTCCACAGCCTATGGAATCCATGAGCTCTTTTCCACTTTCCTCCCTTTGCCCTTTGCTTCTGCCTTTTTTTTTTTTTTTTTTGAGACGGAATCTTGCTCTGTCGCCCAAGCTGGAGTGCAGTGGCGCGATCTCCGCTCACTGCAAGCTCTGCCTCCCGGGTTCACGCCATTCTCCTGCCTCAGCCTCCCGAGTAGCTGGGACTACAGGCGCCAGCCACCACGCCCGGCTAATTTTTTTTTTTTTTTTTTTTTTTTTTTTTTGTATTTTTAGTAGAGACGGGGTTTCACTGTGTTAGCCAGGATGGTCTCCATCTCCTGATCTCCTGATCCACCCGCCTTGGCCTCCTTATAGTGACTTTGCAGGCCAATAGTATGGGTTTGAATCCTGGCTCTTCTACTTATTAGTTCTACATCCTCAGGTAAACTGTGTATTCTTTATGAACCTTAGCTTCTCATCTGCAAATGTGAATAATATCTGTAAGAGTTCTTGTGAAGAATAAATATAGTCACAGATAGAAAGCACCTAACTTAAAGTTAGCACTCAAAAAATAAGGTTATTATTTATTTATTTATTTAATTATTTATTATACTTTAAGTTCTGGGATACATGTGCAGAACGTGCAGATTTGTTACATAGGTATACATGTGCTGTGGTGGTTTGCTGCACCCATCAAAAAACAAATATAATTTTTATAAAAATAAAATTTCAGAAATAAAAAAATAAACATAATAAGGTTTTTTTTCATATTTATTCTCCAAGAGCTTTCTCTGAGAACTAAAACCTGGTAAATATTCCTTTAAAAATTGTGATAAAAATAAATAACATGAAATTTACCAATTTAACCATTTTTAAGTATACAGTTAATTCTGTGGCATTACAAATTTCATTTTTAAAGAGCTTGTTGGAAACTTGAAAATGCAGGGGAAGCATTCTTCATTCTTGTTATTTCTATCCTTTGGACATGCACTTAGAAAAGTGTTTTGAGATAGATGCTTCTGCTGAATATCCTTCAGATTATTTAATATAAAATGCCCTGTGTTATAAATCCCACACTGCTGGGTAGAATACCAAAAAGCTATGGCAGCTATCTTTACAACTGGTGAAATGAGACAATGGATTATAGCTATACTTATTATTGAGACTTGTTCTGTTTACTTGTTCTCACCTGGCTACACTTGGTTAGGATTTCTCCCATTGGCTGAAAGGAAATCATTCTCTAGGCTTTAAGAAAGAAAATTCAGCTATTACTTCAATATTTCTTAGTTCAAAGCATGTCACATAAGCGGTGTTGTCAGCTTAATTCCATATAGCAGGACTAAAGTATACCTGCCATCTTACAAGCAAGAAATAAAAAGGCTTGCATTGACATAGCTAAGACAGTAGTAAAGCTAGGACCAGAACTCAGGCTGTTTTATACCTGCAAGCTGCTGTCAGTCATTTAGCTTAGGAAGCAACTGGAACTTTATCACACACAAGTGAACGATTAATAGACTAGATAGTGAAAAGTCTTTCTGCTATAAATCATTCAGTCTACCTGTAAGTGTGCCCTTCACTTGGCAATGTTAAAATTGTTTGAGCAAGTTCCATCAAATCTGACAGAAATGCCAGAGGATGCTAAAGTAGTTTGTCTCTTTTAATTTTGTAGATAGGATCAAATTTCACTTATACATCATAGTACAGAAACTATCCTGGACTTCTTTTCATTCATTTCTCAATAATTTTGTTTTGCCAATGCCTCCCATTTTCTTAATACACACTGACCTGCTAGGTTAGAGGAAGACAATGCAAAATATTTTGAATATTGCCATTGTCAAATGATAATTAGAAAGCCCTGGCACTCTATGCCTGTGGCCTGCAATGTAAGTTGATAGAGAACCTTTAGAAATCCATTTATTGCTGTGCCCCAACCAGAAGCAATTTTAACAAGTATCTTTAAAGAGGCAGCATTAGCAGGAGGTTCAACTTTAGTACCAATCACTCTCAAGTATTTCCCATTAAGACTTTTAAGCTAGAAAACTAAGAATCTGCCCAGTGGCAATGAATTAAGAATCTTGTGCTCCTATGCAAAACCTTGATTTCAGATGACCTCGAGGAGTGCAAAAGCTTGTGATTGTTCAACCTCTAAAGTAACCCACAAATCTGCACCAAGATATTCCGAAAGAATATTCGCCAATGCTCACTTCAGCTACGGCCCCAAGGAAGACATTTCCAGAAATTCACAGCTAGAGCCAAAGGCAACAGTGGGCCAGAGAATAATTCCCAGAAAGAAAAACCAGGATTGCTAGATGGTCTGAGAAAAACTGAACCCAGCCTGGCTATTGAACAATTCTTGTGGGGGTGGGAGGAATTTCATAATTTTGTGGGGGCAGTGACTGCTGGGTGGTTCCATTTCTTCCTTTGGTTAAATGGTATTTTTAATGTACTTTTCCTTTTCCTGCTCCACCACTGTTTATAGGGTGGCCACAGATAGATCAATCAACTTTCATTATGTAGATCACTAGAATAGTCACATCTGAGTCTGTTGGAAGGGGCGGAACACAAAGATTTTGAACTTGAGCACGATTAATATAACTGGATAAGATGTTGTGACTGTCTTTCTTGAATGAGAGTGTGTTTCAAGTGTAGAAATAAAGGGTCACATAAATATGAGGGTGGCAAAAGGAATAGCTAATGACTCAGAAAGACAAATTCCTTTAATCTATAGTCTATCCTTCTAGAGCAGCACTAGACCATAGAATGTTGTGTATTGAATTATGAAAATGTCTTAAGCTACTGTTTCCAACACTAACCTTATGTGGCTATTGAACACTTATGATTAGTGGAAATGAGAAACCAAATTTTTAATTGTATTTAATTTTAATTGATTTAAATTAAAACAGCCACACGTGACTAGTGGCTACTTTCTCAGGCAGCACAGTTTTATAGTAATAGATTTGTAATTTTTTTTTACTGTGCGTGTAACTTCCAACTGAAAGATTATGATTTCCAGATTTCCTCATGCTTGACTTAGTTATAGCAAAGGGATAAAATAAACAAAAAGCACAATATAAACAACTTCCAGATCATGCCCTTAAAGGAAACTATGCTCCTCTTCTCTTCTTTCCTTCTTTATGACTGTTTGAAATGTAGACAACTGACCTGCCTTAAATCATATGAATGAGGACATCCCTTTGGGGGATGTCACAATTAGATAGAAGGATAACTTTGTAGAATAGGAATTTGGGCTTTGTTAAGCCACCAATTTTTGGGATTTTATACCCATAATATGCTTACATTTGATCCCTTCTTTTAAAAAATATATTCTTGGGATTTGCTGTGTTTCCTTAATCACAGCAAAAGGTTCACTGTATTTCCTAAAGTCTAGAAATTTCTTAGCCATCGGTTTTATAAATATCATATCACCTTTATTTTCTGTACTTTTGGCTTCTGAAAGTATAATAAAATATAAAGTCTTTTTATGCTTAACTTCTCTGACATATTTTCTGTCTCTACATCTGTCTCTCTCTGCTGCATCCTGAGTAATTTCTTGAGATTACTATTCAATTTCCTAATTTTTACTTACGCATTATTTGACATTGAGATCTAAATTTTGATGTTAATACTTAGAGAATGTCTCCTTTGTTTTCTTTCAAATTTGCCTGTTCTCTTGTTTTTCTAGTATAATTTTCCCTCTACCAGTTCTAAACAGTCTCTTTTATGCTTTAAATGTTGTAAACATAGTTATTTTATGTCCCATGGTTGAGGAGTCTTGTATGTCTAAAGCTAATGGTAAGTTCAACTTTACTGCTTGTTTTTCTTATTTTTTGTTATAGTAACTTATTTCCTGTATATTTCATGATTTTGAACTGTGAACTCATGGTTGACAGAGATTTTTCCACAGTTATATTGAGATGTCTTCCTTGAGGCTGAACCTCTTCTCAGTTGACTTATTTCTACTCTGTCAGGGTCTTTGGACAGGTATCAAGCCAGATCTATTTCCCAACTTGGGATTTTCTCCTACCATATTGTTAGGACAAATTCAAGTGAGATCCAAAGACTTGTCTCCCTGAATATCTATTAATGCACATGCTCCTTGGCTATTAAGATCTGCAAAAATCTGCAATGAAAAGATCTACATCATTTCTATAAAATGATGTTTGCTCTATAATAGTATTTACAGGTATATTATATTGGCAGTTTTTAAAAGATACCTACTTTGGAATGGACATACAATTTCCTGATGAAATCCAATATGAAAATTAGTTTTGACTCTTACCTATATTCAACTTAGTTATATTTATCTCATTATCTCAATGATTTTTGTGTGAACAGTGTGCATTTATGCGTGTGTGTATACTTCGAATAATAAGAACCTAAATATCCACATCAACATGTTACAAGTATTGTGGAAACTTTCTACTTTTTCTCAATAATTTTCAATGTAGTCCTAATTTTGGCAGTTTTGACCATTTTTTCTTTTTTTATATTCATTGGTTTATTCACTCATTCATTTATATATTTAATCATTAATTTTCTAATTAATTATTAAGAATATTCTCTGTTTCACACAGTCTAATTGCACAGGGAGCCCCTAAGAAGCTAAATTAGGCAATTCAAGACTTTTTTATTATTAATAAACCCTGAGCTACTTAATTTAAATAAAATATCAATGGATTTATAAAACATAAAGTTTTATTAAGTAAAATATTGCTGAGTTTCAAAATGTATTTTAATGATTGTGGGTTTTTTATGACAACTATTTGCTCTAATTTAAGTAAGCATTCATCAACATTAAAAATTAGTACAATAACGTATTGCCATGACTTTATAATTACCTCACATATGGATTTGTGTAAATAGGTTATAAGATGTGTTTGAGAGCTTAGAGTAAATATAGGTATTAATAAAGCTTAGCATCAGATGGAGATGTGATACAATAAAATGATTCAGCAGATGATAATTTGGTCAGGTAGTCTATTTCTTTATATAGGCAGCAAAATTTTTAAATGTGCATTTCTTTATAGTAATAGAATCAGACAAGAACTTTCACAGCATGGGAAATTTTTGAAAATGGCATTCCATAGATAAGTGTTATAAGGTAAAATACACAAGTTGGCATACCACAAAAGCAACAATGATCCCCAGTGCTTGCCACACACTCCCACTTTTGTTACACAACTTTTGACATTCAGTCATCTTTGGCATGGTGTGTGCAGCCACATGACTGGTTACACCCCAGTTCCCTAGTTAGCTTCACATGACGAAACTAACTCTTGCTTTGGCCTTTTCTGTTTTGTGTTTGTTATTATTTTTTTAAGTTGCTTTATGACCATTTTAAGCATCTTGACCTGTATTTTCTCAACTTGAATCTTGAATAACAACTCAAATACTACTTCTTACATGTTGCTATATGTTCATGTCAATATCTACCATGAATTTGTCTTTTTTCTAGTCTGTTCCCACACTGCTATAAAGAAATACCTGAGACTGGGTAATTTATAAAGAAAAGAGGTTTAATTGGCTCATGATTCTGCAGGCTGCATGGGAAGCATGATGGCTTCTGCTCGGCTTCTGGGGAGGCCTCAGGAAACTGACAATTATGGCACAAGGCAAAGGGGAAGCCAGCACTTCACATGGCCAGAGTAGGAGGAAGAGACAGAGAGGGGGAAGGTGCTACACACTTTTAAACAACCAGATCTCATGAAAAATTTATCAGGAGGGCAGCACCAGGTGGGTGGTGCTAAACCATTAGAAAGTGCCCCCATGATCCCACCACCTCCCACCAAGCCCCACCTCCAGCACTGGGGATTACAGTTCAACAGGAGATTTGGTGGGGACTCAGATCCCAACCATATCACCTGTATTTTTAGGCACTTTGACCCACAAATAAAAGCTATATGATCATTTTACTTCACTAGCTGAATATTTGTAGCATATATTTTATATTCTTATAACTTTCTTCCTTCTGCACATTCTGCAAATTAAATTTGCATTTATCTGCACTTGTATACTAAACCAATTACAAATTAAAGATGAAACAAACTATTTGGTTTAGGCCAAAATTGTGTGGTGTATGCATTGCATTGTACCATAAGAAAAAAAAAAAAAGCAAAAAACAAACTTTGGTCCACAGATGGTGAACTACAGGAAATAATATTTCTTTCCAGGTCTCCACAGGCTTCACTGCTGAACAACAAAAAAACAAAGATATTAGAATAGTGCCTAAAATGAGATCATAGCTACACTCAGGCATGCAGGGACACCTAACAGACCTCTGTTCCCAGATTCTCATTGCTAATCCTTAGCAGGAATGGTTATGAGATGACTCTTTTGAGTGTAGCCTCTGATGCAAGTTCCTATTGAGATAAAATACATAGTAGCACAAACAAAATTCTTTGGTAAGTTGAACCAGGCCTGATTTGGAGTTTTAGTTTACTTTCAAGGAAACATCAGCATATATTATATCAATACATCTATGCTATTAGTGTTAAAGAATAACAAAGTTTTCAAAATATAGAAATAAACACATTTGTGCCCTTCTAAAAAATCTGATGGATTTGATATATAATAGAAACTGAGTAATTTCAATGTAAATTTGGATGAATTTATAAAAACACTGAACTTCAGAAAGTTTGATGTCATGAAATTTTAATATATTTTATAAAGTGTTATTTCATGCCAATTCTAGATGAAATATATAATCTAACCTTTACATTTTTATTTTAACTAAGGAGAACATTTCTTATGGGGAAAGTACTAATGGAAACTAGGAATAAGATATTTCAAAGACAAAATCTGAATTAAATTCTGACTTATACTGCTTGCTGATGGCTACGGAACACTACTTTTCTGAGCTTTAGTTTCCTCATCAGTAAAATAAAGCTAGGAATAACTATCTCAAAAAGTTGTGAAGATTAAGCAGGATTATATCCATAAGCACCAAAAGAACATAACATTTCCATATTCAAGTGTTAGCTATTTGTGTTGTTATAACATGAGAAACGAAGAACAAAGATTCACTTAAGTACGTATTTCTCTGATTAATTATTGTGTTGTGTTCTGTGATAAATAGGGCTACAAGAAAGCATAAGAATTCTTGTAAATTTGTTTGAGTTCATTGTAGATTCTGGATATTAGCCCTTTGTCAGATGAGTAGGTTGAGAAAATTTTCTCCCATTTTGTAGGTTGCCTGTTCACTCTGATGGTAGTTTCTTTTCCTGTGCAGAAGCTCTTTAGTTTAATTAGATCCCATTTGTCACTTTTGGCTTTTGTTGCCATTGCTTTTGGTGTTTTAGACATGAAGTCCTTGCCCATGCCTGTGTCCTGAATGGTATTGCCTAGGTTTTCTTCTAGGGTTTTTATGGTTTTAGGTGTAAAATTTAAGTCTTTAATCCACCTTGAATTAATTTTTGTATAAGGTGAAAGGAAGGGATCCAGTTTCAGCTTTCTACATATGGCTAGCCAGTTTTCCCAGCACCATTTATTAAATAGGGAATCCTTTCCCCATTGCTTGTTTTTCTCAGGTTTGTCAAAGATCAGATAGTTGTAGATATGTGGCATTATTTCTGAGGGCTCTGTTCTGTTCCATTGATCTATATCTCTGTTTTGGTACCAGTACCATGCTGTTTTGGTTACTGTAGCCTTGTAGTATAGTTTGAAGTCAGGTAGCCTGATGCCTCCAGCTTTGTTCTTTTGGCTTAGGATTGACTTGGCGATGTGGGCTCTTTTTTGGTTCCATATGAACTTTAAAGTAGTTTTTTCCAATTCTGTGAAGAAAGTCACTGGTAGCGTGATGGGGATGGCATTGAATCTATAAATGACCTTGGGCAGTATGGCCATTTTCACGATGTTGATTCTTCCTACCCATGAGCATGGACTGTTCTTCCATTTGTTTGTGTCCTCTTTAATTTCATTGAGCAGTGGTTTGTAGTTCTCCTTGAAGAGGTCCTTCACATCCCTTGTAAGTTGAATTCCTAGGTGTTTTATTCTCTTTGAAGCAATTGTGAATGGGAGATCACTCATGATTTGGCTCTCTGTTTGTCTGTTATTGTTGTATAAGAATGCTTGTGATTTTTGTACATTGATTTTGTATCCTGAGACTTTGCTGAAGTTGCTTATCAGCTGAAGGAGATTTTGGGCTGAGACAATGGGGTTTTCTAGATATACAATCATGTCATTTGCAAACAGGGACAATTTGACTTCCTCTTTTCCTAATTGAATACCATTTATTTACTTCTCCTGCGTGATTGCCCTGGCCAGAACTTCCAACACTATGTTGAATAGGAGTGGTGAGAGAGGGCATCCCTGTCTTGTGCCAGTTTTCAAAGGGAATGCTTCCAGTTTTTGCCCATTCAGTATGATATTGGCTGTGGGTTTGTCATAGATATCAAACAACCCCATCAAAAAGTGGGTGAAGGATATGAACAGACACTTCTCAAAAGAAGACATTTATGCAGCCAAAAAACACATGAAAAATGCTCATCATCACTGGCCATCAGAGAAATGCAAATCAAAACCACAATGAGATACCATCTCACACCAGTTAGAATGGCAATCATTAAAAAGTCAGGAAACAACAGGTGCTGGAGAGGATGTGGAGAAATAGGAACACTTTTACACTGTTGGTGGGACTGTAAACTAGTTCAACCATTGTGGAAGTCAGTGTGGCTATTCCTGAGGGATCTAGAAGTAGAAATACCATTTGACCCAGCCATCCTATTACTGGGTATATACCCAAAGGATTATAAATCATGCTGCTATAAAGACACATGCACACGTATGTTTATTGCAGTAGTATTCACAATAGCAAAGATTTGGAACCAACCCAAATGTCCAACAATGATAGACTGGATTAAGAAAATGTGGCACATATATATCATGGAATACTATGCAGCCATAAAGAATGATGAGTTCATGTCCTTTGTAGGGATATGGGTGAAACTGGAAACCATCATTCTCAGCAAACCATCACAAGGAGAAAAAAACAAACACCGCATGTTCTCACTCATAGTTGGGAATTGAACAATGAGAACACATGGACATAGGTAGGGGAACATCACACTCCGGGGACTGTTGTGGGGTGGGGGGAGGGGGGAGGGATAGCATTAGGAGATATACCTAATGTTAAATGACGAGTTAATGGGTGCAGCACACCAGCATGGCACATGTATATATATGTAACAAACCTGCACATTGTGCACATGTACCCTAAAACTTAAAGTGTAAAAAAAAAAAAAAAAAAAAAGAATTCTTTTGGCATATTTCCGTAATGCTTGTTTCACGTTCTCTCTATTATTTTTGTTATAATTAACTTGGAGTGTATAAAATGTGACAGCGTTATCATGGTTAACAGAAGGACTAAATTATAAAAAAATTATATATTTATTATTCTAAATTTTGCTAAAGACTTTCAAATTCCTCTAGGGAAAGCCATACTCTTTTCTTTGTTTGTGTGATAGATACCACATAATGGCTTCTGATATAGATCAAAAGAATATAAGACACATACACAATAAATTCTCTTGTCATAATTGAGACATTTAGACATTACATCTAATTCTGTATAGATAACTTTATTTCGAAATGTAAGTAGCTTAGGACCCTTGTTCAGAAGAGTGACACATAGGGGTGAATCCTAAGTGATATTCAGTAATAACCCTGAAAATAGTATGGAATATTTTGATGAGATGTACAAATAATTTAGCTAATGACTGAATATGATCAATGAAATTATTTGGAAGAATGTTACATTTCTATGAGGATTAATTTTATGTTTCAACTTGACTGGGCCATGTTGTATCCAAATATATTGTCAAATGCTATTCTAGGTATTTCTGTGAGGGTGTTTTAGGATGAGAATTACATTTATATTGCTAGACTGAGTAAGGGAGATTGCACTCCATAATGTGGGTGGGCCTCATCTGATCAGTTGAAGAACAAAAGGCTTTATCTTACCCTGAATAAGAAAGAATTCTCTTGCCTACTGGCCTTTGAACTAAGGCATCCGCTCTTGCTGGCTGTACAGTAGCTGTTGCCCTTTGGACTGAAATTGGAATATTTGCCACAGATTTCAGCTTTTGGAATGGAAATGGCACATGACTTTAGGAGATTTTAGACTTGCCAGTCTTCATAACCACTGAGCCAGTTCCTTATAGTGAAACACACACACACACACACACACACACACTCCCCTATTCATTCTGTTTCTGTTTCTTTGGAGAACCTTGACTGATACAATATTTAAAATTCACCAGTTAAACTGAAGTGTGAAAAAGAGCTACTCAAAAACATGTCCAAACAAACAACTTATTTTTCCAATTAAACCTCTAATGATAGATACATACAACTGGCAGGTTCAATGCATTTAAATGCCTCAAAAACTTATGGAATATGTTCATCAAAAATGAATGACTCTTAGGGTATCAGAATTTAAAGTTTTTGAAATGACCATGTATGAATTAAAAAAATATTTTTATGCAATGGGAAAAATGTTTGCGTCTGTTTTAAAAAGATGTAAATTACTCAAAATAGAAAAAATGGGCTTAATTTTGCATGACAATATGAATACAGTCGTTCGTTACCATTTGTTTCCTCGAATATGAGTTTATTACCTGGAACTTGAGTTTCTATGCCTATTCTTAATTCCTTAAAAGGTGACTTTTTTCACATAAAAAAAGTGGGCAACAAATACTAAAATTACAACACGATCACTGTCACAGAATTTTCAGTTATGGAAATCATTATTTACCCCTTATTGCTGGACTGTTTTTCCTTTTTCAAATAATTTCTAGTTAAGTATGAAAAGTAGATTTTTGATTATGTGGAAGCAAAATCTAGGGCCTCTCTGGCAATTTTGTGTCAAGAAATTTTGGTGTCTTTCTTTTCTACTTTTCTTTGTTTTTCTTTTTCTTCTGCTCTTGTTCTGCCTTCTTTGGTTTTAGTGTAGAATGTTATATGATTCAATTTTATCACCTATCTTAGCATATCAAATATAGCTCTATAAAACATTTTAGTGGTTTTCTTAGCTTCTGAAATATATATTTACAACAAATCTAAATCCACTTTGAAATAACACTATACTGCTTCACAGGTGGTATAGATAGCATAATACAGAGTAGTCCAGCTTCTCCCTCTGTTCCTTATAACATTGCTTTCATTCCATTCACTTACCCATATACTATAATCCTCCAATATAATAATATTATTATTAAAATAGTTACCATTAGATCGATTAAGAAAAAATGTTTTATTTTACCTCCATTTATTTCTTCTTTGTCATTGTCCCTTTTACTGTATAGACATGTATCATTTTCCTTCTCCCTAAAAAACTTCTTTTATAATTTTTTTCAAGGCAGGTCTATTGGCACCACATTATCTGAGTGTTTGGTTTGTTTGTTTGAGAAAGTCTTTACTTCTCTTTCATTTCAAAGGATAATTTCACCATATAATTCTAGGTGGGTAGGTTTTCCTTCTATCAACATTGTGAATATTTTACTTCACTCTTTTCTTGTTTGCAAGATTTCTGACACGAAATCCACTATAATTCTTATTTTTCCTCTATTAATAAGGTTATTTTTCTCTGGCTATTTGTAACATTTTCTCCTTGTCTTTGGCTTTCTGCAATTTGAGTATGCCATTCCTGGATATAGATTTTTTTGGTGAGTAGGCTGCTTTATGTTCTCTGAGTTTTATGAATCTGTGATATAGTTTTGCAGTAAATTTTGGAAAGTTCTCAGCCATTATTAGTTCAAATATTTATTTTACTCCCTTCTCTCTTCTCATCTTGATATTTCAACTATGCATGTCACAACTTTTGAAATTGTCTCATAGTTACTTGATTTTTTTCTGCTTTTTTCTTTTTTTCTCTTTGCATTTCAATTTTGGGAGTTTCTATGGACTTATCTTCAAGCTCACTGATTCTTTCCTCAGGCATGTTCTGTCTACTGATAAATCATCAACATCTTTCTTAATTTCTGTTAGTGTTTTTGATTCAAGCATTTCTTTTTGATTATTTCATTGAGTTTCAATCTCTCTGCTTACATTACCTATTTGTTCTTCCATGTTGCTCACTTTTTCCATTAGAGCCCTTAATAACTTGGTGATAGTTTAAATTTTCTGTCTGTTATTGTAAAGGCTGTCTCATATATGCATCTAGCTCTAATGTTTGCTTTGTCTCTTAAAACTGTGTTTTTTCTTGACTTTTAGGATACCTTGTATTTTTTGTTGAAAGACACACATGTCATATTAGGCAGGCCTTTAGTCTCAGATTTTGTTAATCTGAGTAGGAGCTGGGTTGTGTTTCATGTTTGCTGTAATGGTTGGTGTCAATTTCCTCTAGTGTCCTTATTTTTTCCCCATGTTGTCTTTGGGTTTCTTTAAAAATCTCCTTCTTAAAAAGAATCTTCACCTTATAGCTCTAATGGTAATACATCATTATTATACTGAAGCCCTATTTATGATGTTGTAGGTGAAAAAGGTTTATAATCTTATGATTAAATTTCCATCTTTACTGAGCCCATGTCTCTGGACTGTGACCTTCATAAGTGTTTCTTAGCTTTTAGGCCAGAGGCAGCTGGAGCTGGTTAATTTTCCTCCCATAGGTTGGAGCAGGCTATGCTAAAGTCTGAGTAGTTCTTTATTTTAAAGAACATTCTGGGAGTATTTTTAAATGTTTACTTTTCCTCTCTCAGCCAAAACAGGAGGGGTTTTTGTTTTGTTTTATTTCTTGGCTTTCTACCTTGAGACCTGGTAGGGATTCCTGGAGGTAAAACCCGTGAAAGCATGTAGACCCCACTAAAACTGCAGCCCAGGGAGTTTCTCACTCTCAGGTTAGTTCACACTCAGCCTCCAGCCACTCATCAAAGTTCCTATTAAGTGTGTTTGTTAGTTTATGGCTCCAGTGGCTTCTGCTCAGGCAAGCTGCTGGCTGTGACTCACTATATTCACCTGTCTCTACTGAGTACGGGGAGATGATTTGTCCTGAAACCTCAGCTGTCTCATGAGCCAAGAAAAGTTATTGACTTTTACTCTGTTCAGTTTTTTGTCTTCTTAGAATCCAAGTGATGACTTATAAATTGTTGCCATGTTAGAGCTGAAACTGGAAGTTCTATGTTACCATTTCTGATTTTTCATTTGTGCACATATTTTAGATGGTTGAATTTTGTCAAGTTTTTAATTTTGAGTACAGTTTATTATTAGTATAACAATATAATGTATTATCCAAACCATGACAAGTTTAAAAATGAAAAAGGGCAGTTTTAATGCCAGTTAAGAACAACAGTCATAAATGAGTTCTGACAAACTGTGACACAGGATCACTGCATATTTGATCAGAGTTTTTGCACATTTGAGATTATCTGTCCATTGTTTTTACATGTGATTGATTGCCAGTTTTCTTGAGCACATACCATAACATTCAGAATTTTTATATAAAGTTCGACTACATTTTTGCCATTAAATTTTGGGTACTGAAAAACTTGAGTTTAGATTGATTTTTCCTTGAAGTAGGTGACTAATTTTTCCTGTCTGTATATCTAGAGTACTTTTATTATATTTAAGATTTAGCAAATTTATCAAGATACAATTAGCAATGAATCATTTTTTATCAGTTCTTCCTGGGACACGGTTTTTGTCATTTAATTTGTAGCATCACTTATTTCTTTATTTATATATGTGTGTGTGTGTGTGTGTGTGTGTGTGTATAAATGTATTTATATTTCATTTTTTCTATGTATCCTCTACTTGTTTATTTTCATTCCCCAGGAATGTAAATTGTGCTTATTTGGATTTCCTTTCTTTCATATCTACCATCTTTTTTCTGATCTCTTTTATCTCTTGCTTTAATATCATTTTGTTTTGTTAACATTTGTATAGACTCTGCATGTCCTTTGTGATATTGCTTTCATTTAATTTCATTTGGACTTTAACGATAATTTTGTTTTTCTAGTTGTTTTCTCTAGATCCATCAGATCACATCTAATCTCTTTAATTTTCTAATTATTTCTTCATTAATATCCTTCTCTCAGAATTTTTTTCTCCCGGAAAACTGACCCGTGACCATTCATTTCTTTGGTAATATAGAGAACTACATGTCTGAAGATTTGGGGGAGTTAATTCCTCCTCTAATGTGTATCATTTAGTTAAAAACATATTTTTGGATTGGTCTACTGTTGGTTCCTTTCGTGTTATTTCTTTTTAAGTGGGGTAGATCCATGCAAGCCAGCACTTGAGAATAACTGCGAAAGCATTGAAGGAAGAGGCATGCGTTGGAAGCTTTAGCTAGCAGCTTTGTTCTCTGACGACACTCTCACAGATTTATGGTATACTCATTCCTGGGGCATATTGCTCTTTTATATTTTATTATCACCTTCACTGGGGCAATAAGAGATTGGTGTGGCTTTTGGTTATGGCCTTCCGTAACCTGCATGTATGTAGTGTGTTGTCTACACTTGCTCAGCTGTCTTTGGTCAGCACTGATAAAGAAGATCACTAAGGAAGATCACGCACTGCCTTTTCTTCTTTCAGCTTCCCCTCACTTTTTGCACCATTAAATTGAAGCCATGCAAAAATATTTCTAGTTTCTTCTATAGAGCACTATTGCAGTAGGATTAAAGGTATATTATTAGATGAACCTTTCAAGACTATGTCTAGAAAAATCTGCATGCTGCCTGAGGCCAAGAGGGCATGTATCTGTTCTATGTAAGCTTAAAATTTTGAGACATATTTCATTTTATTTGGCAGACATTGTTTATCTGATTGGTTGTTGATCACAACTGATTGTGATTTGCAGTTGTGGTAATTTTCTTCTCTGTTTTGTTTCATTTGGTTATTATCAGTGAGTTTTGAGGGAGGGGAGTAAAACAGCAATGCCACTGCCACATTTGTAACATCAAGGGAAAACTTGAGAAAAGACAAAAACATCTTGTAATATATCTCAGTGAACACTCTGAATTTGCAATCTGTTAAATAAAAACAGTTCACTATGTAAGTTCCTTAGTCTACCTGTTCCAACTGGACTGCCTCTGTTTCAAAGTTACTTAGTACTTCTTCAATGAGACAAACTATTTATAAGGCCCTTAAGTCTATTTCCAGAGAGTCGTTGCATTTACAAGCATACACTGTTATAAAATATTAATGAATTAGCACATTAAGTGCACATATTTACATATTAGATATATTAATAATATAATAATTAATATATTATGTATAATTAATAGGTAAAAGAAGTATATATATTTACTCCTTTAATATTCTAATAAATAGATACATAGTAATTTATTTGATCCATGCTCTATTGGTATAAAATTAGCTTGTCTTCAATATCCTTATAATATCACTATGTCTTTGTGCATTCTCTTGTTTATAAGTAATCTTGCATGCAAGTATTTCTGTAGGATAAATTTCATAACCTCACCATGGTGGTGTTGTCAAATGTTATTTTTAATACTTCATATGTAAGTACCTAACTATAAAAACTCCCTTAGAATTTTGTCATCTGTGGATTGTGGGGCAGATACTTTACAGAATAGGAAAAAAAAGACATAATAAAGACAAGAAAATAATATTGAAGTGGCCTACTTCACAGTTAAAGTGTGAAAATAAAATTGCACCGACTTCCAAGGACATTAAAAAAAGCCCAAAGCGCAAACCTGATAAAGGCTACTTTTAAGCTCATGTCAACAATATTGGCACTTTCAAGACACTTTTGAGTCATAATGGTTATTTGCAACAAATTGACAATTGCCAATGCCATGTGTGATTATGATATAACCTAAGGAGTAACTTAACTTTATTTAGTAAGTGAAAAAATACCTCAGGGGTGTCGAGTTATCCCAGAAGAATTGAGGCAGTTAATTTAGACTCCACAAATAAACAGCTCCTATTAGAAGACTTAATCCTCACAAAGTATTCATTTTTTGAAAAATTCTCACTTATGACAGTTACAGGGAAGTCTCAGCTAGAGTTGCTTGCAAGTTTAACTGAAATCATTCCCCTGCAAGAAGGAAAATGTAAAATGGCTTGAAAAACGGCAGTTATAAGAATGTCGAATGCATTTCAAATGTTGGTAGCAATGCTTTATTGAAGGTTAGGAACTGGGCCCATCCTATGAGTAATTTTTTTCTTTTTCTTTTTGAGACAGTGTCTCACTCTGGAGTACAGTGGTGCAACCATAGTTTATTACAGCCTCCAACTCCTGGGCTTAAGCAATCCTCCCCTTCCATTGTCCTGAGTAGCTAGGACTATAGTCACGTGCCGCCACTATTGGCTAAGTGTTTTTTTCATAATGGTTCATGATGGTTGGGGATTTCAGATGAAATTTAAACTGGATAATTACTAACCACAGCTGCCAACCAGTATACTGCACTGAAAGGTAACTAGCAGTTTGCTATATGGAGAAGTCACACCAAAGCACAGAGAAGTGACACTGGTTGTGTGTTTTCATGTTGTGGTGGTGGTTATTGAAAAGTTATTGCGGCTGGGCATGGTGGCTCATGCCTGTAATCCCAGCAATTTGGGAGGCCGAGGCAGGTGGAACACCTGAGATCAGGAGTTCAAGACCAGCCTGACCAACATGGTGAAATCCCGTCTCTACTAAAAATGTAGAATTAGCCGGGCGTGGTGGTGCATGCCTGCAATCCCAGCTACTTGGGAGGCTGAGGCAGGAGAATTGCTTGAACGCAGGAGACGGATGTTGTAGTGAGCCGAGATGGTGCCACTTCATTCAAGCGTGGGCAACAAGAGAGAAACTCCATCTCAAAAAAAAAAAAAAAAAAGAAAGAAAAAGAAAAAGAAAAGTTATTTTGAGGTGCTTTCAGAACACTGGTGTAGGAGTCTACTAACCCTCCCAATATTACTTTTCATATAAATACATGTATTCAAGTATAACTTGTAATTTCAAAATAAAAATAAATCAACTTGTGGTATAAGTGCAAAGAAATCATTCATACATTTACAGAGAGAAGAAAAATAACACTCATGAAGAGCCTACTGTGTGAAAGCAAGCTTTAGATACTTTACTTTTGCTATCTAGGTTTAAGTCTTTATAAAAAGTAACCCATGAGGCAATTATTATTATTTCCATTGTATAGATGAAGAAATTAAAGTTTCCTTGTTAAGGTTTAAACCGTAACAAATGTAAACTCTAAGCAGAACTTGAACTCTAGCCATCATAAACTGCATTCATTCAATAAGGATTCAGTACATCTCATTCATAATGATGAGGAACGTCCATTTTATTCCTTCAAAAAGCAGTAGACAAACTTATAATTCAGTTTTGCATCCATATTTTCATAGTTTAAATTTTTCTAAGTAATGGCCAGTCTTCATAATAATTTTGATTTTTCCAAGAGAGTGAATTTACTAAGAAAGATTTACTAATGTTTAATATTAGTAAATATTTCTTTTGTGCAACACATTCTCCTTGGAATTGTGAAATTATGTATAGCTTATCAGTATATTAGGATAAATAATGGTCAATTTGAAGTATAATGTAATATAGGATAACTTATCTGAAGTTGCTATCCACTGGCCAATGGAAAGTTCTATTGATTAGATTCTATTTTCTGGCTATATCACATTCCAGTTACAGTATCATTTGGGCAGGCTGTGTTCGAGTATGCGGTTGGTAGACTGGACACTTAGCTACTATATCAGTTACTAGACCAGTGTCATGAGGTGATGTCTATAGTTGCTGAATCCAGGTATTATTTCCATCCCTGAACACATGGCCACTTTGTTCATTAGCTCATTGAGCAAACACTGATGTGGCTGAAGAAAGAAATTTAGTGATATCTAAAGGATGGGGCATCTTGTTCACTTGGCTTTAGAGGAAACAGGTATGGACTCGTTGGTAGTTACTCAAATGGCATACAAGTATTTTCACACCCTGGGTCTAAGAGATTCATTCATATAACTCTCCCTAAAACCTACTTGGCACTAGTTTTCTAATATGTTCCTTCAAAACAACTGACTATTGAGCAAACCAGTAACCACTGATCATGGATCATGACTGATTCATATCTTAGTGTCTTTTGTTCTGAGCAATGTAGATAACCAGATATAAAATTTGAAGTTTGGAGGTTTCTCATTCCTCAGTGTCTTCAGGGCCTCATATGAGTGAAACTGAAATGATGCAACTTAGGACAGGTGTCTGCACATTGTATAGTAATGTATACAAATGGCTTAAATAGTTCATATAGATTTCCTGTGAAGAGTGGGTGAAGAAGAGTTGGCCTGCAGGAGCATTATGTATTTCAGGAGTATGGGTCAGCTGCTTCAGCAACTTAAAGGACCATTCAGGGCTTACTGTAATCCAACTCATGTATATTCTTTTACTAGATGCTGACATGCTGCTGAGCACACACACACACACACACACACACACACACACACACACACATAATTTGAATTAGAGCTTTGGTCTTCTGTTTACATGAAGTACTCGGTGGTTTTCCAGGTTATATCATTACCCAATAGCAAACCAGTAATTATTTCTTTGAATGAGAAAGGAAGTGTATTAGAAAGTACAATTCATTTCAAAATTGTAGGACTGTGATTTTTCTATGGGCTTTTAAGCAAGCTCCATAGAACATCCTGATCTGCCACAACCCAGTGAGCATCATTGGATCACCTGGATCATAAAAGCAGGGTGACAGAATTCTTGATATAAGAGGCTGAACCAGTCAGAGAATCCTCTCAGGATCTGGCCCAACTCAAGGATGATAGCTTTATTGGTTTCTTGATAAATACAATACAATAACATACCATATATACAATAAAACCTGACAAACATTAGCTGATTTTTAGTTAAAGGAGATATGAGAAACAACTTGTCTTTCACTTCTAAGAGAGTATCATAACATGCTTCAGACAACTGGAATCCCCTAACACTTCATTGAGGGAATCCCCTAACACTTCATTCATCGCTGGTTTTGTGAGGTTTATGTCCCACTCTCAGGCATGCATGTTTTGTACTAACTAGGGTGGCTACCATATCCTGATGTATAAGGCCTTTCTACATGTTGTCATCACTGAAATGAATCAGTGGAATGCCACGTGGAATGGTAGTGTGAATATCTTGACAGAGTTGGAGAGTTCCTATGAAACCAATTCAAGGTGGTCAGGTGAAAAAATATATGCAGTCAATTATTATAAAGGGAAAACCCCTGTCCCAGGAATGGTGGATCAGGCCTGTAATCCCAGGACTTTGGGAGGCTGTGGCAGGCAGATCACTTGAGGTCAGGAGTTCAAGACCAGCCTGGCCAACATGGCAAAACCCCATCTCTACTAAAAATACAAAAATTAGCCAGGTGTGTTGGCATTCACCTGTGATCCCAGCTACTGAGGAAGCTGAGGCACGAGAATCGCTTTAACCAGGGAGGTGGGGGCTGCAGTAAGCTGAGATTGTGCCACTGTACAACCTGGGTGACAGAGCAAGACTTTGTCTCAAAAAAATAAAAATAAAAATAAAAGGCAAGCCCCAAACACACAGTGTAGCTGCCAGTTTCTTAGTCATACATACATCAGGTACCAAAAGTAGCACAGATGAAGACCAGTAAATAGTCTACATATGAATAGTAGCTGCAATTGTAAATGCTTCCTGATTGAGTTTATGTGTTTGAAATACTTCATAATCCACACCACATCAAATTTTTTTTAAATAATGACGAATTAATGCAAAAACAGCAATTTAAGTTTCTCTCCTGAAAGGAGAAGCCATTTAAATCAGCATGGTGCAATGGCTCATGAGTATATTTTGATAGAATTATTGGGTAGTCTTACTTGGCAATACACAATTTCGATTTGCATAATTAGCTAATAGATTTGCACTTTATGTCAAATGCTGTTACAGAAATGAGACTGTAGAGTTGATAAAGCCATCTCTTTAATATGAATCCAGGCAATTATTTCAGCTTAAATCAATAAATGCAACTCCAGCCCCCTTTATTTCAGGACTGACTATACTCTAGAGGCTACGAAGTCTAAAATTCCTGGACCTCCTTACAGTTTATGTCCTACATGTATTCCAGCTCCTCCCAAGCTGATGTTTCCTTGTGGAAACATAAAAAGTTGAAATGATATGAAGATTCTGTGGCTTCCATTGTTTTTGCTTGCAGGTATTTTCATGGATGCATGTGGTTATTTCAGTAGCATTAGAACGGATAGTTTAGTGTTCAATCCCTAGCTTAGTGGGCATTGGACATCAGTTTTGCTGGAAATGTCAACACTGAGAATTTGTTATCCTGGAGATTATACTTAGATTTCCTGATCCCTGGATCTTAGTAGAGGTTGAGTCATTAGTTGGGGCAGCAGCTTTTCTATTTCCTAGCATTTGAACTGAAGCAGAGAGAACTTTCTTTAGAAGGCCAGTTCTGTATCATTCTAGGAATCAACCTGGAAACTCAGTTTGGAGCCTTCATCCCTAGCCATTTCAAACTATTTGTAAATAACCAATTTTCTTTATTAATCTTTTTCCTCTTAGATTTTTTAAATGCCAGTCTTCTTAGTGCATATTATCAAGTGAATAATTTTATTTGATTTTCATTTTTATTCCCTTTTAAGCAATTAACGTGATATCTTTCTTCCATTTTATTTTAAATAATTTCATCCACTAATCAACAAGAAGTATGCACATGAAAATATTTTATGCTTGGAAACCAAAAAGTATAATGAATAGACAACATTTGCAAACATGAATAACATTCTACCTGGTAAACATTTTCATGAATGTCTTCAAATAGGCAGCCAGTGTAGATAAAATTCTTGGCAAAGAAAGTTTAAAAAGGAGTGTTAGTAGCAGCTGGCCTATGGAACATTTGCAAGAACATTTGTGAATTTACACTGGGCCCAAAACAAACATTTGTTTTGCCATAATTATTGAAATAAACATTTTAATTTAGGTAATGTTTGACACCAAAACAAGTGTCTTCAAATAAAGTAATATTTAGGAAAGCAAGACTCATGCAAATATGTTTCTTTGCTAAGTAAATATTTTATTTTTTAGGTTTTTGCCAATGCAGGTGTTAATGTACATGTTAGGTAAGGTGTGGGTGTCCTTCTTCATCATAGTATAAGGCACATAACTCTTCCTTCTTCTTTAGTTATTTCTATAATACAGTAGGAAAAAATGGTTCTGTAAAAAAATATACACAATATAATTACAAATAAGACACATATTTATCTTAACCTACATTGAAATGTCTTTGCTAAATAGAGTTATAAAATCAAATTTGCTCCTGGTAATAATATTTTTCTGTAAGGGCTGGGTGATAAAGAACTTTTCAATTATATGAAACATAACATTTACAACTGTGATAATACCTTAACTTTAATTGTTTATCCTTCAAAATACATAAATATTGTTTTATAAAATGTATTTGGCCATTATATCTATCTTACCTCAAACTCCATCTGAGGACATTTTACACAGTACAACTAATGAAAATTGAGTTCCTGAAAGGGGCTTCTGGGTCTGAATGCATGACTGAATTTTTTTGTTTGGGAGCTATAGGTAAAAGCCCTACCAATTAACCATACTGAGGCTTAGGAAAGGGTCAATGTATGTGTAGCTCCTTCGTATTCTCAGTCTTATCCCCCAACCTATTCCACAGGTCATCCTGGGAATAAGAGTATAGCTAGGTCAAGGAACATGTGAAGAAATTTTACAAATAAAAAGCAGAATCTCTAAAAATGGTAATGAACTAAGCAGGGGCTGATACCATGGTGTAAATTCAGAACCAAGTAGTCACCTTTTGCTAACTAAGAAAGTCCAGAAAACACTCATGTCATTGAAGAGTTAATGGGAAATACTTCTCATTCCAGAATTTTATAGTTAGCTAAACTATCATCAACAATGAGTATATGGTAACAAAATAAACAAACAAGCAAAAGCTATGGGGATTTACCACTTCAATGAAATATTTCCAAAAGGTTAAACTTCTAACAGGAGGAAATGAACACAGGTAAAATCAGGAGAATATAACCACCCCAAAAAAGTGAGTGAATTTTCATGGTAAGTTTCAATAACTATGTACTGTCAAATAATAACAAAGTCTATATATCATACATGAAACAAAAATTCTAGGTATAAATAATCAAGAATATGTGGTTGAATAATTCTGTGATATGTAAAGTATGAAAAGATTCTTGTTATGTTTAGCAGCAAAATACAGTTATTAAATAACTATATATTAGAAAGTATGTGTGCATGGGCATGTATGTGTGTGTAGATTACCACTGGAAAAATTTGAAAATATAATGTGTAGCTTGTGTTTAAAAGAAAAGAATGTGGATAAGAGAAAGTAGGAAAGTAGAAATAATCAAAGACTCAAAAAATGTATGGTAAGAAGAAAAGTAAAATCAAAAGAAGATGATAAAGATATCTGCTCTGGAGTATAAGGTCCTCAAATTCTAAAAGCAACCATTCAGCCTGCAAGGAAAAGTCTACAATATGAAAGTATAATACAAAAGCAATTATATGAAGGTACCAGAAAGTGAATAGAATTGGAGAAAACTGAACAAGTGAGTTGCATCTTGGTAGTTTTTAGCCTGGGCTAATTAAAGGTGGCATGGCATGACAATGGCAGCAGAGTTATTGATGAAAGACATGCCAGTGATGGAGTTGGATAAACTGTAATCTTTAAGCCCTGGGCCAACAGAAAACTGAAATCAGGGAAAAGATGATTGCTGAAGAGAGCAGTAAAATTTCAAGAAGAATATATCCAGAATAGACATCCCCAAATTATGTCTATGTAGAGCTCTGATTCATCTCTGAGCCATGCTTGAGCTAAACAGACCCAGAGCTACTCAACAAAAGACAAAGATCTCATTTGAGAATGGAATTGTGACTAAGAAGCAGTTTTGCAATTAAAGCCAGTCAAACTAAACCTAAGGAATAAACACTCATTAAAAAACAAAAACAAAATAAAAACAGAATTCAACTATCTACAACATAATGTCCATAATGTCTAGTACATCATTCAAATTTATACAACAAGTGAATACAGAAAATGGGACACAGTCTCAAAAATCAAGAAAAAAAATTGAACCAAATATTTATATCAGTCAGATGAAAGACTTCCGAAAGAGAAGTTTTCAAGTTGCTTTTGTGACTATGCAAATAAAATCAGATAAAATATGATCACAATGAATACAAATATAGGATATTTCAGCAGATAAATATAAACAATTTAAAATATCCAAATTAAATCTTGGGACTAGACTATGTGTTAACTAAAATGAAAAAAATAATAATTGTATGGACTTAACTGCAAAATAGAAGGAAGAGTCAATGATCTTGAACATTGATTACTAAAAAAATAGAAAGTGAAGAAAAGAGAGAAAAAATTGTAAATATTATGAGAAGAGAAGAGAGACTCAGAGACCTTTTTAATAGTTTCACATGGTCTAACATACATATAATTGGATCCTGGATGGGAAAAGAGAAAGAATGAGTCAGAAAATAATATTTGAAGTAATATTATATAAAAATCTCCTAAATTTAATGAAGAATAGAAATGTACTAATACAAGATGATTTATAAGCACATGTAGAATAAAACCAAAAAAGAATTGTGTGAAATGAAATTGCTGAAAGGTAAATGTTGAGAGCTAATCTTGAAAGCTTCAAGAGAAAAATGGCATGTTACAGGTAAGAAAACAATAAACTAATGAATGTCTGGGCTTTTAACAAGAAATCATTAAGGCCCCCCAAAAGGAATGTCTTTAAAGTGCTGAAAGAAAACAAAGTTAAATCAGAATTTGATATTTAGCAAAAATATCCTTTAAAAATAAATGTGTAGTAAAGATATTTTTAGGTGAAAGAAAACTAAGATAATTCATTGTGATCAGACCTGCACAAGTAATGAGAAGGAAAATTATTCAGGTGTATGGAAAATGACACAACTGGAAACTCAAATTTTCCAATATAGTAAATAAATAAATATCATCTGAAATATTTAATGCAAAAAGCATTTTTTGCCTTTTTCCTCCTAACTACTTTATAAATCATATAATTCTTGGAAGCCAAATTGTGTAGTGTCTATATAAACTGCAACATAAAAGATGGGAGGATACGAACTTATCCTCTATATTTTTGCAAAATTACAGCACTTCATGCAAAGCACTGCAATAAGAATTATAAATAAATTGTGAAAAGTTAAGGATGTATATAGTATTATCTCAGACAATCACTAAACTTACAAACAAAAAACAATAAGGTATATCTAGCAAAATAGGAAAATTAAAACTAGAATTCTAGAGATAATTCATAAAAGGACAAAAATGGCAGAACAGCAAATCAAAAATAGAAGAGACAAATGAAAAATTATAATAAATTATAGACTTAAATCTAATCATTTCAATGATTACATTAATTGAAAATGGAGCATGGGCTACATTTCCATCTATTGGTAGCTTACTTAATTCCTTTCATCAGTGTTTTATAGTTCTCAGTGTACAAATCTTTTGGATTTTTGGTTAAATTTATTCTTAAGTACTTTATTCTTTTTGATGCTATTGTAAAAGATTTTTTTATTTTTCTCATTGATCATAATAGTCATAAACATGACTAATTTATGTATGTTGCTATTGAGTTTGTACCCTGCTGCTTTACTGAATTCAATTATTAGTGCAAATACATTTTGGTAGGATCCTTTGAGTTTTCTACATATAGAATCATGTCATCCATAAACTTGGATAGTTTTACTTCTTTTGTGATTTGGACGACTTTTATTTGTTTTTCTTGTCTGATTGTTTATGCTAGTACTTCCAGTACCATGTTAATAGATGAGGTGAGAGTGGGCATCCTTGCCTTATACCAATCTTAAAGCAAAAGCTTTCATATTTTCCCTATTCATTATGATATTATTTGTGGGCTTTTCATAAACGGTCTTTACTATGTTGAGAACATTTCCTTTTATACCTTTTCACTGAGAGTTTTTAGCATGCAGAGATGTTAAACTTTTTCAAATGCTTTTTTTTTGCATCTATTGAGATGACTATATGGTTTCGTTTTTCATTCTGATAATGTGATGTATCACATTATTTGATCTGCATATGTTATAAGCCAGCCTTGCATTACCTAATATTGTTAAAATACCCATATTACCCAAAGCAACATACAGATACAATCCAACCCCTACAAGCAAAACAGCAAGCTACAGGCACAAAGCTGACATAGATACCAATGGAAGAGAATAGAAAGCCCAGAAATAAATCTGCTTATATATGGTCAACTGATATTTCACATGTATACCCAGAACACACAATGGGGAAAGGATAGACATTTCAGTAAATGGTATTGGAAAAACTAAATATCCGCATGCAGAAGAATAAATTTGTGCACTCATCTCACACCAAACACAATAAACTCAAATTGAATTGAAGATCTAACTAAAAGACCTGAAACCATTGCACTCCTAGAAGAAAACACAAGGGAAAATTTATTTGATATTGGCTTTGCAATAATTTTTTTTTAATATGGTGCCAAAAACTCAAGCAACAAAAACCAAAAAAAAAAAAAAAAAAAAAAAAAAAAAAAAAAAAAGAACTACATCAAACTAAAAATCTTCTACACAGCCAAGGAAACAATTATCAAAAATAAAAGGCAACCTACAGATTGGGTGAAAATATTGGGAAAATATGTATCTAATGAGTGGTTAATATCAAGATACATAAGGAACTTGTAGAACTCAATAGCAAAAAAAAAAAAAAAAAAAAATTAAAAATGGGCAAAGGACCTGAGTAGACATTTTCCCGAAGAAGACATAAAAATGGCCAACAGTTATATAAAAAGGTGCTCAACATCACTAATCAAAACTATGAGACATCAATTCACAACTGTTAGAATGGCTATTACCAGAAATACAAGAGAGAACTGCAGGCAAGGGTGTGGAGAAAAGGGAACTCTTGTACACTGTTGTTGGTAATGTAAATTAGTATAGCCATTATGTAATAACAGTATGATTGTCCCTCAAAAATTAATTAGAATTACCATATGACCCAGTAGTTTTTCTGAGGTCTATATACCTAAAAGGGATTACATTAGCACCTGGAGAGATATCTGAGCTCCCATGTTAATTGCAGCATTATTGGTAATAGCCAAGGTACAGAAAAAAACCTAAATGCCCATCAACAGATACATGAAGAAAGAAATGTATACATTGTGGTACATATATAAATGCACAATGGAATATGATTTAGCCTTAAGAATGAAGGAGATCCTGTCATTTGCAATGACAAGGATCAAATGGAGAAAATATGCTAAGTGAAATAGTATAGGAACAAAGATACAAATGCTGCATGATCCCATTTTTATGTGAAATCAAAAAAAAAAAGCTGAATACATAAAAATAGAAGAATAGTGGTTAAAACAGGGTAGAGGGCAAATGCGGAGATGTAGGTCAGATGGTACAAATTAGCAATTTTGTAGGAGGAATAAGTCTAGAAATCTAATGTACTGCAGGAGGATTACAGATAATAATATTGTATTGTATATTAAAAATTTGCTAAGAGAGTAGCTTTTAGGTGCTTTTACCACTAGAAGAAAAAGAGGTAACTATGAAAGTTAATGAATATGTTAATTTGCTTATCTGTAGTATATAAACCTCATGTTTTATATCTTAAATATATACCTTAAAAATAGTGTTACTTAAAAAAAAGAAAGACAATAGAGCAAACATTTCAATTAAAATTTAAAAATAGTCTTAGTGGATTAAAAACAACAAACAAAACTATATGCACTTTTCAAGAGAGGTGCTTAAAGTTTAAAGATACAGATAGGCTGAAAGTAAATTCATAGAGAAAGTTTATCATATATTATTGGCCAAATTGTGTTCTCCCGAATTCATATGTTGAAGTCCCATTCCCCATAGCTCAGTGTAATAATATTTGTAGAGAAGGTATTCAAACAGATGGTTAAGTTAAATAATACAATTTGAGAGGAACCTAATCTAATCTGTGTACTTACAAGAAGAAAAGATTGGGATGAACAGGAGAGGCACCAGGGATGTTGCACACGGAGAAAATATCTTGTGAAGAGGCTGCTAGAATGCAGCCATCTGTAAGCCAGAGTGAGGCCGCAGAGGAAACCAACCCTGCCAGCATCTCGATCTTGGATTAGCATCCAAAACTGTGAGAACATGAATTTCTATTGTTGAAGGAACCAGTCCATGGTATTTTTCTATGGCAATTCTAGGAAATGAATACAATGTACCAACACTAAGCCATGAAAATGCTGATGTCACCAGAAAAACACTGAATGGTTGCAATTTAAAAATATACTTATAAATAATCACCATAGGTCATGGAATAAATTACAAGAGAAACTGAAAAAATACTTTGATCTGAGTGAAGATGAACATCTAACCTGTGAAAATTTGTGAAATGCTGCTAAATCGGTGTTTATATTAAAAAAAGATAAATATACAAAGTCAGAGTTCACACCTTAAGAAACTGGAAAAAGAGGAAAAATTTAAACCCAAAGAACAAAATAGAGAAAAGTAATTAAACCAAAATCGTTTTTCTTTTTTTTTTTTGTTTTTAAAGATCAAGAACATAAATAAGTATCTGGACAGTCAGTTCTGGAAAAGAACACAGAAACCACAAATTGTCAATATCAAGAATGAAACAGGAAACATCATTACATCTCCTACTGACCTTAAAAGGAAAAAAGAGGATATCATAAACAATTTTATGCTAATAAATATGACAACTTGTGGAAATGCACAAACCCTTAGAAATTTTAAAAGATTACAGATATAAACATAAAACACTAATAACCCTATGTCAATTAAAGATGTTGAATTTTTAAATTATCTACCCTACCACACACAACCACATAAATGAACATAATACCAATACCTCCGCAAAATTTGTTCAGAAAATAAAGGAGGAAAGTCTTCTCAAACCATTTTATTACAGCAATATTAGGCTAAAAACAAAACTGAAAATATCACAAGAAAGAGAATCACAGAACAATATCCCTCATGAACATTAACATTAAACTCTGAATCAAAATTAGCAAATTGGATACAGTAATACATAAAAGTGATCCTTCATCATGAACAAGTGGTTTTTTTTGTCTGAGACATTTAGCATCTATTAACAAATTGCTCTCAAAAATCAATTATACCCATTTATGGGCTTATCAGGTTTAAAAAATATTTACCATATCATTGCCAACATTGGATTTTATTAGATTTGTGATTTTTGCCAACATGATCAGTATAAAAATAATTTATAATTTTAGTCTGTATTATCTTAATTACCAAACAATCGAGCACAATTTAGTGCCTTTGTGATCCATTGTTTCCTCTGTTACTAGGCAATTTTTATCCCACACCCAGTTTTCTGAAAGGTTGTTTGTCTTTTCTTATTATTTTGGCAGTTTTTATCTTTTAAATTCATTCAAATAATTCAACACATCTGTTACTTTTTAGTTTGTTCTTGGTGTATTTCGCCATTCAGAAGTTTCAATTGTAATGTATTAATAACGCATCCCTATTTTCTCAATGTGTGCTTTCGGTGTCAGTCTAAGAAAAGGTTTTCTATCTCTGAGGTAATCAACTTTATCGCTTATACTTTTACCTAAAGTTTTATGACATTTTTAACCCCTAAATCTCTAATCCACTGATAATATATTTAAATGTATCTAATAATAATATGCAATTTTTGTAAGATTTATTAAAGACTGTGTAGAATATATTCCGTATAATATATTCTTTATTATAAATTGAAAGTTCACATTTCAGAGCTTCCTTTATTGTTCCAGAAGTCTGTTCAAATTATTGTAACGATATGTTAAATTTTAATATCTAGGGTGGAAAAACTATCGTCATCACCACCTTATTAACCCTCCAATTTCTTCCCTTATTTCAGCTTCAGAATTCTCGGGGCATTTCTCTGCCATTTATATTTCATGATTACATTCCATTTTATTTAATCAAGTCCAGTGAACATTCCTGTTGGGATTTGATAAGAATCGAATTAAATTTATTGATTAAATTAAAAATGATTTTTCATCTTTTTACATAGAAAATTGCCAATCATGGTTATGCTGTTTCTCTTCTTTTGGGTCTTTGTTATTTTTGTGTTTTTTCTTGTTATTGTAAATGGTATCTCTTCTTGTATTTATTAACACATAGTAATAAGTAGTATAAGTAGCAACAAACGATAGCTACTTATTAACACGTAGTAATAAGTAGTATAAGTAGCAACAAATGATAGCTAATCTTGTTAGCATCTTGCTAAATATAAACATATTTAAATGTTTATCTTATAACCACCTGAAATTTTCTATTGATTTTATAGTTTTTCTGCAGATATTTTGACTATTCTTTAGGTATAATAGTAATTTATTCTTTAGATATAATAGTAAATTATGTTAGTTTTGCTCATTTTTTTCTATCTTTAATGTAATTTTATTTTTTTACTTATTTATTACCCAGTTAGATGTTAGATTTGTCCTACTTTTCATTAATGTATGGCTTTAAAAACAGTTTTTTGGGTTTATCCTTTTCCCTTACACCATATTTTTTGGATAAGTATATCTATCCAAATCTCTATCTAATTTCATCTACATAGACACATACCTTTAATGTTTGAAAATTCCTTTAATGCTTTGTCTGTTTACCACAATAAATTTTGTTATTTCTTTGTGGTGTTTTCTAGTTTATATTTTAAATTTCCAAATACATTAAGGTTCTGGCTTTCCTCCTTTTTTCCCTTTCCTCTTCCTTTTAATTCCATTTTTGAACTTTCCAGTTAGGTGGAGCACTACCAGGACATTGTCTTTGCAAAGAGGAAGCCCAGTATGAGGTGTCAGAACCCAGGCAGGAGATGAGGGTATCCATAAGTGGGGATGATTGATGTGATATGTCAGAACTCAGGCAGGGTGAAGGTGGTGTTCATGTGGAGGCCAGAGGGTAGCACCAAACAGGGGATGTTTATTTGTTATCTATTGCTATCTAACAAAGTAATGCAAAACTTATGTTTTACAACTCCATACGCTTATTATCTCATGCAGTCTCTGGGAGTTAGGAATCTGCAGCAGCTTCTTTCTGTCTGTGGTTTTCACTTAAGGTCTCATATGAAGTTACCATTGAGTTTTCTAAAGCTTCCACTAGAGCTGGAGAGTTGACTTCCCACTTCATCCATGTGGCTGTTGGCCAGAGGCTTTATTTCCTCCCCATGTTGGCATCTGCAGAGCTTATCATAACATGGAAGCTTTCTTCTTTCAGAGTGACTGATCTAATGGTGAGAGATCAAAAAGAGCACTACCAAGAGAAGATGTCACCAAGGGAGAGGCCACAGCTTTTACAACCTACTATTAGAATGGCATCCCATAATTTCTGCATTAGGCTATTAGTCACAGATACTAACACTGGTACATTATGGGTAGGATCTACATAAGATTATGAACACTGGAAGACAGATCACCTGAGGTCACCTCAGAGACTGGTTACCATATAGTTGTCAGAGTCCAAGAGACTTAGTAGGGTGTTTATGCATAAGGGTGCCTGAAGTGAGTGCTCAAAAGAAGTGAGAACATGTATATTCTTGATGGCAGTCTGGGGCAGGGTGTCAGAGCCTGAGCAGAGTGCCTACATAGAGCAGCAACATGGCATGAGGAGACAGAACCCAAGCCAGGTGAGAAGGTTTCATGTGAGGGGAGAGGGAGGCTGCTGCAATCAGAAGTTGATTGTATAATGGAGATTGATTATATCAGTAGTTATATTTAAAAAATTGTAATTAGGTTTCTGTCTAAAAAGGTATTTACAAGCATGTAGACAACAACAACAAAATTCTCCTATTGTGATGGAATTGGAAATACTGATGCAAAGTTATAAATTATGATTGATAAATGATAGATTATAGATAGAAAGATTTGAATATATATAGATGTGTATATATACACACACACAGATATGCTTACACTCATATATATACACACATTCCCTAGTTCTGTCCATGGAGAGTGCCTTATAGCAGTAAATTCCTCATACCAATAAGCAGTTTAGACTAAAGAGCATGATGTATAGGTAACTAGGTTTCTTGCAGAAATGACTGAATTCACCAAGTTCAGGAAAAGACAAGACGAGCCTGAAAGTACTATACCAGAAAGTATAGTACTTTCTATCTTCCTATACCAGAAAGTAAGGAAGTGTTCAAAGAGTAATGGGGGCATGTCAAAAGGATCCTACTGGCCAAATCTAAAGGAATTTGAGCCATTTAAATGAACAATGATAGTAAGAAGAAAATGAGTCTATATTAATATACATTAATACACTAATAAATGAAAGTTTGAATAGAAAGGGGACATTTACATAGTTTCAAATTACTTCTCTACAAAATGTTTATTAATTATGAAAAGGGAAAAGAATAGGCCAGGTGCGGTGGCTCATGCCTGTAATCCCAGCACTTTGGGAGGCCGAGGTGGATCATGAGGTCAGGAGATCGAGACCATCCTGGCTAACACAGTGAAACCCCATCTCTACTAAAAATACAAAAAAATTAGCTGGGCATGGTGGCGGGTGCCTATAGTCCCAGCTAGTTGGGAGGCTGATATCAGGGGAACCAGCCCCCAATATTTCAACATAGGTTCTTTTCTATTTTCCCTAAGTGTCGGCCAGTCTGAGAAATAAAGGGAAAGAGTACAAAAGAGAGAAATTTTAAAGCTGGGTGTCTGGGGGAGACATCACATGTCAGCAGGTTCTGTGATGCCCCCTGAGCTGCACAACCAGCAAGTTTTTATTACCGATTTTCAAAGGGGAGGGAGTATATGAATAGGGTGTGGGTCACATGCTTCAAAAGCAATAAAAGAAGGCAAATGGGCAGGGCAAGGTCACAAGGCCAGGGCAAAACTAGAATTACTGATGAAGTTCCATGTCCCACTGTGCACGCATTGTCATTGATAAATGTCTTAACAGGACACAGGGTTCAAGAGTAGAGAACTGGTCTGACTAGAATTTCCCAGGCTGGAATTTCCTAATCCTAGCAAGCCTGGGGGCGCTGCAGGAGACCAGGGTGTGTTTCATCCCTATCAACAACTGCATGAGGCAGACACTCCCAGAGTGGCCATTTTAGAGGCCCCCTCTGGTAATGCATTATTTTCCCAGGGCTGTTAATTATTAATATTCCTTACTGGGGAAATAATTCAATATTTCTCTTACCTGTTTTCAGTAATAAGAGAAATATGACTCTGTCCTGCCCGGCTCTCAGGCAGTCAGACCTAATGGTTATCTCCCTTGTTCCTGAACATCACTGTTATCCTGTTCCTTTTTCAAGGTGCTCAGATTTCATATTGTTCAAACACACATGCTTTACGAACAATTTGTGCAGTTAATGCAATCATCACAGGGTCCTGAGGTGACATACATCCTCAGCTTACAAAGATGATGGGATTAAGAGATTAAAGTAAAGACAGGCATAGGAAATCACAAGAGTACTGATCAGGGAAGTGATAAATGTCCATGAAATCTTCACAATTTATGTTCTTCTGTCATGGCTTCAGCCGGTCCCTCCGTTTGGGGTCCCTGACTTCCTGCAACACCTCTCCCTTTCTTTTTATATAAATGTGCCATGGCGATGAAGGCTTGTTCATTCTCTTGATTTTGACACAGGATTCTTTGACTGGTCCAGCACACTAAAGACAAGCTGATTAAACAGAGAAACATAATTCCAAAATTTACTACAGTGGAGCCCCCAATAGACTTAATCCAAGTCGTGGGGTTTAGTCCAGAAAGATTTTCTGCCACCTGATCTAACGCCTAAGCTCCAGGCACAATGGATAAATGAGCTTGAGAGGCTTCAAAAATTTGTTTCTTTAATTTAGTTATGTCCAGTGATAAATTATCTTCCCTACCCAGAAGGTGTCCTTTGACCATTTCCCATGAATGATCAGTCTCATTGTAGGAATATGGGGTGATACAGAAATCCGAAGTATTCCAATCGCACTGCATTTGCATGCGATGCTTGAGACTCACTACCCGATCTCCAAGCCAAATAACAGACTGTCTTAAATCATTAATATGATTAGCCAATTTTTGATCAATGCCTTGTTGAGAATTCCACATTTGGGTGGAGTTGGCTTGCCAATCATTAACAAAATGAGCTTTTTGAATAGATTGAGGTAACGCCATTCCGTCAGTGGTGGCCATTGCAGTGACTGTAATTAGGCCCATGATCACAGTGATTAAAGTGAAAACAAATCTCTTAGATCTTTTTAGAATTCTCTGTAACACTTCATTAATTAAATGTATTGAGGGGGAGGATTCCCAAGGTCTGGGCAAAGTTACCAGAATCTAGATTTGTTCTCGAGCTCAAACCAACATTACACTTTTCCTGGAGTCAAAATGGGAGTTAATACAAGTGTATAAATGACAATTAATGCATTGGACAGTTTGATTGTTCATCCAAATTTTGATATTCCCCACTAACAGCATGTTAGGAGGCTTAACACAACTCTGTATGGGAACAGTCAGGTTGGAGGTAAGTAAAGCAGAATGTCTGAATCTACGTTGATACTGAGAGAGGGGGACGGTAGCAGGGACAACAGACAGAATAGTTTCCCCTTCCCATACTCGCAGTCCAGACATGGCAATAGTCAGTTTCCAATTTCCAAAGTTCTGGGTGTTCTGGGCTCAGAATGGGGAATATCATAGGAGGCCACGGGCGGGGAGGGGGGCGGGCAGGGTAATGCCTTTATCTTCCCATTTTAAGGGAAAGAATGAGCTGAACCTCCTATGCAAAGTAGAATGATGATTCTCGTTCTCCTGATAAGAAGTAAAATAAGTAGCCTCCAGGCATTCCCTTCCACCAGAGGAGCAATTGTTTTTTAAATAGCCCTTTGGTGCCCAGTCTATTACTAAACCATGAGTCATTTTTTAATATTACTGCATGTGAGTTAACACAATACTCCCAAATTAAGGTTTTAGATGGGCCCTCAAAATTCTTAGGGCATGGTTTTCCTGCAGGTTTATATTGAAAGTATGGGGTATCTCCCATTACTCCCTCTTTCATTTGTCTTAAAGGAGAAAGGGAGAGGCCGGAGACCAAATGTCCCAGTTTCTCTGTAGCGGATCTCTCTGGAAGATAAGCAGCCCAGACTTGAACCAGACACATTTTGGTTTGATGTGCCAGCTTCGGAGGAGTTGGCACAGATCTCACCACGTCTGAGGGCAGTCTCTGACGTGGACGTCTTTTCCCTGTGGTTTTCGTTTTATGATCTCCTGGTGAAACACAAGCATATCCTCTTTCCCATGTTAAGTAGAATCAGAGACAATATTTAAAGGTTTGGGGGAAATCCTCTAAGGCAGTAACTACAGCAATTAACTCTGCCTTTTGAGCAGAGGTATAATGGGTAGAAATAAGCTTGTTTATAGGACCTACATAACCAGCATTTCCATTACTGGAGCCATCAGTGAACACTGTAATAGCCTCAGGAATGGGCTGATCTTTGGTCAATCGAAGGACCACCCAAGAAGTCATTTTTATAAAATCAAACAATTTGTTTTTTGGATAATGATTGTCAATAATGCCAATAAAATCAGCCAAGTGAATTTGCCACAGTACGGAATGTTGAAAGGCGGCTTGAACTTCGAGCCGATTTAAAGGAACTACAATTAAATTCGGATCAAATCCAGAAATTTGAAGTATTCTATACCAAGCCTGTCCAATTAAGATGGCTATTTGGTCCAGATAAACAGACAAAGTTTTTGACACAGAATGAGGAGAAATCACCACTTCACTAAATCATTATGTTGAACTTTTAGCCCAGTAGGGGAATGCAATAAAGCGAAAACTAGAAGCTGAAAAGGCTGAGATGGCTGTACTCTAGATAACGGGTGGTCTGGATTCTTTCCTCTACAAATTCAGTTCTAGTGAAGCCTCAAGGGTCAAAGTCCTGGGACTGTGGAGATTGGAATCTCCCTGCAGCATAGAAAACAAGTTAGACAGTGCATAGGTCGGAATGCCTAAAGTAGGTCTTAAATAATTAATGTTACCCAAGAGTTTTTGGAAGTCATTTAAAGTTTTCAAAGAATCTCTCCTAATTTGAACTTTTTGAGGTTGAATACATTGTTTATCGACCACCATTCCTAAATATTGAACAGGAGTGGTCTGTTGAATTTTATCCTGAGCGATGTGTAATCCAGCCTCTGTAACACAGTGGCTCAAAATTTGATAACAGTCAATTAATTCTTTATCAGTGGGGGCAGCAATTAAAATATCATTAATATAATGAAGAATATAGGCCTGGGGAAATTGGGCTCAAACTGGTGAAAGCACTTGTCCAACATAAAGCTGGCAGACTGTAGGGCTATTTAGCATTCCCTGAGGAAGTACTTTCCATTGATAATGAGCTGCAGGCTCCTGATTATTGATAGATGGTACAGTAAAAGCAAATTTTTCACAATCCGATTTATGTAAAGCAATATGAAAAAAAAAAACAATCCTTAAGATCAATAACTATGAGAGGCCAATTCTTAGGTATTAAAGCAGGGGCAGGCATGCCGGGTTGGATGGCCCCCATAGGTTTAATTACAGCGTTAATGGCCCTTAAATCAGTTATCATCAGCCACTTGCCTGATTTCTTTTTTACTAGAAACACAGGAGAATTCCAGTGGGAAAGAGAAGGTTCCACATTCCCAAGTTGTAACTGTTCAGAAACTAATTGAGTTAAAACCTCCAGTTTTTGTTTAGAAAGCTGCCGCTGCTGAATCCACACAGGTGTGTCAGATTTCCACTGTAAAGGGATAGGATCAGGAGGCATAGCAGCGGCTGCCATTAAAAAAGATAACCTAAACCAGCCCTGTCTTCTTTATAGTAATTGGGAGGGGTTTAGTAAACACCTCGTGATCAGGGCTAAAAAATTAGGGTACAATTTAGCATGACCTTGTTTAACGGTAGTAAAAGAAACAGGAGCTTGGCCTGGGGCGCGTAATTTATCCCAAGCTCTCACACACACCTTTATTACTTGTTCTTTTGAGGGAAGAGAGAGACCCTCTCATATTGTTTTGTATTGTTTTATACTCAGTACCTGTTTAAAAACAACAACAACAACAAGGAAGTAAAACCAAAGACAGGTAGCCCGGCACCAGGCCCGAAACCAGTCCTGGGCCTGCCTGGCCTAAACCCAGTAGTTAAAAATCAACTCATAACTTAGAAACCGATGTTATTCATAGATTCCAGACATTGTACAGAAGAACATTGTGAAACTCCCTGCCCTGTTCTGTTTCTCTCTGACCACCGGTGGTTGCAGCCCCTGTCACGTACCCCTTGCTTCCGCAAATCAATCACGATCCTTTCATGTGAAATCCTTAGAGCTGTGAGCCCTTAAAAGGGACAGGAATTGCTCACTCGGAGAGCTCGGATTTTAAGGCAGTAACTTGCTGATGCTCCCAGCTGAATAAAGCCCTTCCTTCTACAACTCGGTGTCTAAGAGGTTTTGTCTGCAGCTCGTCCTGCTACACTGTGGTAAGAGCATCAAAGCCTAATTGGGCATAAATATGAGAGAAACTATCGGAGCCTGTGAGCTGGGCCTGAGTAACTAGAATGCCATTAGTCCGATTTAGCTGAGCCTGCAAACGGGCCTCCTCTGACCACCAGGTACGAAATTGTAAATGCTGAGATGGGGTTAGAACAGCTTTTGCCAAAAGGTCCCAGTCTAAAGGAAGCAAAGTGACCTCCGTACAAAAAAGTTTGTAATACCATTTTAACATGAGGAGAAGTAGGGCCATACTCAGTACAAGCAACTTCACATTATTTTAAAAAGGTAAGATCGAGAGGTCCATAATGACGCATTTGTATCCCTTGGAATTTAGGAAGTTCTAGTGCCACCAGATAAGCCCACGTGTCTAATCCACTTGTTTCTTTGTTTTGGTGTAATAAGCGTTGCATTGAAGTTTCAATTTTGGCATAATAAGCGTTGCATTGAAGTTTCAAGAGTAGGTATCTGAGACGGAGTTGGCATAGAAGTGAAAGGAAAAGCACGTGTAGATAAGGGAAACTGAGGGTGAGAGGGTCGGACTGGAATGAGGGTGTGAGAAAGGGACATTGGGGGAGCAGGAGAAGCAGAAGTATACTGGTGATTACTGGCATCCATGTGTGAGGAAGGGTACAGAGAAGCAGGCTGAGTGGATGGCAAAGTGACCAGTTGGGGAACGGAAACGACAGGAGGGCGAGGGCCTGAAGTGGTTGGGGGAGGGCCTGCAGAATTATAGGTAAATTGTAGTTTGGTCCTGGCGGCATTAGCCAACTCTGGAGGTTTGAAGAGAGAAGAATTAGCATATGTATGGTCCCAGGCTGTCTTGAGTCGGGGCCGCGGGAGCTACAAGTACGGGCTCTTCGTGAAATGAAAAGAAATAAGATCATCAGGGGGCGACCGTTATCCAAAGTCACCAGAGTTAGACATTGAATTCTCAGAATCGTTAGGTGGGGGAGGAGTAGCCAAATGGAGAAGCTGATCAGCTAACGAAGGCGTTGCAGGAGAGAAGGGTTGAGGGGGTATTAGGACAGCACGTACCAAGGCCCAGTGACCGGAACATAATTCCCTGCCAGGACCAGTTCCCGGAATGTTGCACCAACACGATCCCATACTTTTACATACACGGTTCCTTTTTCAGGAAACCAAGGACAGTATTTTTCCACCGCCCTGAATAAAGTGACCATATTTTCCATGGTTACTCGGACCCTTCCCTGTCTTAACAGGTCTACATCTAAGGTTCCCGCAACAGGCTGAGGCAAGAGAATGGTGTGAACCCTGGAGGCAGAGCTTGCAGTGAGCCGAGATCACGCCACTGCACTCCAGCCTGGGCGGCAGAGCAAGACTCTGTCTCAAAAAAAAAAAAAAAAAAAAAAAAGAAGGGAAAAGAGTAGCTTTACAGGAAAGTCTGGTACAAAATAGCCTAAAATCCCCCCAAATGCACAAGCGTTGAAATAAATGTTAGCTATTATTGAAGGATACTATAATGACATGACAACTAAGTGTAAAACACAATTCCAAACTTGATGCCTTTACTATAAAGAACATTATTGTGACAACTGGCAAAACGCAATTTAGATTTATAATTTATAAATGTAAATTTCATGATTATTTCATGGTAACGTAGGGGAATGTCCTTGTTTATAGGAAATACATATTCAGGGGTGATGAGGTATCAGATTGGCAACTTACTCTCATATGGCACATAAAAAGTCAGGAAAGAGGTTCTTTGTATTGTACTTGCATTTTTTTTCTGTAAGTTTAAGATTGTTTTAAAATAAAGTTTTTAAGAGATAAAATATTGAACCGTTAACCTTTTGCCATCAATTTTAAATTAACTGAAATTTGATCAGTTATAAAAGTTTCACATGTATTTGAGCAGAATGGATACTGACCTAGTATGTAGAGGTCTTTGTACAATATTTTTACATGGCTTTTACTCATGTAATTCATATTTCCTATATTCTTACAACTCTTCAGTCTGCTTATTAGGTCTGTTTCTGATAAAGATGTGATAAAGATTACTATTTTCCTTGAAATTATGTTGATTTTGTTATTAAATTCTGAGATTGTTAAAGTGAATACAAGTTCATGACTAATATTCTTGGTGGATTATTATTTTTATTATTTATTACTATTATTGCATTTTGCCATGCATTCTATTTTGCTTGTTGTCAATATTGCTGTTAATTAGCATTTACTGGGTAAAACTTTTCATCTTATTTCTCAGCTTCTGTGCCATTATATTTTTAAACAGCATATAGATTTTTTCCAACCTCTGTCTTTTATTATTGTCTTAGTTTTTTTTTTTTTTCATTTTTTGCCAGGATTTATATATTTGCTTTTAACTTTTTAATTTATGCTTTCTCTTTAACATGTTTTTTCCTTGCCTCTTTTTTTCTATTTTTTTCCGTATCATGGGTTGTTTTATTTTTTTCCCATTTATTTTCTATATTGCTTGAATGCAAAATATTCTACTTCCATTCTTTAATTTCAATTAATTTTTCAATATTCTCATTTGACTTAAATGACACTATTTTACAGGCAAACATATCAAGTATTAATTTTGATTTCCCCCATTATATGTTATTTTTGTTTAATGTTTTAAGTACAATTGTTTTTATGTAAAATTATTCATAATTTTTATGATTTAACAGAGCACTGACAATTTTTTTAAATTTGCCCACTGAATTTTTTGGTTAACATGTTTTTGTATCTCCTTTCCTCCTTGTGATGTCAATCATCATCATTTGCCTATTTGTTAAAATTATTTGTAACTTCGAAGTTAGTATTGATAGCATTTTCCCAGTAAATTGCGGACATACTCAGAGTGGTGAAAAATTGAGTCACTCAGCACACACCTTCTTAGCTGAGGCTGAAGACAATGCCCTTCCTCCCTGGTTTTGCTCTCAGACAGTAAACAAGTTTCCTTTTTGTGGTCAACTGAGTGACAAGCTTTTCTTATTTTCTGTGTCTTTTTTTGGTGATTCTGGTTTAAAAGGGTCTGTTATGCATAGTGCTGAAATACTGCCTAGTGTTCCCAAGCACACGAAGGCTGTGATGTGCCATATGGAGAAAATACATGTGTTAGATAAGCTTCGTGCAGTCATGAGTTCCAATGCTGTTGGCTGTGAGTTCAATGTTAATGAATCAATAATACCGTACATCCAGAGAAAGGAAGAGAAAATTCACTGATCTGTATGTGAGAGCACTCTGGAAAGTGCTAAAGTAACATCTATAGCCTGTGATGTAACTATTGAAAAGATGGAAAAGCAACTAAATGTATGGATTCATGAGATGATGCTCCATTAAAAAAAGAAAAAGTATAGTGGGGAGCATTGTTGTGGGGCTGAAAGCCAGAGTCAAGAAATGTTAAGCCCTTCTCGCTTATGCTGGCTAGCTTCCATTTCTCAAGTTTCAAAAGATGATAAGGTGTGGAATATGTTAAACTTACAAGAGAGGCAGTATCTACAGATCAGGAGGCTGTGGAAGAAATCTGAAAATACCTGCTAAGTATTATACAGGAACAGGTCATGTGGAAAAGCAGGTTTTTGACACTGATGAGGCTGGCTTGTTTTACAAGGACGTGGATAAACAAACCTATAAAATACAATGGTGTTTTGGTTGATGAAAGTGTCACCAGAAGCTCACAGGAACTTAACTCTGTATTTCCTCTTGGAGGAATAGTTCAATATTCACTTATTCAGTGTTCATAGCAACTTTATAGACTATACTGCAAAGAATGAGAAGTGACTGTATTTTCTTCCTGAAGTAAATAATTTTGTAGCACTTCTTTTGCTCTGTGGAGCTGGAATTCAGATCTCTTGATGTACTGATATTACTGAGGGAGTGTGATACGGCTAATTTGGTGACTATGAAATAACTGTTAAATGGGAACCAATTGCTACTGCCAGGGTTGACTGTTTGCTGCTGCTGACAGAAACAGCAAGCACACGGGAAGGAGCAAGACCCTTTTTCTTCCTCCAGCTTTGAGTTTCTTCCAGCGCCTCCTATTAACATCTCCCAAAGCACAAATGTGGATCCAGTCCCAGCTAAAGCATTTCAAAGTGGATTTGGAGCTAAAAGGCCATAACTTAATCACCAGCATAATAAACATCAAATGGAGGAAAAAAATAAAAGAAAAAGTTAAACCATAATAACATCAATTATTGGAGAGCATGAGGATAAACAGAAATTCCTGAACTCTGCTGGAGTTACAATATAATGTGATATAATCATGTTCAAAAACAATTTTGAAATATCTATTATAAAGTTGGAAAAGTACAAATACTATAATACAACATAGTTCTCTGTGAATTCCTACATTCAGTTTGTATATAGGAAGGTAGAGAATGTTTATGGTGCTTTTTTTATAGTAGCAAAAAAAAAAAAAAACAGCATAAATGACTATATGTAAGTGAAGGAATAAATAAATATTGTATTTTTATATTTTATGACACCTTAAAATAATTGAAACATACATTAATATATAAAGATTTACATATTGTATACAGTAAGTATATATTCCTTAGAACTGCAGATTTAACTCAGTCAATTTAAGTGCTGCCACCTAATCAATAGGCAAATCCATTTCTCATTGTGCAAATAATCAGGAAAATCAGGCTTACTGGTTTTTCTTTTTTTCTTTAGACGGAGTCTTGCTCTGTTGCCCAGGCTGGAGTGCAATGGCACGATCTTGGCTCACTGCAACCTCTGCTTCCTGGGTTCAAGCGATTCTCCTGTCTCAGCCTCCCGAGTAGCTGGGATTACAGGTGCACACCACCACGCCTGGCTAAATTTTTTTGTATTTTAGTAGTGACGGGGTTTCACCATGTTGCCCAGGGTCGTTTCGAGCTCCTGAGCTCAGGCAATCCACCCACCTCGGCCTCCCAAAGTGCTAGGATTACAGGTGTGAGCCACTGCGCCTGTCCAGGCTTACTGTTTTTTAAAATTCATAATGACATGCATCTTATGAATCACTGTAATTAATATCTGACTTCTGAAATCTAATTCTAACATAGATTCATTGAAGAGTGGATAGATATGTAGACACTCAGACAGACAGACAGATGGAATGGAAAGACGAGCATGAGTATATCACATGCCTAAGATGAATAAGTGTTGCCCCTGTTATTATCTCATAACAAAGCCTTCCTCATTTTTTTGGTTCCTGTTACACTCTCTCAAGAGCTATATATTCTCCATCTGTGTCTTTGGTTGGTGCCACAGAGCTTTATACACTCCATAGAGCAGTGCACCATCCTTTGGTTTAAGGAGAATGGGAAGTGCGCATTCTTCTTTTTTTTTTTTTTTTTTTGTGAAGTGAGGTAAAGGTAATGATGAACAGAGTTGTGCCAAATAAAGAACAGACAGCAGCGTGTATTTTTAGGAGGGAATGATTTTAAGAAAGAATACATACAGAATATTTATAGAATACTTAAAAATACTTAACAGACAGTGGAAGTTTGGAAGATTATTTTTTTAAAGAACAACCCTGCCTGAATACTCTCTGGAAATCCAGTCTCTCAGAAATGGGAGTAACCTAATTCCTAGGGAATCAAGCTGATTTTAAGAAGTAATGAATTGACACTGAGAGTATCTATGGAAAGTATGAAAAAGGACACAGGAAAATAAAATGTCTCAATCAACCTGCCTTTAAAATGTTGAAATTTCAGGTGAAGTAAACAAAGCACGAGCAAAGTATAGACATTGATGCCAATGTTCCTGTATATGTTTATCTACTAAAGTGGAAGTCATTTCATCTTCAAGAGGCACTGTACATGTTTGCATGGATACCAGGAAATATAGATGGTAATGTTCAGAAGGCAATTCACTGGGCTAGCTGTCAAGTTACTTAACCTTTGTGTCCCTCTGTTTCCTGTTCTTCAGTAGAATGATTTCCCTAAGGAATGAAGTGATACATTCACCCACTTTCACTCTCTGGAAGAAAAAAACTTCATCCAGGCTAATACTGAGTCTTAGAAACAATCATGCAAGCAGGCAGACCAACAAAAACCCCTCACGTTATTTCAAAACCAACACCAAAAGTTTCACATGCTTACTATGCAAAAGAGAGATTTTTGCTGCTCACACTCATATAGTTTACCCTTTACCACTGGTACACTTATAGACATGGTCAGTACCGTCATCTTAAAAGTAAGGCATGCCAACAGAATTTGTATTTTTATAACATTTTAATGATGAACACGACTTACATTATTTTTATTTGAAATATTTTTAGGTACCAGAAAGTGAAAAATTCTAAGGTTGAAAAATTAGTTAAAAGGGGATACATAATCAGATAAAATCTCATCAGCAATTACAATATGCAAGGGAGTGTGATAGCTCAATTGGGGATTCAAAGATAAATAATGAAGAGAATCTTCATAAAAATAATAGCTATTAACTATCATGGTCTTGCTCTGTGTAAGATATTTTTCTAGTGCTTTAAAATTATTCCTTACAAATAATTCTCTGATGTAGTGCTTGGAAGGGTAATATTATTGGCTCAAGCCACACAGCTAATCATTGGTAGAGGCAGGGTTTGAACCCTGAGTTTTCACCAGTATGTTATATTGCCTATATCCCTATACATGGAGAGCTTAATATAATGTTTCCTGATAAAACCAAATTCTCCAATATATTAGCAGAAATTAGTAGTAGGAATATCAAAAGATACCATCGATTCTAAATAGTAAAACATATGAACATATTTTAAAATATTTTTACTGTAAATGTTACAAAGTCAAATATAGAATTATGAAAATTATTGGTACAATATGATGGAAGAAAGGGCTGAATCAATAAACTCAAATCTTTTTGTTGTTTAAAGCTTTGAAACTATTCAATTATTTTGCTTTGAAACTATTCAATTATTTTATGTCAAGTTTCCTATAGAGTCTCCTGCTAGAAATATCAAACAGAATTCTGGCCTGCAGGCATTCCATTGATACAACTGTCACTAAAATTGCAAAGACTCATTTACATTAAATAGCAGTAGAATCATAATATTCAGTAGAATTTTTCACTTTAAATGCCAACTCATGCTGAGAACTATAATTGCTTATTCAATTAATGAATACAATGAAGAAGTAAAGACTTGAAAATTTCTATTTCAGTATTAGTTTAAATGAATATTATAATTAAATATTAGTATGTATACTGAAATCCTTGCTGTTCTAAACAATACTGACATACGGACATAGTTTTTTTTATGAAACATGAAATGGTTTGGGTAAAAGAGCTGAGAAATCAAGTTTTAGCCAAAATGATGTACATGGTGAACACATACTTTGAGAACATTCTAAGTCAAACGCATAGCAATGATAGATAAAATATTTAAAAGAGAAAGTAACTGATATAATCATACCCAACAACCCAGTAAGTATCTCCATCAAATGTCGAACACTGTGCAATCTAATCTAATCCTGGAACTCAACTTTAAAGGTAATGACGGCTAAAAGTGATCTGCTGTAAACACACACACACACACACACACACACACAGACACTTTAACGCATTGGTGGACTGGAACCAGGCTGCCCATTACCTAGGACCATGGGGTATGAAAGCTGTATACAACAGGAAGGTTGGAGGGAACAACATATCTTTTTTTCCACACCTGGGATCTCTGATATCTTTAATGAGAGCACAGGAAAGGCACTGTGAACTGCCGATTTAATGCCAACCCATAGCCTGGAGACACTGAAGTAGGGTGGGATGCCAGACAAAGCCTCCTTCAAAAATGATAGAGATAGAGGAGCAAGGCTTTGCACTGAGATTCCAAAACGTAAAAATAATCTGCCACATATGTGTGTTGCAAATATGTTCTCCTACTCAGTGTTTTTTTTTTTATTATACCCAAACTTGTGGTTTTTGGTACAGTTAAACTCTTCAATAATTTCTTTATAATTTGTGCTTTCTGTGTTTTGTTTCAGAAAATTTTCCCTTCCCTATTCTATTTCTGTATTGATACATAATAGATGTACACATTTTCAGGATACATCTGATATTTAGATATATTATAATGTATAAAGATCAAATCAGGGTAACTGAGATTTCCATCACCTTAAATATTTATTTTTTATTTTTTCTTATGCTAGAAGCTTCTGAATTATTCTTTTCCAGATATTTTGAAATAGATTTTGAATAGATGATTGTTAACTATATAGTCACCCTGCTGATATACCAAACACTAGGTATTATTTCTCCTATCTGACTGTATATTTGTACTCATTAATGAACCTCTCTTTATGCCTCCTTCCTCCCTCCTGTTCCTGGCCTCTGGTAACCACCAATCTACTATCTTCTTAAGATCTATGTTTTTAGCTCCTACTTATAAGGGAGAACACACTATATTTGTCTTTCTTGCATGGCTTATTTCACTTAACATAATCCTCCAGTTCCATCCATGATGCTGCAAATGAGAGGATGCCATCTTTTTATGGCTAAGTAACAGTCCAATATGTATATATATCATATTTTTTTAATTCATTCATCAAATGATGGGCATGTAGTTTGATTCCATATTTTGGCTATTGTGAATAGTGCTGCAATAAACATGGGAGTGCAGGTATCTCTTCGATATATTGATTCCCTTTCTTTTGGATATATACTCTGTAGCAGAACTGCTGAATCATATGGCAGTTCTATTTTCAGTTTCTTGACGAACCTCCATATTGTTTTCCATAGTGATTGTAATAGTTTACATTCCTACTAATCATGCAGGAGGGTTCCCTTTTCCCCACATATTCCTCAACATTCATTATTCCTTGTGTCTTTGATGTAAGCCATTTTAAATGGGTTAAGATCATATATCATTATGGTTTTGATTTGCATTTATCTGATGATTAGAGATGTAGAGCATTTTTTAATAGAGCTGTTGGCCATTTCTATGACTTCTTTTGAGAAATTTCTATACAGATCTTCTACCCATTTTGTAATTGGATTATTATTTTATTGCTACTGAGTTGAGTGAGCTCCATATAAATTCTGGTTATTAATCCCTTGTCAGATGGATAGTTTGCAAATATTTTCTCCCATTCTTTGGTTTGTCTCTTCCCCTTGTTGTTTCCACTGCTTTGCAGAAGCTTTTTAGCTTGATGTAATTCCATTTGTCTATTTTTGCTTAAGTTACATGGGGGTTTTCAGGTCTTACACAAAAATCTGTCCAGACCAGTGTCCTGGAGCATTTCCCCATTGTTTTCTTCTAGGAGTTTCAGAGTTTCAGGCTTTAGATTCAAGCCTTTAATCTGTTTTGATTTGATTTTTATATATGAAGAGATATATGGGTCTAGTTTCATTCTTCTGCATAAGGTTATCCAGTTTTCTCAGCACCCCTTATTGAAGAGGGGGTTATTTCCCTAATGCATGTTTCTGTCAGCTTTGTTGAAGATCAGTTAGCTGTAAATACATGGATTTATTTCTGGGCTCTCTATTCTGTGCTATTGGTGTATGGGTCTATTTTTATACCATGTTGTTTTCGTTACTATAGACTTGTAATATATTTGGAAATTAGGTAGTGTGATGCCTCCAGCTTTGTTCTTTTTGCTCAGGATGCTTTGGCTATTCTAGTTCTTTTTTGGCTCCATACACATTTTAGGTTTTTTTTTTTCATATTTCCTTGAAAATGACTTGGTATTTGACAGTGATTCTATTGAAACTGTAGATTGCTTTGGGCAGTATGGTCTTTTAACTATACACACACACACATACATATGTCTATATATGTGTATAGACACACATATATATACATAGTTCATATATATTTATATATAGTTTACATATATAAAATATATTTATTTGACAAACATTTCTTTTACACATAATATACAAATATACTATAATAGAGAATAAAGATTTTAAAATGAGCAAAATGTAGTGTTCATCCTTAAAAAAGTCATAATTTACAGTTGGATGGAGGCTGGAAAAATACAGACAATAACAATATGTTATATAAATAAATGTTATTATAGAGTTATGTTCCTCAAACTTTTTTCACTCTTGTCTCCTAAAGGAAATATTATTTTTAATTTTTTTATTTTTATGGATTTAGGGGTATAACTGCAGTTGTGTTACATGGATATATTGCTTAGTGGTGAAGTATGGGCCCCGCCTAGCTTGGTCACCCTCTAGAGGCTGAGCTGCGAGCTCAGACCTTGGTGCATTCCACAGGACAGCCCATCGCCTGAGGCAGCAGAGGACTTCCAACCATAAATAAAGATCCAGCTCCAGCGTTATGTCCATCTGCATTGGCTTCAGCTGGCTTTTATCCCTAAGTGCCTCCTATAGGCCTGGAGGTTGAACTGCACAACCCAATAGAAAATCTGTTGACACGGAGGAGGACCCAAGATGGCTGAATAGGAACAGCTCCGGTCTACAGCTCCCAGCGTGAACGACGCAGAAGACGGGTGATTTCTGCATTTCCATCTGAGGTACCGGGTTCATCTTGCTAGGGAGTGCCAGACAGTGGGCGCAGGCCAGTGTGTGTGCGCACTGTGCGCGAGCCGAAGCAGGGCGAGGCATTGCCTCACCTGGGAAGCGCAAGGGGTCAGGGAGTTCCCTTTCCGAGTCAAAGAAAGGGGTGACGGACGCACCTGGAAAATCGGGTCACTCCCACCCGAATATTGCGCTTTTCAGACCGGCTTAAGAAACGGCGCACCACGAGACTATATCCCACACCTGGCTCGGAGGGACCTACGCCCACAGAATCTCGCTGATTGCTAGCACAGCAGTCTGAGATCAAACTGCAGGGCGGCAACGAGGCTGGGGGAGGGGCGCCCGCCATTGCCCAGGCTTGCTTAGGTAAACAAAGCAGCCGGGAAGCTCCAACTGGGTGGAGCCCACCACAGCTGAAGGAGGCCTGCCTGCCTCTGTAGGCTCCACCTCTGGGGGCAGGGCACAGACAAACAAAAAGACAGCAGTAACCTCTGCAGACTTAAGTGTCCCTGTCTGACAGCTTTGAAGAGAACAGTGGTTCTCCCAGCACGCAGCTGGAGATCTGAGAACGGGCAGACTGCCTCCTCAAGTGGGTCCCTGACCCCTGACCCCCGAGCAGCCTAACTGGGAGGCACCCCCCAGCAGGGGCACACTGACACCTCACACGGCAGGGTATTCCAACAGACCTGCAGCTGAGGGTCCTGTCTGTTAGAAGGAAAACTAACAACCAGAAAGGACATCTACACCGAAAACCCATCTGTACATCACCATCATCAAAGACCAAAAGTAGATAAAACCACAAAGATGGGGAAAAAACAGAACAGAAAAACTGGAAACTCTAAAACGCAGAGCGCCTCTCCTCCTCCAAAGGAACGCAGTTCCTCACCAGCAACAGAACAAAGCTGGATGGAGAATAATTTTGACAAGCTGAGAGAAGAAGGCTTCAGACGATGAAATTACTCTGAGCTACGGGAGGACATTCAAACCAAAGGCAAAGAAGTTGAAAACTTTGAAAAAAATTTAGAAGAATGTATAACTAGAATAACCAATACAGAGAAGTGCTTAAAGGAGCTGATGGAGCTGAAAACCAAGGCTCGAGAACTACGTGAAGAATGCAGAAGCCTCAGGAGCCAATGCGATCAGCTGGAAGAAAGGGTATCAGCAATGGAAGATGAAATGAATGAAATGAAGCGAGAAGGGAAGTTTAGAGAAAAAAGAATAAAAAGAAATGAGCAAAGCCTCCAAGAAATATGGGACTATGTGAAAAGACCAAATCTACGTCTGATTGGTGTACCTGAAAGTGATGTGGAGAATGGAACCAAGTTGGAAAACACTCTGCAGGATATTATCCAGGAGAACTTCCCCAATCTAGCAAGGCAGGCCAACGTTCAGATTCAGGAAATACAGAGAATGCCACAAAGATACTCCTCGAGAAGAGCAACTCCAAGACACATAATTGTCAGATTCACCGAAGTTGAAATGAAGGAAAAAATGTTAAGGGCAGCCAGAGAGAAAGGTCGGGTTACCCTCAAAGGAAAGCCCATCAGACTAACAGCGGATCTCTCGGCAGAAACTCTACAAGCCAGAAGAGAGTGGGGGCCAATATTCAACATTCTTAAAGAAAAGAATTTTCAACCCAGAATTTCATATCCAGCCAAACTAAGCTTCATAAGTGAAGGAGAAATAAAATACTTTATAGACAAGCAAATGCTGAGAGATTTTGTCACCACCAGGCCTGCCCTAAAAGAGCTCCTGAAGGAAGCACTAAACATGGAAAGGAACAACCGGTACCAGCCGCTGCAAAATCATGCCAAAATGTAAAGACCATCGAGACTAGGAAGAAACTGCATCAACTAATGAGCAAAATCACCAGCTAACATCATAATGACAGGATCAAATTCACACATAACAATATTAACTTTAAATATAAATGGACTAAATTCTGCAATTAAAAGACACAGACTGGCAAGTTGGATAAAGAGTCAAGACCCATCAGTGTGCTGTATTCAGGAAACCCATCTCACGTGCAGAGACACACATAGGCTCAAAATAAAAGGATGGAGGAAGATCTACCAAGCCAATGGAAAACAAAAAAAGGCAGGGGTTGCAATCCTAGTCTCTGATAAAACAGACTTTAAACCAACAAAGATCAAAAGAGACAAAGAAGGCCATTACATAATGGTAAAGGGATCAATTCAACAAGAGGAGCTAACTATCCTAAATATTTATGCACCCAATACAGGAGCACCCAGATTCATAAAGCAAGTCCTGAGTGACCTACAAAGAGACTTAGACTCCCACACATTAATAATGGGAGACTTTAACACCCCACTGTCAACATTAGACAGATCAACGAGACAGAAAGTCAACAAGGATACCCAGGAATTGAACTCAGCTCTGCACCAAGCAGACCTAATAGACATCTACAGAACTCTCCACCCCAAATCAACAGAATATACATTTTTTTCAGCACCACACCACACCTATTCCAATATTGACCACATAGTTGGAAGTAAAGCTCTCCTCAGCAAATGTAAAAGAACAGAAATTATAACAAACTATCTCTCAGACCACAGTGCAATCAAACTAGAACTCAGGATTAAGAATCTCACTCAAAGCCGCTCAACTACATGGAAACTGAACAACCTGCTCCTGAATGACTACTGGGTACATAACGAAATGAAGGCAGAAATAAAGATGTTCTTTGAAACCAACGAGAACAAAGACACCACATACCAGAATCTCTGGGACGCATTCAAAGCAGTGTGTAGAGGGAAATTTATAGCACTAAATGCCTACAAGAGAAAGCAGGAAAGATCCAAAATTGACACCCTAACATCACAATTAAAAGAACTAGAAAAGCAAGAGCAAACACATTCAAAAGCTAGCAGAAGGCAAGAAATAACTAAAATCAGAGCAGAACTGAAGGAAATAGAGACACAAAAAACCCTTCAAAAAATCAATGAATCCAGGAGCTGGTTTTTTGAAAGGATCAACAAAATTGATAGACCGCTAGCAAGACTAATAAAGAAAAAAAGAGAGAAGAATCAAATAGACACAATAAAAAATGATAAAGGGGATATCACCACCGATCCCACAGAAATACAAACTACCATCAGAGAATACTACAAACACCTCTACGCAAATAAACTAGAAAATCTAGAAGAAATGGATACATTCCTCGACACATACACTCTCCCAAGACTAAACCAGGAAGAAGTTGAATCTCTGAATAGACCAATAACAGGAGCTGAAATTGGGGCAATAATCAATAGTTTACCAACCAAAAAGAGTCCAGGACCAGATGGATTCACAGCCGAATTCTACCAGAGGTACAAGGAGGAACTGGTACCATTCCTTCTGAAACTATTCCAATCAATAGAAAAAGAGGGAATCCTCCCTAACTCATTTTATGAGGCCAGCATCATTCTGATACCAAAGCCGGGCAGAGATACAACCAAAAAAGAGAATTTTAGACCAATATCCTTGATGAACATTGATGCAAAAATCCTCAATAAAATACTGGCAAACCGAATCCAGCAGCACATCAAAAAGCTTATCCACCATGATCAAGTGGGCTTCATCCCTGGGATGCAAGGCTGGTTCAATATACGCAAATCAATAAATGTAATCCAGCATATAAACAGAGCCAAAGACAAAAACCACATGATTATCTCAACAGATGCAGAAAAAGCCTTTGACAAAATTCAACAACCCTTCATGCTAAAAACTCTCAATAAATTAGGTATTGATGGGACGTATTTCAAAATAATAAGAGCTATCTATGACAAACCCACAGCCAATATCATACTGAATGGGCAAAAACTGGAAGCATTCCCTTTGAAAACTGGCACAAGACAGGGATGCCCTCTCTCACCACTCCTATTCAACATAGTGTTGGAAGTTCTGGCCAGGGCAATCAGGCAGGAGAAGGAAATAAAGGGTATTCAATTAGGAAAAGAGGAAGTCAAATTGTCCCTGTTTGCAGACGACATGATTGTTTATCTAGAAAACCCCATCGTCTCAGCCCAAAATCTCCTTAAGCTGATAAGCAACTTCAGCAAAGTCTCAGGATACAAAATCAATGTACAAAAATCACAAGCATTCTTATACACCAACAACAGACAAACAGAGAGCCAAATCATGAGTGAACTCCCATTCACAATTGCTTCAAAGAGAATAAAATACCTAGGAATCCAACTTACAAGGGATGTTAAGGACCTCTTCAAGGAGAACTACAAACCACTGCTGAAGGAAATAAAAGAGGACACAAACAAATGGAAGAACATTCCATGCTCATGGGTAGGAAGAATCAATATCGTGAAAATGGCCATACTGCCCAAGGTAATTTACAGATTCAATGCCATCCCCATCAAGCTACCAATGACTTTCTTCACAGAATTGGAAAAAACTACTTTAAATTTCATATGGAACCGAAAAAGAGCCCGCATCGCCAAGACAATCCTAAGCCAAAAGAACAAAGCTGGAGGCATCACACTACCTGACTTCAAACTATACTACAAGGCTACAGTAACCAAAACAGCATGGTACTGGTACCAAAACAGAGATATAGATCAATGGAACAGAACAGAGCCCTCAGAAATAATACCGCATATCTACAACTATCTGATCTTTGACAAACCTGAGAAAAACAAGCAATGGGGAAAGGATTCCCTATTTAATAAATGGTGCTGGGAAAACTGGCTAGCCATATGTAGAAAGCTGAAACTGGATCCCTTCCTTACACCTTATACAAAAATCAATTCAAGATGGATTAAAGATTTAAACGTTAGACCTAAAACCATAAAAACCCTAGAAGAAAACCTAGGCATTACCATTCAGGACATAGGCGTGGGCAAGGACTTCATGTGCAAAACACCAAAAGCAATGGCAACAAAAGCCAAAATTGACAAATGGGATCTAATTAAACTAAAGAGCTTCTGCACAGCAAAAGAAACTACCATCAGAGTGAACAGGCAACCTACAACATGGGAGAAAATTTTCGCAACCTACTCATCTGACAAAGGGCTAATATCCAGAATCTACAATGAACTCAAACAAATTTACAAGAAAAAAACAAACAACCCCATCAAAAAGTGGGCGAAGGACATGAACAGACACTTCTCAAAAGAAGACATTTATGCAGCCAAAAAACACATGAAGAAATGCTCATCATCACTGGCCATCAGAGAAATGCAAATCAAAACCACTATGAGATATCATCTCACACCAGTTAGAATGGCAATCATTAAAAAGTCAGGAAACAACAGATGCTGGAGAGGATGTGGAGAAATAGGAACACTTTTACACTGTTGGTGGGACTGTAAACTAGTTCAACCATTGTGGAAGTCAGTGTGGCGATTCCTCAGGGATCTAGAACTAGAAATACCATTTGACCCAGCCATCCCATTACTGAGTATATACCCAAAGGACTATAAATCATGCTGCTATAAAGACACATGCACACGTATGTTTATTGCGGCACTATTCACAATAGCAAAGACTTGGAACCAACCCAAATGTCCAACAATGATAGACTGGATTAAGAAAATGTGGCACATATACACCATGGAATACTATGCAGCCATAAAAAATGATGAGTTCATGTCCTTTGTAGGGACATGGATGAAATTGGAAACCATCATTCTCAGTAAACTATCGCAAGGACAAAAAACCAAACACCGCATATTCTCACTCATAGGTGGGAATTGAACAATGAGATCACATGGACACAGGAAGGGGAATATCACACTCTGGGGACTGTGGTGGGGTCGGGGGAGGGGGGAGGGATAGCATTGGGAGATATACCTAATGCTAGATGACACGTTAGTGGGTGCAGCGCACCAGCATGGCACATGTATACATATGTAACTAACCTGCACAATGTGCACATGTACCCTAAAACTTAGAGTATAATAAAAATAAAAAAAAATAAAAAAAAAAAAAAAGAAAATCTGTTGACACAAGTGCACAGCATTAGGGAATGTACATTTCAACAATTATTCTTCTGATCTATGAGCATGGGATGTCTTTTCATTTGTGTGTGTCCACTTCAATTTCTTTCATCAGTATTTTGTAGTTTTTCTTTATTTCTTTATTTAGTTATTTTTTAATTATACTTTAAGTTTTAGGGTACATGTGCACAACATGTAGGTTAGTTACATATGTATACATGTGCCATGTTGGTGTGCTACACCCATTAACTCGTCATTTAACATTAGGTATATCTCCTAATGCTATCCCTCCCTCCTCCCACCCCACAACAGTCCCCAGTGTGTGATGTTCCCCTTCCTGTGTCCATGTGTTCTCATTATTCAACTCCCACCTATGAGTGAGAACATGTGGTGTTTGGTTTTTTGTCCTTGCGATAGTTTGCTGAGAATGATGGTTTCCAGCTTCATCCATGTCCCTACAAAGGACATGAACTCATCATTTTTTATGGCTGCATAGTATTCCATGGTGTGTATGTGCCACATTTTCTTAATCCAGTCTATCATTGTTGGATATTTGGCTTGGTTCCAAGTCTTTGCTATTATGAATAGTGCCACAATAAACATACGTGTGCATGTGTCTTTATAGCAGCATGATTTATAATCCTTTGTGTATATACCCAGTAATGGGATTGCTGGGTCAAATGGTATTTCTAGTTCTAGATCCCTGAGGAATCGCCACACTGACTTCCACAAGGGTTGAACTAGTTTACAGTCCCACCAACAGTGTAAAAGTGTTCCTATTTCTCCACATCCTCTCCAGCACCTGTTGTTTCCTGACTTTTTAATGATCACCATTCTAACTGGTGTGAGATGGTATCTCATTGTGGTATTGATTTGCTTTTCTCTGATGGCCACTGATGATGAGCATTTTTTCATGTGTCTTTTGGCTGCATAAATGTCTTCTTTTGAGAAGTGTCTGTTCATATCCTTTGCCCATTTGTTGATGGGCTTGTTTTTTTTTTTTTTTTTTCTTGTAAATTTGTTTTGGTTCATTGTAGATTCTGGATATTAGCCCTTTGTCAGTGAGTAGATTGCAAAAATTTTCTCCCATTCTGTAGGTTGCCTGTTCGCTCTGATGGTAGTTTCTTTTGCTGTGCAGAAGCTCTTTAGTTTAATTAGATCCCATTTGTCAATTTTGGCTTTTGTTGCCATTGCTTTTGGTGTTTTAGACATGAAGTCCTTGCCCATGCCTATTTCCTGAATGGTATTGCCTAGGTTTTCTTCTAGGGTTTTTATGGTTTTAGGTCTAACATTTAAGTCTTTAATCCATCTTGAATTAATTTTTGTATAAGGTGAAAGGAAGGGATCCAGTTTCAGCTTTCTACATGTGGCTAACCAGTTTTCCCAGCACCATTTATTAAATAGGGAATCATTTCCCCATTTCTTGTTTTTGTCAGGTTTGTCAAAGATCAGATGGTTGTAGATATGTGGCATTATTTCTGAGGGCTCTGTTCTGTTCCATTGATCTATATCTCTGTTTTGGTACCAGTACCATGCTGTTTTGGTTACCGTAGCCTTGTAGTTTTTCTTGTAGAAATATTTCACCTCCTTGGTTCATTCCTAGATATTTTATATTTTTTGTAGCGATTGTAAATGGCATTGCCTTTTTGATTTCTTTCTCAGCTATTTCATCACTGATATATTGAAACACTACTGATTTTTATATGTTGATTTTTATATGTTGATTTTGCTTACCAGTTCTAACAGATTTTGGGTTGAGTCTTTAGAGTTTTCCAAATATAAGATCATGCCATCTGCGAAAAAAGATAATTTGACTTCTTCCTTTCTAATTTGGATGCCCTTTATTTCTTTCTCTTGTCTGATAGCTCTAGCGAGGACTTCCATTACTATGTTGAATAAAACTGGTGAGTGCATAACTTTATCTTATTCCAGATCTCTGAGAAAAGGCTTTCCATTTTCTCCCACTCAGTATGATGTTTGCTATGGCTTTGTCATATATAGTCTTTCTTAATTTGAGGTCTGTTCCTCTATACCCAGTTTTTTATCAACTGTCTTTTCATCGTCTATTAAAATAATCACATGATTTTTGTTCCTGGTTTTGTTAATGTATCATTGATTTGCATATGTTGAACCAGCCTTGCATCCTGGGGGTAAATCTCCCTTGATCATAGTATATAATCTTTTTTTTTTTTGAGATGGAGTCTTGCTCTGTCGCCCAGGCTAGAGTGCAGTGGCCTGATCTCTGCTCACTGCAAGCTCCGCCTCCTGGGCTCATGCCATTCTCCTGCCTCAGCCTCCCGAGTAGCTGGGACTACAGGCGCCCACCACCACGCCAGGCTAATTTTTTGTATTTTTAGTAGAGACGGGGTTTCACTGTGTTAGCCAGGATGGTCTCAATCTCCTGACCTTGTGATCCACCCTCCTTGGCTTCCCAAAGTGCTGAGATTACAGGCGTGAGCCATCATGCCCTATATAATCTTTTTGATGAGCTCCTGGATTTGGTTTGTTGGTATTTTGTTGAGGATTTTTGCATGTACCTTCATCAGTGATATTGGTCCATAGTTTTCTTTTTTTTGTATGTATCCTTGTCTGGTTTAGTATCTGTGTTATGCTGGCCTTAACTAATGAGTTTGGATTTATACTTTCCTTTTTAATTTTTTTGAAGAGTTTTAGTAGAATTGATATTAGGTCTTCTTTAAATGTTTGGTAGAATTCAGCAGTGAAGCTATCGGGTCCTAAGATGTTTTTGATGGGATACTTTTTTTATGGCTTTGATCTTGATACTTGTTATTAGTTAGTCGAAGTTTTCTATTTCTTCATGGTTCAGCCTTGGTCGGCTCTATGTGTCTAGGAATGTATCCATTTCTTTTAGGCTTTCCAATTGGTTAGTATATAGTTTTTCTAACAGATTCTAATGATTTCGGTTTTCTTTTTGTTTGAATTGTTATGTCTTCATTTTTTGTTTCTGATTTTCTCTATTTGAGCCTTCTGTCTTTTTTTCCCCATAGTCTAGCTAAAGGCTATCAATTATGCTTATCTTTTCTAAAAGCCAACTTTTCATTTTGTTGATCTTCTGTGCTGTTATATTAGTCTCATTCATTTCTGTTCTTATCTTTAATATTTTTATATTGCTTATGTCTTAACAAGTTGCTTTAGTTATTGTTGTTCTTGAAATATTTGTCTTTTGGGCTAGAGATATGAGTGGAAGCCACACACAATTACAGTATTAGAGTATTTTGGATTTGTCTGCATACTTAATTATATCATTTAATCTTACAACCTCAGTTGTTCTTTTTGCATGTTTGTGTTTTTATTTTCAGATCGAAGAACTGCATTTAGCATTGCTTTATAAGATGGTTTTGGTGGTGGTGAATTCTCTCAGCTTTTGTTTGTTTGGGAAAGTCTTCATGTATCTTTTATATTTGAAGGATTATATTGCTGGATATGATATTCTTAGATGGCAGATATTTTTCTTTCCATGCTGTGAAAACGTTATCCCACTGCCTCTTGGCCTGTATGGTTTGCAATGAGAACTCTGTTTCTGGATAAATTGGAGCTCCTTTATATGATATTTGCTTCTTTCCTCTTGCCACTTTTAGGATCCTCTCTTTGTGCTTAACCTTTGAGAGTTTGACTATTAGATGCCTTGGGGTAGTCTTATACGGGTCCAACTTATTCAATGTTCTTTGACCTTCTTGTACCTGGTTATTTACAGTTTTCTTAAGTTTTATAAAGATTTTTGTCATTATTTGTTTTAATAAACTTTCTATACATTGCTTTTGCTCAGCCACCTCTTGAACAGCAATAATGTTTAGATTTGATCTGTTGACATAATTTTATATATCTTGTAGGTAGTGCTTGTTTCTTCTCATTCTTTTTTTTTTCTTCTCCTCTGACTGTATATTTTCAAAAAGCCTGTATTTTGGCTTATGAATTCTTTCCTCACCTTGATATGATCTGCTGTTGAGTGCCTTTAAAAAAATGTTTCAGTTCAGCAAAGGTGTTTTTCAGTTCCAAGATTTCTGTTTGTTTATTTTTGTTATTTCAATCTCTTTGTTGCATTTCTCTGATCCAAATTGCTTTTCTGTATTATCTAGGAGATCACTGAGTTTCTTAGAAATGCTATTGTGAATTCTTAGAGAGCTCACATACCGCCATCTCATTAGGGGTCAGTTACTGGTTCCTTGCTTCGTCTGTTTGGGGCACTCATTATTTCTTATTTGCTATGTGGATGTGCATCTGTGTATTTGCATTGAATGATTATTTATTTATTCCAGTCCTCTCTGTGTGGCTTGTTTTGGTTTTTATTGGATATGTTTGACTAGAATTTTTTTGTAATTCACCTGTTGATTTTTTTCCCCCACTAGGTTACTGCTCCTTTTTGGCACTGGATAATGCCTTAGTCCCAGGCGTGACTTAGCTCTAGCAGACAAAATAGGGCTGCCTGTGTAGAATAGGAGAGGCTTCAAAGGGAATATACAGCAGTATGGAAAGGTTGTCTAGGGATTTGTGCCTAGGGATCTTGTGGAATGTAATTCCTGCAGTGTAGTGTTGCCGAACAACTACTGTGATTTGGCATCTCCTTTAGCCAAGTTAAAGAACAGCTTCTAGGGCTGGAGTTAGTAGTCCTACCTCCCTCCTTTGTTTCTGACTGCCCTTAGGACTATTTCTCCCTTCAAGCACTCACAATACTTCCCTTGGGTTAAGGCAGGAACATATCTCCTGCCAGGGAACTCAAAATCGTAGGGAAGATGGTTGTTCACCTTGATCTCATTATTTCCAGTATAGAAATCATGACATGAGGGAATTTTCTACACGCTTGGTACCAGTAGATTAGAAGAAGGCACATCACAGAAATGGAAGATTGATTCTTTTATCAGAGATTTTTCATTTCTCTATTGTCCTGGGAGCTGTCTCATCCTCATATTTGAGTTCTGGGATATTGCTGGTCATAACCTGGGTGCTGTATATTTGCTTTTCTTTTGGTAGAAGTAAAGCCAGCTTGCTTCTGCACTTCCATTTTGAAACCAGAAGTTCCCTGCCCTACTCTAATATGTTTTACACATAGAAATAAACCCACCTACCGTGCCATATAAACGATGTAAAGAAAGTAATGACTAAAAAATCAAACTATTGGGGGTGTGGGGAGAGATTTTAGAACTTTTAGATAGTTCAGCAGTTAGATAATCACTTCTTGCATAATTGGGATATGACTCAACATTTGAAAAAAAAAAAGTGTAGACTATTTTCTCTTCAGGATACAGATGGCTAGCTAAAGGGCACCAAAACCATGCACTTACATCAACCTTTCCTGTATATAATTTACCTTTTAGAACAATTTCAGTTTCTGTCCTTTCTAATATGAAAATTCAAAAATAAATTACAGTTACTACCTATTTATCTTTTATAAGGGCAGCCATTGGCTCAATGGTTTGCAGAATTATTTTGAAAGAATGCTGTTGGAATTGCAGTGTTTGGGAGTGTTTCAATTGCTGGCTGCAGACATAAAAATGTCATTTAGAAACTGCACTTATTTCACTGTTTTTGTTACTGTTATTGAACAAATGGAGAATTAACTTCAAAACTCTAAAAATATTTTGTAGCTATTAGAGGGAAACAAGGTTTTAAGAAATGCTATTTGTATAAAGTACAATAAGAATTTAAGAAAATAAACAAATTATTGCAAACTTTGCCTATTGAGGCAAACTGCTTGCAGTCTTCAAGACATATTTAAGTTGCTAGGACTCATATCTTAATTATACGAAAGTTCATAAAATCTTTCAAAGTGTTTTAAGGCAGCTAGAATATCCAGAAGCTGCATACTACATCATAGATCTTAATGAGGTTGCTAATTCCTCACTCTTTTTTAAGGAAATGCTCAGTACTTTTACTCATATTCTTTCTTCCTTTGTATACTTTTTAAAGTCTCATGTAATGGGACATTTTATTTGTGTAGTGTTCTGCTAAAATCAGTATGAAATTATCACAAGAATAAACTAAAATGCATATTCATATGTAGGCTAATACTATCACGTTAAATACTAATTGTATATTCTTTCCCTATGGTTTATAGTCAACGCAATTTGGGCAAAGATATATAGGTGTCTATTTTTCTGAATAATCTACAAATACAACAGAATGTTAAAAACCCCAAACCACTAACTTGGGAAATATTCAAATTAGAATATATTGCAGTCAAATGCAAGCATCAGTTAGGATACTGCAGCTTGTGTTATCATTAACATGTACACAAAGAAGGTAAAAATTACAATCTAGAGTCACATTAATTGCTAATATAGGCATCTTGAAACAATGGAAAAACTGAGAAGAGTGGAAAACTTTCCTGAAAATAAAGAGAAATGCTCTGAAATGGGACCAACTGAAGGTGGTACAAATGCTGTAGGATGCCCAAGGTCACACCTAGAATACAGCCTAGATCAAAACAGACCACCTGTTTCTGGGTCTAGTGTAATTTCCCTGACCCAGTGGATGCTGGGCATTTTATTTTATCCATTTTTTTTTTCATATTTCATGTAACATTTTTTAGTCAAAATTCCATAATAATTTGCCCTGTAAGGCTTCAGGAAAACTTGTGCTTTTGCAGATTATCTGACTTTTCTATACTGGAGTGAGAATGATGCTCTTTCCAGATTTATATACTGCAAGTGGAAGCCAAAAATTCCCACAGAAGTTAATTTTCATATTCGCCTTTTAACATACACACCTTATCATCTTCAGTCATATCAATTTTTTAAATGTCAACAAGAAACATTAAGGATTCATGGATATTTTCTTGATAAATAAACCCAAGTCTGAAAGAAGCTTGACTTTAAAATATAAGACAGAAAGCACAGTATCTTTGGGATATATGATAAAATTTATTTTGGCCTTTAACTATGTGCACAATTACCTGTTTCTTTAACTTAGTCTCCACAAAAGGCAGCTCAATTCAGTTTTACTCTCCTACATAAAGCAAAGTTTGTGTTTTTATTTTTACTGTACAATGTTTCTTTTTCTCTTCCAAAACAACAGCTGCTTGGGGGTCACCTTGAGCCTTAAGGAGAGTTAATATGATTGTATGTGTGACGTATTTCACTAATATTTTATCACTCACCTGCACAAGTTGTACTTAAAGCTAAGAACAATTTTAAATCTTCTTTATGCTAATAAAAACAAAACACATTTCATAAATTAGTTATTAATTTTCCTTGGTATGCAATCATATTAACCATGCTATTGCAATAAACCCTGTTTTATTACATTATTGCTGGTATGAAAGTACATTCATTTTAGAGAATTAATCTTTTCTGTATAGTCAAAATTTGCAACTACATATTTTAGTGATAGATTTAAATCATACAGATAAACATCCTTTAAAACTCACTTCAGTCATTCATTGAATATGAAGATTTAAAACCAAACTCCAAGACTGAGAGGAGTTTGCCATAATTTTAGTCTGCCTTTTTCAGTGAAAACCAGCAAATATAAGGGCCTAATTTTAAATATTTGAGGTTTAATATTATGCTACACCTTTGTCAATGAACTAGGTAAGACATTTCTGGAATCTGGTTTAAAAAGACTGAGTATTCATACAGGTTTCTCATATGTATAGGCATAATAATTTTATAAATTTAAAAAGCTCCGATTCTTAAGTGAGCTGTTGGTAAATTCAGTGTAGCTTTATTATATGGGATTTAATAAATAATTTATTTTCCAGATTTAATTTAATGTATGTATATACTTATATTATAAATTTATTTATACTTGTATTATGTTTATCCTTAAATTTATAATACATAAAATATAGATTTATATAATACATTATTCATAAAAATAAATTAAATATTAAATGTATTTTCTATAGCAGTTATTCTCTCATTGACACCAAAATGAGTTAGAAGTGTAAATGGAGTAAATGCATGGACACAACAAAAAATGGGAATTTTGTTTTAAAAATATTACTATCACTCTTTCAAATGTCACAATAACACATCTAGTTTAATCAAAATTTCTACCTTTTTGTTTACCAATTTATAATCAACTGGCATTTATTGCCTAATACTAGGTCAAAGCATTATTCTAAAGCCATCTACTTTGCCAATAATATATTATTTCTTAATTGATTGCTTAATACATGAATTCATTTATCCAACTAATAGAGATAGAAAAATTACTCACTTATTGTTCATTTTCTAGAAATTGTAATCATGAAGAGAAAGTTCATTTTCTTAAATAAATCACAATCAAGAAGAGGAGACAGATATGTTAGTAACTAGTTGTAAGATAGTGATGAATATCGATCACATATGTATGTGACTCTTCTTGTCTGATATGGTTTGACTGTATCCCCACTCAATTCTCATCTCGAACTGAAGTTCCCATAATCCTCCTGTGTTGTGGGAGGGACCTGGTGGGAGGTAATTCAATTATGGGGGTGGTTACTCCCATGTTGCTGTTCTCATGATAGTGAGTGAGTTCTCACAAGATCTGATGGTTTTATAAGAGACTTTTCCCTTCCTTTGCTCTGCAGTTCCCCTTGCTGCTGCCATGTGAAGAAGGACATGTTTGCTTCCCCTTCTGCCATCATTGTAAGTTTCCTAAGGCCTCCCTACCCCTGAGGAACTGTGAGTAAATTAAACCTCTTTCCTGGCTGGGCACGGTGGCTCATGCCTGTAATCCTAGTCCTTTGAGAGTCCTAGGTGGGCAGATTGCCTGAGCTCAGGAGTTCGAGACCAGCCTGGGCAACATGATGAAACCCCATCTACTAAAAATACAAAAAGTTAGCCAGGTGTGATGGCATGCACCTGTAGCCCCAGCTACTCAGGAGGCTGAGCCATGAAAATTGCTCAAACCCAGGAGGCAGAGGTTGCTGTGAGCCGAGATTGTGCCACTGTACTACAGCCTGGGCAACAGAGCAAGACTGTCTCAAAAAAAAATATCATTTTTCTTTTATAAATTACCCAGTCTTCGGTATGTCTTTATTAACAGCATGAGAATGAACTAGTAGACGGTCCTTCCACTTAATGCAGTTGGGGATGTAAAACTAATATAAAGAAATTGTCTAAGACCTCTCAAGAGTGTAACCAGGATTTATTGAGAGAAAGATACACTGAGAGGTAACTTTTTTAATCCCCTTTGATTGAAAGAGAAAAGTTTTAGAATCTGACAGATTTCAATTTGAATCCTGGCTGTGATATTTATTTGCTATATTATATTTCTGTTTGTTTATACATAAAATAAGCATAATATAAGGCTATTTTTAAAGAAATAAATAACATGTAAATTATAGCATTATAATCCATAAATACTGCTCCCTCCCTTCTTCAGTCCTTCTTTCTGACCGTAAGTACAATTATATTCAAACAAAGAAGAGCTGGGAGGTACAGACAAGGAATAATGAATTACCAAAAACACCTTCATAAAAACAGAACAATTTGGATTCTTCTTAAAATACAAGTAGGCTTTTGATTGATAAAGGAGAGACTGACAACTCCAATTCTGGGTGCAAGACATTAATAAAGACCTAAAAACAAAATGTAGAATAAGAAGCAGGTATTTTTAGAATAAAAATCAGAATAAGCAGGTTGTCTTCAGGGACTGTGAAAAGAGTCACATAAATGAAATGAAACTGCATATTGAGGAAGAATAGACAATTAGTTTGAAAGCTAGGAAAGAGCTTTGTGCCAGCTACTAGGGGAATCCGAGGTTGTTGTAGGCTCTTGAGTAGGGAATGATAAATTAAAGAGGAAATTATGAGGTAAAATGGATTTGAAGAGGGACCTGCTGGAAGACTGATGGTTTTCTATGATTAAAATGAGGCAGCCTGATTTTGTGTGAAGACAATGGGAAAGGAAAATCAAGGGAAAATCTGAGAGAAATCTCTCTCTCTCTCTCTCTCTCTCTCTCTCTCTCTGTGTGTGTGTGTGTGTGTGTGTGTGTGTGTTTGCGTGTAGGATACAAGAGACGAAGAAAAGTGGGAAGGATACAGAACAATACAGCAGTATAATAGGGTAGTATTAATATCAGAAATAAATACCAGATCATAGGTGACATAGTAAAGCATCAAATGAAGAGTTAGGATTTGACAGGCTGAGTTTGAATTTGTAGGTCAGTATGTTATATATAATTTTCTGGGTCTATCTGTATATGCCCATTTTGTTTGACACATACTTAGGAAATGCTTAAGGTTAGTTCTGATGGGATGACTCAAGTAAAATGCCTTTCTCTCTTTCTGCATGGTTCAATTCCATGTATTTATACGAAATGCAAATGTGGGCAATGAAACCAAGGAGAGGTTTTCTGTATGTTTCCGGGAATGAGTGAAGTGCTGACTGATAATGGCAACATTATAGAGCAATAAATAAAACAACCCTCAGCATAGAGCTGGAAATGTGGACAGGAGAGGGGAGATATCTAAAGATCCCATGTCTTGACTTTGATATCTTCATTGAATTCATGTATTAACAAACCTCAATATATCTTTGTAAACTAATAATTGCTTATTGTGTATTTTGTTGCTTTTTTTTTTCGGTATGAAGGCCACAGTTGAACAAAAAGTTTAGCACAATTTTTAAAACTGTATTTTATTATTTCCCCTTTCTACTATGTCATTCACTTCTGTTTTCCTTGCCTCAGTAGTAGGCACTCCATTATATTCAATGAATATTCTTCCAATTGTTCTTCCAACTATTATTTTAGAAATATGTGTACTTCAGAGAAAAGGTTGGGTGTACTTTTTAAATGTTCTTGTTTAAAAATAAGTTTCATTATGTATATTTAAGGTTTATAACATGATGTTTGGAGTACGTATGTATATACAGTAAAAAGATTACTATGGTGAAGCAAATTAACATATCTATCATCTCACATAGTTACTTGTTCCTTTTTGTTTCTGTGGCAAGAGCAGCTAAGATCTGCTTATTTAGCATGAATCCCATATATGCTACAATTTCATTACCTATAGTCCTCAAGTAGTACATTAAATCTCTGGAATTGTTTGTCTTACATATCTGCTACTTTGTACCTCAGACCCAAATCCATTCCACCCTCTCCACTCCTGATAACCACTGTTTTGCTCTCTGTGTATCTATTTTTAATTTTTTAAAAGATTGCATATATCAGTGAAACAATGCAATATCTCTCCTTCTGTCTCTGGGTTATTTCACTTAGCATAATGTTCTCCAGCCCCATCCATGTTGTGGAAAATGGCAAGAGCTCAGTCTTTTTTAAGGCTGAATCGTATTCCATTCTATATACACACCACTGTTTCTTATTTGTCCATTGATGGATATTTAAGTTGTTTCCATATTTTGGCTATTGTGAATAATGCTGTTATGAACACAGGAGTGCAGATAACTTTATGAGATGGCAATTTAATTTCCTTTGAGTATATGCCCAGAAAAGAGATTGCTGGGGCCATGTAGTAGTTCTATTTTAGATTTATTTAGAAATTTCCATAGCGTTTTACATAATAGCTGTACAAATCTACATTTTCACCAACAATATACAAGAGTTCCCTTTTCTTCACATCCTGGCCAATATTTGTTATTTTTTGATCTTTTGATAATAGCCATCTTACTGTGTGTCCTAATTTTCATAATGATATTTTATGGTGACTTTCAGTTTTAACCATGATATGTAGACAACTTTAGAAGTTGTCACTTACATCCTTACAGAAAAATAAAGCTGGACAAACTAAAAAATCAATGACTTTTCTTGGATGTATCAGAAAACTGGGTTTTCAGGGCAAACCACCTCCCCCAAATCTGTATAGATAGGGGAATTAATAAAATCATAGGAAATATCTGCTTTCCTAGAGAAGAAGGTGTTATAGCTAAAAACTGGGAGGAATAGGGCCGGGCACGGTGGCTTATGCCTGTAATCCCAGCACTTTGGGAGGCCGAGGCGGGCGGATCACGAGGTCAGGAGATCAAGACCATCCTGGCTAACACGGTGAAACCCTTTCTCTACTAAAAATACAAAAAATATAGCTGGGCGTGGTGGCATGCATAACATGTCTACCCAAAGATTATTGAATACTCTAAAAGTACACCATTGTTATTACATTATTTACCCTTTATTGGGATTCAGACTTTGTAAAGTTATATGTTCAGTGGTTGACTTCTCTTCAGTAAAAAAGATAACTAAAAAGGTTTTCATTGCCCAGAAAGATGATGAATAAGTTTTCTCTTAGAAAACGTATTTCAGCATTTCTTTTGTTGAATGTTTATATATAAAACTCCATTTATTGAATTTTTCTTTCAACAAGCTTTACTATGTTGCTGTTTCTCTTATTTGTGAGTTAAGACATTTTTAACACATGTTTACCATATATTTGGGTTGTGTGTATAAGAATTATATTTTGAACTAATTGAAAATTACACTTTGATGGCTGGGATCACAATGATGAAGGTGAAATGAGTGAAGAGTTAATAGACCAATGATTAGAAATAGGATTACAGTTCTTGGTAAAAGCTTATTGACCTCCCCACAAAAACAAACAAACAAACAACCTAATAAGACCAGTTTATATCTGTCACTAGTCCGAGGAGAAGATGACATTATTACCTTTACAGCAGAGACTAATGTGGTCATATAAATAATGAAGTATTTAAAGACTCCTCTCTACCATATATACATATGCTATCTTGAAAATAAGCATAGTGAAAATCTCAGACTTAACATTGGTAGAACAATGAAAGTAGGTCTGGGTCATCAGAAGAGACTGCTTAAATTACTGGAATGGAATGAGTTAACTGAAGTGGACCAAATTTAATTTTCTTGAGTTATCCAGCTGGGGATGGTGGTGCTTATGATAAATATTAGATTAGTTATAGAAAAATTAAATCTTTGTTTATTTGAACAGCTAATGCTTTGGGATATAACAGAAAAACCATATGGAGAAACAAAGATAAGTCTCAACTAAAGGGAATAAAAAACAAGCTGTAGTGTAACCATTAGTTAATTCAAATAAAAATTATTTATTGAGCACATACATCAGGCAGGACATTGTGCTTTTTGCTGTACAACAGAGATTAATGAGACCTCTAGCTTTCAACTAAGGAAATCTATTGTAGGAGATGTTCATGTAAACACAGAAATTAATATGCAGTGCCTTGATAGAATTATGTATTAAGCAGAAAATGAGGAGTGATTAATTTTGTCACAATACAGTAATAAGAAAAGCCTTCCTCAACACGGTGAGGTATGAACTGATTTTTAAATAATGACTAGGCATATTTTAGAAAAATAGGGCACAGGGTAAGGAGAAAATATAAGACCAAGGGTGTCACCAATACTCGAATTTATTCCCCAGTAACTATTTCTCCTACAGGTCTTGGGTAAGTGTGAAAAGGAAAAAAGGGCTTTTTATTCACAGCATCTTAGACTTTTTATAAATTACTAGTGACTAGACTGTGGGGACCAGACAATTGCACTGCTTAGGTCCAAGTCACACAGCAAGACTTTCACAGAGAGTTTATATGATATTACCTTTAATAGATTCACTCCAGTTCTGTCTCCTCCCCTAATCCTGAGAACTGCCTCCAATAAAGGACAAGAGGAAAAGTTCTCAATAAATAGCAGTTCCGATTACTATTATATTCCATGATTTTTGTCATCACAGTGTTTAAAGTCATACTTTGAACATTACTATTCAAAGTATACTACATACATGTGTTAGTGTTGATAGGTTACTATAAAAAGTAGCATTTGACATTGTCAGAATCCATATCCTATACAACACCAACAGTGAATCCTAATATAAACTATAGACTTTGGATGATAGTGACATGTCAATGCAGGTTCGTTGATTGTAACAAATATACCACTCTTATCTGCGATATTTAGTTATATTTGGTTTGGGATGCTGTATGTGTGTGGAGTCAGGAGTTATTCGGGAACTCTCTGTACTTTCCACTCAACTTTGTTGTGAACTTGAAACTGCTCTAAAATATAAAGTCTTGAATAAACACAGAAGAAAAAAAAGGAATAGAAGAAAACATAAAAACAAATGGTAGATATATATAAAACAATTAATGCTACCAAGAAAACAAAATTGTAGAAAATTAAAATAATGAGCAATTAAATGCAGGTAATGAATCTATTCCACCTTCCTCCACCCCTCAGATCCAGGTAAGAAGAAAAGCACCAGTATGGGCTGGAAGATCATATTTCTTCCAAAGATCTCATGCAGCCTTTCCACACGGGGTTATATACAGAGTGAAGATAATGCAAAGACGACAAAAAAGAGAGCTCTCTTTTTTAATCAGTTTTCAGGTTTTTAAAACTAAATACCTAAAGCTCCACCTCTAGCTCTGTGGCCTCATGGCATTTTTGAGCTTAATGTATATGCTTACTCTTCATAATTAGGGTGAAAGAAATGTGAAGTTACTAGAATAATAGCATTTAGGAGACTGTTAGCTTCTCGAGTTGCTGCAAGACGCTCTTCACCATCCACCCACAAAGCCTTATGCAGGCTCCTATTCTGGTGAGTCAGTTTGAACCATGTAAAGTTGGGGAATTTCTTCTGGCTTCTTTGACTCCTTTCCAAAGACCTTTAGCATTCTATAATTTCTGTGGCAAGAAAGATGAAATACAAGTAAAAAGACATTTTCTTTTCAAAGCCTAGAGCAACAAGCTAAATACACCAGTTAAATTCTCTTTTTCTCTGGGCCCTATCCTAGAATCTCTGGTCTTCCCAGGACAAAGTGCCCAACTAAGTAAAAGGCTATTCATCACAAACTCATTGTGCCCACTAATCACATAGAATTTTTAATACAAAGAAGCAATCTACAGAGGTAAGCCATGGAAAAGTACCAGCCCCTTGAATATAACAGCTTTCAACCTCTTTGCCTCTCATACCAGTGACTCCTCCCAGCCCTGTAATCAGATACTTGCTTCAGCCTGATTAATACCTTTGAGCTAATGAAGAATAAAGGAAATGCTGCCCTGAGCCCTCATTAGGCCACAGTTTGGAGTTGATAGACTTAAATTCTATTGCTGTTTCCTCAAGAAGCATCCTTGTCATTTAAGCATATAGTTATATCATTATAAATAAACTAAATGTATTTAATCTATTTAATTGGAAATTGTAAATGTTTATTAAGCCATAAATTTGCCTGAAGTTTACTGTGGCTCTAAGAAACAGCACATATATAAAACATATGCCTTATTATTTGCAATTTCATTAAATAGTTCTTAAAATGTGTTATGAGTCTGGGTAATTTTGCATAATCTTAATTTGCAGCATTGTTCCTTCACATTTTTTTCCAGTTATTTTTCTGCATAAGCCAATAGGCCAAAATATTTTTCAAAATAAATTCTAGAAATGAGAATTTCTAAAATCATAAAGACTGTGGCATTTTTTTCATTTTGATTGTAATTATCTGTTACTATAGTAGAACAGAAGAGGTAACATTGCATATAGATTGCTTTAACTTTTAATGAGCTTATGTCTCATCAACATTTTATTAACCTAGTAAACATAAAATAACGTCTTAGATTAGTATTTTTGATGATAACAAAATCTAAATTATAAAGCATATCTAGATGTAGTGGCAGATGAGCTTTCTGAGCATATATTCATTATTGAAATTCAAGAATATTTCTCCCAAAATATTTTTTTGCAAAATAATGTAATGCTGTAATGTGTTTGATGCCTCAAGCAAAGAAACATATTGCTTCAGAAAAACTAGATTTTATTTGGGTTTCAGCAGTCCTTAGAATGCATTGATTTGTATGCTGTTTATGCTTCAAAATCAGCCCATGAACTTTATTCCTCTGTAGTTGACATCACTACTGGCACACTCTTCCTCTGTGCTTCTGTTCTCATTGCATATAGAAATGAAAGGGGTTGGAAAAAAATGCTAGGAAGCAAATTGTTGTTAGGAGAACATGTAATTTCTTTTAGCACTCTCTTTGCTAAGTTTAAAATAATAAATAATACGTCTTAGTTTTTCATCTTCTCAGGGAAATGTGTGGCTTTCAACATTTTTCTCAAAGAAATCTAATTCATGGCTTAGAAGAAGAAAATCTCCCCTTCAAATATTTTCATATTTTATTATTTTTATCTTAGAAAATAGGACTAATCATTTTTTTACAAAAGTTTAGTGCTCATCCAATTTCATGGGGTGATTGGTTCATATCACAGATGTAAAAATGCAAGTGTTGGTTATTTCATCTTTTCTAAAAATACAAACCACTGTAGGTCAGAGTAATGGCATTTGGCTTATCTCTCCAACACAAATATAACTTGGGGACCACTGATGCATTTAAGGATGGAGGTACCAATTCCTTATGTAAAACCCTAAAGTTATTACTGACTTCTTTCTATTGTATTTCCTCTAAATAAGTATTACCAACATTCACCAGAGTGCTATTTTTTTAAATTAAAAAGTACAGGTATTACTTCTTATGCTCCACACCTTTAAAGATTAATTCATTTATCAAAAATCACGGTACTTATGACTGATAATAAAGCCATACCAAATCATGTTTTATTTATTGCAACTTATTTTACTAACGATTTCTATGTAATAGACTGGACAAAAACATTAATAAATGTTATGACATCTCATGTTTACTAAGTTAATGACTGTGTAATTGATGAGAATTTAGTCTGCATACCGTGTTTGCACTAATAAAACAATGTAATGATTATAATATAATTATATATATTTTTATTAGACACTTACTTTCTGCCATTCAATTAAATGTTTTACCCTGCACATTGTTGTAGATATTTTGATTTCTTAGAACTCTTAATTACTCCTCCCCCTTGCTATGCTTTACTGTGGGTAGAATATACCTATCTTCCTCACTGATTCGGGCTTGGCCATGTGACTGCTGTGGCTAATTGAATATGAGAAGATGTGACATTATGCCAAGTCCCAGCAGAGGCATTAAAAAATACATTTGTTTTATTTTTCTTCATCTCCCCTTCTTCTGCTTTCTACCTTGAGAACACATGTTCTGGATAGTGACTACTCATTAAGCTGGGGTTCTAGAGCGAGAAGACAAATGAAGCCTAGCTGAGCCCATTTGAATTAATCTGAGCAAACAGAATTTTTTTTAGGTTAAGTCTCTGATATTTTGACTGCTTGGCGTGCTAAGTTAAATAACATAGAAATTTATACTAGAAATTAAATGATGATATAATAAAAAAATCTAAAAATATATGTCTCTAGATTTGAACTTGAGACAGAGTAGATGTGGGACTTGGCCCCACTCCCACTAATGTATTTTTTCATGCATACCCACTAACCATCAGACCTTGCACCATCATCCCCATACTCTCTGAGATACTGCAAGTTATTAGAAAGATAGGATAAACAACATTCCATCACAAAGCTTACCCAGGACAGTCGACCCTACCACCCACATGCACACAAGATGAGGAATGTGACTGATCATAACCTTCCCCTAGGGGCAAGGTCCTGATCCTTGCTCAGGGTGGATCTTATTTGTCATTTTCTGATCATGCAGTGTATGTGTTAGTATGATTTCTTACTGTGCCTGTGCACCTGGCACTCCACTCTGCACCTGTAACGATGCTTGCTTACCTCATAGGTTATTCATGTTAGGCTCCTGAAAACACCACAAGGACCTACCCTCCGGGAGCCAGCCAGAGAACCCTTCTTCCTGCACTGTCTCCGTTATGCCCAACATTTCTGGGCATAAGTTTTAATAAACCTTACCTGGGAAAAGTTTGTTTGGCCTCGTGTTAATTGCTATTATATGGAGAGCCAAGAATCTCGAACCAGTAAGAGTTGTGAAGTCACCCTCAATATTTCCCAAGTCTTCAAAGGAATTGAGACACTATAATCATTACCCAGGACTCCACGCTTGTCAAATTTGTTGATGACCTCCTACTTTGCAACCAAACTGAATAGAATGCTTGTATAGACTCCCTAATCCTTCTGAAGGTACTGACTGAGCAAGGCTACAAAGCCTCCAAATCTAAATGTCCATGGGTACAGACAACTGACTTATTTAGGCCATAAAGCATCTCGGAGCACTAAAAAACTCACAGTAAAATATCTTGAAGGAATTTTGACAATCTTTTCTTAAGAAGAAAGAAAAAAAACCAGAAATTTTTAGAGGCAGCTGGTTATTGCCATCAATGGATTCTTAATTTTGCCATCCTAGCCAAGCCTTTATATGTTTTCCTCTCAGGTATAACCTCAGAACCCCTTTTATGGCCCTCTGAGACACTGGCCTCCTTTGAAGCATTAAAATAAGCATTATCTACACCCCCAGCTCTCAGTTTATCCAATTTTGACAAACCTTTTCAACAATATTGCCATGAAATTAATGAGATTGTTGCTAGTATTCTAGAACAGCCGTTTGTCTCTCAATTACTTTTTATGGCATATTTCTTATTTCGATCAACCCTGTGACATCAGGCATGCCTCCATGCCTGTGTGCGAAAGCCACAGCTGCCACCCTAATGGAAAAAGCCTTTATTCTTACATTAGGCCTCCCTACTCACCTCTATGTTACCCTTGATGTGTCAGCGCTCTTACAAGCTCATAAAACACAGCACCCTCTTTATACAATGGCAGACCACTGATGAACAGGACCTATTAACAATTCTCTCTCTATTGTATCATTGTAACACCCTGAACCGTGCTATTCTATTACTCCTCCTTGATGATGGACAGCCCATTCTATTCTACGTGATTCCTTTGTAGCTATATAAATGGTCTCAAAACTATGATTTTTTAGACATCTTCTTAGACAGTCCAGACTTCTGTTTTGTCATGGCTGTCAAGCAGAATTCTCACCGATACATAGTAACTGACTGTGCCATGGTTTCCTTAAATGAAACACTTGAGACAAATTCTGCCTTCTATATAATCAGCCTGAACCACTGAGTCTAGATCTTACACGAGCCTTGGCAAAGAGAAAACTGACACTATTTACACTTGAGATGTGCTTTGGACTCTGCCATACTGTTGGCTGTATTGAAAAGTCCCGTTTCTGACCTCTGCTGGTACCCCTATTGCCAATGGCCATGTAATTGTTAACCTATTACGCCTATTCATCTTCTAATTGAGGTTGCTTTTGTTTATTGTTGGCACATGCCAAGGAGACTGACACTGTATCTCTGGTAGACAATACGTCTGACAAAGCTGCCAAACATGAACCCCCAACTCTGGCAATAACCCATTTTTTAACCCAGCTTACAACCCTGCCTTTAACACTTACTGACGTCAATAATATTTGGCAGATACCCTACAATGAAAAAAAAGGCTGCAAGAAGATTCCAGACAATTGTTAGAAGGATTATACGTTGGACCAAATGGACTTCCTATAGTCCTTTATCTTTTATTGTTTTGTGCTTCTATTTATTGCCCATCAAATGGAATATATGTGTAAAGAAGGGCAAATCAAAGAGGTAAATGACAGTGATTTTGCCCTGGAATCCACAGAATTTCTGATCAAATTATTTACCAATGTATTACTTGTAAATCTTATGATATTTCTGGATGTAAGTAGCATACCCCATGAAATCCTCTGAGACCCACATTCCCTTTGCAACACTCCTGGTGGACTTTATAGATTTCCCTCAGGATTCAGGTTATTCTCATTATAGGTTGACTATACCTAATCTGAAAATCCAAAATCTGAAATGATACAAATCCAAAACGTTATGAGTGTTGTCATAATGCTCAATGGAAATGCTCATGAAAGCATTTTTTATTTAAGGTCTTTGGATTAAGGATGCTCATCCAGTAAATATGATACAGCTATTCCAGTGTCCAAAACTATCCCAAATCTGAAACACTTCTGGTCCCACCCAAGCATTTCAGATAAGGAATACTCAACTCATAATTGGTGATTACCTGCACAGTTAGTAGATGGACTGAGTACTATCCAACTAGACATGCTGATGCCACATGGTAGTAATGAAAAAAAAAATTGAGATTATTCTTCATTTTGGCATTACTTAATGTATTAAATCAGACCAAGGAACTCACTTAACAACAGAAGTAAATCACATGTTCACAAAAACTCTAGGATAGTCATTAAAATTCTATACTCTTTACCATCCTCAGTCCTCAGAGAGGTGGAATGTGATAATTTAGACAGCAAAAGAACTATAAAATATGTCAGTACAATAGACCTAAGTGGCCAGAAGCATCACCCCTGACCCCAATAAAATCTGGAAAACCCCAAACAAGAGAGATGGATTAACTGCTTTTTGAATAATTTTTGATAGCTTTATGCCTATTAGCATCTCCAAACTTTTTGTTCCTGAAGTGAGTGAGCATTATGGGGACCTGAGTGAAAGGTTCAGTATTATGACTAGATATCTAAAAGAACTATCTCTTGTACTTGGAGCTTACCATTAACAGGCAAAAAAGTCATGGCCATTGTCTACCAACAAGCTTTCTATCCCTTTTGACCAAGCTATCAAGTATACATCAAAATTTTGACAAGAAAGCATACACTGTCATCTTTCTGGGAAGTACCTTGTGAAGCATTGCTGAACACCTACATGGCCATCAAAATAAAAAGAAATATTTCCTGGATTCATGCAAGTCATGCCAAGCTAGACCCAGATCATAATTTCCAGAAAAATTGAAAAGCTATTCTTACAGCTGACTTCAAACCAAGGATTTTCAGGGCCAATTCACAGGGTCCCAAAGCAGATGACAACATAAAGTGGACTATTTTTTCCAATATCTTGGATCAAGAACTACCTTTCCACCTATTTTCCCTTGATATCTTTCTCTTCTCTGACCAAAGGAAAAAAAAGTAAATAAAAACCTTAAAAACCTCTTTGAGCTTTAAACAGAAACCTTCCCCTTTATTTATTGATGGACTGTCTAGAGATTGCTACTTTTTTCTTCTTCTGTTTCTTCACAATGAGATATTTTCTAAACTGTGTCTTGCTTCAACTAACCCTTATGGCTTTTTTTGACAATTCTAGCATAAATCCAGCACCTACTCGCGCCAGTCTTCTAAACACTGGCAACTTTCATCAATCCGAATTTTGGTTATGTCAACATATCGGTATACAGAAGAAGCTAACTAGTTTTTGTTTCTGCCAATGCAAACACCTGGTGGACACAGACTGGACTATGGATGTACAAAAGGGTATGGTATCTACAAACAGGAAGACAAAAATCATGCCACCTCTCTTTCTGGTAAACTGATTTGGCGCTTGGAAAATTCCATGGAAGCTCAAGTTCTATTCTTTGTTCAGGTGATGTTATTGAATGGACAAATTTCCCTTTTCATTGGAAACAGAAATGGTACTGGACCCTTTCTAGGTAAGATACCATGACAACACTGAAATCAAACCATGGGGTAATTTCAAACCCTGCAGAAATGTCATAGATGGTTCTATTACTAACTTTTAAGATACAAGCATTTGTATGGTCACTGGGTGTCACTCTTGGTTTATGGGCCATGCTAGCAGGATCTGGAATAGCTTAGCTGTTTCTCTGATCAGGCTGCTTATTCTAAAAAATCGTATGTGGGTAAACCAAAATTTTTTATTAACTTGGTTAGGTGGTAAAAGTGATTTTCATAACTGCCAAGATCAGGCTGTAGGTCTTCTCTAGGAAATATTTTACAACTTCTTTTGCTCTTACATCCTGATAGAGACACATGTAAATAGAGAAGCACAGATCCAACATAACTGGTGACAGAGGTTGTGAAAGACATCAGATCCCAACTTCGTGAGTCACAGTTTCCCCTCTGACCTTGTTCATGAACAACACTAGTTTCTGCATTTCAAGGGGCAAAAAAGTATATATTAATAAAGTGTTTCTACTTAAATGCTGAGGGCAATGTGAATTTGTATACCTGGCACCCTCCTTCACGGGGAATTGTACGTTAAATGCAAGCTAAATTGCAAATCTGAGCTCCTATGTTCATAAGATAACACCACATGGATGTACTCAATGAGACATCATAGAAAACCCACTTGTGTCTTACAGCTCCAACCTCTATTTAGTGATGAAGACCTTTTTTCCAAGTTTTGAAACATATGATTTAGAAAGAATGATGGTAGATATTTCCAAAGTAATACAACCAATATGCAATAACACGTAAAGTCTCTAGGAGCACTCCAATTGGGAGTTAAAGTTTAGCTTCTGATGCGCTCCAAAATTGTCCCATTCTGGATACACTGAAGTATTCGGAATGAGACAATTTTGGAGCACAACAAAAGGTGGAACTTGAGCAATTATGGGAAAACAATGCTGCTTTTATGTAAATCACACAGGAAAAATTGTGTCAAATTCACACCTTTGGGAAAAAAAGGTTAATATTCTTCATCAAATAAATGAGGCATAGTCTTTAACTAGGCTGACCTATTCCCAAGATGGGGAGACAGGTTCAGTGGGGTATGGGGCATTGTGCTTAGATTTATTATTTTCTGCTTATTCATCCTTGTTCTAATCTATGTTCTTCTCTCCCTTTGCAGATCTCTTGCCTCACAGCTTCTAACCCAAATCTTATTTCTACAGCAACCAACACAGCTTCTCGTTTGTAAAACTTCTCAAGATGTTTCAAAATGGAAGAAATACCAAAACCCACAAAGAATCCTTGAGTTGGTATGGTTATTTTTAGTTGAGGACATTTGAGATTCCACAGATGCAGAAAAGAATCTTCTCAGAGCTTCCTTCTTCTGATTAAAAGCAGCCACTTCTGGGAAATAAGGCTGGCATAAATCCTCTCTTGAGAGTGGCTTTACTCCCAGAAACAAGACCAAGGGTAAATCTACCATAAATCCCCTCTCCAGGGGAGTTTGATGGCCATAAAGAAGATGAAAAGAGTTCTCACACCTGCATAAACAAATGTTATCACAAACTTTCTTATCTCTTGTTTGTTCTCCCAAAAAACTATTTGTCTTTCCTAAAGAAATCCATTTGTTTTCCTTATAGAAGTCTTTTCTCCCGGCTTGCTTCTCCTATTAAGTTAGATATATAAACTTCTAATTTAACTTTTAGGAAACTACTTCTTTTGTAAGCTCTTGTATGCAAATAAACTGTTTTATTCTCTTGTTAATGTGTATTTTCACAGCATATCCTCCACCCAGATCCTGAATTTGAGAGGGTAGAGGAAAAGTTTTCCTCTCCAACACTTTCGTTCTCTGTCAATGGCTTCACTGGATTGCTAGTCTTCCTATTAAAAGCGGCAATTTATTCTTCCAAAGTTAGTTTCTAAATAATATTCCATAGAATTTTCTTTTTAAATAACCAGGTAATACCTACGTTGACATCAAGAGAGCACCATGGTCAGTAATTTTAATACCCCAGGAACATACTTTTAAGTATACATTGTTTTTCAACCAATATTGGAAAGGGAAAGTTCCAAACCATACTAATTGGACCTACATTGAACATGGTAAATTCCTCCTCAAATAGTTGCTAATGGTTTGCTGGGACAGTACTTCCCATCTGTAATAACTCTTAAAATTAAATTACTAATATCTTTGGATTTCTGGATCATCTTTTACTTAATATCCAAAAATAAATTGTGAGGTTTTTTTAAATGCCTGGGTAAAATTCTGAAATAGTAGTTTATTTCAATTTTGATAGCTGCTGAGATTCACACTAGCTTTTCTTCAGTCGACACAGTAAACAATAAAACTTCAGCAAAACTGGAAAATATAAGAACCCCCAATATATAGTCCCCCAAAGGATCCAGCAGGTTATAGAGTCCAAAGCCCTTATTTTATAAATGAGTAAACTGAAGACAAAAGCACCAATGTAGTTGCTTGAAGGTTATAAAATGGCAGGGATACATGTATGTGTATATATATATATATATATAGCTCCTTAAAATGTAGACTTTTGAAAGATCAGAGGATTTGAATATGTTTACATGTCAAGTGATTTTCTAAAGCTTTGGCTACTGAATTGGCTCTGAGTCAGCATGGCCCTTTGCCATATCAAATAAGAAAAATCACAAACAGATGACTAACTTACATAATGCATTTCTTTTGGAGCGAGGTCCTTGGCAACAGGAAAGGGTAATAGTGATTTTAAACATTGACTCTTCAGTGAAGAAGGTCACTGTGTGGTCATGGATGAGGAAAGTAATAAGATAATGTTGATGGCTTTTCTGACTTAGCATGCCTACAAGAAATCAGAATTCTGGGTGATGACACAGTCTGTCTATCTTAAGTAATCTTAACTGGGCATCAGGCCATCAATCTTGAAAACATAGGTTAAAGCTCTTTGAACATTGATTATAACTAAGAGCAGCTGACTTTTTCACTGCACCATAAACCTCTTATGACTCTGACTCATCAGATGATTTGGAAAAGGTGTACTCACTGACAAAGAAAAAGAGAAAATATAGATGAGTTAAGTCACTTTAGTCCCAGAGGAGGACAACTGAGCATTAATAACATTTTAGAATTTATTTTCTGCCTGGGGTCAAATGACCAATTTCAGACAGCATTTCAAATTCTTTTTTTCAGCATGGCAGAGAAAAGTACATCAGAGCCTCACCAGAGCCTGAATACTTTCAACCCAGTTGAATAGTTTATGCAATTAATTATGGCTTTTAATAGAAATGTATTCACTTTTACCTTGAGAGGATGAGAGGACATCCTAGAATATGGGTGAAAGTCCTATAACCAACACCTATGTGATAAATGGATTTACATTAGGTATTTAGTCCCTAACTTGGCATTCTACCTCCTTCATCACCAAATTTTATTTCTTCACCAGTACTCTTTCTCAAACCATTACTCAATGACAATTCAGGCCATATAAACTCAAACTTTTGTGATCTGCATGTCTATGCTTTAAGTTTCACTCTTTACCGTTCTGTCACTTTAATAAATATTGATATAGCATTCCCAACCCAAATTGTACATCCTTTGAAACTTTGACTAAATGGGTAATAATTATGACAATATTTATAATAAATAATTATAAGAGCATATTATCAGCAACTGTATTCCACAAAACTGGATTATAAAGAAAAACTGAAAAATTCCTGAAAACACATAAATTAGTGAAACTGGCTCAAAAAGAGATAGAACATCTCAACAGACCTATACTAACTAAAGAGATTGAATCAATAATTAGAAACCTTCCATCAAAGAAAAGCCCTGGACCAGATGTGTTCACACGTGAATTCTAACAAAGAGTTAAAGAAGAATTAATATGCATCTTTCTTAAACTTTTCCAATAAATGGAAGAGGAGGAAACATTTTCTAATTCATTTTATGAGGCCACCATTACTTGGATACCAAAGCGAGATAATAAAATAACAAGAAAATAAAATTACAGACTAATATCTCTTACAAATATAAATGCAAATATCTATCCTCAATAAAGTATTAGCAAATCTAATCCAACAATATATTCAAAGTATTATTCAGCTCAATCAAGTGGGATTAACAGAGAAAACCAAGGGTGCGTCAATATAGGAAAATCAATCCATGTAATACATCACATAAATAGAATATAGGTAAAAAAGAAACACATGAACATTTCAATAGATGCAGAAGCAGTATTTAACAAAATTGAGGAGAATTTCATGATAAAAACTCTCAGAAAACTTAGAATAGAATAATTCAGCCATATGATAAAGGGCTCTTATGAAAAACACATAGCAAATATAATATTCAGTGGTGAAATGGAAGGCTTTACCCCTAAGAGTAGGAAGAAGACAAGAATGCCCGCTTTCACCACGCTATTAAGCATGGTACTGGAAGGCCCTACCAGAGCTACTACAAAAGAAAAAAAAAAAGAGAGAGAGAAAAAGCATTTATGTTGAAAAAAAAATCAGGTTAAAACCATCTCTATTTATAGATGTCATGGTCTTATACCTAGAAAATCCCAAAGAACCTAGTAGAAATCCCCAATAGCTAATAAATGAATTCAGCAACATTGCAGTATAAAATTCAATAAAGAAAAATCAGTTGAGTGTTTATATGACAACATGACCAACCAAACAGAAAATTAAGAAAGCAATTCTCTTTGCAATAAAGTCTAAAGTAGTTAAATACTGAGGAATAGATCTAACCAGGTAGGTGAAATACTTGTATTTTGAAAGTTATGAATATTGCTGAAAGAAATTAAATAAGACATGAGTAATAAAGATTTGTGTTTATGGACAGGAAGACTTAACATTATTAATGTGTTAATGCCACATAAAGTGATCTACAGATTCAATGCAATCCCTATACAAATTATAACAGGCTTTTTCATAGAAATGGGAAAAATGCCCTCAAATTCATATGGATTTTTAAGGGGCCCCAAATAGTCAATTATATAAAGAAGAAAAATAAAGCTGGAGGACTCACATTTCCTGACTTTGCAATGTACCGTAAAGCCATAGTACTTACAACAGTATGGTGTTGGCATAAAGACAAACATGTAGACTAATAAAATGTAATAGAAAGCACAAAAATAACCCCTGCATACTTAGTCAAATTATCTACAAGTATGCCAAAACCACTCAAAGAATGAAAGGACAATCTTTTCAATAAAAGGTGCTGGAAAAACTATATGTCCACATACAAAAGAATGAATTTGGATCCTTACCTTACAACATATACAAAAATTAACTCAAAATTATCAAAAACTGTAATAGCTGCAACTACAAAAGTCTTAGAGGAAATCATTGGGGAAAATCTTCATGACACTGGATTTGGTAATGATTTCATTGATATGATACCAAACACACAGGTAAGAAAAAAATACAGTAAAGTTGAACTTCATCAAAATTAATAATTTTTGTTTATCAGAGGACACTATCAAAAAAGTTAAAAGATTCTGGTTGCTAATATTTTGTTGAGGAATTTTGCATCTATGTTCATCAGGATTATTGGCCTGAAGTTTTCTTTTTTTCATTGTGTCTCTGTCAGATTTTGGTATCAAGATGATGCTGGCTTTGCAGAATGAGCTATGGAGGAGTCCTCCTCCTCAATTTTTTTTGAATAATTTCAGTAGGATTGGCACTAGTTTTTCTTTGCACATCTGGTAGAATTTGGCTGTAAGTCCATCTGGTCAAGGGCTGTTTTGGTTTGTAGGATTTTTTAAATTACTGATTCAGTTTAAGAACTTGTTATTGGTCTGTTTAGGTTTCTACATTCATCTCGGTTCAATGTTTCCAAGAATGTATCCATTTCCTCTAGATATTTGACTTTGTGTGCATAAAGGTGTTCATAAATGTCTCTGAAGATCTTTTGTGTTTCTGTGGGATGGATTATAATGCATATTCTCATATATAAGTGAGAGCTAAACATAGAGTACACATAAACATAAAGATGGGGACACTGGGGAATAATAGAGGGGGAAGAGAGGGAGAGGAACAAAGATGAAAAACTACCTATGGGGTACTATGCTCACTACCTGGGCAAGGGGTTCAATCATAGCCCAAGCCTCAGCATCACACAATATACCTTTATAACAAACCTGCACTTATACACCCTGTTTCTAAAATAGAAGTTGGACAAGAAAAAATGATGCGCAGTATAAATTATTTAAATGTTTTGCAGAAAGTTTATACAATTTATTTCCTACTAGTTTACTGTGATTTTTTTAGATACCATGATTGCTATGAATGATGGTAACTTATAAGGTGGTCACAGGAATGGAAGTGGATAAAAGGTGATGAAATTGAGACATGGAAGCCAAAACCAAAAGGATCATATATTGATGTGGTTTTGGGAGGTTAAGAGATGACAAGATTGATTCTGGCTTCTGCTACTGGGAAAATGTTTGTTTTCTGGTTTGTTTATAGAGAACAAGAGAGAAAAATAAAAATAAAAAAACAAGGATATGCCCCCCCTTAAAAAGTTAAAAAAGTTAAAAGAAAACCTGTAGAATGAGATAAAGTATTTAGAAATTAAGTAAGTGATACAAGATTAATATCTAGGACATATAAAACGCACTTAAAACTCAACAATAATGACAATAACAAGAAAAAAAGTTCAAAAAGGCCAAAGCACTTGAGCAAACACTTCTTTAAAGATACACAAATGGACAATAAGCACTTGAAAAGATGCTCAACCTCGTTAGTTATTAGGGAAATGCAAATCAAAACCAAATAAGATACCACTTCATACCTACTAAGAGGGCAACTACAAAAACCCCTGAAAAATAACAAGTGTTGGTGAGGATGTGAAAAAATTGACACCCTCTTGCATTGCTGGTTGGAATGTTAAATGGTGCAGCCACTGTGGGAAACAGTTCAGCACGTTCTAAAAAATGTTAAAAATATAATAATCATATGACCCAGAAATTTCACTACTAGGTATGTATCCAAAGCAATTCCACTATTAGGTATGTATCCAAAGTAATTGAAGCAGGGAAGAGAAACCCATACAGCAATGTCCTTAGCAGCATTATTCATAATAGCCAAAAGGTGGAAACAACTCAAGTGTCCATTAACAGATAATAAATAAGCAAAATGTGGCATAAAGACACAATGGAATACTATTCAGCCATATAAAGAATTCTTTTCCTACTTTATTGAAATATAGTTGGCAGTTAAAAATGTTATATATACACACACACATATATATAGAGAGTACAACTAGATGATTTAGTGTATGAATGTAATATATGAATACATTCCGAAATGTTATCACAATGAACTAAATTAACATATATAACCTCACATATTTACTTTTTTGTTATGAAAACAAGATTTATCTTCTTAGTAAATTTCAAGTACACAATAGAATACTATTAACTATAGTCACATTGTTGTACATTAGATCTTCAGAACTTACTTATCTCACATAACTAAAACTTTGTACCCCTTGATCAATATCTCCCCATATCCCTTTCCTCCAGCCCCTGGTAACTACCATTCTAATTTTTGTTTTATGGGTTTGACTTTTTCAGATTCCACATGTGAGCTTATGCTGCATTTGTCTTTCTGTGTCAGGCTTGTTTCACTTAGCATAATACCCTCCAGTTGTATGCATGTTGTCATAAAAGGCATGATTTCTTTCTTTTCTAAAACTGAATAATATTTCAATGTGTCTGTATATGAGTATTTACAGAAATGTAATTATTTTTGTATTTTGATTTTATAACTTGCAATTTTACTAAAGGTGTATCAGTTCTAACAGTTTTTAAAAAATATTTACAGTTTTCTACATATATGATTATGTCATCAACAAATAGAAATGATTTTTTATTTGGATGCCATTTATTTCTTTTTCTTGTCTAAACGCTTTGGCTAGGTCTTTCAGTGCTATTTTCAAAAGAAGTGAATAGAGTGGAAATCTTTACCTTGGGCCATATCTTAGAGGAACAACTTTTGTGTGTTCCCCATTAATTATGATGCTAGCTGTGGGCTTTTCATATATGGCTTTTATTGTGCCTTCTAAAACTATAGACAGTCCTCCATATCCCTGGGTTGCACATCTCTGGATTCAACCATGGAGAGAAAACATATAATTTGTGGGATGCAAAATTTGCAGATTTGAAAGGGCGATGTTTGTATCCGCAGTTCTGCAAGTGCCGACCGTGAGACTTGAGAAACCATGGATTTTTATATCCACAGAAGGTCCTAAAACCAATTCCCCTCAGATACTAAGGGACAGTTGTATTTTGCTAATTGTTTTAATCATGAATGGATGTTGAATTTCATCAAATGTGTTTCCTGCATCTATTGAGATAGCCATTTTTTAAAAATTTTATTAATGTTTTATATCACACTGATCGATTTTTGTATGTTGAACAATCCTTGAATTCCAGGGATAAGTCCCACTTGGTCATGGTGTGTGATGCTCTGAATTTAGCAGAATTTGGTTTGCTTGTATATTATTTAGTACTTTTATTTTATGTTTATTAGAAATATATTGTGGTTTTCTTTTCTTGTAATGTTTGTCTTATTTTGGTATGAGGGTGATTCTGAACTCATAAGTTTGGAAGTTTTTGATCATTTCCTATTTTTGGGAAAAATTTAAGAAGGTTTGGTGTTAATTCCTCTTTGATGTTTGTTAGAATTCATCTATAAAGCCATCTAGTCTTGGGTTTTTATTTGTTAGGAGATACTTGACTATTGCTTTAATCTTCTTAATTTTTTTATCTGTTCCTGCTTTTTATTTCATCTTGATTTTATTTTGTTAGGTTATATAGCCCTAGGAATTTATTCATTTATTCTAAGTTATGCAACTTGTTGGGATATGATTATTCATAATATTCCTTTATGATCATTTTTATTCCTGAGACATAGATTGTAGTGTCTTCTCTTTCATGTCTGGATTTTATTATCTGAGTCCTCTCTCATTTTCTCTTAGTCTAACAAAGGGCTTATTTTTTCTAAACACCAGCTCTGGAATTGTTTCTTCTTTTCTATTTTCATAAAATCTCTATTGTACTTATTTGTGATCTACTCTTGATTGTTTCCTTTCCCCCACCCCCCCATGACATTAGGTTAGTTTGTTGTTATTTTTCTAGTTATTTGTGATGTTAAGTTAAAGTGTTTATTTGAGGTCTTTTTTCTTTTATAAAGTAAGTGTTTATCACTGTAAACTTTTCTCATATTACTCTTGTACTTTTATTACTGCTTTTGCTTTATCTCATAGGTTTTGGTATGTTGTATTGTCATTTTTAATTCTATTTTGATTTCCTCTTTGACCCAATGATTGTTCAAACTATGTGTTTAGTTTACAAGTATTTGTGAATTTTCCAGTTTTCTTCCTGTTATTCGTTTTAAGTTTCATTCTATTGTGGTCAAGAAAAAATACTTGGAATGATTTCAATATCCTTAAATTTGTTAAGGTTTATTTTGTGACCTTATAAGTGATCTATACTGGGGAATATTCCATGTGTTCTTGAGAAGAATGTGTATTCTTATGCTGTTTGTTGGAAAGTTCTGTTTGAGTGTGTTAGTTCCATTGGTCTACACATTGTAGAAGTCTGTTGTATCTTTCTTGGTTTTTTGTCTAAATGTTCTATTCATTATTGTAAGTGGAATATCAAAAGTCCCCTGCTGTTATTATATTGCTGTCAATTTCTGTCATCAGATCTGTTAATATTTTCTTCACATATTTGCATGCTTTGATATTGGGGGCATATATATTTATGATTGTTGTATCTCCCTGTTGAATTAATCTTTTATCACTATATAATGTTTTTCTTTGTCTTTAGAGACAGGTTTAGAATTAAACTATATTTTATCTGATATAAGTGTAGTCACACCTGCTTTCTTTTCATTATCTATTGCATGGAATATATTTTTCTATTCCTTCACTTGCAGCCTATGTGTGTCTTTAAGTCTAAAGTGAGCCTATTGTACACATATCTGTGAATTTTTTTTCTGTATAACCCCTCTAGGCCTTTTGATTGGAGAGTTTAGTTCATTTTCATGTAAGGTGATTATTGGTAAGTTTGGCCTTACTATTGCCATTTTGTTCATTCTTTTCGATCTATTTTTCATTTGTTTCTCTATTCTTTTTCTTCTCTTGCTGTCTTATTTTGTTATTTAATAATTATTTAACATTTTACTTTGATTATTTTCTCTTTATCTTTTGTATATCTATTACAGATTTTTCTTTGTGGTTGGCTTAATGTTTGTATACTGTATCTTATTCTGAGATACTATAAGTTGTATCTTATAGTTAAGCCTTCTATTTTAAGTTGGTAACAACTTAACCTCAGTTAAGAATGAAGTTAAAACTACAGTTTTACTTTCTCCTTCAGCTTTGTGTTATTGTAGTCATGATTTGCTTTTATTAATATTGTGTATGCATTAAAAAATTCTCATCTTTTAACTTCTATATTAGAATTAAAATAAATTATGCATCACCATTAATGCGTAAGAATGAGCTGTATATGGTTATATAGTTACCTTCCCCAGTAAAATTTATGCTTTCATATGCTTTTGTATTGTTGTTTAGTATGGGTTTATTTCAATTTGAAGAATTTATTTAAGCATGTCTTGTAAAGCATGTTTAGCAGTGTTGAACTCCCTCAGTTTTAGCTTGGGAAAGTTTTTATCTCTCCTTTCTTTCTGAAGGACATATTTCCTGATATTCTCGAATGGCAATTTTTTATTTCAGTACTCTGAATATGTCATCTTATTTTCTGCTGGTTTGTGAGGTTTCTGTTGAGAAATCTACCAACAGTCTTATAGAGATTCTCTTATATGTGATGTTATGCTTTTTTAGTCCCTTTCAACATTTCCTTTTTGTCCTTGACTTTAGACAAGTTGGCCATAATGTATCTCTGAAGATCACTTGATGTTCAGCTTATTTGGGGTTTATGGGCATAATGGATTTGGATGCCTGTTTCTCTGCACACTTTGAGGAATTTTCCATCATTTAAAAAAAATTAGTTTTGGCTCCTTTCTTTTTCTCCACTCTTTCTGGGAATTTCATTTATATGTAAATTGTTTCACTTAATGGTATCCCATAAGTTATATAGGCTTTCTTCACTTATTTTCATTTTTTTCTTCTTTTCATTCCTCTAACTGGATAATTTTAAGAGATCTCTCTTCAAGTTAACTGATTCTTTCATCTGCATGACTGAGTTTTCTGTTGGGGCTCTCTATTGAAATTTTCTGCTCCAGAATTTCTGTGTCTTTTAAAATTGTTTCTTATTATATAACTTCTAATTTTGTTCATGCATTGTTTCCCTGATTTTGTTTAGTTGATTTTCTTTATTCTCTTGTAGCTCACTGAGCTTTCCTAATATTTTTTTGAATTCTTGGTCAGGGAATTGATAAAGCTCCATTTTTGGGGTGGTCAGTTACTAAAAAATTATTGTGTTTCTTTGGTGGTGTCGTGTTTTTTTACTTTTTTTGTTTATTATAACCTTGCATTGATGTCTTCCTATTTTAGGGAATAGTCACCTCTTCCTCACTTTACATACTTCTCTCTGTGTGTGTGTGTGTGTGTGTGTGTGTGTGTGTGTTGGAAGCTATTCACCTATTGGTGGGTACAAGGGCACTGGCTAAAAAGTGTGTGGTAGCCTAGTTTCCATGCAGCTCCATCAGCTGAGGTCAGTGTCAGCATAGACTCAGGGAGATCTCATTAGCCAAGGCTGTGGGCATTCTTTTACTCTCCTGACATAGCTAGGAATTTTGAGGTCCTTAATGGTGAAGGCTGTTGCAGTTCTCTTGTTTTATTTTACCTCCACAGGGTGAATTTATGGCTGAGGGAATTCATTATGGTGCTGGTTCCAGCATTTGAGTGTGCTTTTGGTGGCAGTGATGCCAGTGTGTGAGGCACAAAATTGCCCAGAATGGTTGCAGAATTAGGGTCGGAAGCATGAGCATTAACAGAGTGACCATGGCCAGAGACTATGGTGTGGGCTTGCCACCTGTGGTGCTCCTGTCAGATGTGGGCATACATAGAGTGGGTGCAGAGACAGGATCCTAAACACAGAAGGGAGTAGAGTAACAGCAATGCTGGAGTTTGAATGTGCATGTTTTTGCAGGGGGATAGACGAGTGGGTGCTGGTTCTGGCCCAGGGTGGTGAAGTGTTTCCACAGCAACTTTGATGGCTACTGAGCTCCTCAGCAGCAACAACTGCTAGAGTCTTCCTGCAGGCCACTGGGGACCATAGTATCACTTGCTGCATGGCTGAAACTGTTTGGCCCTGCCCTTTTTCTTTGTTTTCAGCTTCTCCAGACATCTCATCTATATTGATCTTTCTGGTAGTCTGGTTGGTATACAACCAAAATGGACCCTTCAAGCAGTGACCCAAAAGGCCAGGGCAGCTAGTCATTTGCCCTACTTTCTTTTTCACCATGAGGGAAAATCATGGGCTGAGAGTTTCTTTTCGAGGCTGAACTGTCCCAGGCTGGAGGATAGGACGATGCAGGCAAAAAAACTCTTTCCCCTATTTTTTCTGTGTAGTTATTTTTTTTCCTTCAATGTGTTGCTGCAGCTTTTTATCTGAACTGAACTCATCCAGATCTATTTTCATCCAAAGATAGCTGTCTAATTGTTGTTTCTACGGGGAGACAAAGGTTGGGGTAGCCTACTTCACCACATTGCTAATGTCATGGAAAGAATACAATTTTGATATAAGCTTCAACATGGATAAACCTTGAAAGAATTTTGCTTAGTAAAATAAGCCAGATACAGAAGATAAATATTGTATGGTTCCATGTTTGTCAGATACTTAGAATAAACAAATTCATAGAAACAGAAGGGAGACTATAAATTACTAAGGGTTGAAGGGGTTGTTGAGGGGAGAAGGGAGAGTTATTGTTTAACGGGTACAGAGTTATTGTTTAATGGGTACAGGGTTTATACACCAAACCATTCTAGTGAATACATTAAAAATCAGAAAAGGAATATACACACCTAAAACACTTATCAATACCAGACTATAAATTACTAAGATGAAATTGAGAGCTATTGGTGAGTTGGGGATGATAAAACATTTGGGGGTATAGATAATAGTGTGGGTTGACAGCATTGTGAATAAATTTAATGCAACTAAATTGTATATTTACAAATGGCTAAAATTACATCATGTTTTATATATATTTTTCCACAATAACAATGCGATTTATCAGTTTCATAAATATTTGGAAAAAATAATAGGGGATACTCATACCTCAATGAATAATTGTAGATGGTGTCAAGGTTTATTTCTATTTTGTTCTTACCTTCAGGGATCTTCAGTCAAGTGAGGAAGATAGTCATATGTTTAAAAAATGGCTTTTTTCCTGAACCTTGTTAATTCCAGATAATTCTACTATCATATCAATATTTCTGTCTTTTCATGCTATATCTTCCCTGCTTTATCTAGCAGACAGTTGAAACAAGGAAATGAGGGCTTGTAGTATTTGTGTATTAGACTCTTAAGTTAATCCCTATTTTGACTACCTTTCCCCCTTCAAATCTTAAATAGGATATAATGACTGATCTTAGGAATATACTATAGAGGATCTTATCTTATCTTATCACATCTAATGAAAACTGATAGCACTGAAAAAATATTTAACTACATATTGTACCCAAAGTTAAAATGTCTTATACTGTCAGATAAATAGTTCAAAAAGGGCTATAGTCATATTTTAATTAGTAATTTTCCTGTCAACTATAAAATATCACTGTCATTATTCAGAAAATTGTCTCATAGTAACAAAATCTATAATTTCATAGTAATACTTTCACTTGACAGTCACATTCATTTTCTCTTTCTCTAAGGGATAGTATTACAGGCTTTGAAAGTTAAACATAAAACTATCTTTATGTTTTGTGAACACTAACATAAAAACTATTCTAATAAGATAGCTTGTGAATATATAAGCTGTGTTTATATACTGTGCCATCACTATATGTTTACATGTTTATAAAATCTTTTCATTTATAATGACATATTATGTTCTAGAGATCATTATAGACCATTTAAGAAGATATCTTGTAGGTATTACAAGCTTCAAAATAACACAAAAGTACATTTCATTTTTTGGCAAAACACAGCATTTTCATGATAAAATATCTTATAATGCATACATAAAAAATAGAGAAATACACTGCATTTTTGAGTGAGTAAACAAGAGAAGATATATGTGCCATTGGCAAAGAGTGTTCTGTTTAAGTTTGGTTTATTATACACAATGAATTAGTATTTTTTAGCTTCCATATGCTATGCCTTATTTTAATGTTCATAATATGATCTTGAGGAAGAGAAAATATGCTGAATGCCTACTGAATTGCTACATAAAAATTAGATTTGCTTCAGTGTAATGTTATCGATAATTATATTATTGTACAAACATTATATGTCTTCTGAACTCCTGTGAGAACTCATCAATACCTCTCATTTGCATCTTAGTAATTTATAGTCTGGTATTGATAAGTGTTTTAGGTGTGTATATTCCTTGTCTGATTTTTAATGTATTCACTAGAATGGTTTTGTGTACATGGTGCTGACTACACATAGTTAATCAATAAGTAGCTGTTGATTTGAATTCACCTTCTAACTCTAATCACCAGAATACCTACAGGAAAGCTCCATTCCCCAGGCATGTAAGAAAATATCAAGGTTACATTAATTTTGAAAGTGCTAATCTGGAATTGATTTTCAGTTAATGAGGAAATGTTTTATTTCTCTAGGCTTTCTAAAGTATTGGATGTTTTAAATTTGTTTAATCTACGTATTTGTATGTGCATAGTTGATAATTTCTTTATTTTTAATAAACATGGGCTATAGATTTTTCCCACTAGAAGTAAGCTACATTATAACAGTAAATATCTTTTTCATTTTCACTGTTATATATCCAGCACCTTTAGCAGGAACAAGTAGATGCTCAATAATATTAGCTAAATGGAAGACTTAAGAATATATATTCAGAGTATAATTTCATGCTTTCTGTTTAAAAAAATAAGTCAGAGATATATTTCATGACAATACTGAAATAACTTCACTAAGAAATGTAGAACACCGGACATCCAGACAAATTCATGCACACAAACACACACACTATTTTAAAGAAATAAAGAAAAATTTTTAGATAGTGACATATATCCTTAAGTAAATATGTAATTAGTAGAGGCTTCTATCAAAATTCCAATGCAATTTTTTCAGGAATTGATCACATTTTTGTAAAGCTCACGGGGAATTTTCTGACTCAAGATCACTGTTTTTTTACATCTCCTTTCATCCTAGATCTCATTAAAATAGTAGAATAAGTATTTTTAAAAATAAGCATAAAACATAGAAACATTGGAAGGATAAGAATAAGCTAGAAGGAGAATGGAATACTGAAGAATTTCAGATAAATATGATTTGCATAAATTAATAGCAAAACTCATTAGAACTGAGGAATTAATTCTACACAGGCAAAAAGGCAGACATCTAAAACAACAAAAATTTCCCAAAAGAATTTTGGAATCACAAGATCAAGTCAAGCAAGTATCAGAGAAGGACTGGGCCATTTGTCAAGGACGAGATTAGACCAACCATTGCTTGACAATCTGAGAGAATAACTTGGGCATTGCTCACCTAGTAGCTAAAATAGTATGGTGGTGGTTAAAAACACTGACTTGGGAGTCAAACTACGGGATTAAGTACCACATCTTCCACTTGTTATCTATGTAAACTTGGGCAAATTTTATAATCTAGCAAATTTCAATTTATCCATTGGTATATAAGAGATAATTGTTCATATGGAGTTGTGAGTATTAAAAATGTTAATAAATGGAAAGTACTTAGAATGGCACCTGAAATATATTAAGTGCAGTATTAGTGTTTGCTCTTGTTATTTTTTTAATGGGATTTGAGTTTAAACTACAAGTATGGCTCTCTGCAGTGAGAATTTTAACATAGGCTATACCTAGATTGGTCACTTGGGAAAGAAAAACACAATAGAATACCAAGTAATTTAGGACTGCCAAGAGGGAAAGGATTTTCTATCACCCGGCCGGGCCCGGTGGCTCATGCCTGTAATTCCAGCACTTTAGGAGGCTGAGGTGGGCGGATCACGAGGTCAGGAGATCGAGACCATCCTAGCTAACATGGTGAAACCCCATCTCTACTAAAAATACAAAAAATTAGCCGGCTGCGGTGGCCAGCGCCTGTAGTCCCAGCTACTTGGGAGGCTGAGGCAGGAGAATGGCCTGAACCCGGGAGGCGGAGCTTGCAGTGAGCCAAGATTGTGCCACTGCACTCCAGCCTAGGCAATAGAGCGAGACTTCGTCTCAAAAAAAAAAAAAAAAAAAAAAAAATACACCCCCCACACACCTCGCCCCAGTTGCACAATGTGCACCCTCATTATTAGGAGCAAGCTTTCTGTAGCAAATACCTGAACTTCACTAAATGGTGAATAAAAATTCTTCCTCATTCAAATTCTCATCCATACATGCCAGAGATAAATACTACTCTGCTTATATGACAAATTACATATATAATAAATAATTAAAAATAAGCATTTTATTCTGCCTAGCACAAAGAAACTGAAATAGCAAACAGAAAATTAGCCCACCCAAAGAAATAAAAAGAGAAAACAGAATTATTTTAATTGACTACTGAGAAAACGAACCCCACCAAATATTAATTTAGAAAAAAGAAGTGAATAGCAGATTTGACTCAATTAAAGTTAAAATAAGTGAGATAAAAGAAAGGACTTAATTTTTTTATAATCACCAGAGAAAAAGTATACAGAAAAGGTATGTGATATAATGGCTAGTTCAAGAATTCCAACTATTCGTTAGTATAATAACAAAATAACAGAATTGAGAGAATGGGCAGAGAAAATCATCAGTCTAATAGAAGGACATTTTCCAAAATAAAAGCTCCAGTCTTTGGAAAAAAGTTATTGTTTGACATTCAGGATTAACACAAGAAAAAAAAGTTTGACATTCAGGATTAACACAAGAAAAAAAATTCTGCAAGAAGTCATATCCTAGTAACAGCAAAACTAAGAATTTGAACAAAACAAAAATCATAAAAGCTTTTTCAGGGAAGGGGTGTGTTTACCTTCTAAAGGCAATGGTCAGTAAACTACAACTACAGATAATGGGCTACATATTTCTGTTAATAAAATTTCACTAGGACACAGACACACCCATGAATTTACTTATTGTCTGTGGCTGTTTTTGCACTACAAAGGCAGAATTGAGAACTTGTAACAGAGACCATTTAACCACCCCTAAAAATTCAAACCTAGTGTATTTACTACCTGACGCTGAAGAAAAGTTTACCTACGGGGTTCTGAGGAAAGATGAATTATGAGCTGCAAGACTAGGTGCAAGAAGATAATGAAAGAAGGCCTTTCAAGTTCTACAGAAAGTTTTGAAACTAGTGCACAATAAATACAACATAAGTTGGAGATAAACCAAGAAAAATTGACAAAGCCATAATAAACTTGAGTGATATTAATAAATAGGTCCCTGAAACTAAAGGAAATCAGGGAAAATAGGTCAGTCTTCTCTATTAGATTCACTTCTGACAGAGGCCTTTGGTACAATTGTCTCTGATTACTCCTTGCAAACTACTGATATTTTGAGAATGAGATATTGTGAAGAACTTCAGCCATCTGACCCAAGTCTATTGATTCTCTCTCCCTTTTTGTCAATCCCTATTTTCAGGGCATCTGAATTTTTCTTCTGTCTCCATTGTTATGCTTAGCAAATTTCCCCAAACGACTGGATTTCTATGATGGCCTCATGATGATTTTACTTCTACATATATATAATCTATTCTGCTCACCCAAGAACAGATTCCCTTTGTTTCTTAAATATTATTTGAACTCAAGTGGGTTGGAAATACCTATAGTACTCTAAGAACTCACACTTAGTTCCTTCTTGAGAAAATATTACTGTTTCAATTTTCTTGGTCTCTGCTCTTTTCCTTGCACTCCTTTCTCCACTCAGCCTTGTCCCTCATTGACACTCAGCACACTAAAAGGCTGACGTCCCCACATATTTTGATCTCATGTCAATCCTCTGATGGGTGCCAATCTTAATGGAAGTATATGAGGGAAAGGCAGGGAGGCACCACATACTGATTAACTATGCTTTTTGAATAAAAATCTATCACTTTGGAAAGCTTAACTTACACCATTAAAAATCAATTAAATGAACTTTTGAGTTGTGAAATTTAATTTTCTCTTACTATATACTGTTTCCTAAAATTTTGTTTGTAAAAATTAGATCCTATATAAAAATTGAGTCAATTAGATTGAAAGCTGGCTTCAAGATGATAAAGAAAACATAGTAATAAATTTGGAGTCTTAATTTGCAGATCTAGCAAATCTGTGGTCTGTTTTTCCTTGGCCTCTTCATTAATATTTTACTGTATGAAATTGAAGTGAATTATCACATACCATAGGCAATATTGAAATAGGAGGTGTTTCAAGCAGTGTAAATGAGAGGAAAATAATTACAGAACATTAAGTATAAGGCAAAAAGTCTAAAAATAAAAAACTATCAAATTGAGTAAATCACCATTAATGATTGTTTTGAAAAGATTATAAAAGTAAGCACCACTGAAAACCTTGGGTTTACCCATGGCTTGCAGATATGTGAATTATGAGATTTATTATAATTAGAGCAATTTATTATAATATCAACTATGTGCTGGACTTTATCTACTATATGCCTTATCCTATGTGTTCCTTATAACAACCCTAGGTAAAATCTTTTTAAATCTCTATTTTACCAACAACATCAAACAACTAGATAAAGATGAAACCAGAAATTTAATTTTAATGGTCTGAACCCAGAGTCCACATTTTTAACCACTATTTACATACCTATTATTAGCTCATATTATATGCATCATGGTTAATCCTTCTATGAAGGGAAACAAGTTTCACACCTGATTTGCTGCAATAGATTATAGGCGTTGCTATGGACTGAAACTTTTTGTCACCCTGAAATGCATACATTGAAATTCCAGCCCCCATTGTGATAAAATTAGGAGGTGAAGCTTTTTACCAATAATTAGCTTATGAGGATGGAATCCTTATGAATGGGATTATAAAAGGTATCCCAAGAGCCAGGCAACGTAGCTTGTGCCTATAATCTCAGCTACTTGGGAGCTTAAGGTGGGAGGATTCCTTAAGCCCAGGAATTCTAGGCTGCAGTGAGCTATGATCATGCCACTGCTCTCCAGCTTGGGGTGGCAAAGTGAGACTCTGTCTTGAAAAAAAAACAAAAAAAAACCCAAAACAGCAACAACAACAACTGTAGAGAGTTTTCAACCCCTCTTTTCCTCTTTTTACCATATGAGATCTTATAGCAAGAAGTTGTCAGTGTGCAATCTGGAAGGAGGCCCTCACCAGAACTTGGCCTTGCTGTTTACTGATCTTGGACTTTGAGTCTCCAGAACTGTGAGAAATACTAAGTTGGTGCAAACGTAATTGTGGTTTTTGCATCAACCTAATAAAAAACTGCAATTATGTTTGCAGAAACCTAATATATTTCTGTTGTTTATAAGCCACTCAGTCTATGGTACTCTGTTATATAAGCCCAAACTGACTAAGACAGGTGTACAACAAGATGTTGAACTTCTCAACTTTCAGGAAAACTTGAAGGGTTTTCAGTTTGTCAGAATTCCTGGAAATGTGTCTGTCAATGAGAAGTACCCCATAGATAGCAGAGCACCGCACAGGCAGATGAACACTCCATGATCTTCACAGACAGTGAGCAGAACAGGTACTTGCTGATACTCATTAATATCCTGGGCTTGGCCAAGAAAATGCTCTATTACCTGGATAGCTACTCAACAATTGTAATAGATTCAGAATTCACTACTGCCCATTACCCACAAGGAACTGGTGATGCTGCTGAAGGGGGTTGGGTTTCAGGGATCTGTAGAGCATAACAAACAGGCAAACTGTCTCATGATACACATGACTATGGGTGGCACCTCCAAACTCTATCGTTGAATATTGTAGTGGATAGAAAATGGTGGCAGTCTGTGCTCTCTCCTCTTGAATCTGGGTGAATTTGTGACTGTTTCATCAACAGAATGAAACAGAAGTGATGCCTAGTGTCTGAGCCCAGGTAATAAAAAACTAGCAGTCTCCACTTTCCTGTCTTTTGGAATTGTAGCTCTTGGAACCCAGTCATCATTGTGAGAGAAGCCTGAGGATCTCTATGAAGATGACTACATAGATGTAAACTAAGGCCCCTGGCTGACAGCACCTGGATGAGCTTCCAGCCAGCAGCCAGTATTAAGGTGTCAGCCATGTAAATGGTCTTCTTGAAAATGGATCCTTTAGTTGCACTTAAGCTATTGTAGCTGATACCACTGGGGTGGGGCTGAGGGGAGGGGAATAAGCCATCCTTGCTGAACCCTACCCAAATTGCAAGTTTGCGAGAAAACTAAATTAATATTATTGCTTTAAGTTGTAAAATTAAGGGTGGCTTTTTATGTAGCAATAGAAAACTGGAACTAATAGTGCTATTTGAACTCACCCCAGAGTTAATTTCTCAGAAAGTATACAAAACTTTGCAAATAAAGGCTTCATTTTACTGTGAAATCATTTATATGAAAAATTCAGTTACATTTAAAATACATTCACATTATAACAGTACATTTAATATTTATTAATAAAATAAGTTATTCAACTGTAAATATAATTCAATTGAACAATTTTGCATGGTTCTAAAATGCTTTGTATGTCTTTCCTTCTTCTTTTCTTTTTTTGACAAAGTCTTGCTCTGTCACCAGGCTGGAGTGCAGTGGTGTGATCTTGGCTCACTGCAACCTCCGCTTCCCAGGTTCAAGTGATTCTCCTGCCTCAGCCTCCCGAGTAGCTGAGTCTACAGGCACATGCCACCACTCCCAGCTAATTTGTGTATTTTTAGTAGAGATGGGGTTTTACCATGTTCTCCAGGATGGTCTCAATCTCTTGACCTTGTGATCTGCCCGCTTTGGCCTCCCAAAGTGCTGGGATTACAGGCATGAGCCTCCACGCCCGGCCAATGCTTTATATTTCTTATGCACTTATGCAGAGTTACATATTGCTGACAACTAACAATATTTTGAAAGGATTATTATAAACATGTAAGCAAACTTAAGACCTGATGTTTTAAAAACCTCCAAAATGTTATGTTCATGGATCAAGCTCAAGCTGCTCATGAAACTATTTGGAAGTATTATACAAACTAATACAGTATTTTACCCAAGACTTGAATTGTATTTTTCTAATAAATATATAATATAAAGATTACATTTTGCCGAGCTCCACATAAATACCCACAAATTGCCCCATGTTTAATCTCATGTGCCATACATGAAAAAGTTTACAAATTTCTGATGTAAATAATGTTGTTCTCATTTTAAAGCTTAGGAAACACACATAGAAAATCTAAGTACATCACTTCAAATCACACAAATGGTAGGTTGTAAAAAGAGTTTGAACACAATCAGTCTGTTTAAATTTCAAGCCCATGCTCTTTCTAGTACGTTTTTTGTTTTCTGAATAATTTAGCTTTGAGAAAATCGGTTGACCCTTATGTTACAGTAATGTTTAATAATATGAGTATACAACTAGTTTTGAGCTGCTCATGCATCAAAATTAAAAATGATAATAATATAAACATTTTATCTTGTTGAGCCTAGATTTAGTCAGTATCTTTGTAGATTTAGCAATACCCTGCTTCACATTGACCTGATACTCATTAGGCAGGGGAGGATTTGCCTCTAGTATAGTTTTGATCAAAGCCAGTCACAAAGACATTCAACCCAGGGATGTAAGGTAAATCCGCAAGGTAATGCCTCCAAATTTACACTGTTAAACCCTGGATTGAAACAGCTTTTGTGTGAGCTTTGTTAACCTTAACAAATAGCATTTATTCTGAGTACGCAACAGGAAAAAAAAAAAAGCAGCCCTTTGTGCATGTAATTCTGTTACATTCTCTACTTGCAAATTGATTATATTCTCCTGCATAGCAACACAAAAATCATATTTTATATTGTCTTGTTCTTGAAAATATCAACTAATTATGAGAGTCAGTGTAGTAGCTATATTAATTAAAACAAACCTATTATTTTAAAACATCTAATCACTTTCACACAGTTTTGGAAATGAGATATCTTTCTAGATTTATTCCCTTTCATTACTCCAATTTAGGATTACTGGTTGTTGGTGATGGTAGCAGTGTTCATGATTCATGGTGATAGTTGCAGTGTGGCTGTGTATTTGCGATTCTGTATATGTGTGTATGTTTCTGCTCTCCAATTTAATTTACCTGTCATTTTGTTGTATCTATATTTTCACTACATCACAAATAAGATCTTAGTGAATAATAAGCAACAATACATGTTGACGAATGATTTGCAGAAGAGCAGGATGAAGGGTGGGGAATGTATTATGGATTAAGCCTGTGGGTTTCTATAGCTTAGTAGAAACTAGTTGTCAAAGTCACTACCTCTACAAGGACTTCTCTTGAGAAGGGCCAAAAAACAGAGCATCTTTCGCCAAGAGGTGAAATTTGAATGGGAGAGGCCCTTACTCCTCTCGTTCTGACTTAACAAGTCTTTTTATAAGACCAAAAAAATGTTGAACCTAACTTACAAAAATCCATTGTTTTTTTTTTTTCGAGACGGAGTCTCACTCTGTTGCCCAGGATGGAGTGCAGCGGCGAGATCTCGGCTCACTGCAAGCTCTGCCTCCCGGGTTCACGCCATTCTCCTGCCTCAGCCTTCTGAGTAGCTGGGACTACAGGCGCCCGCCACCACGCCCGGCTAATTTTATGTATTTTTAGTAGAGACAGGGTTTCACCATCTCTATCTCCTGACCTCTTGATCTGCCCGCCTCCGCCTCCCAAAGTGCTGGGATTACAGGCGTGAGCCACAGCGCCCGGCCCAAAAATCCATTCTTAATGGCTTTCTCTTCTGATGCAAAATCCTGATTGCCTTCAAATATTACTATTAGATAGAAATCTCCCCACCTTTAGCTGAAAGAGATAAGGAGGTTTTGCACTGAGGAAACAAACAAACAAACAAGCAAACAACATTCATCAATTTTTAAAAAAAGTATGTATTGAACTATAGTCAGGTTCAATGAGGAAATGCATTACATTGTCACTAAACTGGCCTTAGTTGGAGAAAGAACACTGGCAGATTAATTAAAGTTATTAGCGCTTATGGTAGGAAACTGCATGATATATGTGAAAGATCTTTTAGGGACTGGAAACACAGTGTAAATTCAAACTCCTCCCAAAACTTTAACAAGGCTGGATGAAATGAAAGGAATACTGTGATTTCTACAATTGACAACAGTGTCAGGCATGCAGGAAACAAACAAAACCTTTTGATGAAGGAAAAGTAACTTCTGGACAAAGTATAATTGGTTACAGGTAAACAGATATGTCATCCAGGCAGATATGACAGTTTATAGGAAAAATATAATGTTATGATCTAAAAAATGCAAGCCACAAACCTATTGCCTGGGCAATAATTAGCCTGAAGTTGGGCTACTAAGGAGCTGGCTAAGCAGCAGTGATAACACCAGATACTGGAAGAAACTTCTGTGATCAGAAACCAATACAACTAGTGAACAATTCACAGTATTTCTAAATCCGGGCACCAAGGAAGTTGTTTGGTTAGTCATGATGGAAGCCAGGAACAAATAGATCTCAAATGTGTGATAATAATTATCAAGCGGAATGTCTAGAATATTATAGTGAGTGCCAAGATTTCCATCTAAGACATTACCAACATAGCAACTGAGGCATGAATTACAGGTTTTACACAAAAAAAGCATTATAAGAATAATACATATAATATATTAACAGTTCAAAAGTGAAACAAACATTTATGAATGGGCTACTCAGATTTAAAATAAAATATTGCCTGTTCATTGAATGCTTTCTGGATTTTACTTTCTAATTGTATACCTCTCTTTCTTTCTTAAGATAACTACTATCATATATTTGTTTTGGACTGCATGTTAATAAAATTATATAATATGTATTTTATTAACTTCATAATAAAAATACTTTTTAAAATAATATATTGAGATTAATCCCTGGTGGATTGTGCAACTGTATTTCATTCATTTTCACTGCTTTGCATTCAATTCAATCCATGTACAGCGTACCCATCTGTTTTACTGTCAATTGATATTTTTTTCTAGATTTTTAAAATGACAAAGCAGCAATGAACATTGCAACTTTAAAATTTTTGGACCTGTTTCCTGGTTCACATGTGTTAAGAGTTTCTTCAGAGTGTGTACCTTGAAGTGGAATTATTGGATTGTTTTGTTTTTGCATGTGAAACTTTATTACATATTGCCAAAAGACTTTCAAAAATAATAGTGCCAACTTGCAGTTTAAGAAGCCCCATGTGAAGAGACTTACTGCATGTACATACAACATTTGGTGTTCTCAAACCTTTTAATTTTTACTGTTCTAGAAAATATTCCTTTTTAAAATTGTATATTTCTTTGATTTTTTAATAATGATATTTGCTATCCTTTTAATAGGGTTTTTTTTGGCCATTATTTGTTATTCTTCTCTGAATTGACTTCTTATATATTTTGTTCATTTTTCTTCTTTTTTTTTTTCTTGAGATGGCGTCTTTCTTTGTTGCCTAGGCTGGAGTACAGTGGCGTGATCTTGGCTCACTGCAACCTCCACCTCCTGGGTTCAAGTGATTCTTTTGCCTCAGCCTCCCAAGTAGCTGGGATTACAGGCACCCACTACCATGCCTGGCTGATTTTTGTATTTTCAGTAGAGATGGAGTTTCACCATCTTGGCCAGGCTGGTCTTGAACTCCTGACCTAGTGATTCACCTGCCTTGGCCTCCCACAGTGCTGGGATTACAGGAGTGAGCCACTGCACTGGCCCATTTTGTTCATTTTTTCTATAGTATTGATAATATTGTATTATTGATCTGTAGCACTTACTTATTCACGTATCTCAATATTGATCCATTGTCAATTGCTTGGGTTGTGGTTTGTCAGTTTGTGGCTTGACTTTTTACGCCCAGTTTAGTGTCTTCAAATGAACACATTACTTTGTGTCTTTTTGAAGAAATATTGCCTAGTTCAAAATCAGAAATAATTTCGTTGATTGGTTTCTAAAAGGGTTATACCATTGTTTTTAATATGTAAGTCTTCATTCTACCTGAATTTGATTTTTTAAAAATGATGTGATACAGGAATCAACTTTGATTTCCATATGGATAATCAGATGTATCAGTACTACTTACTGAATCAGTCATTTTTTCCTTCTGATCTCTAAAGTCTACTAGTAGGAATAAAATTTTTGTATATGCTCCATTGATCTAATTGTTTATTCAAGCACAAAGGCTAAAATTTGTATGATATTCTTTTAAGTATTAATATCAAATATTGTAATTTCTCCCCCCCCCATTTTTTTTTTGAGACAGATTTTTGCTCTGTCACCCAGGAAAAAGTCCAGTAGTACAGTCTTGGCTCACTGCAACCTCTGCCACCTGGGTTCAAACAATTCTCCTGCCTCAGCCTCCCAAGTAGCTGGGATTACAGGCATGCACCACCATGCCTGTCTAATTCTTGTATTTTTAGAAGAGACAGGGTTTCACCATGTTGGCCAGGCTGGTCTTGAACTCCTAACCTTAAGTGATCCACCTCCTTGGCCTCTATCCGCCACTTCTTGTGCATACCTCCTATCTCTTGCAATTAATATTGAAATTACTCATTTATTCACATTTTTCCCAAATGCAGTGTGAGAACTTTAAGGACAAGAATCCTGTCTTATTTTTAAATTTTCTATTACCATTACCTAGAATACTGACTAATCTATGATGCATTTGTTAAATGGAAATATGCCTTAAAAGGTATCCACAGCAACTACCATAATTAGAATGTCTAGTTTCATCTGTGGAGATTGGAATAGTATTTATGTCTGTTTATGTCAAAATGTTATTCCCTAATGAAGAGGAACCTGTATATATTGAGTTCATCAGAGGCAGAAGGCAACTCTAAGTTAGCTAGCACATTAAAAGACATCCAATAATAGAAATCACTCACAGATAGATGATATCAAGTTGATGGATAAGACAAAGTGACTCCATTTGAATAAGTACAGTGATAATGAAGACTAATGCGAGACAGATTGAGCAAGCAGAAATTAAGCTTAAGTAAACAAAAAGAAAAATTGTATCTATGTTATAGCTGTCAGATTGAACAAATAAAATAAAATACAGAATACCCAATTAAATTTGAATTTCAGATAAGCAATTAATAATATATATATGTATATATATATTTTTTTGACAGAGTCTTGCTCTTTCACCCAGCCTGGAGTACAGTGGTGTGATCTTGGCTCACTGCAACCTCTGTCTCCCAGGTTCAAGTAATTCTCTTGCCTCAGCCTCCCAAGTAGCTGGGATTACAGGCTTGTGCCACCATGCCCAGCTAATTTTTGTATTTTTAGTAGAGATGGGGTTTCACCATGTTGGCCAGGCTGGTCTCAAGCTCCTGATCTCAAGTGATCCACTCGCCTCTGCTTCCCAAAGTGCTGGGAGTACAGAGCAATGAATAAATTTTTAGTATTGCTATGGCCTATATATCATTTGTGACACACAAAGAATTTATTTTTAAATTTGAAATTTGAATTTAACTGAGCTTTCAGGATTTTATCTGGCAATCCTAATTTGCGTGCCAGATCAGATTTAAATGATAACTAGGACCTAAGGAGGGCCTTCAAGATACACTTGAAGTCTGGTTGTTAGCGCCCCATTAAGAGCTAACTAAATAAGTATGACTATAACCTCCCTTTCACTGTTATATTAATTTAAAAAAAGACAAACAAACAAACTAAAAACCCCAACTGTTTCTGAGAATCCCAAAAAACCTCCAGAAGTTTCGTGGACTCTTTCATCTTGGACTTCCTACCTCTGTTGAACTCTTGTTCTCTGCATTACATTTGATGGCTATTCTTTTATTTTTTTCCAAATAAAGCTAAACTTCTTTGTGAGATTTTTCATATACTCATATGTAAATATATCATAAATACCCACACATTTTTGCCTGTATTGTATACTTTCTTGAATGTTGTGATGGTTAATATTGAGTGTCAACTTGATTGGATTGAAGGATGCAAAGTATTGTTCCTGGATGTGTCTGTGAGGGTGTTGCTGAAGGAGATTAACATTTGAGTCAGTGAACTGGGAGAGGCAGACCCACTCTCAATCTGAGTGGACACCATCTAATCAGCTGCCACCATGGCTAGGATATAAGCAGGGAGAGGAACATGAAAGGACTAGACTGTCTGAATCTTCTGGCCTTTATCTTTCTTCTGTGCTGGCTGCTTCCTGCCCTTGAACATCGGACTCCAAGTTCTCAGCTTTTGGACTCTTGGAGTTACACGAGTCGTTTGCCAGGGGTTTTAGAACCTCCAGCCGCAGACTGAAGGTTGCACTGTTGGCTTTCCTACTTCTGCGGTTTTGGCACTCAGACTGGGTTTCTTGCTCCACAGCTTGCAGACAGCCTATTGTGGGACTTCACCTTGTGATCCTGTGAGTCAATACTTCTTAATAAGCTCCCCTCTTTATATATACATTTATCCTATTAATCCTGTCCCTTTAGAAAACCCTGACTAATATAAATGTTTAGGGAAACAGAAGGGGTTTTACTTTCCTGACTCTTCATATCACTGCAGAATACATTTAAATCCTTGTTTTAAACACACTTTAGTTATTTCATTTTCTTGCTTGACCTTCTCTTACTCTCTATTTCAAGTGGCCATTTTCAGGGCAGGAGAGAAAAAAAAAACCCTTCCTTTTGTATGCAAAGCTATTTAGGGTTTTTCCATGCCCTGTGTCTGGAAATATAGCCAGGGATCATCTTTTGCAATTACAAAAACTCAGTATTGATATGAATGTTGTGCTCTAGGTGTCTATCTAAACTCTTAGGCAAAGAGTCTTCTTCTACACAGTGGAGCTTGTAGTTTGCTTCATCCATTTCTAACAGACCCATGGGAATTTTGATAAGGCTAACTAATATTTTCACTAAGCAGTACGACCCTTTTCTACTAGCAAGTAGAACTCTTATGCTGGCCCTATGTCTTGGAATGCTTTCCTTGAAAAATATTAAGCTTTTTTCCAATGCCCATGATCCACCAACTCTGCTAGTGTCACCTAAGTGCTGACCCATGTGAGCCCTGTTCTTGGTTTTCCCTTTAAGTTGATTTTCAAAACTCCATCTTATCCTCATGCAGGATTAACTAGAGGCTTTGGAAATTTCCATGCCTTACGCCTGTGAAATTTTGCAGGGAATAGTCGGTGGTCATGGCCAATTTTAGGATGTCAACTGAGGAAGGAATTGCTGCTGCCGTTTTCTCCTTCTCCCCTAAAGTACTTTCTTGGAGTCTACAGACGTCTTAGAAGCAAATCTGTCATCAAGTTTTACTAAAAAAAAGAGTATAAAAGTTTTGGAGACTTCAAATATTCTGACAAAATGTTTAATACTCAATTGTATGTGACACTGATAATATGAGGGTTAATCAGATGTTAGAAGCATCTGGGGTCTAATTAGACTTCTACTGTGTTTTGATAGATGCTAGATTTTTGCAACACAAGATAGAAATTCAAATTGTGTTCACTCTTCTGCATACTTTGAATATAAGAGAAAATAAACAGGTAAGGGCTAAGAAGGGAGTAATAAATCATTACTATCTATGTGCTGCACATATCAAAAAATATTTTTGAAGAATTCTGAAGGGAAGTCAGATACTGTAATGCATTGTTGGGAATGCTGAGGATATGGAATGCATAGCTTTTAGTCAAGTGGACTTTCCAGCCTTGACCCACCCATACACGTTTTTGACATCATGATGTTCAGGAAAGGAAGGAGAAGACAAAGTTCAGGGGCTCCATCATTCCTAAACTTTTCCTTCCTACATACACGCATACATCCACATTCTACCAACACCACTCACAGAAATAGCTACAAAGTTTGCACAATTCTGGGCCATAGAAAATGTGCAGAGAGTTCGTAGGACACATTGATGCTTCATCTCTTCTAATCTAAATGACACAATGAGAGTTTTAGGTGAAATCAAGGTGCAAGATCTGTCAAGAACTGACTTTGAAGATCATTTTTTTTTTTTTTATGAGCAACATGGCTGTTTATTTCACCTGGGTGCAGGTGCTGTGAGTCCGAAAAGAGTCAGCAAAGCGTGATTCTTTGGTTCAAAACCAAAGAACCATTAGTTCTTATAGGTTTTGGGATAGGCGGTGAAGTTAAGAGCAATGTTTTGTGGGCAGGGGTGGATCTCACAAAGTAAATTGTCAAGGGTGGGGAGAATTACAAAGAACCTTCTTAAGGGTGGGGTAGATTACAAAGTATCTTCTTAAGGGTGGGGGAGATTTCAAAGTACATTGATAAGTTAGGGTGGGGCAGAAACAAATCACAATGGTGGAATGTCATCAGTTAAGGCTATTTTTACTTTTTTTGTGGATCTTCAGTTACTTCAGGCCATCTGGATGTATAAGTGCAAGTCACAGGGGATGCGATGGCTTGGGCTCAGAGGCCTGACATTCCTGCCTTCTTATATTAATAAGAAAAATAAAACAAAATAGTGTTGAAGTGTTGGGGTGGCGAAAATTTTTGGGCGGTGGTATGGAGAGAGAATGGGCGATGTTTCTCAGGGCTGCTTCAAGCGGGATTAGGGGTGGCGTGGGAACCTACAGTGGGAGAGATTAAGCTGAAGGGAGGTCTTGTGGTAAGGGGTGATATTGTGGGGATGTTAGAAGAAACATTTGTCGTATAGAATGATTGGTGATGGCCTGGATACGGTTTTGTATGAATTGAAAAACTAAGTGGAATAAGAGAAGGAGAAAAACAGGTATAAAATGTCTAAGAATTGGGAGGACCTAAGACATCTGATTAGAGAGTGCCTAAGGAGATTCAGCATAGTCCTGCCAGCAAAGATTATTTATTTACTTCAAGAGTTAAGAATGGCAGTTTGGGGATAGCAGGAGGAGATATCAGCTGTGATGGCTTGGAGAAACAGTGTAAACTGGCAGTGTAAACAAGAGCAGGGCATGTATGAGTAGTTGAGAATGGTGAATAGGAGTACGACTAGACAAAAGATAGTAGGGATGACCAGGTTTTTGGGGGCACAGTCTAAGTTGGTCTGGTGTCTGGAATGAGACTGGGGCCTAATAAAAAGGAACGTCTATACAGGAGCTTAAATGGGCTGTACCTTGTAGCATTCTGAGGACAGGTCTGACTTCTGAGAAGGGAAAGTGGCAAAAGTATTGTCCAGTCCTTTTTAAGTTGGTGGCTGAGTTTGGTGAGGTGTGTTTTTAAAAGACCTTCAGTACGTTCTACTTTTCTTGAAGATGGATGACCATAAGGGATATAAAGGTTTCACTGAACACTGAGAGCCTGAAAAACTGCTTGGCTGACTTGACTAATAAAGGCTGGTCTGTTATCAGACTGTATAGAGGTGGGAAGGCTAAACTGAGGAATTATGTCTGACAGAAGGGAAGAAATGACTGCAGTGGCCTTCTCAGACCCTGTAGGAAAGGCCTGTACCTATCCAGTGAAAGTGTCTACCTAGACTAAGAGGTATTTTAGTTATCTGACTCGGGGCATGTTGAGTAAAGCTAATTTGCCAGTCCTAGGTGGGGGCAAATCCTCAAGCTTGATGTGTAGGGAAGGGAGGGGGCCTGAATAATCTATGATGAGTAGTAGAATAGCAGATGGAACACTGAGAAGTTATTTCCTTGAGGATAGATTTCCACGATGGAAAGGAAATGAGAGTTTCTAAGAGGCGGGCTAGTGGCTTGTACTATAGCATATCCTGCCTTTGCTGGTGTGTGGTGATTAGGCCTGATGGAACTGCCATCAATAAATCAAGCGTGATCAGGGTGAGGAACAGGAAAGAAGGAAATATGTGGAAATGGGTTGAATGTCAGGTGGATCAGAGAGATACAGTCATGGGGGTCAGGTGTGGTATCAGGAATAATGTGGGAGGCCGGATTGAAGTCCGGGCCAGGAACAATGGTAATTGTGGGACTTAACAAAGAGTGAGTACAGCTGAAGGAGCCGGGGAGCAGAAAGTATATGCATCAGGTATGAGGAAGAGAATAGATTTTGGAAGTTATGAGAAATGTAGAGAGTCAGTTGGGCATAGTTTGTGATTTTGAGGGCCTCTAAAAGTATTAGGGCGGCAGCACGCTGCACGGAGACATGATGGCTAGGCTAGAACAGTAAGGTCAAGTTGTTTGCACAGAAAGGCTACAGGGTGCGGTCCTGGCTCTTGTGTAAGAATTGTGACCACACTAACCATGCCTAGGAAGGAAAGGAGTTGTTGTTTTGTAAGGGATTGAGGTTTGGGAGATTAATTGGACATGATCAGCAGGGAAAGCACGTGTGTTTTTATAAGAATTATGCCAAGATACGTAACAGATGAGGATGAAATTTGGGCTTGACTGAAGTAATGGGGGCTGTCTGTGAAGCCTTGCGGCAGTACAGCCCAGGCAATTTGCTGAGCCTAATGGGTGTCAGGGTCAGTCCAAGTGAAAGCGAAGAGAGGCTGGGATGATGGGTGCAAAGGAATAGTAAAGAAAGCTTGTTTAAGATCCAGAACAGAATAATGGATTGTGGAGGGAGGTATTGAGGATAGGAGAGTATATGGGTTTGGCACCATGGGTGGATAGGCAAAACAATTTGGTTGATAAGGCATAGATCCTGAACTAACTTGTAAGGCTTGTCTGGTTTTAGGACAGGTAAAATGGGGGAATTGTAAGGAGAGTTTATAGGCTTTAAAATGCCATGCTGTAGCAGGCGAGTGATAACAAGCTTTAATCCTTTCAAAGCATGCTGTGGGATGGGATTTTGGCATTGATCGGGGTAAGAGTGATTAGGTTTTAATGAGATGGTAAAGGGTGCATGATCGGTCGCCAAGGAGGAAGTAGAGGTATCTTATACTTGTGGGTTAAGGTGGGGGGAATACAAGAGGAGGACGCAAAGGAGGCTTTGGATTGGGAAGAAGGGCAGCAATGAGATGTAGCTGTAATCCAGGAATAGTCAGGGAAGCAGAAAATTTAGTTAAAGTGTCTCAGCCTAATAAGGGAACTGGGCAGGTGGGGATAACTAAAAGGAGTGCTTAAAAGAGTATTGTCTAAGTTGGCACCAGAGTTGGGGAGTTTTAAGAGGTTTAGAAGCCTGGCCGTCAATACCCACACCACGTTATGGAGGCAAGGGAAACAGGCCCTTGAAAAGAAGGTAATGTGGAGTGGGTAGCCTCTGTATTGATTAAGAAGGGGGCGGGCTTACCTTCCACTGTGAGAATTACCTGAAGCTCAGCGTCCGTGATGGTTTAGGAGGCTTCTGAGGCAATCGGGCAGTGTCAGTCTTCAGCTGCTAAGCCGAGAAGATCTGGGAAGGAGTCAGTCAGAGAGCCTTGGGCCAGAGTTCCAGGGGCTCTGGGAGTGGCTACCAGGTGAGTTGAACAGTCCGATTTTCAGTGGGGTCCCACACAGATGGGACGCAGCTTAGGAGGAATCCCGGGCTGTGGGCATTCCTTGGCCCAGTGGGCAGATTTCTGGCACGTGTAGCAAGCTCTTGGGGGAGGAGTTTCTGGAGGAACGTCTGGCTGCTGTGGTTCAGGCGTTTGGAAGTTCTTGTGTGCTGGAGATGTGGCTGGGGTTTGTCTCACAGAGGAGGCAAGGAATTGCAGCTTTTTTCTATTATTGTACACCTTGAAGGTGAGGTTAATTAAGTCTTGTTGTGGGGTTTGAGGGCAAGATTCTAATTTTTGGAGTTTTATTTAATGTCGGGAGCAGATTGGGTAATAAAATGTATATTGGGAATAAGACAGCCTTTTGACCTTTTAGGGTCTAGGGCTGTAAAGCGTCTCAGGGTTGCTGCCAAACGAGCCATGAACTGGGCTGGATTTTTATATTTGATGAAAAAGAGCCTAAACGCTATTTGATTTGGGGTAAAGAAAAAGGAGCATTAACCTTGACTATGCCTTTAGCTCCAGCCACCTTTTTAAGAATAAATTGCTGGGCAGGTGGAGGAGGGCTAGTCATGGAACGAAACTGTAAGCCAGACCAGGTGTGAGAAGGGGAGGTGATAAAAGGATTATAGGGTGGAGGAGCAGAGGCTGAGGAAGAATTGGGACCTAGCTCGGCCTGGCGAGGAGGGGAGGGGTCAGATGGGTCTGTAGAAAAGGAAGATTAGAAAGACTCAGCGACACTTGGGGTTGGGACTGAGGGGACAGGTGGGAGGGAAAGAAGGAAGATTTGGGATGAGTTGCATTGGGCACAGAGACTAGGAAGGGACCGATGTGTAAAAGAATGCCTGGACATCAGGCACCTCAGACGATTTGCCTATTTTATGACAATTATTATTTAGATCTTGTAGGATGGAAAAATTGAATGTGCCGTTTTCTGGCTATTTGGAACTACTGTTGAGTTTGTTTTGGGGTCAGGCGCATTGCAGAAGAAAATAAGATGCTTAGATTTTAGGTCAGGTGAGAGTTGAAGAGGTTTTAAGTTCTTAAGAACACAGGCTAAGTGAGAAGAAGGAGGAACGGAAGGTGGAAGCTTGCCCATAGTGAAGGAGGCAAGTCCAGAGAAAAGAGTAGAGACACGGAGAAGGGGTGGGGGGTTCTTGCCCTCCAGAAAAGCAGAGAAGGGGTTGGGGCATGGAAATAAGAGGTCAGGGTGCGGAAATAAGGGATTGGGGGTTCTTGTCCCCTAGAAAAGCGGGACTTGCTGTTAAGGGTGAAGGAGAAGGGGTTGAAGGGTACTTGCCCCTCCCCCAGAAAAGCAGAGAAGGGGTACAGACATGGAGAGAAGGGGTTGGGGTACTTGTCCCTCTGCCAGAAAAGTGGGGCTTGCCACTAAGGGTGAAGGACCAAGGCAGGCGTCCCTGTGTGGTCTGACAGCTTTGAAACGTGGGTGAATAATCGGAGAGGTGTCCCTGAAATGATTAAACACCAAGGGAAGGCTGCCTTCCCAGTCCATGACCGGCGTTGGAGTTTTGGGTCCACGGATAAAACGTGTCTCCTTTGTCTCTACCAGAAAATGAAAGGAATTGAAATTAAGAGAAGGGAGAGATTGAAGTGTGGTGCCAAGATTGAAAGGACAAAGAGGTTGAGGGATAGTGAGGGAGGTTGGAGAAGAGAGTAAAAAGAGGCCGCTTACCGGATTTGAAATTGGTGAGATGTTTCTTGGGCTGGTCGGTCTGAGGACCTGAGGTTGTAAGTGGATGTTTCTCATGGAGCAAAGAGCAGGAGGATGGGGCATTGATCTCCCAAGGGAGGTCCCCCGATCCAAGTCACAGCACCAAATTTCATGTGTGTCCGTGTGAAGAGACCACCAAACAGGCTTTGTGTGAGCAACATGGCTGTTTATTTCACCTGGGTGCAGGCGGGCTGAGTCCGAAAAGAGAGTCAGCCTGGAGATCATTTTTAATGCCCACTAAAAAAATTTAAAGCTGTACAGAGAGAATATCTCTTATCTAAAATGCTTTGGGACCAGAAGTGTCTCACACTTTGAATTTTTGGGGGGGTTTTGGAATATTTGCATTTACAGAATAAGATATCCTGGAGATGGGACCTCTGTCTAAAAACAAAATTTATGTTTTTTATATACTTTAAACATACAGCCTGAAGGTAATTTTATACAATATTTTAAGTAATTTTTTGCATAAAACAAAAGTTATGATTGCAACATATCACATGAGGTCAAGTGTGGGATCTTCCGCTTGTGGCATCATGTTAGTCCTCAAAAAGTTTTAGATTTTGGAGCATTTCACATTTTGAATTTTTAGATTAGGGATGTTTAACTTGTATATATTCTCTACTGTTCCATTCAAATTTAAATATCCAAGGGCTTTGATTTCATCTGTCACATGGCAAAATTAGCATTAAAATTATCTCATATCTAAAACAAAGTTCTTTTCAAAGGCACTTTTTATGTTACATTCTAGGAACTAAGCATGTAATTATAATACATCCAAAACAAGCGAAGCAGTTTCACAGAGATAGATGTAATTGCTTAACTGTAATAATGCTTACCAATTTTACAGAGGAGGAAGCTAAAACTCAAAGAGCTTATATTTAGTAAGTCACAAAGGTTGACTTAGAACCCAGTTCTTTAGGCTCCTAATTTGGTATATTTGTTTCCCTACCAGTCTTTCTGCAATGCTATAAAATAGAAAGTGACTGCATTTTTTTTTGCTTGTGATTTCATAATATAGTGATTAATCTGTCATTTTTCACTAGAAGACAAAGGTTTTTGTGCCTTGATTATTCCACATTATGATTTTTTGATGCTGTAAGAAACTATCAGACATCGTCTGATAAAACCATTAATTTTTCTTATTATCATAATCACCAATAAGTTTTTACTTTATGATACGTTAAGTAGGAAAAGAGCTCATAAGGTTTCTACAAGCATACACATTAGAAAATAGATATTTGATCACAGGAAAAGTCTCATGTGTGAGCTAAAAAGAAATCTAACAATAAATCAGTAGATCATTGTTATGCATTTTTTAGCATTTTAAAATATTTTATGTGTATCTGTGTGTCCCAGTCCATTTAAATGAAAAAGTTTATGTCTTACGCTTCCTTACTCTTTACAAATCATTAGAGATGTTATTATATACAATATTGTTAAAGGAGATTTATAGATATATGTGGAACATAACGTGACCTGCAGTCCAGATACCAGACACACATAGAAGGCAGGAGCTATTTTAAATACATTCAATTACATGGCATTTGCTAGTTTCTCTGATTTCTTTTGCTTTAGTTTCCCTCAACTGGTGTCAAGAATGTATCCAGCAGGGTCCAAAGTTTTCTGTGATGATGCACTTATCCCTTGGGAACATGTGACTTTATATCCATACAAATTTTTTAATATATCATTTCACTGCCTTCAGGAGGACATTTGGTAAAGTGATTTAGAGAAATTGAAATGATTAAGTCTAAAAATTCAATATGTGTTCCAGAGTTGTGGATTGAGTCAAAAGAGTGAGGAGAGAATATTTAAGTCATTTAATTTTATCTATATTAATTTCTTAATCCCCCTGCTTTACCCACTGGCTCTCTCTGGCTTTCGTTCTCATTTCTTTTGTGAAATTCACAAAGGGAACATCAGAATCATCTATACTAGACATGGTGACTATAGGTAGCAAGATACAGGATTCTTGAAATTGCTAAAAGAGTGAATATAAAGGAGTCTCACCATAAAAATGACAACTTTATGAGGTAATGCATATGTTAATTAGGTAGATGTATTCATCCATCTGCATATTTACTTCAAAACAATATGTTGTATATGGTAAATACAAACAATCTTATCTGTCAATAAAAAAGAAAATAAGTAAATAAAATACCTATAGCTCACTTAGATGGCTTGGGTAAAAGTGCCTCTTAATTGTTGAATTCACTGCTGGTTTTGATTTTCTCAAGCTGAATAGCAAGCCACCTACTAATGGAAACAAATTTGCTTATTAGCTTGGCAGTCATATTAAATTTGGAATTTCATTGAATTATTTTTGTGAATGACCAAGGCTGCTTCTGTGGCACACACGGAACTGGATCGGGGCTGAATAGTACATTTGTCTATGTATCGTTTTGCAAGTAGTTTGATGTTCTCTCTCTCTCTTCCTTTCTTTCAGGGGCTTCTTGTGTGATCTCAAACCATTTCCTTTTAACTTACCATTTAATATTTGACCATCTAAGTATGAATCATATGTGTGTGTGTTGCACACATTCCTGTTTCATACACATTCTTTAATAACTCTATAATAGCAAAACATGGAAAGAATGTGCCATCATAAAGTATTTTTTACAAGCATCTGTACATCTTCAGTGATACATTTGTTGCCAGTTTGATGCAGAGTTAAGCTGTAATTATTTGGACTAATGAGGTTCCCTGCAGTTAAAATGTTTAGTAACTACTTTTCAGAAGAAAGAATGTCAGTCACACATTTTTCTGACCAATTCTAAAATTTAGAGTCCAGAGTTTTTTAATTTTTCAAATGAAAGTTGAAATCCAATCTGGACCTGGCGGGAATCTACTGATGCTTGTCCTCTTGCAGCCCTTGAACTGCTTCCTCCGTTGCCACTGACACCTTAATGAAGAGAAAGGTCTTTTGAAAGTAAAAATGCTGAAATTTATTACAACTCTTTCTCTGTAATATTAAATGATAGCATTAGAGTATTTTGTTCTTACACACCATTTTTCTTTTCTGGAGCTAAAGTAGTTGCTCCATTACTATACAAGCATTGTAAAGTAGATGAGAAAATAAATATTACTCTCTTCAGTATCTAAGGTAACGTAAGCACATTCTTTAAGTGACTTGTCAGAACCACAGCCCCTCAATTGACAAGTTTGTATTGAAAAACAACAACATGATTTCCAATTCTGTGCTCGTTAATTAAACTGTTTAACTTAGTAATTGAAGCATCAGTTTGTATTAAAACTTGTTAAAGGGGCTAATAAGACTTTGCAAAGAACTTCTTACTCTTCATAATAACCATGTTAGGAGAGTTGGATCTATTAGTAAGGCACATTATTATGAAATTTATATCTTATCATGCTTATTTTGCTACAGTGTCAATCCTGTTTACAAATCTGGAGGAGCGTGTGCTGATTCTGGCCTCTTAAGGAAACTATATATTGGTGTACTTTTTTACAGTATCTCATGGCATACTATTTTATCTTCCATGATCACACATCACTCACACCATAGTGTTAAATGCTATTAATTATTTGCTTGTCTATTCAAAACTTGAAGGTCTGACCTAGTATCTAGCACCCTACTCCTAGCAGTTAGCCTGGGTCACAGATGCTGCTCACTAAGTGTATTGATGAATAAATAAAAATAACCCATCATTCTGGATAGTAGAGTGTAAGTTTTATGTAGGTGAGAACAGAGTCTGGCTTTTTCCCCTCGGGCTCTTCCTCAATAACTTGTAGCACATATTCGATAAATTCTGTGGAGTTTATTTCACACATACCTGCCCACGTGAAGAGGTAGTTTTGACCATGCCATGTTTTGCTTTCCCTCCAAATCTCAAAACTTGTAGTATCCAGTTTTCCTGTGATTACTGAAGGATTTGGGAATCAAGATAAATATTGAATTTGGGTTGTCAGAGTTGTTTTTAAGAGAAAATAAAACCAAAGAGAAATTACTCTTTGATGCTTGTTTACAAAAGTTCAGCAATATCCTCCTTTCTGCTCTTCCAGGACTGAAAATATCATTTTAAGTGGCTTTTATTTGTTTACTTTTGTTCTGTATGTTCACTTGCATGTCTGGACACAGACTCATGGTTACTGTTTAATCACTAGGCAGGTTTTATGGTCAAGCATGACAGGGAGAAATGTACAAAATCATTCTTTGTAGAAAGCTCATTGTACATAAACCAAGAATATTCCTTTTTGATGGGTTTTCATAAAACCTTCTGCATAAAATGCTTTCTTACTTCTTACTGATAGCATTCACTGAGATAAGATATTGACACAGGATATTTTCACTGCTGCTTCACCAGCCAGAGACCTCCGTGGCCAGCAGCACCCCTGCTTGAATTTTGCTTGCACCTGCTGGGTTTGTTCCACCCACTTGGGCTGGCAAACTGTACTTGGCTCAGCATGCTAGCGGCCTAGATCTCACGCCTGCCAACGGTGAGCCAGGCATGTTGGTTGCTGTTGTGGGGAAAGCAGCTCCAGGTGCTGGCTCTGTGCGAGACTGCAGCTGGACCAGGTGTATTGCAAGCAGCTTCTGCCTTGGGTGCTGGTGTTTGGATGAGGGGAATGTGGTAGCACCTGAAAAACTCAGAAAGGCCAGGAACCATGGAGCCTCAAAGAGGGTGTTACAGTATGTTACCACTCTGGCTTGGGGAGTCTTGAGGTCTGGGCCCCAGAAGGGTCGCAGCTCATTTGTGTTACAGTTCATTGGTTCCTGCCATCCACACGTTTTGGAGAACAGCGGCATGTCCCAGCTTGTTCGGTCCTGTTGCACCGCTCCGACCTGCAACTCCTGGGCTGGCCCGGTCCTGACACTGCTTCCTGTTATGTAAGGTGACCACTAGACACCTGCAGAGGGCAGGAGGGCTACAGCTTTACAACTCCTTTCACACCCACTGTTTGGCGGATCCCAGGTTCTTGTCGTGCATCCAAAAAGAATGAGGTTATGAGGACAACTGAATAGTGAGCAAGGTGGAGAAGAGTTTTACTGAATGACAGAACAGCCTTCAGCAGAGAGGGAACCTGAAGTGGGTAGCTCCTACCTGAAGGCAGGTAGTCTCCCTGTATGGCTGAGTCTGGGATTTTTATAGGCTTATAATGGGGGAGGTGAGGGCTTTAGGTAGCCTTGGAAAAGGCAACATTTGATTGGTTAAAAAGCACTATTTAGAAAGAACCAATTGGGAAAGAGTGGGTGAACAGGAATAGAAGTTCTCACTCCTGTTGCAGACTCCATCCCAAACTGGCAACCCTATTTTCAGGCTTCAGGCTGATTTTGGCTTGAAAGTCAGGTTTATGGGGACCCGCCCCTTCTGCCTAGGAATTTGTCTGCTTCCTCCTGCTACCAATATTACTTGTTAGATATGATTATAGTGAATTTCAAGTGACAATCTAGGTCATTGATCATATTGCTCACTATTTCCAGAGACATAAATTATAAATATATAATATAGACATGTATATGTGTGTGCATGTGTATACATGAATGTATGTGCATATGTGGGCATGTATACATATATAATCTTATTCTCTGAATAAGGTATTCTTTGAATAAAGTGTCTATAAGAACAGTTTACCTAAATTTGCAGAGAAAATTTGGGTCATAAAGGCAAAGGCCAATGATGAACATACATTGTTCTATGAAAGGCATCACCTATAGTAAGATCTTCTGAATTCTACACATAGGTTATAAGATAAACTTTACAAAAGGGAAATGCTATGAAGCTTTTTGTTAGAAATATTATGTATATCTTAAATTGTTGAAATACATAATTTTTTTTTTATTTACATGCTTGCTGTCTGCTACCAGTAATAACTAATTGTAGAAGGGTAGCCAAGACATGCAGGAGGAAGAAACCTTCTGAAGACACTGAGAACACTATTGGAAATGACATTCTGACTCTCGACTATACACAGAGGAAATAGAAATTTGAGGAAGATTAAATATTCTCTTCAGAAAATTTCCTTCTGATACTATATTTTCTGTGCAAAATTTAATATGCTGCTATCAGCATATCTTTTTAGCAAAATATTATCTTTAATTCCAATCTTGTTAACTTTTCTATCCTCAGAAAGTATATTTCATATATTATTGTACAATGTTATGTATATATTTTAAAAGTTTTTTTATATTTTTAGTTTATCCCTATAAAAATTTAAATGTGGGAAGATCATCATATTTTGGAAGAAACTGCATGCATGTAGCATAGCTATTTATATATAATTTACATTAAAATGTAGAATGCTTTTTCTATTCGTTGGTTTCATTTTACATTTGATAATGTTGAAGTCATCATTTTGGCCTGTTTTTTATATAGGAAGAAGGCCCCAATGAGAATTCCAGATAACTCAAACTGTTAAACAGATGTATTGATTTTCAAGGTTTCACTCCACAGGAAGTAGACTTAATCTCATTGCCAAGAAAAAGCAATTTAAAAAGTAGAAATAGGAATTTTTTTTAGCTTTCTAGAAACTTTAAGACAACACTAAATAATCTTTGAGTGCTTAATGCAAGAAAAAATCTGGTTGTCTTGCTCTCTAAAACTTACTTCCATCATCTATAAGACAGATAGCAATAGTTTCTGCTAATTAAGGATGTTATGAGGATTAAGTGGGATAGTGCATTTAAAGTACTTAGACAAAGGCCTAGCTCATGTTCAGTACATAATAAATGGTAGTATTTTTATTATAAGTCAGGAGGTTTAGTTATCTTCTCTTTTCTAGGTTATATATTTTAAAGTAACATTGCTTGCTTACATACAATAAAAGGTCCCAGTTTAAGTGCACAGTGGAATAAATTTTGACAAATATATACCTCTGTGTAACCACTGCCACAATGAAAGTATGAAAATTTCCATCACTCCAAAAAATTGTTTGTGCTCCTTTCAGCCTCAGGCAACCACTGATCTGCTTTTAGAAATATAGTTTAGTTTTGCTTTTTCTAGAATTTCATACAAATGGAATTCTACAATGTGTACATTTTTATTGCCTTCTTTCATTCAGCATGTTTTAAAATTTGACAATAATTTGCATATCCAAAATTTGTTCCTTTTTATTGCTCAACAATATTCCATTATTTTAATATATCATAGTTCCTTATCCATTAATCCACTGATGGACATATGGGTTGCTTTTCATTTTTGGTTATGGTAAATAAAGTTGTTATGAACATTTTCACACAAATCATTTCTGTGTAAATATATTTTAATCTCTCTTTTGTAACTATCTAAAAGTAGATTTTCTGTATCATATGGTAATTGTTTAGCTTTATAGGAATTTTCCAAGTGACTGCACAATTTTTCATCCCTACCCACAATGGACGAGAATTCCAATTGATCTACATATTTACCAACACTTAATATTGCTGGTCTTCTTATTTTTTGGCATTCTAGTGGTTATACAATAGCATCTCATTACAATTCATTAAAATTATATTGAAGCTTTCTTCGTTGAGCATATTTTCGTGTGCTTACTGATGATTATTATACTTTCTGTGTCAAATGGTTGTTCAAATCTGTTACCCACACTCACTGAATTGTCCTTTCATTGTTGAATTATAAGAATTCATTATTTATTCTGGATACCAGTTTTTTTGAGATATATGTATATTTCCTCCCAATCCGTACTAGGCATTTTTATTTTCTGGGGATCTCTTTTGGAAAGAAGAAATGTATTGTATTAGTTTTTTTTCATGCTGGTGATAAAAACATACCTGAGAGTGGGAAGAAAAAAAGGTTTAATGAACTTACAGTTCCACATGGCTGGGGATGCCTCACAGTCATGGTGGAAGGTGAAAGGCATGTCTCATCTGGCGGCAGACAAGAGAAGAGAGCTTGTGCAGGGAAACTCCCCCTTATATAATCATCAGATCTGTATGACTTACTCACCATCATGAGAACAGCACAGGAAAGACTTGCCCCCATGATTCAATTACCTCCCACCAGGTTCCTCCCACAACATGTGGGAATTCAAGATGAAATTTGGGTGGGAACACAGCCAAACCATATCATTTATGTTTTGGTAATCCCTAAGTTATTTATTTATATTTTACAGTTCATGATTTGGGGCATTCTTATCTAAAAATTACCAAAACAAAATCACAGAGATTGTAGATTTTTTCCCTTTATGCTCTTTTAAGAAGTAAAATACTTTTAACATCTACGCTTGATTGATCAATTTCTATGTCTGTTCTTATATCAACGTAACAGTGTATTTATTAGAATAGCCTTATCAAAGTCTTCCAGCCCAGGCAATATGGTGAGACTCCATCTTTACAAAAAATAGAAATAACTCTCTGGGCTCACGCCTGCAGTCTCAGCACTTGGGAGCCTGAGGTGGGAAGATCACTTGAGCCCAGGAGGTTGAGGCTGCAGTGAGTGGAGATCACTCCACATCAGCCTGGGTGACACAGCAAGACCCTGTCTCAAAAAGAAAACAAAAAACGTTTTGAAATAAAGTCTTTAAAATGTGTCCTTTATTTTCGAAACTGTTTTGGCTATTAAAGATTCTTTTTATTTCATTTTTAAAATTTATGATAGACATACTAATTGTACATATTTTTGAGTTATAATGTGTTTTTTTACATGTACACATTACACAACGATCCAATCTGGGTAATTAACATATGCATCACCTTAAACATCATTTCCTTGTAATAAGAACATTAAAGAACTTGTCCTAGTTATTTTGAAATGTACAATACACTATTGTTAAGTCTAGTCATCCTACTGTACAATAGGAAAACTGAACTTATTCTTCCTAACTGTAACTTTGTATTGATTGACCAATCTCTCCCCATTCCCACCTCCTCTTTACCTTCTCCATCCTCTAGTAACCACTATTCTACTGTCTATTTCTAAGAGAACAAATTTATAGTCTACATATAAATATGTGAAGTGAGATAATGAGATATTTGTCACTTTAAAATCAATATGAAAATTTTTACTGAAACCAAAACAAAGCAAAGCAAAACAAACAAAACATATAAAGATTTTGGCTGGTATTGTGTTGACTCCTTAGATCAATTTTAGGATAATATAAAAATATTGTGTTTTCCAATTTATGAAGTTGGTATATCTCACCATTTGTTCTCCTCTTTTGCAATTTCTTACAACAGAATATCATATGTTTCATTGTACAGGTCTTGTATATATTTTGCTAAATTCATTCCTAAGTATGTCATGTTTTTAGTGCTATTGTAAATGGCATTTTAAAATTTTGTTTGCAGGTATTATTTGCCAGTATATAGAAATATAATTGCATTCACATGGCCCTTTGCAACTTTACTAAATTCATAATTTTGTGTCTATTTAATGATTCCTTGGAATTCTCTCCATAAAAGATTATGTCCTCTGTAAGTAAATTTGTTTTATTTTTCCTTTCTAATATCTATGACTTTTCGTTCCTTTTTGCTTTATTGCACTAACATAAAATCCAATCAATTATTGACTAGCAGTTGTAAATGCAAACTTCTTTGCCTTTTTACTAATTTTAGGATGAAAACATTCAGTGTTTCTTCTTATGATTTTAACTGTAAGGTTTTCATAGATACTCTTTAGCAGATTGAAGTAACTTCCTTATGTTACTGTTTTTCTGGTTGTTTTAACATGAATATATATAAAATTTTGTTAAATGCTTTTCTACCATCTATTTAAATGACTATGTTTTCTGTATTATTATGTTAGTTTGATGAAGGTGTAAAATCCTTTGGATAAAATCAAAATAGAAATGGGCACCACTAGAAGACATTTTTATTCAGGTGACAAGGATTTTATGAGTGATTTCAGGTATATTTTATAAATACCCATATCAGTACTTCCTAATACAGTATTGGAATGTAAAGAATAAAGAATTGTTAACAATGACTTCTGAGTTCTAAATAGTTTAATGATGACTTCCAGGTACCGAGTGTGGATGAAGAGTCACTTACTGAAATAAAGAAAACCTACATACAGTACATTTAATTTTGGTGGGACATGATAAATCTTAGATACTTATGAGGATCTAAGAGGAATAACTAACTTGCAAGTTAAATAAATGACTGGAGCTAAGAGCAGAGGTCTGAGCTTTAGTTTACATTTAAGAAATATAGAATATGGCTGATTTTTAAAAAATCTATTTTAATTGACAAATAATAATTGTACATATTCATGGGGTACATAGTGATGTTTCAATACATATAATGTATAGTGATCAGATCAGAGAAATTGGCATAGCCATAATCTCAAGCATTTGCCATTTCTTTGTATTGGGAATGTTCAATATCTCCTTTCAGGTTATTTGAAACTATATGTTATTTTTAACTATCATCACCCCACAGTGGTAAAGAGCACTAGAACTTTTTTCTCCTATGTAGCTGTAATTTTGTATCCTTGACAAATCTCTTTCTATTCCTCCCTTCCTCCTACCCTTCCCAGCCTCTAGTAGTTTCTGTCCTGTTTTTTACTTCTATGAGATCAACTTTTTAGCAGCTAGTATTTAAAACCAAGAACTTTCTAAGCCTTTCCTCTGTCTCTAGAGCTTTAACACTTTCTTCCATTTTTAATGTTAGCATATAGCTGGCATATAAAGCCCGCTAAAGAGCCTAAGGTGAGAATTTAGAAAATGAACAAAGAAAGGCTTGGGACAAAGCCTTGAGAGGCTCAACATTTAGGAGTCAGGTCAGGGAGGGGAATCCATCAAAGGACACTGTGGTCTTCCAAAACCCACGAGAAGTAACTTTCACAAAAGCAATATGGGATTGATTTACTGTGTCAAATGCTTCTGAGAAGGCAAATAAGAATAGGATTGAAAAGTTTCCTAAACTCTTTTAATTAGCTATCTTAAGCTATACCTTTTACAATCCTGTTGAAGAATCTTTGGCATTTAATATTTTACATCCAGGATCTGTAACAGAGACAAGTTCATTATTTTCTTTGTGGCATATTTAAAAATCCCAAGTAGCACTGCTTTTTGATTATGACAGTTACATACCATGTGAGCTTAATATATGAAAAAATAGACTTCAAACTGCTACATAACTCTGTAATGGCATATCTAATCTAATCTGCTTACTGAAAGATATTTTGTGGGTGATATTCGAAATTGAAGACTTTTATAACTCTTTCCTTTCTGGAAGGAATTAAATATGTGATGGCAAAAATACTGATGCAGAGAAAAAACACATTTAATTACTATAATCTTAGATAACTGAATAATTCAATAAAAGATTTATAATTTCATGTACCGTATTTTTGTATTCCCTTTATTGTGGGAATCTGGAATCCTATTTTTCTTCTGTAATGAATACATTTTAAATCAGTTATCAAGATTCAAAGTGAGAGTCATTACAAGAAAACACCATAGTGTAGCAGAGAGCTTTATATTATAAATGAATCTTTGGGTACTCTGTCTTCTGCTCTGTGTTCAAAATACTCAGACTCCCTGGCATAATTTTAAACCCCACATAATTGACTCAGTTCTTTATCTTTTCAAAGATAGATACAGAGTACTAGCAGCTTTAGTGTCTACGAGGCTGGTGTTTGTGAAAGTTTAAATATTCTATAAATGTTTCATTTATTTAAAGATGAATTGACAGTCATTTTACTGACAGTGCACTGGTTTCAGTGTTTCTGTTTCAAAAACAAAAGGCATTAGAACCTTGTAAACTATGCCCTCAATGCTCCTGTTTTTCAGTGTCTCATGTGCCATATGAAGCAAAGTAAATAGATTAATGCTTTAGAATTATTTGTTCCTGAAAAGAAAAGGTGTGTACTAACTGTAGTTCTTATTGATCTCTCTATATTTGTCTAACTAATTTAATGGAGTCTGTTTATAATCTATAACTAGCCTCTTAGGTCTTACTGGGAAAACCTTGGATTGCTTATGTGGTAATATTTGACAAATACTGGAAAATTTGATTAGAATATGAAATATATCACTTTCAGTAGTCCCTTTAGCAATATTATATAACGGATATTTTACAGAGGCGTCATTAACTTGTTGATATATTTAGAATAAAAAATAATGCTCTGGGGAAAATTGTTTCTCTACACCCACACAAAATACATCTGACACCAGATGTGTGAATTTTTTCTCATACCAATTAATTCTCTAACACCAGCTAGTATTCTACAATTCGATTCAACTTTGACACCATCTAGTTGGATTTTGCATCAGATTCCACAGTTAAGGGCTTGGTCTCACAAGACAGTGCTCTCATTTCAAGCACAATCACAAGTCTGGGCCTCCCATTCTTCTGGCCAATCATCTGTAGGGAGGGTCCCTGTGACCTTCTCCTCAGGTTTGACACTTTGCTAGAATGGCTCACAGAATTTAGGGAAACATAAGTATGTGTTCTGGTTTATTATAAAAGATACAGATGAACAGCCAGATGAAAAGGTACCTAGAAACAATCACATGAAGGCCCCCAAGAACAAGAGTTGCTCTCCCCTTGGAGTTGGTGTGCATGAACCTCCCAGCATGTGGAACCATTCACCAACTGGGAAGCTCATCAAATCTCATGGTTTGAGAGCTTTTATACAGCTTAATCTCCAGTCTCTACTCCTTCCCACTCTCTTCTCTGGTTGGTGGCGGGTGAGACTGGATCCATCCTCTAATCACTTGGTCTTGTTGGTGAGTAGCCCCATCCTGAAAATATCTGGGGCCCTACACAAAACTACCTTATTAACATAAACTCAGGAGTGATCCAAAGGAGCTCATTATGAATTTAAAAAAGACACTTCTGTCACTCAGGAAATTTCAAGGGTTTTAGGAGCTGTGCTAGGAACTGAGAAAAAATACCAAGTGTATTTCTTATTATACCACAAATGGCTACTTAGTATTTGCTGTTATTTTCTTGGTATTTCTCTTCTTTCTTATTCGCTTACTTTCCCCATGGTCAGTCTTGCATCAGTTGAGTTGATAGATAATGAGCTTCCTTTAGCTTCTAAGTGGATGATTCCCAAAGTGTTTTATAGTAAATGGTAGTCTGCCAAATTCCGTATATGTTCTTGGTTTCTGTGAGATAAATGTTTCCAGTGACACCATAATCACTTTATTGAAGATACATGTGACTTTTGAAGAATTCAGGTACTGATCTACCTTCCAATGGAAGCCCCTAACTTGTAATCCTTTGGTTATCTCCACCACATGCAAAGGATTGTCAGCTTCCTTGCTAGGAGTAAGCCAAAGAAAAATCACCATTTCTACTTCCTGCTAATTGATACTGTTGCCTCTCTTGTTTCTATTATTGTGGTAGTCATGTTTTGTTTGTTTTGTTTTTGTTTGTGTTTTTAGCTTTTCCTAGGAAATTAAACATTTTCTGATTCCAAATTTTAGGTTTGATATCAATCTAAGTTTGGTTACGATTTTTTGAAATCTAAATCATGTCATCCTATATGCTAAGCTCCAGGGTTTGGCAGGCACAATGCTGCCTTTACTGGAGAGAGAGCAGGCAGCTAGCTGTGGTTCCTAAGGACTTGCTTTTCCTATGCTGCATCTAAAGGCCGTCCATTGCCTATGAAATGAGACACATACCCAAATACACACCGTGGATAGATATACTTTAAATATTTTAATTATTATTATACTTAAATATTTATAATAGCACAAATATTATAAGTAATCTGAATTTTGCTAAGCAATTCCAGGACTTGGGTATGAAGAAATTTGCTTTAATTACAATATCTCAGATTGCATTGGATCACTCCCTTCATCTTTGTACCATAGCATCTCAGTTCTCTCTCAAAGTCCTCAGAATGCATTTCTAGGAATTCTTAAAGCTGTCTCAAAAGTCTACTCAAGTCAATCCAGTCTCCTTGGTGCTTTCTCTGGCCTATACAGCCACCTGAATGTAATTTCATGACTCTGCTTCTGCTGTGGCATCCTTCAAAAGAAACCCGATTCCTGCCTAGCATACTGAATCCCTGAATCCTCAGAGCTGTAGTCCTGCATGGGATTATGACATCTGGAAAAAGAATAAAAATTACTCTTTTTGAGAGGAGAGAAGCATACACCATGAGGCAAATACTAAGGAATCTTCACTCTGAGAGCTTTTGAAACTATGGTGCAGAAAAATGACCTCCAAGCAGAAAGGAACAGTCATAGGACAGGAAAAATGAAACAGGTATTAGAGTGCTGGAGTTTCTAAGACAAGTCAGAATTAAGGACATGATTTAATAGAGGTAGATCACATAGAAGAAATTTAAAAAATCTGTTTAAGATGCTCTTACAGACTTAGCTTCTTACAGACTCAGCTTAAAGTTGCACATGTGTAGTGCAGGACTCTGGGAAACATAAAAGAAACAGAGATTAATGAAGGAGCAGAGAATTGGAAAGACCTGGAATCCTGGCCCATCCTAAATGGAAAATCTTGACGATTACTCGTGCATTCAGTTAGCATCAAAGTAGGCACACCCAGCAGTAAGGAGCACACACTTGGTTAGGACTAAGATAAGAATTGAAAGAAACCGTCCTAACAAAACTTAAACTCCAAAATGAAAAAATCATCTGAGGGCGATTTAATTGACTACCAGATCAAATGAAACATCTTTTAGGGAAAAGTTACCTAATGTAGAATATTTAAATGTTTTATTAACAATTTCAGCATAAAATTAAAAATACATATTAGATATAAAAAAGCATGAAAAAGTGACTGATAATTAAGAAAGAAAAGAAAGCAATAAAAGTAAATCCAGAGATGAGTTAGATATTAGACAACAAAGAATTCAAAATGCTAAGATTAATATATAAAATAAAATAAAGTAGACAATAGCTCAAATATATAAAAAGTAGAGCATTTCAACAGATAAATATAGACTTCAGAGAAACCAATGGAAGGTTATAAATTGGAAAACATAATAATACAAAATTAAGGAGTTACTGCATAGGTTTAAATTCAGGAGTTCAATAGAAAATATCTAAAGTGAAACACAGAAATCAAAGAATAAAGAAACATCACAGAGTGAAGTATAAAGACAAGTGGAACACATTTATAAGTGTAAAATTAGACCAGCCTGGCCAACATGGCAAAACCCCGTCTCTACCAAAAATACAAAAATTAGTGGGGCATGGTGGCATGTGCCTGTAATCCCAGCTACTGGGGGGCTGAGGCAGGAGGATCTCTTGAACCTAGGAGGCAGAGGTTGCAGTGAGCCGAGATTGTTCCACTGTACTCCAGCCTGGGCAACAGAGCAAGGCTCCGTTTCAAAAACGATAAATGTAAAATTAATATTACTAGCTTTCCAGAGAAAGAGATAATGGAACAGAGAAATATTGGAATAATAAAAGCTTAATTTTAAAAAATGTGAAGGAAGACATCAATCTATGAATTCACTAAGATCACTAACTTTAAACTGGATAAATACAAGGACAATTATGCCTAGGCACTTCATAATCATTCCGTTCCAAATAAAGATGAAGAAAAACATGTTAAAAACAGCCAGTTAAAAAATACAAATATCCAAGAAACAACAGAAACTATAGAATACAAAGGAATGTAACAACATCTTTAAAGTTTTGGGATGAGAATAGGGGTAATTAGCTCCCACACCAAAAATTATTCAAACGTAAGTGTGTATTAATTATGTATTGTTCCGTAAGAAACTACCACAAAACTTGGCCAGTCGCGGTGGCTCACACCTGTAATCCCAGCACTTTGGGAGGCCAAGGCGGGCAGATCACCTGATGTCAGGAGTTCGAGACCAGCGTGACCAACATGATGAAACCCCGTCTCTACTAAAAATACAAAAAATTAGCTGGGCGTGGTGGCGGGTGACTGTAGTTCCAGCTACTCAGGAGGCTGAGGCAGGAGAATCGTTTGAACCCAAGAGGTAGAGGTTGCAGTGAGCTGAGATCACGCCATTGCACTCCAGCCTGGGTGACAGGCGAGACTCCATCTCAAAAAAAAAAAAAAAAAAAAAAAAAGGTAAAAGAAGAAAAAAGAAATAAAGAAATTACCACAAAACTTGGCAGCTTAGAGTAACACAGATTTTTTTTCTTACAATTATTATGGATCAGAAATTTAGTCAGTTTAGCTGGATTCTCATTCAGGGTCTCTTATATGCTGCTGTCTTATTTTAAGCTCCAGTAGGGAGAGTTCTGCCTTGAAATTCACTCAGCTGTTTTTGGCAGTATTCAGTTTTCAGGGCCTATTGTAACTGAGGGTCACTGGGTGATGACCAGAGGTTGTCCTCAGTTCCTCAATACACAGGCTTTCCAACATAGCAGCTTGCTTCATCACAGCTAGCAAGAGAGGGACCACCTAAAAAGTCTACCAAATAGGAAAACATAAAGACTTTGTCATCACCTCCTCTCCACCCCCCAAAAATGGGAAAATTGGTTAAATTATAGTTAAAAAAACTAGGGCGTAATACCTCTGGAATTACAAATAATAAAACAATCTAAAAGAGGCTTTAGAATAAAAATAGTAAAAATGTTTCAAAATACAAGGGAAGAAATAGAGTTAATGAGATCAGGGAAGAACCTTAGAAGAGAACAACTACCTTTTTCTGAATAAAAATTGCCTTTTGATTGAATAAATCAAGTATTGTTTTAGACATTTTATATAAATTATAGTGAGCAAATACACTTAGGAGTGAATGGAACATGAATGGACATAAGGTCTATAAAGGAATAATGATATAAATTTTGGATTAACTCGAATATGCGTGAAAGATCATTAAAATGATCTGAAATTGAGTAGCTTAGAGTAACATTAAAGGTTAAAGAAACCAAAGAATATTACATTTTATTCATGAAAAGTAAAATAGAGATTATTTTTAATACATAACTCAAGAATGCTTGGATTAAATTGACCTGAAAGAAATTGACAAGTCATATGAAGTTGATTTAAGTATTTATGAAGTGCCTATATGTAGGCTAGGCATAAAGGTGCATATGGAAAATGTGAGCGAACAGCAATTTAATAAACATATGATTAAATGAGAGAATTTATCTTATTTCCCTTTGCCTTGAGAAATAACTAAAAAAAATAAAAGTGCTGCCGAGACAATAGCAATTACCTTTGCTTTTTAAATGCTATTTCATTTGGATTTGTCTGTTCAATCAACACAGTACTCCCTCTGCCATTTAACCATCCATTTAATGATTCACCAAATATTTATTGAATATCAGAAACCATTTTTAGTCATTTTCCTATTTACCAGTATTGAACTTAATCCATCTTATTGTGAACCCAAATCCCTTCTTGTGTATGATCAAGAGAAAAACCAAAGAATACTTAAGAGATAAAAAATTATGTTATCTCTATTTTATCTTTCTATATATTATATAAATATCTATGTTTAAGTATTTTTACTTCCAAAATGAGGAGCACTATTTTAAGTGGCACATTTTTAAAGCTGGGTATACAGCTAAATCTAAAGTGAAATTCATAGATTAGGTGTGTTCTATGGACTGTTGGAATCAACTCATCCCCAAGTTCATGTATTATCTACAATGAATGTTAAGAGTCTTTGAAGAAGTGGTTTTTGTACAGATGCCTACGAAAGGAAATGTCTGCTTCTATTCCTGGCCAATTTAACTAGGTTGGAGTCTTACACAGTTTGAAGAAGCAGGCCACAGGTTAAGAGTGTGTAGACAGACAAGATTTTCTAAGACATACATAATTCAGCTTTGGGTCTCAACCAGACATAGGGACACACAGAGTAAGTCAGGAAAGCCGTCATATGGCTTCCTGGATAGCTGAAATTGCCTCAGCAAAGGTATACAAATAAAGAAATTTAAAAAAAAAAAGAAATGGTATGTAATTGAGGAAGAAAAGTATGGGTTAGAAATTCGATATCCTTTGATAGCAAGAGGAGAAAAAAGTCTCTGGAAATATTGTTTACTGCATCCAAGACTTAATTTATATCTTGCTACCTGGATTAACATGGATGATAAAAAGATGGTCTGGAGAGCAGCAGATGGATCAGAATGACACAAGAGTAGAGAGAGGAAATCCAATTAGGAAACAATTGAAAAAAATATCTAGAGAAAATTGTTAGTAACATTTGAGTAACATTGTTTCACTAGAGATAGAGGGAGTCAGACTGGAGGGATATCAAAGAAATAGAAAAGTTAGGACTTAATTGCAGATTAGAGGAACTGGGGTATTTCAATAAAGTTTTCCCTTGGGTAACTGAGTATCAGTAGGAGTCAATAGAAGAAAACATTAAGAAGAAGGATTTTACGCTGAGTAAATATATGTTTCAAACATTGGGGAGTTTGCAGATGGTGATTATGTTACAAGAAATCTGAAACACTATTTGCAGCATGAAAGAAAGAAGTCAACACTAAAGATGCAAATCTTGGGAATCTTGGGAATCATCACCTGAAGGTGTGAATGTAAATATGGCCACAATTAGAATATGAAGAGAATAGAAGACTACCTGAGGAATTCTAAAGGATGCTCAAGTATCAGTGGTAGAGTATATGGCAAAGTATTCATTAAGGAGGTCATAAAGGAATGAGTAGAAATTTAGAAGGGGAAGAATGTAAGATATCATCATGGAAGCCAATAGACCTTTAAGGAATATGAGAGGTTTAACTGTGTCAAATGTTACTTAGGGAAAGGTTGGGAAATATGTTATAGCTATTAGTGAGAACCATCTCATGTGGTGATGGGGGAGGACACAAAAAAATTAATGTGAGTTAAAGTCTTAGAACAAATGTAAAATCAAACAAACAAAAAAAAGTAACTCTTTCAAATTCGGGAATCACAGAAAAAACAGAAGTGAGAGTAAATTTTTAAATGTTGATAATAGCTAAGATATATGCAGCTCATACAATCTGTCATTTCTGAGTAATTTATAATTGTAAGTAATATATATGTGCTAATTTAAACCTTATAAGAAATAGCAAATAAGCGAGAGATACTGAGTTTCAGCTTCAAACACAAGAGATACAGTGACCTATTTTCAGTAGCCCATGTTCCCTCAGCTGGTAATTGACAGAGCTTTGATACTAATCTACATAGTAGGGTTTTTTTTTAGTTTTGTTTTCGTTTTTTGCTTCTACTCAGTATTGCCTCACCTAAAGAAAAAAGAGAATAAAGGAAATTAAGCATCTCTGTATAAAGGGAAGTAATTATTGTACATTCTCTAAGTTTTTATTAATCTTCAAAAAATATTCACTAAAGTCCATGATGCTTTTTGCATTAAATGACTTTTAAAAACATATTCATCTGAGTAGCATCAATTCCTGCATGGTACCCAGCCACATCTAATATTTTAGGGCTCAGCTTAAATGTCATCACCACAAAGAGAATATCATATATCTAATATAAAATGTTTTGAAAACATGTATCCAATCTGTAATTTTAAAAATACTAGTTTTCTTTCTATCATCCCATCCTCTAAAACTTGAAAAACAGAAGGACTCTGCCTGCCATATTTATAAGTGTATATTCAGACAACAGCTGTATTCCTGACACAGAATAAAAATGCTTTAAACTTTTCTGAGGAATGTATGGATGAATGAATGCATGAATGAATGGATGGGTGAATGGTCATATGGATGGAACAAATGAGGCAACTGTGATGGCAATATTTTCAAAATAATCTTTCGAGAACTATAATCTGAAAAATAAAGTCATGCTACTTTCTTATGTGAAAGACAAGCTGAGAAATACCTGAAATGTTTTAGTAATTATTTAAAAACAAAAGGGAAAAATTGAAATATGGACTGTTATAAAACAAATTGAATACATATAATTTCTAAACAGTAGTACCCCATTAAGCTAATAATCTCCCATGAAGAATTGCCGGATATGAGTTTACTATAGTTCAAATCTATAGTATTTACACATGTTTTTGTGATTTCTATTGATATAGTTTGTTTTAATTTGGTCTTGAGTTCTCTCCCTTGAAAAGTGACCATAAGAAGTTAGCCACTTTCTAGGAAAGCTGTGTCCGAGGGCAAGTTAGGTTCAGATATGTGTGTCAGGTGAGACACAATGGGGAGGTGAAACCAAACTGTATAAACAGAAGAAATTTATTACTCACAGGTCTCAGAGAGGTTGAGTGTTTCAATGAGAGCCTATGGAAAGTTCTGAGGTGACAGGGAGCTCAACCAGCAAGCGAAAAGGGAGACTGAGAGGACGTTTAAGACTATTCCCTTATTAAGGTCCATGGGATTATCCCCTAGATTTTTCCACAGGGGTTATGGACTGGCTAGTTTTTTAAAAACATGCGTAAAGGGAAAAATTTATTTATATGACTCTGGTATTGGGACATTAATTTTATCACAATAAGTAGCTGTGGGGTGAGTTGGGTTTTGGGTTAGGGAGATGAGGAACAAGTAGGCTATATCAAAAACAACCACACAGGGGCAGGGAGTTTTAAGCAAGCAAAAGGTGATGAATTTTAGATAACTATATCAGGCCTAAACATAAATGCTAAGGAAGCAACTACAAAATATTTATGACATATGTGTATTATAGAGAAACAGTGCTACATTATTTTGGATTAAAGCTAAAATGATCAAATGGAAACATAATTTTTTGATGTGACCAATTTCTTAATTTACATTTAAATGTAGTTCTTATAATTATCTAATTTCATTGAAAAATTATAAATATTTTGGTATTCTGACCTCTTTTTTATTAAGTTTTTTGAACAAAGAATAATTTACAAGGATGGAAAACCTTGTTGTTTGTGTGATTGCATCAAGCATCACCTACTAGAAGGAATTAAGTGAGGATTGAGTTAACTGTTTCACTGAGAACACGTATGGGGTATAAACATAGAATGAAAAAGATGAGGCTGGGAAACAAAACATTACTTTTTAAACCCCCCAAAAAAACATGTATAGAGAAAAATCACAGCATAAGAAAAAAATCCTTTCATGTAACACAAGTAATTGCTTTAATGAGATTATGTTGAGTTAAAATTTTTACATAGGATATTTCAGAGAATATAATTTGGAAAACTAATTTTGTAGCAACGGATTCATTTTTTCTTCATGAATAGGAAGAGTAGCTACACAGTGAATAATAAACTTTTTACTTATATAACTCAGATGGCTCTGCCATTAATTCGATTATCCAAGTTTGAATAGAAAAAAATATGTTTCTGACAAAATGGGAAAATAATTGGTTACCATGGAGATACCAGTTCTTGTGGATATTGCTCTCTACCAAGATGTCAAATATCTAGGATTGTTTGCCAACCAAAAACTTTTGTACTTCTAGCTATTAGTAAAAAGACAATGTAAATTTAAAATCCATGTTAGTATTTACAAAAGGCTTGATAAGGACAAGTAGGCTATTTTAAACAGAAAGTTTCTTGACTTTTGTTGGAATTAGAAAAAAATTTAGTACGTTTATATTAGCTAGCTGATGGTGATTTAATGCTTCTTCTTGTGGATATATATACACATGCATGCCCTTATAAATGACACATTAAAAGTTGGCTATTTATTAATATAGATAGAGTAGACCCAACAGGGTATATGGCAGTTAAAAGGCCAAAATGTGTGAAAAGTTTGAGAACTAATGATCTTGAAAACAAGGTGGCTCAGGAGTTTATACTATGTATTTACTTAAATGGGGATGAACATATTATCATAAATGGAAAATTTTATTATAGCTAAATTTAGCATTTAATAATGATTTGTAATATTTTAAATACACAAAAATAGAAAATAAATGAGAGAAGTGGCAGTAATAGATGGAAGTATCAACTTGAGTATAAGATTTTGTGCTAGAGTGTAAACTACTTAAAGGTAAAGAGCCTCCCTTCCTTTGCACATCACAGATTTCAATTTTGTTTCCCCTTTTCAAATAACTATGTAAATATTCCAGATATTTTCCAGCTTGTCTTTCACATGAAGTAGTATGGCATTGTTTTTTAGACTATGTTCCTCAAATTTTTAACTTTTAAACACTGTTGCCTTAATTTGTTCATTCATTAATTATTAAGTTTAAAGCATTATAAATTATGTGAAATAAGAGTAGTGTTTTTCAAATTTAAAAAAAAAATTTCAATAATGGGAAAAGTTATCACATTGCATTCATTAGAATATTCGTGAAAAAAGGCCTGAAATGCACAATGTCTAGATCACATTAGAAGTATACAGAGTTTCTTGCTTCTCTAACAGGATTGTGACAGTGAAGATATCCCTCCCTTTTGCCCTTGTGGTGGTTAATACTGTCTACTGGATTGGATTGAAGGATGCAAAGTACTGATCCTGGGCATGGCTGTGAAGGTGTTGTCAAAGGAGATTAACATTTGAGTCAGTGGGCTGGGAAAGGCAGATCCACTCTTAATCTGGTTGGGCACAATCTAATCAGCTGCCAGCACAGCTAGAATATAAAGCAGGTAGAAGAATGCAAAAAGACCAGACTGGCCTAGCCTCCCAGCCTACATCTTTTTCCCATGTTAGATGCTTTCTGCCCTTGAACACTGGAATTCAAGTTCTTCAGTTTTGGGATTTGGACTGGCTCTCCTTGCTCTTCAGCTTGCAGATAGCCTATTGTGGGACCTTGTGACCATGTGAGTTAGTACTTAATAAACTATTAGTTCTGTCCCTCTAGAGAACACTGACTAATACAGATTTTGCTACCAGGAGTGGTTCTAGAGGAACAGAATATAAAGGATGGAGCTCTTTCATTGGTTTTGGGGTTTTTGGAGTTGGCTGCTTAATATGATTCAACCCAAAAATGCTAAGGACTCTACTTCTAATAGTATGTAGAATACCAATAGTCATTGGAGTGAACTGTTTAGAGAGTTATGCAAAATGAATGCATTTGACACTCCTGATTCACTACTCATGAGAGGCAAGGAGTTTAGTGACTCTATACATAATACCTTTGACCATATGTACAGAACCAAGGAACATAATGAAGCTGGTTGGTTGTTCCTAAGTTCAGTGGACAAAGTGAAGAAGGAAAATGGTGAACTCAGGGATTCTAACTCCTGGCTTAGGAAGCAGATACTGAGCCTCAAATCTGCTAAGATTGCCCTGAGTCAGAGTCTTATCTCCTGTAGAGAAAGAGCTGAAATGTGGAAAAACAGACACAAGCTCTTATCACACAAGTGGCAGACCTGCAACGAAAGGTGCATGCACAACTTTGCCAGTTAAAATGAGGGCATTGATTGGAAAATAATGGGACCCTGGAACTTGGAATGAGGACATGTGGGAGGACCCTGATGAAGCTGGGGACACTGAGCTTATAAACTCTGATGAACTTTTTTTGCCAGAAGAAACAGCTTCCCATCCCTAGTAGTGGCAACATCCCCTCCCCGACCCATGCTATCATCAACTTTTCCACCTTTGAGGAGATAAACCCTGTGCTGCCTGAGGCAATGGCGATGTTCTCCTCTGAGGAAGTTGCCTGGCAAGATAATGTTGATTCTCCACACGAGCCACCCCAACACCCTTGTTTGCTTCTAGACCTACAACTATACTAAAATCCCAGTGGGCCCTGAGAGGTAAGGTTGAGAGTGTGACCCATGAGGTAGTGTGCTACACTAAAAAAGAACTGCTTGAGTTTTCTAATTTATATAAGCAGAAATATGGAGAACAGGCATGGGAATGGATATTAAGAGTGTGGGATAATGGTGGAAGGAACAGAGTCCCTCTAAGTAGGGACTCTGCATTTAATGTTGCAGCTGGGGAGTTAAAAAAGGTTCTCATAGTTTATTTGCTTGGTTAGCTGAAATATGGATTTAGAGAAGGCCCACGGTAAGCAAGCTGTAGACGAAGGGATCCAAAGGCTTAGGGAGATTGGGATGGTGGAGTTGATTTGTCATTTTAGACCTACTTATCCCATCTGGGAGGCTTCAGAAGATATACCCTTGACCAATGCCTTGCAAAATAGATCTGTGAGGACAGCACCTGAATCTTTGAAGAGCTCTGTAATTGCTCTTCTCTGTATATCAAATCTAACAGTGGAAACTGCAGTCACTCAACTACAAAATTGAAATACAATAGGAATAATTGGATCTTGAGGTGGGAGGGGCCAAGTGGTGGCACTCAACTATCAAAGGCAAGTTGGGTGTAGCTACCGTAATGGATAGCAGAGGCAAAGCAGCAATCAGAATAGTCTGACTTGGGTAGAGCTCTGGCAGTAGCTAATTAATCATGGTGTTTCTATAAGTGAAATTGATAGGAAGTTTACTGCATTCCTACTTAATTTATATAAGCAAAAAACTTCTACGTCGAATTGACAAAGGGCTAATTTGAATTATAAAAACAGTGAATCACAGCCCCTCAATCAATTTCCAGACTTGAGCCAGTTCACATACCCAGAACCCCTTGAATGAAGGGGAGTCTGTGTCCCCTTGAGTAAGGACCCCACTACACTACCAACAATTTATGCTGTTAATCTTTCTCACATTCTTCCCCAAGGACCCAAGGAGACCCCCGGCCTTTTACCAGGGTAACTTTGCATTGGGGAAAGGGAAATAATCAGACATTTCGGGGACCACTGACCTGGCTCTGAGCTGACGGTGATTCCAGGGAACCAGAAATGTCACTGTTGTCCTCCAGTTAAAGTAGGGGCTTATGGAGGTCAGGTAATTAATAGAGTTTTAGCTCAGGTCCGACTTACAGTGGGTCCAAGGGTCCCCGGATTCATCCTGTGGTCATTTCCCCAGTGTCAGAATGCATAATTGGCAGAGATACTTAGCAGATGGCAGAATCCCCACATCGGCTCCCTGAGTGAAGGGTGAGGACTATTATGGTGGGGAAGGCCAAAAGGAAGTCAGTAGAACTGCCTCTACTTAGAAAAGTAGTAAATCAAAAACAATATCACATCCCTGGAGGGATTGTGGAGATAAGTGCCACCATCAAGGACTTGAAAGACGCAAGGGTGGTGATTCCCACCACATCTCCATTCAACTCTCCTATTTGGCCCATGTAGAAGACATATGGATCTTGGAGAATGACAGTGGATTATTGTAACTTTAACCAAGGGGTGACTCCAATTGCAGCTGCTGTACCAGATGTGGTTTCATTGCTTGAGCAAATTAATACATCTCCTGGTACCTGGTATGTAGCCATTGACTTGGCAAATGCCTTTTTCTCCATTCCCGCCCATAAGGCCCACCAGAAACAATTTGCCTCAGCTGGGAAGGCTAGCAATATACCTTTATTGTCCTACCTCGAAGGTATATCAACTCTCCAGCTTTGTGTCATAATCTTATTTGGAGAGAACTTGATCACTTTTCACTTCTGCAAGATATCACACTGGTCCACTTAATTGATGACATTATACTGATTGGATCCAGTAAGCAAGAAGTAGATAACACCCTGGACTTATTGGTGAGACATTTGCATGCCAGAGGATGGGAAATAAATCTGACTAAAATTCAGGGAACTGCTACTTCAGTAAAATTTCTAGTGGTCCAGTGGTGTGGTGCCTGTTAAGATATTCCTTCTAAGGTGAAGGATAAGTTGTTGCATTTGGCCTCTCCTACAATCAAGAAAGAGACACAAGGACTAGTGGGCCTATTTGGATTTTGGAGGCAACACATTCCTCAGTTGGGTATGTTACTTCAGCCCATTTATTGAGTGACCTGGAAGCCTGCCAATTTTGAGTGGGGTCCAGAACAGGAGAAGGCTCTGCAACAGGTCCAGACTGCTGTGCAAGCTGCTCTGCCACTTCAGCCATATGACTCTGCAGATCCAATGGTGCTGCAGGTGTCAGTGGCAGATAGGAACGCTGTTTGAAGCCTTTGGCAGGCTCCCATAGGTGAGTCACAGCAGAGGCCTCTAGAATTTTGGAGCAAGGACCTGCCATCTTCTGCAGATAACTACTCTTTTTTTGAGAGACAGCTCTTTGCCTGTTAGTGGACTTTGGTGGAAACTGAACATCTGACTATGGGTCATCAAGTTACCGTGCAACCTGAACTGCCTATCATGAACTGGGTGCTCTTACCCATCTAGCCATAAAGTGTGTCATGCACAGCAGCATTCCACCATCAAATGGAAGTGTTATATATGTGATCAGGCTTGAGCAGGTCCTGAAGGCACAAGTAAGTTACATGAGGAAGTGGCTTAAATGCCCATGGTGTCCACTCTTGCCACCCTGCCTTTTCTCCCCCAGCCTGCACCAATGGCCTCATGGCGAGTTCCCTATGATCAGTTGACAGAGGAAGAGAAGACTAGGACCTGGTTCAAAGATGGTTCTGCACGATATGCAGGCACCATCCAAAAATGGACAGCTGCAGCACTACAGCCCCTTTCTAGGACATCCTTGAAGGAGAGTGGGGAAGGGACATCTTCCCAGTGGGCAGAGCTTCAAGCAGTGCACTGGTTGTGCACTTTGCATGGAAGAAGAAATGTCCAGATGAGCTATTATATACTGATTCATGGGCTGTAGCTGGTGGTTTGGCTGGATGGTCAGCGACTTGGAAGAAGCATGATTGGAAAATTGGTGACAAAGAAATATAGGAAAGAGGTATGTGGATGGACCTCTCTGGGTGGTAAAAAACTGAATATATTTGTATCCCATGTGAGTGCTTATCAACAGGTGAACTCAGCAGAGGAGGATTTTAATAATCAAGTGGATAGAATCACCCATTCTGTGGATACCACTCAGCCTCTTTCCCCAGCCACCTCTGTCATCACCAAAGGGCCCATGAACAAAGTGGCCATGGTGGCAGGGATGGAGGTTACACATGGGCTCACCCACATGGGCTTACACTCACCAAAGCTGAGCTGGCTACAGCCACTGCTCAGTGCCAATTTGCCAGCAACAAAGACCAACACTGAGCCCTTGATATGGCACCATTCCTCGGAATGATCAGCCAGCTACCCGGTGGCAGGTTGATTATATTGGAATTCTTCCATCATAGAAAGGGCAGAGGTTTGTCCTCACTGGAACAGACACTGACTCCAGTTATGGGTTTGCCTATTCTGCACACAATGCTTTTTCCAAGACTACCATCCACGGACTCACAGAATGCCTTATCCACTGTCATGGTATTCCACACAGCATTTCCTCTGATCAAGGCACGCACTTTATGGCTAAAGAAGTGCAGCAGTGGGCTCGTGCTCATGGAATTCACTGGTCTCACCATGTTCCCCACCATCCTGAAGCAGCTGGATTGATAGAACAATGGAATGGCCTTTTGAAGTCACAGTTACAATGCCAGATAAGTGACAATACTTCGCAAGACCGAGGCAAAGTTCTCCAGAAGACCATGTATGCTCTGAATCGGCATCCACTATATTGTACTGTTACTTCCATAGACAGGATTCATGGGTCCCCAACTCAAGTGGTGGAAATGAAAGTGGCACCACTCACTCTGTCACTCCTAATGATCCACTAGCAAAATTTTTGCTTCCTGTTCCCATGACATTAAGTTCTGCTGGCCTAGAGGTCTTAGCTCCAGAGGGAGGAACGCTGCCACCAGGGGACACAGCAACAATTCCATAAACTGAAGTTTAAATTGCCACCTGGACATTTTGGGCTCCTCCTACCTTTAAGTCAACAGGCTAAGAAGAGAGTTACAATGTTGGCTGGGTTGATTGACCTGGTCTATCAAGATGAAATCAGTCTACTACTCCAAAAGGGAGGTAAGGAAGAGTATGCATGGAATACAGGAGATCCATTAGGACATCACTTAGTATTACCATGCCCTGTGATTAAGGTCAATGGGAAGCTACAACAGCCCAATCCAGGGAGGGCTACAAATGACCCATACCCTTCAGGAATAAAGGTTTGGGTCACCCCACCAGGAAAAAAAAAACAAACAAACCCATGACCTGCTGAGATACTTGCTGAAGGCAAAGGGAATACAGGATGGGTAATAGAAGAAGGTAGTCCTCAATACCAACTATGACCAGATGACCAGCTCAGAAACAAGGACTGTAATTGTCATGAGTATTTCCTCCTCCTTTTGTTAGTAACATGTTTGTGCATGTATACACTTGTACAAAGAAAATATCTTCATTTTATTTTCTTTTTCCTTTAACATGTGACATAAGATTTATTGACTTCATATCAGTATTTAAATATTGTTAACTTTATGTAATAGTATTTGGGTTGGGGATTGGTGCATTTCCAGTTGTACACAAAATAATCGTATTATGTTAGACATAATTATGATCTTATTATTGTCTTTATTTGAAGATTATGCATTATCTCAGGATATGTGTATGCGTTCAAGTTGACAAGGGGTGGACTTGTGATGGTGAATACTGAGTGTCAACTTGACTGAATTGAAGGATGCAAAGTATTGATCCTGGATGCATCTGTGAGGGTGTTGCCAAAGGAGAGTAACATTTGAGTCAGTGGGCTGGGAAAGGCAGACCCACCCTTAATCTGTATCTACAGATTAGCTACTAGATTGTACACTACAATCCTGTCAGTTGCCAGCATGGCTGGAATATGAAGCAAGGAGAAAAACGTGAAAAGATTAGACTGGCCTAGCCTCCTAGCCTGCATCTCTACATCTTTCTCTTATGCTGGATGCTTTCTGCCCTGAAACATCAGACTCCAAGTTCTTCAGTTTTGGGATTCGGACTGGCTCTCCTTTCCCCTCAGCTTCAAGATGACCTATTGTGGGACCTTGTGATCGTGTGAGTTAATACTTAATAAACTCCATATATATATAAATTTTGTTATAACTGTTGTCAGTATTATTAATAACATTTTAATACTTATATATATACTTTGAGGGACATGAGTTGGAGATTCTGCAGCATTTAATATGTAGCTTCTCAGGTCCCACTGGAGATAATCTTCATTCTAACTAGGCAGAGGGTAAAGCAGGATGGAGCCAGTTGTTGAAGGTGTGGCCAGCCACTTTTGTTTACATTCCATTGTATAGAACTCATTCAACCCTATGAGAACATCTATACTCAATGGAGGACTGATACCTCACCTTTGCTGATAGAGAGCTGCTTCTCAGTGCCAGCTCTATTCTTAGGAAGGGTGTGCCTGGCTATTGGTGAGCAGTTAATAAACTGCATCCAAAGCATGAAGAAATACTGTAATTTCAAAATATTATTAACATTTCACTTATATATATTATTTTAATAATTAAATGATATATTTCAGGCACACTTAAAGCCATCTTTACACTATTCTTTAATCTCATTACTCATCTTCCATGCCCAAAATGAATAACTCTCCTGAAGGCATTCTATGAAAGGCCTTTTGATTTTTAAAAAAGCATTTAGTATGTAAATGTTGGTGTATATTATTAAAAATTACATTCAAGGTACTTGATCATATATAGAATTATGTCTTTTTTGGTGCAATTGACATTAAGGTTTTTTAAATAATGTAAAACATGACAAATATAGTTAATTCCTTTTACCATGTGCTTTATAGGATAAATACACTACATTTTATATATTCTTTCTTGTATTGACGGGCATTCAAGTTGCCTCCTACTTTTAGGAATTTTAAGTTATAATAATATGAGCATGCTTGTGCACATAGGCCACATGATTCTAGGGTATACACCTGTGGGACAGAGCTTCTGAGTGTTCCTTAAAAATTGGGAAACAGGAAACATTCTCAGGCCTCTTGTATGTATGTGTGGTCGTATCACTGATTTCTGTCCAATTGATTCTTAGTGATGTTAAGAGTACTCTATCCAGGCTGGGCGTGGTGGTTCATGCCTCTAATCCCAGCACTTTGGGAGGCTGAGGCGGGCCAATCATGAGGTCAGGAGATCAAAACCATCCTGGCTAACATGGTGAAACCCGTCTCTATTAAAAATAGAAAAAAATTAGCCAGGCGTGGTGATGGCCGCCTGTAGTCCCAGCTACTCGGGAGGCTGAGGCAGGAGAATGGCATGAACCCAGGAGGCGGAGCTTGCAGTGAGCTGAGATCGTGCCACTGCACTCCAGCCTGGGCATCAGAGCGAGATTCCGTCCAAAAACACAGAGTACTCTATCCAGCTCAGGTGGTTAAGAAATATGTTATAGTTGTACATATTTTGGGAGTAAATGTGACATTTTGATACCTGTATACAATTTGTAATGATCAAATCAGGGTAATTGGGATATTCATCACCTCAAACATTTATCTTTTGTTTGTGTTGGGAACATTACATTTCTACTCTTCTAGCTATTTGAAATAAACAACAAATTATCATTAACTGTAATTTCCCTACTGTACTATCTAATACAAGAACTTATGTCTTCTACCTAACTGTATTTTTGTACTTCTTAAAAACAATACAGCTCAAGGGTTTTAAGAGGCATTTGCTGTCTTTTTCCTCTGCCTCTAGTTTAAAGCAGACAATGATAAGTTGCAAATAAAGCACAATATGGACAAAGCCTAGGTTGCTCAATCATTATGTAGATGAGAGTCACCTGTCAATGAGAAATTCCTGCTTTCAAAAATTCCATGAATGAGAAAAATAAATTTTACTGTATGTAAGCTATTCTGTATTTGGAGATCCATTTATTAGAGCAGGTTAGCCTACACTAACTCAAACTAGATGTGACTTATTGGTCATAGATATGTGCAACATTAAGTAAATTTAGTAATGATTTATATTTTGGTTTACAAAGTATGTATATCTGCTTACTGTCTGCAAATGTACTTGAGAGTTTTACTTGCCCTAAAACTTCACCAACTCTCAAGGTTCTTAGTTTTAACTATTGGTCAATGACAATGACAATGTATATATTAATAAGTGCTTGTGCTAATTTGCATTTCCCAGATAAATAGTGAAGGTACACACTTTTTCAAATGTTGATTGGGCATTCAGTTTTCTTTTTCTAGAAAAACGTCTTTATGTATTTTTCCATATTTTATTTTGAATTTTTAAATTACTTTAATGACATTCATTTTGTAATCTGGTTTTGATTTATCACTTAACATGCATAACAGGTATCTTTTGTAAATATGGGGCATATTATTTAACTTTTGCAAAAATAAAATGTTTTTTTATATGCAAATCACTTTTTAATTTTGAATACTGTAAAATTAATCAGTCTTGTCCTCTTTGAGTTTTCATTTTTTATAATAGTCTTTCCTACTCCAAAATCTTGTAGATGTTGTTCTGCATTCCACTCTGTTTTAAAATTTTGCATTTTATAATTATGTCTTACTATAAATACTTTTTTTGTGTGTACCGTGAGTCAGGACTGTATTTTATTTTTTACATGTGGACTATGAAGTGTCCTGAGTGTTACACTGATATTTTGTTGTTTCCCTATTGATGTATCGTGCCAATTTTATTGTATACTAACTCCCCATATTTCCATATGGGCACACAGTTCAGATCCATTAGCTATCTATCTATACTTGGGTTAATAAAATAAACATTATGTACAATAGCTTCATTATTAGCTTAACATGTTGATCATGTCTTTCTGAGGGTTAATATTATTTCTTATAGATACTATTATTTGATACAGTTAATTCCATATAATTTTAAAGATGAATTTGTACATCTATGTTAAACCTTTCATTGGGAATTTTATTGAATTCTGAAATTAGTTTGAAATGAATTATAAGTTTGATCATGTAGAGCCTTTCTATATGCCAGATTGAATAGTATATTGGCTCAGGTATGCTTTCTGTCTCTTCAATAAAGGTTCATATTTCTCTGTACAGATTTTATACAACATTGTTAGATTTATTTTGGAATAAGTAAATGTCATAACTTTTGTTATAACTGTTGTCAGTATTATTAATAACATTTTAAATAATTTTTTCTGTCTTTTAAATTAGTTATTCTGAGAAAACACTATTGATATTTGTATGTTAGTTTTCTTTTTTATGAAGAATCTTAGGTCAACAGTAATATTAATATTGACATTTAGTCTATAGCATATCTGACTTTCTTTTTATAATCATACTCTTCAGCAATGATTAAAGTTTAGCCATTTTTTTCTGTTTCCTACTTAATCTTTAAATGCCTAAAGAATTTGTAGTGATGTCAGCTCTCTGATTCCTGATACTGCTAGTTTATGTTTTATGTTTTCTGCTTTTTTATGATAAACTTGGCTAGAAATTTCTCTATTTTGTTGATCTTTTCAAAGAATAAGCATTTCTAACTTTATTGCTTTTCTGAGTATTTATTTCATTGACTTCTGATCTTATTTATCATTGCCATCCTTCTTCTAACTTTGGATTATATTTTTCTTTTACTAGTTGCAGAGTTCATTAATGTAAGACTTTCCTTCTTTTAATATAAAAATACAGTGCTATAAATTTTCCCCTAAGTATTGCATTATTTGCACCCCAAATTTTTAATTTGTTGCTTTGATTTTCCTTCAGTTCAAAATAGCTTTTAATTTATTATTCTTTTCTTTTTTGATATATGGGTTGTTGATAAATGTGTCACTTCATTTACATATACTTGAAAATCATTGCTATTAATTTCTAATTTATTTTCTCTTTTTGTCAGATAATACACTTCGTAGGATTTGAAACCTTTTCCGTTTGTTGAGACTTGTTCTATAGCACAAAATATAGTCTAATTTGGAAAATGTTCTGTGTGCATTTGAAAAGGATACACATTTGAAAAAGACATGCTATTGTTGAATAGAGTGTCCTATCATTATCTGTTAGGTTAAGTTGTTGACAATGTTATTTCAGGGTTCTTTGTAGATTTGCTTATTTCTCTTTCTAGTTCCATTTGTTTTTGCCTAACATATTTAAAATTCTGTTATTAGTGATTAATTTTTTAGGACTTTTATGTCCTTTTGATGAAATGACTCACTGCTTATTAGTAAATGACCTTCGTGAACTCTTGGTTTCATTCTTGGCCTTGACTTTTATTTTACCTGGTATCAATATAAGCACTCCAACTTTCTTTTTTTTTACTATTATTTACATAAAAAAAGAAAGAAAAGGAGAAGAATAGATGGTACCAACAGAAAACAAGCAACAAGATGATCATCTTGTTGGGGAACATTATTATTGAACTTACAGGCATAAAAATTATTATAATAAAATACTATGAAAAATTTCAATGCCAATAACCTGGATGAAATAGACAAAATTTTTAGAAAGATACAAACTACCAAAACTGACTCAAGAAGATATAAGCATCAGAATAAATCCATAACTAGCAAAGAGCATGAATTAGTAATACAGTAATTCCCCACAAAATATCTAAGCTTATATAGCTTGACTAGTGAATCCTACAAAATGTTTAAAGCAGAATTAACAGCAACCCTTTACACACTTTCTCAAATAATAGAAGAGAAGGAAACACTTCACCTTTCGTTTTATGAAGTCAATATTCCCCTCATACCAAAACTAAGCAAAATCATCACAAAATAATAAAACTGCAAACCATTAACATTAACAAATATAGCTAGCCACATCTATTGTCTATGAAATACTAGCAAATCAAATTATATAAAATCAAATCATTTTATAAAACATGTAAAATGGATTATATAGCATGATCAAGTGAGTTTTATCCAAGGAATGCAAGATCGGCTAAACATAGGAAAACCATCACATGATCATCTCAATAGCCTCAGAAACTGCATTTGACAAAAATTTAAAGCCTTTCAACTGATTTCATTTTCTTCACCCTGAAGAGCAGGCATTGTCTAACATTTCTTGGAGTGTAAGACTGTTGATAATACTTTTTTTTTATGTTCAAGAATGTAATCAACTTAAAAATTTTAAAGAGATTTTGTTTCTTAAGAATTCTAGATTGGCAGTTGTCTCCCCTTTACTTTAAAAATGTTTCTTTGCTATCTATTTGTTTGGATTGTTTCCACAGTGTATCTATTGTGCTTCTTATATTTTTTTTCTCTGTATGTAATGCATCTTTTTATTTCTGAACGCTGTTTTAGATTTTCTCATTTTAACTGCATTTAGTTGAATGATTCTGCAATGTAATTACAGTGTGCTCCAGTGTAATTTTCTTCATTTTCTTTTTTGGGATTAATTAAACTTCTTGGGTCAATTCATAGTTTTACCAAATTTGAAAGCATTTGGCCAATACTTTAGCATGTACCCTTGTTCTGCCCCTATCTCTCTTGTTTGAGAACTCCCATCACTCCTGTATTTATCTACTTAACATTTTGCTAGGTCCACTCATGCTTTTTTTTTTTTTTCCTCCTGCATTTCATTTTGACTATATTCCATTGTTAGTCTTCTACATCACTAATATTTTCATCTTCAGTTTTTAATCTCATGTTATCCTCATCCAGCATATTTTTCCTGAGACATATTCATTTTCATATTCTGAAGTTTGATTTGGGTCACTTTATTTCTTCCATGTCTCTATCTAAAATTTTCAGCATATGAAATATATTAATAGTAGTTTCAGTTACCCAGGTCAACTGCTGTCTAAAATATTAAATGGAAAATTCCAGAATGCATAAATTTTAAATTGCACTCCATTCTGAGTAGTGTGATGAAATCTCATGCTGTCCTGGTCTGACCTGCCAGGGACGTGATTCATCCCTTTTTCCAGTGTATCCATGCTGTCTATGCTACCTACCTATTAGCTGCTTAGTAGCCATCTTGGTTATCAGGTTGACTGTCATGGTATCACAGTGCTTCTGTTCAAGTAACACTTATTGTACTTAATAATGTCCCCAAAGTATGAGAGGACGAGACAGGCAATTTGGATATGCCAAAGGAAACATTTAAAGTGCTTCCTTGAAGTGAAAAGGCAGAAGTTCTTAATAAGGAAAGAAAAAAATGCATATGCTGAGGTTACTAAGATCTATGGTAAGACTAAATATTCAATTTGTGAAATTGGGAAAAAGAAAAAAAAACTATGCTGGTCTTGCTGTCATACTTCAAACTGCAAAAATTATAGCACAGGATATCATAAGTTCTCAGTTAAGACAGAATTTGTAAGTGAAAGATATTAAGAGAAAACATGTTCTGATTGTCAGTAACATTTTTCATTAGATTAACTTACATTAAATTAAATTAAATTTGATCAGAGGTATATATGTATAAGGTTACTGCATCCACATTTTGGAATGTATCTCTTGTGGTTAAGGGAAAACTAGTCTACAGTTATAAGTGTTTTGTCAGATAATTCTGGCATTTATGCCTCCTCTTTGTGAGTTTTGATGGTTTGCTGGATTGCGAGTCTTTATTTTCATGTTACTTCAATTGCCAGTTATTCTCTGATTAGATGGCTGACATTGGGAATTTTATCTTTTTGGATGATTGATATTTTGGCGTTCCTATTCCTGAACATTGTGATGGAATTCAGTTAAGTTACTTGGTAAACTTTGATTCTCTAGGACCTTGCTTTTAAGAATTTTTTAGGAGACACCTGAATAGAATTTAGTCTCTGGTTAATTTTTCTTCATTATTGGGAAATATCCTTTTTTGTTTTCTACCCAATGCTTCTCTATGAATTTTGAGGCAAACAGTATTCTTTGCACTGCATGAGTGTCAGATACTTCTTCCTCTAATTCTTTCAGGGAGATTCTTCCTCGGCTTCAGATACCTTCCTCTTATTTGTGGGCTTTTTAATATTTCACTGTATACTGAAGGAGACCCTGCACATTTTCTAAGTTTTTTTCCATAGGTAGCATTTTGCTCTCTGGTATTCTGTCTTGTAAGGACTCTAGCCACTTTGGCTTCTTGAAGTGTCAACTTATTCTCCTCAATTTGGCAAATCCCTGGGCTTCACTTGAGTTCCACCTCCCTTATCTCTGGCCTAGAAATTCATTCAATGAAGTAATATGGGGCATTTGTTTCCATGTTTTCAGATATCACTCACCTTTGTTGTCTAATATCCAGTGTCTTGAAAGCCATTGCTTGCTATATTTTTTCTTGTTTCTTGGTTGTTTGAAATGGAAGAATAAATCCTGTCTTTTTTACTATCTTAGTCTTATATTTAACAATTTTCATTTTTCTCTATCCATATCAGATTTCATATGTTGCCTTTAATTTTCATCTCAAAATAGCTCATGTTCTGTTTGTTGTTGTGTAGGCTTTGGATATAATCTTTCTCTTGGATTACTATGTAAAAGTAGCAGTCCAGTTTCTGTTTTATGTAATTATTTGGAATTTTATTATAGGCAAAATTTATTACACAAATTTATACTTGTTCTTAGGGTGCAAAATGGATGCCTCTTTTCTACTTTTATGATAGTCTTCATTCAACTTCAAGTCGCATTTGTTACAGTTTTTGGTTATCATCACTGTTATTATGAATATAGTTGATTTGTATTTGACCTATTAGCGTTTGTTAAAACTCTTTACCTTGTATTTCTACCAGTTTCTCCTTAAGTATTCAATACTTTAAATTTACATATGGTGGTCCTATATGAATCAAGGTTACAGTTATATCGCTATTTATTGTCTAATATGGATTTATCTTTTATAACCCTACTAGTTTTTAAATGTATCCTCAAATTCAAATTAAAAGAATAAAGGAAAAACATGGCAATGATTTATTTCTGCAATCAAGTGGGTTTAGCAGATTGGAAGCAGAACTACATACATCAATGATAAGAAATCTTATAGTGTTTTCTACTTCTTACTATAGCAGTTTGCATCCGCAGGTGTTCTGTGGCTTTTTCGCAATGTCATATGCCTTTGGAATACTTGAATACACTCTTCTCAGGTGCACTGTACATTGCAGTTCCCCTCTGTTTCTTTTATTCTGGTGTGTCTAATAGTTTCACAATAGTATTTAACTATGATCTCCTAGATTTCTCTTATGGAATAAGTAATCCTTCCTAATTTGGAGGACCAGTGCGTATTTCCTTCGAATAACATTTTCTTGACAGCAGAGTAAACAGTTAGTTAGGAATAGGGCTTAGGGCTAGAGTTGATAGAGCTGCATTTCTATTAGTACAATTGCCCTCAAGTCTCCAGCACATACCAGTAGCTGTTTAAACACAGCCATCACCTAACTCTTTGTGTGTTATTTTATTTATCTGTAAAAGGGGATTATTATTTGTAACTATACCTGCATGATGATATGAGTTAATATCTTCAAATAGAGCAGTATGTGGAACAGTTAAGTGCTTAGTAAATATGTGTTATTATGATTATCACTAACAATTATGCAAAAATCCAAAGATGGATTTGTACCTATCTGATGCTCTAGTTCTATTGAAATAAAAAAATAAATAAATACATGTGGTATATATACACAGTGGAATACTATTCAGCCACAAAAAAGAACAAAATTATGTCTTTGGAAGCAACAGGAATGGAGCTGGAGGCCGTTATCTTAAGTGAAACAACTCAGTCATATAAAGACGAATACCACACGTTCTCACTCGTCAGTGGGGGCTAAGTGATGTATAAACATGGAAGCAGAGTGTGGAATTATGGACAATGGGAAATCAGAGGGGCTGTAGAGTGGGAGAGGGTGGATGATGGGAGGCTGCTCGATGGATGCAATGTGCACTGCTGCAGTGATGGATGCACTGAAGGCCCTCACTTCACCACAATGCAGCAACATTTCATTTGTCCCCACTCTATGAAGACAGACAAATGAAAGATAATCCTAAAAGGAAAAGGCATGAAATCCTTGCAATTTAGTGATTATGGAAGAATGATGATTAGTGTAATAATAACTTTGAGAAGTAAAAGTCTTGAAACATTGGTATTTGTCAAATTCTAAGAAAATCCCTTCCACTATAGATATTAGATATCTTACTTTTCTTTTTTTTTATTATACTTTAAGTTTTAGGGTACTTGTGCACAGCATGCAGGTTTGTTACACATATATACATGTGCCATGTTGGTATGCTGCACCCATTAACTCGTCATTTAACATTAGGTATATCTCCTAATGCTATCCCTTTAATGTTGAAAAATTGATATATATTTTATCTTATAATTACAGAGAAGATTAAAATGCTTAACATCATAAAAAATTAAAATAAAATCCAATAGACTTATTTTTGGGGGGACAAATTAAGAACACAAGATTTCTTATTTCTCTAAGACTCCATTTTGTGTTTGTTTTTATTTTTACCATAAGGTGAATATAATCACATGTAGTTCATAAGAATATGATGTGTGCTAAGTTCTCCATAAATACCAGCTATTATTAAATAAAGGAGTAAATGATATATCCATATAACTATTAAAGAGGCACAAACATAATTCCAGGTACTCCAGAGTATGTTCTTTGAGAATATAACCAGAAGCTGCATTCAGAAATAAAGCTAAAAAACTTGTTTGTTTAATAAGGGAATGTCTTTTTCTTGTTGTTTGTTTCTCTTTCTCTTTATTGCTTACCAGGTTAATTACTAAGTTGTCTAAATTTTAATGTTTCTAAATGTCAAAAAGTAGGTGTCCATCCTTCATAAATCTTAAACCCCATATTAACAGCACATGCAATGTTTTGAAGAAAGAACTTTAGAATCAATTTCTAATTTTCTTAACCAGCCACAGAATTTATTATAAAGGATTTTTAGAAGTTTGTTGCCATGATTTTATATAACTCTTAATTTTATTTAAAGCAGTAATTGTCTTCTTAGCATCACACACAAAAATCGCGCTGGGTAAAAGACTTCTACAAAGTCCTGCTAATTGATTAAAATGATAGTTTTGAAAGGCCATATTCCACACAGAGTTTTTCAGTTTGCATTAAAGAAGTTTCATATATTTTTGGAATGTTATTGTTATAGACAGAGTAAGTAGAACTTGAAAATGTTGCCTAGGTTTTACTAAGATTCTAGTAACTACAAATAAAAAAATAGGCTCCTCACAATGTACTAGTAAGATGTAAAAGATAAGGGAGTGGTCATTGAAGAAAAAGAGATTAACCTCAAAATAGAACTTGCGATTGTTCTGTACTTTCAACCTGATAATGTTCTCAGACAAAACAAACCATAAATAAAAATAACAGCAATATTCATCACACTGAAGTAATAACTTAGAGAACTTAGAATTAATCTGCATTTTTACAAAAACACTAGCATATGCTCATTTATCATGAAAATCCTTTCTATCCAATATTGAAAATAATGAAGACTGTGCTTTGCAAGGAAAAATATTCATTGGTGCCATATTTCCATATACTCTCAGGCAAACATTTCCTCCTCCAGAGCATTTGATATATAATAAGAACACCTTCAATCTTGACAGCAATCTGAAAACCATAAGAAAGATAAAGCTATAAAGGTATATCAGTAGGCGCTGCCCATTACCTGCTTAGAACTATGGCAGTGATTGATGCCCAGCACAGTTATTTTGACCTATACCTTCAGAAGAGTCTCAGTAACCTTAACAAGTGTATTCCCACTAGCTTTGATCTTTCATCAGAACATACACACCATGTTTATATTTACTGAAGAAGCTATTCACTCTCAGTGAGTATTCTCTGAGGAATTTCTCCCCAAATCTCAGTAAGACCTCATAAAACACTAACATCCTTAGTCAAAGCTTTTTTAAATACCTCACTAAATGCATGGATATGCCAAAATGATAATATTACCCACTGAGGGAAGTAAGCAAAGGTCCAAAAAAGAATATGGGTGATTGTACCACAAAGCATTCAAAGATGATTTATACCAAATTGCTTTGACATTTTAAAAAATGAATTTAACTTTCACTCAAGAATTTCCCTTTTCATAAAATAAAATACTGTCACATTGTGTACTTGACAGTACTGGACAAAGACATGCTTTAACTTTTTTGATTTGTGAGTCAGGGGAAAGAAATATAGAAAACACATGAAACAAAGTATGGTGCTGAATTTGGAGAATATGAATGACATCAAAACTGTTAGTTATTTTTCTACAGACTTTTAAAAGCAAATCTTTCAATAAAATGCCACAATTACTCACAAACATCAGCTTTGTAGAGAGTCATTGTGCATCATGTCAGTAGAGAAAGTTTGGTCTTTTTTCTTCCATCCTATTTGATGATTTTACAAAACATATTTACTTAAGTTCATTTGGAATTTCAACATCACATAGGGGAAAGGTAAAGTAAACTGATGTTCTACTTCTGTTTTATCCTTCCCTTCCTTATCACCTCCTCCTGAATTACTACTTTTAATAGGATATTTACTGCATGCATTATTCCAGTATATTTCTGGGAAGCTATTAATGATAGCAAGCCCAGGATTGTCAGGGAAATTAACAGTTTCATCTCTTTTGTATTCCATTTCCTAAAACTTGTACTGTAAGTTCTGACATGTCTATAGCCTATACTTTTAAGCATTTTTACATATGGCCCAAAGCCAGGTTACTGTTAAATGTTCCACTTGCCTATTTCAAGGCGCACGCAAAGTAAGAGGCAAAACAATGAATCAAGGTAATTGTGATTACTTTGAATAGTCATAATTGCAACAATCATTCCCTGCAATATTAAAAAGAATCAGATTCCAATAGTGTAATTTGCTTTTATATCTAGCCAACTAGAATGTTGTTACCATTAAGATATATTGCTTACATCTGTTTCTTCTTTAAATATATTGTGCCATTATATAGATAATAGCTTACTTTAAGTAGGTGAACATAATTATTTTCTATATTTCTTTTTCATTCTACCATAATTGGGATATATTGGGTTGGAGTCAAATCACATTGCTCTGAAAGCATTTTAGAGTAATTTTTGATCTCTTGACTGAAACAAAAGAAAAAGCTTTCTGGCATTATTTTAAATCACTTGACAGATACACAGCAGGACAAATCCTGCCACATTTAAGGATGAACACATTGTAAAATGAGCCGTAACCAGCCATCTGTAGGTAATAAACATTACCTATTCTCTAGAATAATTAGCTCTTCAATTATCCATTAAACTTGGACTTGGGTATCTTTTCTCCAATAATATGCCTGCTACTTGTCACCAATCATTCCAAAAGTGTTATTTTTATAACAAAATATAAATGTGAAAAACAAAAATTAAATGAACAGGTGTCATTCCTTCTGGAAAAGTATTACTCCTCTTGGACAGTCCTTCTGAAAAATTTTCTATACCTAAGAAGAGATTCTTTTGCTAGATGATTTTGAAATCAAGAGAGGATAATAGGCTGTTGTAAATATTGAAAGCAGTATTTCCTTGGTTTGAAAAGAAAGCCTTAGATGGTAGAGTCATTAGCCTTGCTATTTTCCTAATGACACTTTTGTAGTCATTCTGAAATAATTATTTTGATAGACAAGTACTCTGCTTCATGTGCACTCTGCTCTTAATTTATATTCCAAGAATTGACACAACTAAAGGTCTGTTAATCTCATTCTGACTTCAGATTCCTGGTATTTTCATGAGCTAACGGAAATTGTAACATATGGTATACTTTGTCACGCTGTTAGGTGATTTCATCTGATCTTCATATTACTTCCCAGTAGTCTCTTGCCATTAGCTTGTGATATTGAATACTGTGGTAGGCATGGCACTGAGCTCAACGCTGGAATGAGCTAACACTAATCCTGAAAGTCCTGTTATTTGTGCCAAAGGAGATATATTCCAATGTCACTGATTTGAAACATACTTTCTTATATTAACTTAGTACATGGTAATAGCAGCAAATGTAGATGATAAACTGATAACATTTAATTAAAAAAGAAAAATAAGTTGATATATTTGTACTTAATGTTTTTTATTTCATAACATTTTATATTTTACTATAGAAGTTAATATTATACAAAATAAAGGGAAAGATTCATTTCCTTCCTGTTTGCTCAAAAACTAAGAAGATTATCAATCATGATTGACATTTATATTCTTAGTTAGGCATTTGATATACAATAGACTTTCTTTTCATTCTACTATCCATAAAATAAGTGGAATAAAACCTGAACTTCAGTCATATAACTCCTTGCTCTGTGGTTTGTTGGTGCACCTAGTAGTAGATTAGTGGTTTCTTTCTTAATAAATTATTACATTCAAGAAATATCCTTGAGCATTTGTTGTATGTCAGGCAATATGTTATACACTGCAAATATAGAGCTGAACAAGATAGACCCAGTTGCTACCACCATGGAGCTCATGCGCAGAGGAGAATGCAGGCATCAATACCTACAGTTGTGGCAAATGTTATCTGAATGAAAGTGCCACGTATTGATATCTAAAAGGAAGTAAAAAATGTAAATACAATGATCTTTTATCACAGAAAGTTCAACAACTTTGTATCTAAACCAAGAGACTCTATTGATTATTAAGACCAATAATAAAGTTTATTAAAATTATATGTATCAAAGAAAATGGTATGAACAGTATGACATCATCTTAACGTAACTAGTTACATCTGCAACAAACCTATCTTCAAGCAAGGTCACATTTTGAGGTACTGGAGTTTAGGACTCCAACATATGAATTTTGAGGGGGCATAATACAACCTATAACACTTATCATATTTGCAAATATCATTAAAAATATGCCACTGCTAATATCTAATGTTGACAGTAGTATGAAGAAAGAGTCACTCTTATAGATACTGACAGAATTTTACATTAACAAATTATATTTATGGAAGAATTTTTGGCTGAATGTATCAAAAACTTAAAATGTGCTCAACTTGTGCTTCCACTTCTAGAAATGTATTTTTTTTTACAAACACAAGGGTGAACAGAAATTATTACACAAATATAATCACTGCAGCAATATATTAAAAAAACAGAATTATCTCTTCTTGAATTCATTTACAAGTCATATTTTGTAAGCCATTATAAATAATATTAAAATGTTTTAATGTCTATGTTTTCATTATTAAAAAGAGAAGTGCAGTTGGTCATTCTATGTTCACCTTTTATCCTGCAGCCTTGCTAAATTTATTTAATACTCCTTGAAGATTTTTTTTATATGTCTCAGGACTTTCTACAGAGTGAATAAATGTTAATGAAGAAAGTTTTGTTTTTTGCTTTCCAATAAGTATTTTTTTAACTTTTTTTTTTTACTGCATTTGTCTAAAACTTTCAATAAGATACTGAGTAAAATATGTCAAAGCAAATGCACTTTTTTTTGATCTCCAATCCTAAAGAGAAACATTTCATTTTTCATCATTAAGTATGATGCTAACTGTAGTTTCTGGTGTTTTGTTTTTGATAAGTTTTTTTTTTTTTTGTAGATGTTCTGGAAAAAAACCCACACATTTTTAATTTGCTAAGAGTTTTAAAAATAAATGGGTGTTAAATTTGGTTAAATGTTTTTTCTACATTTATTGAGTTCATCATTTTGACTTTTTTATTTCTTTTTAAAACTTTTGTTAATAGAGTGAAAGACATAGATTGATTTTAAAATATTAAACCAATCTCATACTCCTGAAGTAAACCATACTTGATCATGGTGTAATATTGTCATGTCATTAAGTTCAATTTGTTAAGGATTTTTACATCTATGTTCAGAAATGATATTGATTTGGAGTTTTGTATTCTTGTAATGTTATTTCCTGATTTCATATCAGGGTAATGCTTGTCTCATAGAATAATTTATAAAATGTCTGGGTAGAATTGGGAGCATATCTTTCTGAAATACTGAATAGAATTTATCAATGAATTTACCTAGAACTACTTATTTACGTGGAAAGATTTTTACTTACAAACCAAGTTTCCTTCACACATGTAAAGCTATTTTGTTTATCTATTTCCATTGGTGTGAATTTGGAACTTTATGTCTTTCAAGGACTTTGTCCAATTTATCTCTGTTATCACATATATTGGCATACAGTTGTTTATCATATGTCTATTTACTACCTCTAGGAGTCTAGTGATGCACTATCTCTCCTTTTTTATATTTATAATTCATGTCTTCCCTATTGTTTTCTAAAACCCAGATAAATCTGTTTTTAAATTAATCTTCTCCAAGAACAATATTTTAAAATATTTTAAAAATTACCTTCTCATTTTCTATTTCATTGATTTATATTCTTATCTATATTATTTCTCTCATTCTGTTTACTTTTTATATAATCTATTATTCTTTTTCTAGTTTAAGGTGGAAACTTGGGCCATTAATTTCTTTTATCTGTTCCTAATATTTGTGTTCAATGTTACAAACTTTCATCTAAGCACTGGTTTAGCTCTATTTCAAAAGTGTGATATATCAGGCTTTTTTGTGTGTTTTCTTTCAGCTCAAAATATTTCTAATTTTCTTTATGATTTCTTCTTTGAATCAGAAGTTATTTAGAAGTTTGTTTTAAAATTTTGGAACATTTAAAAAAATTACTTATGTTTTTCTATCATTTAAAGATCTTGATATGAAATAATACTGAATTTAGGGTGGGCCTGAAATCCAATGACATGTGCTTTTGTAATAAGAGAGATTATGGCCCTGCTCACACCTTGTTTTGGACATCTGGCCTCCAGAAATGTAAGAAGATACATTTATTTTTTTTAAGCTACCTGCTTTATCGTAATTTGTGATGACATCCCTAGTAAACCAATACAGATTTTTGGTATTAAGAAGTTCAGTGCTGCTGAAACCAATATCTAAATGTGTGTGTGCATATATTTTTCAAATATACAATTTCACCAAATTGTAAATTTCAATATATTTTATTGCATTAAAAGCATACCTAAATAATGCTGACCAAAAAGTGTTACATCAGATATCTACTTCTAGAAATATAAGATAAACATACTTTTCCTTATTTGTTTCGTTAAATGGCAGTGACAACACTTAATAAAAAAAATGGGAAGACTTTGAAGTGTATAGCAAAAACAACAGATGACATAGGGATTTCAGGACCCAAGAAACAAAACAGTTTTGAATTCCCTGATTTGTTCCCCTTTTCTTGTCTTTCTTTTCTTTTCCTTTCTTTTCTTTCTTTTCCTCTCTCTCTCTTTCTTATAAATGGGAAAGGGTAAAATGACATAAAGGGAAGTAAGCTTTCTGAACTTCACGTGAAGTGGTAAAATTATTGATACTAATATATTGTGGCAAGTTACATTTATTTAATGTATAATAATACTTAGACAACCACTATGATACCCTATACAAAGAGAAATATTCACAACAATAAATACAAATGGAATCCTAAAAAATACTCAAGTAACCCACAGAGGATAAGAAAAAGATACTTGAATAATGAAAAATAGAAATAATAAGCAGTAAACAAAAAATGAAATGAAAGATTTAAGCCCTGACATATCAATAAACACACTAGTAAGTGGTCTCAATATACCAATTAAAAGACAGAGATTGACAGAGAGGATGCAAAACTTGAAGTAACTATATGCTATTTACAAGAAACTCACTTCAAATTAAATGACACAGGTAGGTTGAAAGTAAAATTATATAAAAATATGTATCATGAAAACATGAATTAAAATAATATAAATGACTATGTTTATATCAGACAAAATAGGTCCCTAAAATATAGAGCAATATTATACAATGATAAAAGGGTCAATGCACCAAGATGATGTAGTAATTCTAAGTGTGTATCCACTAAATAGAATATTAAAATATATAAAGCAAAAACTCATAAAACTGAAATAGAAGCATACAAATCAACAGTGATAGTTAGAAACAGGAGCATCCCTCTCTCAGCAAATGATAAGACATACAAAGAGAAAACCAGCAAGGATACAGAACATATTAATACTACCAAACAACAGTATTTAACTGACACTTACAGAATACTCTGCTCAACAACAGTAGAACAGATATGCTTTTCAAGTAACCATGAAAGGTATATCAAGATAGAACATATCAGATGCCATAGTATAAGCCTCAAAAATTTTAAAATAATTTAAATCTTATATGTATGTTCTCTGACAATGGAATAAAATTAGAAATCAATTAACAAAAGATAAAATACATTTTTCAAATGGCTTGAAATAAACAATACACTTCTAAATGATCCAAAGGAAGTCTCAAGGGACATAAGAAAATACATATAATTGAATAAAATGAAAATACAACTTAATATGTGAGATACAGCTAAGATAGTGATGACAGGAAAACATATAGCACTAAATACTTACATTAGAGAAGAGAAAAATATTGAAAATCAATAGTATGTTATTATCTCCAGAAAGTAGAAAAAGAGAAGCAAAATAAAATAAAGCAAGTATAAAGGTGATGATGAAGAGAAGAGCAAAAATTAATGACATTCAAAACAGAAAAACAATAGGGAAAATAACTGAAAGAAAGAGATGATTATTTGAATAAAAAATCTTTAAAATTAACAAACCTGTGTCAAGACTGGCAAAGATAGAGAGAGAACACACAAATTACTAATATTAGGGATGAAAAAGGGGCTATCACTACAGACCCTACAAATATCATAAGTAAAGTAAAGAAATACTACAAACAACTCTACACACCTAATTTCATAAGTTAGAAAACATGGGCTAATTCCTTAAAAATACAAAAACTACTATAACTCATCAAATATGCAAAGAGAATGTGACTAGCCCTACAACAATTAAGGACATTTCATTTATAATTATTACAATTAAAAACAGAAAAGCAACAGAGAACAATCAATGAAACAAGGCCTGGTTTTCAGAAAAAAAGTTATAAAATTGATGAGCTTATAGCAAGACTGATGAAAATGTAGAGAGGAAACATAAATAAACAATATCAGGAATAAAACAGGAAATGTGACTGTATATGACTTAATATATAACTACAGTAATACAGACAATGCTGTATTAGTGGACAGACAGACATATAGATCAGTAGACAGAATAGAAAATCCAGAAATAAACCCATTCAATATACTCAACTGTTTTGATCAAAGTGCAAATACAATTCAATGGAGGAAAAATGGCCTTTCTACAAATTGTCCTAGAATAACTGGACCACCATAGGCAAAAAAATAAAACTTTACTTTAACTCCACACTTTATAAAAAATTAACTAGAATGGGTCACACTTAAGTTTATAATGTAAACTTATACAACTATTAGACAGAAACAGAAAAAAAAATCATTGGGACCTGGGGCTAGGCAAAGAGGTCTTAGATTTGAACTAAAAGCATAATTCATAAACATTTTCAAAAGTAGATTGAACACCCTCAAAATTAAAGGGATCGCTATGCAAAAGACCCTTTTAAAATGATACTGTGATCTGAATGTTGATGTTCTGCCCAAATTCATATGTTGAAATTTAATTTCTAGTGTGACAGTATTAAGAGGTGAGGCCTTTAAGAGCTGATTATGTCATGAGGGCTTTGCTGTCATTAATGGGATTAGTATCTTTATAAAAGACGGCTGAGAGAGCTCGCTTGCCTCTTCCACCATGTGAGAACCCAGCAAGAAGACCCCACTGATGAAGCAGAGAGTAAGACCTCACCAGACACCAAATCTCCTGGCACCCTGATCTTAGACTTCCCAGCCTAAAGAGCTATACAAAATACATTTCTGTTGTTTATAGATTATTCAAACTAAGGTATTTTGTAATAGTAGTTTGAACAGACTAAGACAGATGACAAAAAGACAAGCTAAGGAAGGGAAGAAAATATTTGAGACCACATAACTGACAAAGGACTTTTATCTAGAATAAATACACAAAATAGTCACAAAATTCATCAGTAAAATAATAAGCAATCTAAAATTATTTAAATATATGACAAGTTGTTATATTTAAGATAATTTACAGATGATAATAAGCACATGGAAAGGTGATCAACATTGTAACCTGTTAAGAAAACATAAATTAAAACTACAATGAGATATCACTACACATTTCTCTGAATAGATAAAATAAAAAACTTGTGACAATACCAAATGCTGAAGAGAATGCAGACAAACTGGGTAACTTATACATTGTGAGTAGGAATGTAAAATGATATAACTACTCTGGAAGAGTATAGCAATTTCTTACAAAATAATCAATGCGCCTACCATGATACCCAACAATTGCACCGTTGGGAGCTTATTTCAGAGAAATAAAAAATTACGTTAATACAAAAATTTGTATAAAATTTTTCCCAATAAATTTATTCATAATAGGAAAATAATTGAAAATAACCTGTAAGTTCATAGACATTTACATGGCTAAGCAAATTGTGATACATCCATACCATGGAAAGCTATTCAGCAATAAAAATGAAAAAATTATTTATGTATACAAAAACTTGAAGGGATTTCAGGGAGTTATGCAGAATGAAAAAAGCCAGCCTCAAAGGTCACATGCTACATGTTTCTGTTTATATAACATTCTTGAAATGACAAAATAATAGATGTGAAAAACAGATTAGTGGTTTTCAGGGATTAGGGATGGTGAGGATGGAAGGGGGGAATATAAGGTGTAGCATGAGTGAAGTCTTCATGGCAATGGGATAGTTCTACATCTGAGCTGTGGTGCTGGTTACACAGCTATACACATGTGACAAAATGGCACATAACTTTTCACAAATATTGCACCTATGTCAATATCCTGGTTCTGATATTGTTTGATTATTATGTATAATATAATTATTGGAGGAAACTGGGTGAACAGCAGAAGGCATCTCTCTGTCCTATTTTTCCTGTGAATCTATAATTATTTCAAAATAAAATGTCTTTTAGAAAGGACTAGAATGAGCAAATAAAACATCTGATTCTAAAAACAAAATTTGTATATCATATTAACAAGAGTGTTGATTGATTAGAGGTAAGGGAATCAGTGGTAAGCTAATTTTTACAAATTTCGTAAGGAGAAGGAGCTTCTTTGATTAATAACAGAAAGATTTATAAATATTTTATCATCATTATACAGTTTATTATATTATGTATCAGGAACATATGTGTGTGTGTGTGTGTGTGTGTGTGTGTGTGTGTGTATGTGTGTATTTTTTTTTTGACAGAGTCTCACTCTATTGTCCAGGCTGGAGTGCAATGATGCGATCTCAGCTCACTGCAACCTCAAGTGATTCTCCTCCCTCAGCTCCCAAGTAGCTGGAATTACAGGCACACACCACCATGCCCAGCTAATTTTTTGTAATTTTAGTAGAGATGGGGTTTCACCACCTTGGCCAGGCTGCTCTCAAACTCCTGACCTCGTGATCCACCCGCTTCGGCCTTCCAAAGTGCTGGGATTACAGGTGTGAGCCACCACACCTGGCCTGTTTTGATTCTTAAAAATGAAACCAAAAAAAAGGAGATAAACTGCTTAAAAGAAGAAACCAATAAAGAAGGGGCATGAGGCAAAGGTAGTAGTAGTCTTTTGAGTAAGTGCCCTTGTAGAGTTTCTAATGAAAGCATCATCCTTCATTAGTGAAAAGAAATATTTTCACTTGTCACTGTAGAAAACAAGAGAAAGAAAGGTATAGATAGAGGGAAAATATTCAGAAAGCTTAATAGCTCCAGAAAAATAAGAAAGCAGTCAGCTCTTCCTAGCAAAGAAGGAGATGATATTCTGGGCTTAAGAGGAGTCAAGCGGGTTTTAAATAGCTGCTGCATCTAGCAGAATAGAGTGGTGACTGCAGAGACATGGAGGCCAAGGGAGAAGCATGAGGAGCCAAGCTGTAGTTTGAGTATGAAATTATAGTTAAGTTGTTATACTCAATTATAGTATTGTTATACTCAATTATAGTTACTTTATATACATAAATGAGGAACACTTTGCTAAAATACAGAAAACTTCCCTTTTTTTCACGTCTACATTAATAGTGACTTCTTTTTGCAAGGCTGAAAGGAAAAAAATTCAGGACAGATGAAGGTACATTGGTGAGAGGGGTTTATTCAAGAAATCACTTTTTATTTTCTACTAAAAATAGTATTACATAATAATTTGAATTACCAATACTGGTTTTTTAGTCTTCCACTGGTGGGGAAACTATTCATAAATTATTTTGAATATATGATCAGAAACTGGAAATGCTGTATCACTTTGCCACACTTTCTTGTTTTAGCATGGTTAGAAAAAAAATTTTTAAGTTAATCTATGGCCAAGATAGGGGGACTTGCTCTTGTCTTTGTTTTCTTTGGCCCAAACAACAAAACTGTATAGCCATATGACATTCCCACTTCTGCCAACTATCAACTCCCAGAGCTAGATGAGTCGAGATTAACCATGTTACTTTGCTGTTGAGTTTTGTAACTTGGTTATGTGTTAAGTAAGAACAACAGGATATAAAACTACATGACCAGAATTTTGACAGGAAGACTTGGAGGAGGTGAAGAGGGAAAGGAAAGGGAGACAGAAGGAAAAATGAAAGGGAGGTGTGTGTGTGTGAGAGAGAGAGAGAGAGGGAGAGTGAGAGAGAGAGACAGAGACAGAGTCAGAGAGAGAAAGGGAGAATAGGCCTCCAAGAAATACATTAATATTTTGGCATTGTTCATCTGTAGGTAGTAATAAAACAATGTTTTATTTATTTGTACTTTCTCATGTATTTCATTTCATGATCAGGAAAATATGAAAGTCCTTATTTTTAAAACTTAGAGGAGGCCAGGCGCGATGGCTCACGCCTGTAATCCCAACACTTTGGGAGGCCGAGGTGGGTGGATCACAAGGTCAGGAGTTCAAGACCAGCCTGGCCACCTTGGTGAAACCCTGTCTTTACTAAAAATACAAAAATTAGCCAGGTGTGGTGGCATGCCTGAAGTCCAAGCTACTCAGGAGACTGAGGCAGGAGAATTTTTGAACACAGGAGGCATAGGTTGCAGTGAGCCAAGACTGCGCCACTGCACTCCAGCCTGGGCAACAGAGCGAGACTCTGTCTCATAAAAAACAAAAAAACAGAAACAAAAACCAAACCAAAACAAACAAACAAAAAAACAAGACTTAGGGGAAATCATGTTTTTCCTCATTTTTGCTCTACTATCATTTGGGCCAAATTAAAAATTAATATAAATTCAGTTTTCAGCATTATATATATTTGACAAATGAGAAGTGCATATATTTAAGGCATATAGCTTGATATTTTGATATATGTATATATTGTAAAATGATCACCACAATCAAGCTAATTAACATATCTGATACCTCACATACTACCATTTATCTCCCTCCCTCCTTTCTTCCTTCCTCTTTTTCTTTCTTCTTAAAGAGAACACTTAAGGTCTTCCCTCTTAGCAAATTTCAAGTGTGCAACACAGTACTGATAACTATAGTCACTATGCTGTATATTATTATCTCCAGAATTTATTCATCTTTCATAAATGAAACTTTGTAACTTTAGACAAACATCTCAGCCTCCCACTCAGGCAATCCCATTCTACTCTCTGCTTCTATGAGCTTGACTGTTTTTGATTCCATATGTGAGTGAGATCATGTAGTTGTCTTTCTGTGTCTGGTTTATTTTACATAACACAAGGTCTTCCAGGTTCATACTGGCTTATTTCACATAACACAAGGTCTTCCAGGTTCATACATGTTGTCACATATTGCAGGACTTCCTTCTTTTTAACACAGAATAGTATTCCATTGTGTATATTTTGCAAATTTTCTTTCTCCATTCATCCATTGCTGGACACTTGGGTTGATTCCATATATTGACTATTGTGACTAACAATGCAAGGAACATGGGAGTGCAGGTATTTCTACAGCATGCTAACTTCATTTCCTCTGTATCTATACCCACAAGTGGATTTGCTGGATCGTAAAATAGATGATATATTTTACAATTTTGAGAAACCTTCATACTGTTTTCCATAACGGTGGTACCAATTTACATTCCCATAAAAAAGGTTCCTTTTTACCAGCATCCTCACCAACGCTTATTATCTTATATCTTTTTTGGTAATATCCTGTCCAATAAGTGTGAGGTGATATTTCACTGTGGTTTTGATTTGCATATCACTGATGATTAGTGATACTGAACACGTTTTCATGTGCCTCTTGGCCATTTGTATGTCTTCTTATGAGCGATGTAAATTTGGGTCCTTTACATATTATTGTTATTTACATATTTATTATTTTTCTGTTGATGTTGCTTTGGTTGGTAGATTATCTTTTCACTCTCATGATTGTTTCCTTTGCTGTGCAGAAGCTTTTTAGTTTGATGCTATCTCATTCTCTATTTTTGCTTTTATTGCCTATATTTTGGTCATGTCCAAAAACAAGTTTCCAAGACCGATGTGAAGAAACTTTTCCCTTGTTTTCTTCTAGTTTACACTATCAGGTTTTACATTTAAGTATTTAACACATTTGGAGTTGATTTTTGTATATAGTATTAGCTACGGGTCTAATTTCATTTTTCTGCATGTGGATATCCAGTTTTCCCTACATAATTCATTGAAAATTCTATCCTTTCACCATTGTATATTCTTGGCACTGTGTTAAAGATCAGTTGACTGTAAATGCTTGGACTTATTTTTGGGTTATGTATTCTTTTCCATTTGTCTATACATCTGGTGTGTGTGTGTGTGTGTGTGTGTGTGTGTGTGCCAGCACTATACTGTTTGATTACTGTGGCTGTGTAATACATTTCCAAATCAGTAAGTGTCATGCCACAAGCTTTGCTATTTTTGCTCACAATTGCTTTGGCATCATCTGTGGTTTCATGTTAATTTAAAATTGTTTAATCAATTTCTGTAAACAGTGTCACTGGGATTTTGATAGAGCTTGCATTGAATTGCTAGATTGCTTTGCGTAGTAATATGATTTGGCTTTGTGTTCACACCGAAGTCTCATCTCAAAGTGTAATCACCACACGTTGAGGAAGAGACCTGGTGGGAAATGATTGGATCATGGGGGTGGTTCCCCCGTGCTGTTCTTATGCTAGTGAGTGAGTTCTCATGAGATCTGATGATTTTGAAGTGGCAGTTTCCCCTGCTCTTGCTCTCTCTCCTGCTGCCATGCCTTGCTTCCTGTTACCTTCTGCCATAATTGGAAGTTTCCTGAGGCCTTCCCAGCCATGCAGAGCTGTGAGTCAATTAAATCTCTTTTTTAAAAAAAAAAATATAATATAAAATAAAATAATCCAGTCTCAGGCAGTCTTTACAGCAGTGTGAAAATGGACTAATACAGAAAACTGGTACTGGGAGTGGGGCCCTGTTATAAAGGTAACCTGAAAATGTGGAAGCAACTTTGGTACTGTGTAATGGGCAGAGATTGGAACAGTCCTGAGGGCTCAAAAGAAGACAGCAAGATTAGGGAAAGTTTGAAACTTCCTAGACACTTTTTGAATGGTTTTGACCAAAAATGCTGATAGTGATATGTATAATGAAGTCCAGGCTGAGGTGGTCTCAGATGGAGATGAGGAGCTTATTGGGACCTGGAGCAAAGGTCACTCTTGCTATGCTTTAGCAAAGAGACTGGTGGCATTTTGCCCCTGCCCTACAGATCTGTGAACTTTGAACTTTAGATATATAATTTAGGATATCTGGCAGAAGAAATTTCTAAGCAGAAAAGCATTCAAGATGTGACATGGCTGATTCTGAAAGTGTTCAGTCATATGTGTTCACAAAGAGATTAACTGAAACTGGAAATTTTATTTAAAAGGGAAGCAGAGCATAAAAGTTTGGGAAATTTCCAGCCTGACCATAAGGTAGAAAAGAAAAATCCATTTTCTGGGGAGAAATTCAAGCCTGAAGCAGAAATTTGCATAAGTAATGAGGAGCCAAAGGTTAATAGCCAAGACAATGGAGAAATGTCTCCAGGGCATTTCAAGGATCTTTATGGCAGCCCCTCTCATCACAGGCCTGGAGGCCTAAGAGGGGAAAAATGGATTCATGGGGTAGGGCCAGGACCCTGCTGTCCTGTGCAGCCTCAGGACATGGCATTCTGCATCCCAGCCACTCCAGCTCCAGCTGTAGCTAAAATGGGCCAAGGTACTGTTGCTTCAGAGGGTACAAAGCCCAAACCTTGGTGGTTTCCACATGGTGTTGGGACTGCAGGTGTGCAGAAGACTAGATAGAGTTGAGCTTTGGCAACTTCCACCTAGATTTCAGAGAATGTATGAAAATGCCTAGATGTGAAGGCAGAAGTCTGCTGTGGGACAGAGCACCTATGGAGAACATCTACCAGGGCAATGCAGAGGGGGAAGGGCTGAAGCCCCCACACAGAGTCCCCACTAGGGCACTGCCTTTGGGGTGAGAAGAGGTCTTCCAGATCCCAAGATGGTAGATCTACTGACAGCTTTCACTGTGCACCCAGTGTCTCAGGCACTCAATGCCAGTTTGTGAAAGTAGCCACAGGGTCTGTATTCTGTACAGCCACAGGGGCAGAGCTGCCCAAGGCCTTGGGAGCCCACCCCTTGCATCAGTGTGGCCTGGATGTGAGACATGGAGTCAAGAGAGATCATTCTGGAGCTTTAACATATAATGACTGCCCTGCTGGATTTCAGACTTGCGTGGGTCCTATAGCCTTTTGGTTTGACCAATTTCTCCCATTTGGAACAGGAACATTTACCCAATGCCTATACCCCTATTGTATCTTGGAAGTAACTAACTTGTTTTTGATTTTATAAGTTCATAGGTGGAAGGGACTTGCCTTGTCTCAGATGAGACTTTGGACTGTGACTTTTGAGTTAATGCTGGGATGAGTTAAGACTCTGGGGGACTCTTGGGAAGGTGTGATTTTATTTTGAAATCAAAATACAATGAGAAGGACATGAGATTTGGGAGGATGGAATTATATGGTTTGGCTTTGTCTCCACTCCCAAATATCATCTTGAATTGTAATCCCCATGTATTGAGGGAGGGACCTGGTGGGAGGTGATTGGATCATGGGGATAGGTTCCCCCATGCTGTTCTTGTGATAGTGAGTGAGTTCTCATGAGAGCTGATGGTTTAAAAGTGTCAGTTTCCCCTGTGCTCACTCACTCTCCTGCTGCCATGTAAGATATGCCTTGCTTCCCCTTCACCTTCCTCCATGATGGCAAATTTCCTGAGGCCTTCCCAGCCATGCAGAACTGTGAGTCAATTAAACCTCCTTTTTAAATAAATTACCCATACTCGGGCAGTTCTTTATAGCAGTGTGAAACAGACTAATACAAGTAGCACGAACATCTTAACAATTTTACCTCTTCCAACATGAACAAGGGAAGTCTTTCTATTTATCTGTGTCTGTAAAAAATTTTCTTTATCAAGGTTTTATACCATTTTGCATATCAGTCTTTACCCTTTTTGGTTACCTTTATTTCTAAGTATTTTATTCTTTTGTTGTTATTTTAAAAGGTATTGTTTTCTTAATTTCATTTCTGAATAGTTAATTGTTGATGCATAGAAATAACAGATATTTTTGCTATGTTGATATTGTACACTGCAACTTTATTGAAATTGCTCATTAGTTCTAATAGGATTTTTTGTTGTCTTTAGGGTTTTCTTTTGAAAATGCCATCTGCAAACATCTTATTTTACTCTTTTCTTTTGAATGTGGATGCCTCTTATTTATTTTCTAATTGCTTTAGTGAGGACTTTCAGTACTATGTTGAATAGAAGCAGTGAGCATGGGCATCCTTGCATTTTGCCATATCTTACAGAAAAAGCTTTTAATTTACCCCCATTGATTATGACATTAATCTGGGCTTCTCATATATAATCTTTATTGCATTGAGGTACCTATTTGGCTGAGAGCTTTTTTATTGATACATAACAATTGTACATATATATGGGATACCTGTTATATTTTGGCTCCTGTATACTACGTGCAATGATCAAGTCAGAGTATTTAGGATATCCATAGTCATTCCTATGTGTTAGGAATATTTCAAGACCTCTCTTCTAGCTATTATGAAATATACAATACACTGCTGTTAACTCTAGTCATACTACTCTTCTATTGAACATTCAAACTTTTTCCTTTTGTCTAACTGTATGTTTGTCCCTATTGATAAACAAACCTCTTTTGATCCCCTGGCCCCCTACACAACCCTCCCAGCCAATGCTAACTATCAGTTTACTCTTTACCTCCATGAGATTAATTTTTTTAGCTCCCACATATGAGTGAGAATATGTGATATTTATCTTTCTGTGCCTGGTTTATTTTAGTCTAGCTAAATTTTTGTCATATTTTTTATCCTTTCAAAAATCCAAGTCTTAGTTTTATTGATTATTTTCCTAATTTTTAAAACTCTCTGTTTGATTTATATTTGCTCAAAATTTTACTAATCCTTTCCTTCTGCTAGCTTTGGGCTTAATTTGTTCTTTCTGTAGTTCCTTAAGGTATAAAGTTAGGTTGTTTATTTTACATCTTTCTTCATATTTAGTGTAGTCATTTAATGCTATAAACTTTTTCCTTAGTACTTCCTTCTCTGCATCCCAAAAGTTTTGGTATGTTGTGTCTCTTCTGTTGAGGTATTTTTAAAATTCTCTTTTGATTTCCTTTTTGACCAATGGTAAACTTGACATAAATATTCATTCAAATTTAAGTTGAAGCTTTCTTTTTAATGTTACTTTACATAATTTGTGAATATATTTTACACTGATCATGTCTCAGTATGAGACACAATGTTTTAAAGAATAAACAGATGAGATAAAATGGCATATTAGTAAAATAATAGTGTCAAATGTAGGTGTATATCATATAATCTGTATCACAAACAGACATAAAGATAGATATATCCACACTTCTAAAATTTGCATCTGCATATTTTTGCCTAGGTTGCTGAAATAAAATGTACTCTTGATGATTTTGGTAAACAACTAGTTTTATTATCACAGTTTGGAAAGTGGTACGAAATAGCAATTATTAATAATTGTCCTTGGTTTTTGGATAAAAATGCTATTACCTGTGGAACACAGAGTTATTGTGAAATGGTGACATTGTCTTTTACTTCTTATGGATTAATAAATCTTTATTCCAAAGGAATATGTTATAATAATAGCTTACTTTTAAAGTGCTCTATATAATGCTGCATATACTTATTTTCTCTTATAAAATATTACTCTCGCTTACCAAGTGCAGAATATGAAAATGGAAAAGAGTAACTTACAATGGAGGGAACTGGAAGACATATCATTAACCACATTATTAAGGTTAATATTACCAGTAATAAGTCATGAGGATATCATCTACTTGCTGACATGATGTAATAAGGACATTTCATCTCTTGGACATTTTTTCCCCAAAATCCCTAGACCCAGTCTAATCTTTAGAAAATCATAAAGGTCAAGTTGAGGATTACGTTAGAAAAGATCTTCAATGATCACCAATGATCTTCAAAATTGTCAGAGTAATGAAAAGTTAAAGACCAAAAAACTGTCACAGACCAGAGGAGACTAGGAGATGTAATGTCTGAACACAATGTGGTCTTCTGAATTGGCTCTTAGAACAGAAAAAAGACAATAATGAAAAAACTGGCGAAATCCAAATAAACTTTGAAGTTTAGTTAACAGTACTTTACCAAAGATAATATACTAACTTGACTTATATAAGATGTTAACGTTAGGGGAAACTGGGGGTAAGGACTTTACACAATCTTCGCAACTTTCCTCAAAATCTAAAATTATTCCAAAAAAGATTCATTAAAAATTAGAATATTAACGAGTCCTCCTCATGTTCAGAAGAAGGGAAAATAAAAGGAAATTTACATCTCTAAATTTTTACAAATAGTAATGCTATTACCAAAATTTTAGTGGAACATCTAAGTCGTTATCAAACTTTGCTTTAAATTATATATTGTTCCCATTTTCCTAGCAAGTGAACAGCAGAGAATTAGTACTCAGAATATAATGCCATATTGTAATAAGTGTTTATTTTCTAAGTCCTAGCTAAGAAAAACATAAAGCCAAACATGCTTGTAATCCCAGCACTTTGGGAAGCCGAGGCGGGCAGATCACTTGATCCCAGGAGCTGGAGACCAACCTGGGCAACATGGAGAAGCCCTGTCTCTACTAAAAAAAATAAAAATACAAAAATTAGCCGGATGTGGTCGCACGTGCCTGTAGTCCCAGTTACTTGGGAGGCTGAGGCAGGAGAATCGCTTGAACCTAGGGGATGGAGGTTGTAGTGAGCAGAGATCGTGCCACTGTACTTCAGCCTGGGCAACAGTGAGACCCTGTCTCAAAAACAAAACAAAAAAACAAAAAACTTCTGTGTGCTCAGTTCCATACAGTGTATTTAAATAGTAGGTTATAACACAGAAGTTCCTTGGTGAATGCAATTTGTGAAATAATAATACTAAGATATGTATTACACTGCTAGGTTTTGTCTTATGTCCAAAACATTCATACTGAAGTGATTACAGGCTATTCACTTATTAAAAATACACTGACATTTTTATTTTTCCCATATCATTCAGAAATAAAACTATTTTATCCAGAAATTTGCTGCCAAGAAAAATGCCAAAATATGTCCTTGAATAATTAATATTTTGGAAAACATTAATAGTTATGTAATAATTTCATCCTTAATACTACATTGATATATATAAATAAATGATATAAATAAATGCTGCCTCATTTTAGGGTCCATTCTGAACACCCAATCTAAGGCAATCCCCTCACCATCTAGACTGCTTATTATTTTAATATCTATGTATTTTTAGTACTTATCATAATTTTTTGTTGAACATTTCAGAAAAAGTTATTTAAACTGTGCCTAGAACACAGTTAATGCTTTAAATTACTTGTAGTATTCATATATAAATATATATTAATATATAAACATATATTTATATATATTTAAATATATATTAATATATAAACATATATTTATATATATTTAAATATATATTTATAAATGTATAGATAATAAACATATATTTAATATTTATATTAAATATATATTTAAATATATATTTAATATTTATATATTTATAAATATATATTGATATATTTTTACAGGATTTTATACTTATATATTATATTTATATATTATATTATATATATTTATATATTATTTTATTTTATATTTATATATTATATATAATTACATATAAATTATATATTTATAATATATAAATATATATATATATTAGGGTATCTAAATATTTCCATACCAATGTGTAGACTCAAAAAACTAGTTCTAAAAATTAATGTGTTATTGCTGACAGTAGAAAGTAACACCATATAAAAGGGGTACTAATCACGATATCTAATTCACACAAGTCTCTTATACTGCAGCATAGCCCTCAAATGTAATTAGATACTATAATTTATATAACTTTAACTTCTAATTTATATGATATGTTTTGCTTACATTGATGTGGTGAAATCACATAATTTTATAAATATGCATTCATTTAATAATTTGTTTATTTAATAAATATTCATTGAGTTCTTATAAGGTATAGGCTTTGTCTAGGCTTTCAGGATATAATGGTGAAAAAAAATAAACAAGTGTCTAACCCTCAAGAACTTAAAAATCTGTGGGAAAAGTAAATAGGAAACTTTTAAAAATTACAAATAATTTAAAATATTAACTATGTTCTAGGCACAGTTTAAATAGCTTTTCCTAAAATACTCAAAAATAAATTGTGATAAGTAATAAAAATATATAGAATATTAAAATAATAATGAGCAGTCTAGATTGTGAGGGGATTACTTTATATTGGGTGTTCAGAATAAACCTTAAAATGAGGCAGCATTTACTGAAGGAAAGGTGAAAAAAGTTAGCCATGCTAAAAGCAGTAAAAAATATTCTAGAAAATGTTATTATTACAGGCACCTAACTTAATAAACGAGAGATTAAAATGTGTAATGACTAGAAGGAATGTTATAGGAACAGGTTTTATCATAAGACTTCATTATCACTGGCCTTGGTAAACAAAAGAGATTAGAATTTTCAAGGACAAGTGGGTGGAGACTTAAAACATGGATGTTGTGCAAGTGTACCCTAGAATTTAAAGTATAATAATAATAATAATAATAAAAGAAGCCAAAAAAAAGAAAGCATGGGGAAAGTCTTAGCATGCGCTTAGTATGTGCGAGACATACTACATTATTTATATGGGTTATCTTATTTAGATCTTACATCCACAGAATGTGGTTTTAAAAACCAGGTGAATATTTCAAAGGTTACATAACTTGCTAAAAGCCATAAAGCTAGTTTAAGAGATTTATCCAGGATTCCAAACCAGCAGCCTAATCATCACAATTATCATATCATCACAGTGACTGCCGTCATTTTATTACTATTAACTGCAGATTTCTATCTGAATGTTTTTGTCAGTCTCCATGTTTTAGAACTCTCTTGAATCACTCCAGTGGAGATTCTCCTAATATTTCTATGTTTTCAAAATTTCAAAAACAAATTGTTGAGATTAATTAGTAAGGGTCTGGGAAGACTTGGCTTTGATAACTAACATTAAATAAGACAAAAAAGAAAAAATTAGCAAATTCTATAAACTCTCTCAAGGAAGATCTTTTAGCAAAAACTTAATAGCCAGTTCTATTGTTTACATATTGATTTGTGGGTGTTTACTTATCTGTTTATCAATGAAGAGTCATAATCTACAAAGTATATTCTGCAGTTTTCAAACCAATTATTGTTCTTTGTTTGAGTTTTCTAGCAAGAATCTTAGTTGGCTTGAATAATAAGTTTTCAAAATCTTTATGTATGACTGAAGCAAGCTTGTCTAAATCTTTTAGAATTTGAACATGTTGGGTTCATGTAGAAATAAATAAACAATTGCCACGTAACTGTTTCTTTTAGGTAGAAACCAAAGAACTCTGACAGAAGTTATTTCTGTTTTGAAGAATTATTATAATTTTTTTAAAAAAAATTCTGTTTTGATTTAGAGATAAAAGACCTTTGAAAAAATTCCAAACAGCTTCACATAAGCTTCAGAGTTTGAGAAAGCTTACCTCGCTGAATTAAACATTAGATACTTTTGATGTGTGAGTGTTTCTTCCTCAATCTTCGAAAGAGCCTTGCTTAAATATTTAAGCCACAGTATACAGTGTCAAGTTTAAAAAGAAGAACTTTTACATCGAACTTGAAAATAATAAATTCAAGCTTCAGTTAAGCATTTGGATGGATTTGGGAAGCATCACAGGGACTCATGCAGGTGATGGTCTGGTAGAATTAGAAGTAATGTTTTCCTTCATACATACACTTTGCAATAAGTCTGAAGCAAATGCAGACCATTTTTCTCCTAGGATTCTTCACAGTTTCTGCCATTAGTCATACCAAGCATATGGAAATAGAAATATAAATTTTAATGTAGCATGTATTTCCAGAGGATGTAGGGCTATGATAGGAGAACCTCTTTTACTGTCTATTCTTAAGTCATTAAACAACATGACTATCATGGTGTTCAGTAAATTCACTTTTCCAGTCTGACCTCCCTCCTAAATTGCTCATCTCACATATTAACAGGGCAGAGCAGTTCCTTTTTACCTCAAATTCTTGAAATAAATTAAGACACCATCTCTAAGTATTTCATTTTCACCTCCTATTTTCCTATGAGTACAACAAATTGGAAAATTTAAAGACATTTTTAATACTCTTTTCTTTCAAATATACATTGTCATCATTTCTAGATATTATTCTTTACACAAATGTGTTGATTCATCCATTCTGACCCATTCTCACCATAATCAAGAGTCCTACCACTTCACAATAGTTTTATTGGAACATCCTGTTAGCTAGGCTAAGATTATTTTATTCTTTTCTAAATGACTCTAAAAGTGTTACTAGATTATTTTAGTAGTTACTTTTAAAAGCGCTTTGTAAAACAGTTGCAGTCTAAGCTTTCATTCCATATTCATGAAACCCTTTTCTAACTATTGTAACAAATCCTAAAACTATATCTCTTACAAACAAATATTTAAGGTATTCTTTAATTCAATATACATTTGTTTACACCTTCTTCATATCAGTCATAGGCATGATGTACCCCCAAACTATTTATGTGTCCTTCACACAGAATATTTGTGTGGATCTTGTCCCTGTGGAGTTTAACCATGGAGTCACGACAAAGTATAACCTCAGTGCTTAGCACATGGCTATAAACATATTAAACACCCGATAAATATTTGTTGAAATAATGAATGAATGCATAGAGAAATAATGGTGAAATGATTGATTTGAAAAGGTAACAACAGAAAGCTGTGTGTACAAAGGTAGCATGAAAGACCGGAAAACTGATTTTCTCTAGGTACTTAAGAAAGGCTTCATTACTTGATATTGAAGCTAAGTCTCAAAGGGTAATAGATGCTAAGGGCATTTCAGGCAATGGATATATGTAAAATTCCCAATCATAAAGTAACCTAGAGGTTTGAGAACCAGCAATCATTCTGCGATTTTGTAGGCTTCAGGGACCGCAACAGTCAAGTAGTGGTAGGTGGGATTTTAGTCACCAGAGCTCATCTGTGACTATGGCTGTAGCGTTTCTAAAAGGAATAAAAACAAAAGATTCAGTTTTAAAAAGAAAATTCAGGCAGTGGGGGGTGGGTTCGCGGGGCTACAATAGAGTGACAATAAATTATGCACAGAAGAAACCAGTAAAACACATACGTATTTATCCAGTCAAGACCTGATGAGATAATGAGATGAGATGGTGGCATGAGCATTAGAGTGGATGAAGCAGAATTGACAGGTTTCTAAGTTAGAATAAAAGGGAAGAAGGATTTGCAGATGGAACTTGAGGGAAGGGGTTAAATATAGGAAGAACTGTAATTTTCTGCCTTGCATAACTCAGCAAAGATTTATGCTCTTAAAAATAAGTGGATAGAACGTGCAAAATGTATTTAAACATTTCCCGTGGAATTGATTGCTCCAAATTGGATTGTAAGCCTAATGGAAGTTTAAACCAAATATTATACTTGTTTTATGTGGATTAAAACTTACATTAACAAAAAACTTGAAACTTTCTGTAACTTCACATTCTGGTATATACTAGGTTGCCAATTCAAAGAGTATATTATATAGTATTTATAAGTGTTTAAGAGAATGGGCTTAAGAATAATATGAACTTAGATTCATATAGGTTAAGTCTTGATTTCTTCATCTGTGAATTGATGACAATAGTCACTACTTCTTATAATATTTGGGCGGATTAAATGAGAAAACAGATGTAAAATTATAGTAACCACTCAAAATATTATTTAATATAAGTATTAATGAGTAATAATATTTATATTAGTATAATATTAATATTTATCAATAATGTATAATAGAAATATTTACATTTTTAAGCATTATAATTAAATTTTTTAAACAAAGAATAATTACCAAAAGTTTTTTATTTTTAATAATTTACATAAATTTTCTGCTTCATAGTACAAATACAATCATTTCTGGAAACTAAAATGTTAATCTTAATATTTTCTCCAAAATTATAGTTTGCCAAACATTTTCTTGGAAAGAAATATTGACTCATAAAATTGCTATCCAAAATGATTGTTTAAATTGCTATAAATGTTTGCATAATGCTTTCAATTTAGAAAAGGTTAGAGAGATTCACTACAGAGAATTATATTTGCATCACAATTTTAAAGAAAATTTGAGGCAAGAAAGAGTTGCGTTAACTGAAAAAGCCTTTTCTAAATATTGGAAAAAAAGGTTAAGTTTGAGGGCCTTGAAACAAGAAAGCTCATTACCTCTTTTAATAAGATGCTTTAGGAGGTTTACCGTGAGCCTCTCTGTGAGTGTGGAGAAAAAACTACATGGTGGAAATTTCAACACCTTGACAATCAATGTAGGAATGTCCTGGAAGACATGAAACATCAATATTTTTTGGTGCTTTCAAGCTTACATTGAAAATAGATTAAAACACATTATAAAGAAAAGATGAAAATTAACAGCGCATAACACAATACTTAAACACAGAATCATTGGTGTGAGAAAAATTTAAAAATTACTTTATTTAAATTACGTAAATTCTTGCCCTAGAGATAAAATACTATGATTGTCTTTAATCTGGATAGAGGGTAAAGGAAGCCACTGAAGAGACAGCAAATAACAAAATGTAGTAAAAATAATCTCAATAAAATTAAATTCAATAATATATTATATATAACATATATCTGGTATGAAGATAATGAATTAAGGCAGAACATTTAAAAGTATTAACTAGTTCAGGTGTATATTTTTCAACTGTCACAGAGATATCTTTAAGGTGATTGAGAAGCAGTGATAAGTATTGCAAACCACTAAATACAAACTTGTGAAGTTATTTACTGAATTCATTCATCTTTCTTAGTAATTTTTTGGTAGTATCTTTGAAGCAGATGATAACAAAGGTTCATTTGTTTAGTTTTTAGTTTCCTCCTCCTCATATGATTATCATAATGTTTTATGAATTGTTGACACAGCTGTAAAACACAGATTATTATGTAAGAAAAATACCTAAATACCTATGAATGCAAGTAATTATAACCATTACTATGAAAAATAAAATATAAATGAGTTTCAGAAAACAACTTACAAGGGCAAGGAGACGGGGTCATCTCCATGCTTTCCTTGTTCACTGTTGCAAACACAGCAGAGACTCTTCTCACTGGGGGTGGATGTATGCACTTGGAGAAAGCCATTCCAGCCCTTCCTGTGGCAGTTCTATCCCAGTTGAAAGTGAGTTTGTGCAGCTAGTTCTTGCATGAAGGATAGTGCTCAATTCCTGCTTCCTACACAGAGTAACAGCATCCCAGCAACAGAGGCAGACAAGCCAGAGTAGTCAGTTCTGGACTATGAGAAAAGGCTCTGCCCTGAGCCCAGTTAGGTGAAAGCTGCTAGAGGGGCATATTTGTAGTCCACAGCCACACAGGACGAAGTCTGTATAAACTGAAAGTCCTGAGCCCTGTGACAGGGGTGTGATAGGGAAGTGGATTGAATTATTGTCTTCCCACAATGAGGAGGTGTTGCATTCCCCAAGTCCAGCCCAGAATACCTTAGCACACTCCAACACAATCTCCCACCACCACTGGCCACATGAGAGCAGGTGCTTCTACTCATCATCACCTACCTGAGGGCAATCAAGCTCTTACAATTAACTGCCACCTACTGAACTGAAGCTTGAACTGCACAACCAAATAAAAAACTTGCTTCCAGAAGTGCATAGTGCTAGTGCAGTAGATAAGCATCCTGATACCTGCACATTCTCAGCCCTGCAGGAGAGAATTGTTGGTTCATGCATCCAATCTACTGCGAAACAAGTAGTATCAACGAAAACCACCAAACAAACAAACAAAAACCCCAACCAAGGAACCCATACAAATACTTGGCCTTCTAAAACAACCTAGAAATAAAGTTAAACAATCATACAAAACATAAACTACAGTCATACCCTCATGGGAAAAAAAGAATTTAAAAATATAAAAGTCCCATTCAAACAATAGCAGATTCAAAAATAAGAAGGAACAGCTCCTTCAGATGAGATGGAATTAGTGCAAGAATTCCAGCAGTGCAAAAAACAGAGTATAGTGATACCTCCAAAGGATTATACTAGCTCTCTAGTAATGACTCTTAATCAAAATAAAAAGTCTGAAATGACAGATAAATAAATCAAAATATGGACTGCCAGGAAACTCAATAAGATAAAAGAGAAAGTTGAAAACCAGCACATACAAAAACAGAAAAACAATTTAGGATATGAAAGATGGAATAGCTATATTAAAATAATAGAACTTCTGGAATTGACAAATTAACTAAGTGAATTTCAAAATATAGTTGGAAGCTTTAACAATAGACTAGACCAAGCAGAAGAAAGAATTTTAGAGATTGAAGAGTGGTCTTTTGAATAAAGCCAGTCAGACCAAAATAAATAAAAAAGAATTTTAAAAAATGAATATAGACTTCAAGAAATATGGGATTATGTAAAGTGACTGTACCTATGACTTATAGGCATTATTGAAAGAGAATAAGAAAAAATAAGCAATGTGAAAAATATATTTAGGAGAATAATCCAGAAAAAATTCCCTAATCTTGCTAGAGAGGTGGATATCCAGATTCAAGAAATTCAGAGAACACTTGTGAGATACTAAATGAGATAAGCATCACAAAGGCATATGGTCATCAGACTATCCAAAGTCAATGATAAAAAAAAATCTTAAGGGCATCTACAGAAAAAGAACAAATTATTTATAAAGGAAATCCTATCAGATTAGTAGTAAACTTTGCAACAGAAACCTTAAAAGCCAGACAAAATTGGGAGCCTATTTTTATCCTTCTTAAAGAAAAAAAAATATCAGCCAAGAATTTTATATCTGGCCAAACTAAGCTTCCTAAATAAAGAAGAAATAAGGTCTTTCTCAGTCAAGCAAATGCTAAGGGAATTTATCACCACCTGACCAGATTAGAAGCCCACTAGCTAGATTACCCAAAAAAAAAAAAAAAAAAAAAAAAAAAAAAGAGAGAAAGAGAGAAGGTTCAAATAAGTATAGTCAGAAATAATAAAGATGACATTATAACTGATAAAACAGAAATACAAAAGATTCTCAGAGACTATAAATATCTCTATGCACATACACTAGAAAACCTAGAGGAAGTGGATAAGTTCCTGAAAACACACCACCTTCAAAACGTGAACTAGGAAGAAACTGAAATCCTAAACAGACCAATAATGATTTATGAAATTGAATCAGTAATAAAAAACCTACCAACCAAAAAAGCCCTGAACTAGATGAAATCAAAGCCAAATTTACCAAAAGCACAAAAAAGAGTTGGTATCAATCTTACCGCACTATTGCAAAAAATTTAGGAGAAGGGATTCCTTCCTAACACATTTCACAAAACTAGTTTTATTCTTATATCAAAATCTGGCAAGGACACAACAAAAAAGAAAACTACAGGCTAATATCCCTGATCAATATAGACACAAAAATTGACAATAAAATACCTGCAAACTAAATTTAATAGCACATCAAAAAGATAATCTATCATGATCAAGTGAGTTTTATTCTAGGGATGTGAAGATGGTTCAACATGTGCAAATTGATAAATGTGATTCACAACATAAACAAAAATAAAACCAAAACCATATGGTCATCTAAATAGATGCAGAAAAAACATTTGATAAAACCAAACATCACTTTATGATAAAAGCCCTCAACAAACTAGGCATCAAAGAAACATACTTCAAATTAATAAGAGCCATATATGACAAATAACAGCCAACATCATACTGAATCAGGAAAAGTTGAAAGTATTTCCCCTAAGAACTAGTACAAGACAAGCACTCTTACTACTCCTATTCAACACAGTACTGAAAGTGCCACTCAGAGCAATCAGACAAGAGAAAGAAATAAAAGGAATCAAAAGGAGAAAAGAAGAATTCAAGATATCCTGTTCACTGATGGCAAAATCCTATAGCAAGAAAAATCCTAAAGATTTCTACAAAAGAGTCTTCAATTTGGTAAAGGATTTCAGCAAAGTTTCAGGATACAAAATTAATGCACAAAAATCAGTCACATTTCTGTACATCAACACTCAAGCTGAGAACGAAATCAAGAACTCAATCCCATTTACAATAGTCACAAAATAGTAACATACCAAGACATAATTTAATGAAGGAGATGAAAGACCTCTACAAGGAGAACTACAAAACACTGATGAAATAAATCACAGATGACACAAAGAGAAAAACGTTCCATGCTTATAGACAGGAATAATCAATATCATTAAAATGTCTATATAGCCCAAAGCAATCTACAGATTCAATGTAATTCTATAAAATTGCCAACATAATTTTTCACAGAATTAGAAAAAACTATTCAAAAATTCATATGGAACTAAAAAAATCCTGAATAGCTACAGTGATTATAAGAGAAAAGAACAAAGCTGGAGGCATTACAATAGCTGACTCCAAACTGTACTACAAGGCTGTAGTATCCAAAACAGTATGGTACTGGTACAAAAATAGAGAAACAAATGAATGGAACAGAATAGAAAACCAAGAAGTAAAGCCATACACCTACAACTAACTAATCTTTGAAAAAGTTAGTTGTAAAATGAACAATGGGGAAGGGACACTCTATTCAATAAATAGTGCTGGGAAATCTGGCTAGGCATATGCAGAAAAATGAAACTGAACCTCTACCTCTTGACGTGTACAAAAATTAACTCAAAATGGATTAAATACATAAATGTGAGACCTGAAACTATAAAAATTCTAGAAGAAGGCCTATGAAAAACTCTTCTGGACATTGGCATAGGCAAAGAAATTATAACTAAGACCTCAAAAGCAAATGCAAGAAAAACAAAAAAAGACAAATGCAACTATGAAATGAAGTAGCTTCTGCACAGCAAAAGAAACTCTCAAGAGAGTGAACAGTCAACTTGGAGAATGAGAGATAATATTTGCAAAATATGAGTGTGACAAAGGACTAATATCTGGAATCTATAAGGAATTTAAACAAATCAAGAAGAAGAAACCAAATAACCCCATTAAAAACAGAATATAACATGTACATAAACATGTACATAACATGAACACAACATGTACATAAACAGGCACTTTACAAACGAAGACCAACAAGTGGCCAGCAAATTTATGAAGAAACCTCAACATTACTAATCATCAGGGAAATACAAATTAAAATGAGATTCAGATGGTATCTGCTACCCTTCAGAATGGCTATTATTAAAAAGTCAAAAAATAACAGATGTTGTCAAGGATGCAGAGAAAAGGAAGCTCTTATACACTGTTGTTGGGAATGTAAATTAGTTTATTAGTAAATGTAAATTAATTCATCCCTATTGAAAATGATATAAAGATTTCTCCGAGAACTAAAAATAGAACTAACATTTGACCCAGCAGTCCCACCACTGGGTATCTACCCAAAGGAAAATAAACAATTTTATCAGAAAGACACCTGTACTTGTATGTTTATTGCAGCACTATTCACAATAGTGCAGTCATGGAATCAACCTAAGTGTCCATCAGTGGTGGATTGGATACAGAAAATATGGTATATATACACCATGGAATACTATACAGCCATAAAAAAGAATAAAATCATGTCCTTCACAGCAACATGGATGGAGTGGGAGGCCCTTATCCTAAGTGAAATAACTCAAAAATAGAAAATCTGATATCACGTTTCACTTATAAGCGGGAGCAAATTAATAGGTACACAGGGACATTAAGATGGAAATAGTAGACACTGAGACCACAAAAGACAGGATGATGAAAGAGGAAAAAGGATTTAAAAACGACCTATGGGGCACCTTGTTCACTATTTGGGTACTGAATTCACTAGGTGGCCAAATATCACCATTACACAATGTGTCCATGTAATAAATCTGCGCATATATCCCCTGAATCTAAAATCTAAAATATCTGAAGGGAAGGGAAGGAATAAAGAGTAGCATTTTATGTCTAGTGTTCCCATCTCACTGTTATTATTGTTTTAGGTTATTGTGAAATTAGATGGTTATTTCATATCCTTGGGACCTACTATCAAAAATTTCTTTTTTTCTCTCTTCCCTGTCTCCATTAAGATGAGGCAATAAGCAACAAAACCAAAATCTGAGGCCAGATTTTGATGTGGCATACTAATGTAAACCATGTGTCTGATAATGTCAAAATCATGAATTAAGTCCAAAACAGTCTCCAACTAACTATAATTCCAGCATTCTAGTGTTTAGTCATGTTTAAATAATAGAAGTGTCAAGTGAGGCTTAAATTATTTCTCTGACTTGAATTAGTAAAGAGGAATATGAAAATACAAACTGATCTCTTTTCTACTATTTTAATCCACGTTTTAGATGGGTAAATAAAAAGAATTTGACACAATCAACCACGTTAAACAAAAAGCTTCCTTTAAATCATCTCAATACTAATCAAGTTCATTTATAAATTGTAGTATTGTTATGCAAATAAAATACAGGAGACTGAAGTTCAGAGTTAGCTAGTAATTTCAGATGATATTTTTAAGGTTACCAATCAAGTTGCTAATTTTACATACATTATTTTTTCTGTTGCATTTACATCCTGAGAGAACTAATTTCTTAAGTAGAAGGTGTACATAAGGAAACTTAAAGGTCATTGGATTTTATATCAAATGACTTATTACCCAGGTCCTAGACATGCAATTTTATATCTTTAAATATTTCAAAAACACGAAGCCATTTTTTCCCTTTTGGATATTATGAAAGTAAATGACTTATTTAAAAATATAATATTTTATTCAGTACTATTTTTAGAGGGTTGCTTCACATCAGCACATTAATAAGCATCAAATAATTTGAAATCTAGGAGAGGAGAAAGTGTACTATGCCTGGAGCCAAAAATAAATTTCTCCTCTCCTCTCCTCTCCTCTCCTCTCCTCTCCTCTCCTCTCCTCTCCTCTCCTCTCCTCTCCTCTCCTCTCCTCTCCTCCCCTCCCCTCCCCTCCCCTCCCCTCCCCTCCCCTCCCCTCCCCTTTTCTGAAAAGCTCTCCCACCAATTAAATGCCAGGATAATAGATTCTAATCGTGAAAGCGTATTTGAAGATGTGTAAACAAAGTGATAACAAAAAGCATAATGGCTTTATTTTTTGATAGACCTGCATAGATGAAGGCCAATTGTCAGATAGAGTCCTGAAGTTGTCTGGCGTTCCTTAAATGACAAATGCTGGCTTGTCCTGAATGTTGCATTCAAATTTGCCAGAAAAATAAGCCCCTCTGGCCCTATCGTACTTAAAGCATTGGCCTTTGGATATACTTCTACATTTTATTCTTAAATTACATACAATAAAATTTATTTTTTTCACAGTTTTATGCTCATGCTATTACTTTGTAGTCAAACACTCAACCTATGCACCTATCTTTCATCTCAGGCAAGCGTTGATCTTGTCTTCATCCAGTGGTGGTCAGGTTTATGTTTAACTACTGGACATAAAAAATGGTTTGCCTATATATTAATACATTCATTTATTATACGTTTTACTGATGTAAATAATGAAGGCACACAATTTACAAATAATAATAGATTATATTACCCCATATTATAGATTCCATATTGGCAATTGGTGCCCACAAATGCTTTTGTTGATTTTTGCTGGACTCCTGTCTCTGAAGACACACTATGGCCATATTTCTGATAGGACAATAAACATGTTGGTTGGCATTTTCATTTAGGCAATGAGTAAGATGTAATTGGAACAAGGAAAATATATGCCTTTTTTTTTTTTTTTTTTTTTTTTTTTTTTTTTTTTTTTTTTTCGAGACAGAGTCTTGCTCTGTCTCCCAGGCTGGAGTGCAGTGGCGCAATCTCAGCTCACTGCAAGCTCTGCCTCCAGGGTTCACACCATTCTGCTGCCTCAGCTTCCCGAGTAGCTGGGACTACAAGCGCCCGCCACCACGCCCGGCTGATTTTTTTGTATTTTTAGCAGAGACGGGGTTTCGCCATGTTAGCCAGGATGATCTCGATCTCCTGACCTTGCTGCGATGCGCCCGCCTCGGCCTCCCAAAGTAAGTGCTGGGATTACAGGCGTGAGCCACTGTGATCGGCCGGAAAACATATGTCTTAAATGACATTTCACATAAATGGAGCTATTCACTATGTGGACTTTTGTGGCTGGCTTCTTTCCTATGGCAGAATTTCATTGAGGTCCAGCCACATCGTGGCACATATCTGTACTTCTTTTAATTTCTCAATAGTATTATATGGATAGGTTACATTTTGTTTGCTCACAGGTTGATAGACATTTGGGTCATTTCCAATTTTGGCTGTTGTGTACAATGATCTTTTTGCATACTCTTCTCCAAATAAATTCAGTGTCTTTCAGCAAAGTAACAGGTCTACCCAATATCATGGCTTGCCCTTCCAGCCAGGGAAGAACTTAAATGCCTTGTAGATTGGTGGGGAGATGAAGGCAACCCTGGATGAAACGCCACAATATCCTGTTCTTCTGACTGAGATCCAGTAGATTTTCTTTAATACATTCTTCTCAATTTGTTGTATGCCTTTTGTCAATTTCCAGAGACTGTAAACAGTTATTATTGTCAATTTTTTACAGTTTTATCATTGCACATTGGGCACATATTTTGCCAAACTCCTGACAGACATGTCGGAATGCCTACTTCCCAGAGTCCTTTTTGTTTGTTTGTTTGTTTGTTTGTTTGTTTGTTTGTTTCTTTCTTTCTTTCTTTCTTTCTTTCTTTCCTTCTTTCTTTCTTTCCTTCTTTCTTTCTTTTCTTTCTCTTTCTTTCTTTGTTTGTTTCTTTCTTTTCTCTTTTTTCTTTCTTTCTCTTTCTTTTCTTTCTCTCTCTTCTTTCTTTCTTTCTTTCTTTCTTTCTTTCTTTCTTTCTTTCTTTCTTTCTTTCTTTCTTTTCTTTCTCTCTTTCCTCAGGGTTGTTTTTGCCATTGCCAGCTATATCCTTTTAAATTTGAATTAAATTTACCCTAAATATTTATTGATCCCTACCTTATGGTAGATTCTAGGCTTGAAGATTAGTAAAGGGGAATAGAAAAGAAAAAGATGAATTAAGTTCCATTCTACATCTTTAAAAAGCTCTATATCTAGAAGAAACAGACAAATACGTAAGGGAAAAAGTGCTGGGAGAGAAGATGTATTATCCGTCATAGATCATATCTAATGTGGGGTATTTTATTATTCTTGAAGTGAAAAGTCATGGGAAATACTCTCAGTAGATAATGATTGAGTGAGACTAAGAAGTTGAATAGCATACATAGAAACAAGGATGATTAAAATTTTATTGAAAGAAACGAATACTTGAAATGTCAAAAGTATGAGTAGAGAGTAGAAGTAAGTCATGGGCAGCATATGTTAGAATCATATAGTGAGGGCACTTTAATGCCATACTGTGAATTTTGGGCTTCCATTATGGAAGTTACATGGTCAGATTTGTTTGTAGAGAAATAACCTCCATGTATGTGGTCAACGGATGAAAGGTGAACAAGACTAGGTTATTATGTTGAGATTTTTCCTGAAGTTAAAAGTCACATTTGTGTGTCATGCCACTGAATAAATTAATCAGTGGCTGTACCAAGGAAATGACTGGGGGAGATTTGGGACCTCAATTTTTCTCCAGAACTGTAATTATTGTGTGAATACAGTATTAATAGTTGTCTTTAACTTATTCATCTAAACAGATTGCCTAACATAACACTATATTCCCCCATAAAATTATGGACTCACAACTGTAGATAGCCAAACATAGATCAGGATTGGGTGTAACAAAAGGCGATTTTCAACCTTCTTCATGTTGTGGCTTATCTTGCTTCTACAGCATGTATAAAGTGTATTCTTGCCTCATACTTTTACAAACATTTCTGGACATAATTCTCCCATAGCCCACTTGAAAGATAGTTATTGCTTCTGCTTCAAGACTTTCCACTTCCTGGAAAGAGTTCTTTTTAAATTTATGAACAAAATTATTTTCAGATGAGAATAAAGGACTAAATATTTACACAATTGCCTTAGCCTTGATAAAATAATAACTCGAAATGGACTATGAGAGACAGAAATAAAAACAACATAGAATACAATAACTTTTCCAATTTGGTTACTTTTCTCATCTTATAGTAGACATATTTCACAGAAAATTTGTAAGAATTAAAGAAAATAATGTACACTGCCATCCTTAGCAAGCTCATAAGTGTTAAATAAATGTTATTGTGCTAGTATTGTAAATTATTGAGGGAGAAGCAGTGTCTCATAAATGAAACCCTGTTTGTTCTAGGAGTTCTGGGTTTTAATCTTTGCTCTATCATTCAGTTTTGCAATCTTCTGCAGCCCCTTAGATAGTGTGAAAATAGGTGGTTGCACTGTAAGATTTCTACAGTGTCATTAGTCTCTTATATGAAGAGTTGTAAAAACTAGAAAAGCAAATTACAATAGAAAGCTAAATCACAAAGCAATATATCACTTTTGTGATATTATCCTAGGTAGGTAGGTTCCCACTTCTACAATAAATTTTTCAATAAGATAAGATTGCTGTATGAGAAAGAGAATCAACAAAGGAGGATTAAGAAGAGGAATGTGCAGATCTCTGAAAAGTACAAATTAAGTCTGTTTCTACTAGACTAGATCACATTACAATTTAAGCGAATGTGCTGACACATCTAGAGAAAGAATATGTCAAGCCTAGTAAGAGTGTTTCCTCCTGGAAGCATAGGAGAGAAACACTAGAAAATCTCATATTCAGAAAAATCCAAGGGGAATTAAGCATTGGTAAAACTAAAAAATAAAACAAAAATGTATTTATATGGACATTTATTCAACAAATACTTTAAATATCTGTTATATGCCACGAACTGAGACATGGTTCGTGCTCTATAAGCACTTAACTTCTCTCTGGAGATGCATGACGTGCTATAAAAGGAAATTCTAGAGGCAACAGATTTCCAGTAACAGAAATAGGTATCTGAGAGTGTCAGGGGAGACCTCTCAGAGAGAGACTTGGTTAAAGTAATCCAAGATCAGCGTCAAGATTGACTCTTAAGGTTCAAACTCAGACATTCAAAAAAAAAAAAAGAATAAAAAGAGAGAATATTAGTGTCACAACTAAGACAGTAAACAAAGGAGGTTGGTATATTTGTAAGACAACCAAGAGAATGCCTAGTATTTCATTGGATATAGATATAGATACCTCAAACTCAAGAGAGAAAGCTGGGAGTTACCATTATATAGATAACAATGAAAGCCATGGTGAATGTAATCACTGATTGTCATAGAGTCACAGAGTGAGAAATAACCACAGGGAATTCAAAGTCTCCAAAAAAAGAGCAGGGAAAGAATCCACAAAATAAATGGATAGGTATTCAATGAGAAGGGAGAAATCTAAGTAAACATGGAATCAAGTAAGTAAAAAGAACTCTCAAGAAGAAAGTTAGAGTCAACACTCTTAAATTTTATAGAAAAATCAAGAAAGATTATATCTGAAAGATATATTTTAGTAGAGTTGAAGGAATTCCTTTTCTTTACCTTGTAAGTAAAACAAGAGCCATTAGGTCCCACTTTGATCTGATTCCATTAACAATGAACAACTTTCTAATAATAGCTTTCCCATATGCCATTTCTCTGGAGAGAGATAACACTGCTCATAGCACTAGTACTGCCCAATAAAATAAGCAAGTTTATTTATCATTATATTTAAAAAGCTTTTTTTCCTGAAGATAGAGTGATCTTTGAGTATCTTGCTTAAAGTGCTAGCTAGATGGCTAAACACCAGTCCTTTTTCTTAGAGTAAACTAAAACAAAAGTATATTCTTGTATCATAAATTAGTTTAGTATGTCTTATTAGAAAACTCTTAATATGGGACACATTAGAGTTTATGAGACAGTAAGACTAATGGAAAAATGTCAAACAATGGTAAATTTACCAGCATAATTCCATCTTGTGAGGCTTCCTGGGGAAGAGTCAACTTGCTTTACCCAGATAATTCTTCTAAGCATTGAAATGTAAACAATAATTTTATTCTTCAAACTTCAGCACTTTTTATATCTGAGACCCAAGTTTAAACCAATATCTCATAAAGTACATTTGAATAAATCTCCTTAATATCAATTCTGTCTAGTTACTTAGCAAACACATGTAGAAATAAATCCAATAGAAATGTGTTTATCTTTAAATAACTCCCTTCACTGCCTCTTATACATTGATTATAATCTCCAAATACAGAGGAATTCCAATTTTTCATAAATATATTTGTTAAAAATATAGTCCGTAAATATGACTATCTCTAAGGTAATGAATAAAGATGAACTTGGAGAATATATTGAACAATCTCAAAGAGATAATAAATGAAACTGAATCTAAAACATTATTTAATAGTATACTTCTGAACTTTCAGAATCTCAAAATAATATTCAGCATCACATTGATAACTTCATTTAAAATGCTCAGCACTATGAGTTGCAACATTGATAAAACTTTGTTTAGAAAATATGCTTTCTAGTAAGGCTGACGTTTCTAATTCTTGATTGTTTATGGGGAGATAAATTAGATACAGGAATATTATAAACAAGATATTTGATTAGAGGCCTAATTTGGGGCATAAAGTTTTGAGTCAGAACTTAGCTTGACATTTTCTTTTGGATGCAGAAGTTTAAAAATGTAAGCCAAGTCCTATGGGGCTTAAGTTCATTTTAGCAAATAAAGTTGTATTCACTTTATTTGGTGATTTTTAGGTAGTTTTAATGTTTAAAAACAATTTAAATTTTATAATTAAAAAACTGTCTCCCAAAGACTAAATTTTAGTATCTGTTTCACTAAAAAACATAATATTTCTTCTACTGAAAAGATATTCAGTTTTTGTCCACATTCAAATATAGGACATGCTCATTTATGAGAAAGTTAATATTGAAGAGAACAAATTGTGGATTCCTCTATCTAAAATTTTGAGACAGCATCCTAGCTTACCACAATGTTTTAGTTTGTTTAGTGTTGCTCATAACAGAATACCTGACCTGAGATTAGAAAGTTTATAAAGAAAAGAGGTTTATTTGGCTCACGATTCTGGTGGCAGAAAGGTTGAAGATTGGGCAGGTGAATATGGTGAGGGACTCAGGCTGCATTGTTCTAGAGAGGGAATTCATGCTGTACCCAAGCTGCTCAAGCATGACACCATTTTGAGAGCAGAGACAACACTGGACTACATCTTGACCTAGGGCCCAATATCTCCTGTATCTCCACATGTCTGGGGCCCTGCTAACATCCCCTCACATCCACCCAGAGGGCTGCAGCATTATTGTGCTGACTGGAGCCAGGGGCAGTCACATCACTGGAACCCAAACTGCTTGCACAACACCCTACAACCCTGGGGAACAGGCAGTCCAGCGCATCAGGAAGTCTGCCCTCAGGACATAGAGAACTGAAGTATGCACTCCTTAGAGCCAGAAAGCAGTCTTCCCAGGGCCACTTCCACAGACAGTGACCCCACTCCCTTCCAGCAGCAAGGCCAGGGGCCAGAGGTTAGCTAGCCCTTGCAACCCACTCAGGGCCCAGGGACTGGCCTGCTTACCCCGACATGGTTACTGCTGGTGTCCATTCACCTCATGTAGAAACCCTGGAAGCAGACTTTCCAGCCTACTGGTGCCTGTGCATGCCACCCAGAGATTCAGAATCTGGCCCACCCAGCCTACTGTTGCCATCACCAGTGCCCACACACCCTGCATAGGGCCCAAAGAGTGGCCCACCTGAGGCACACACCACTGCCACTGCCAGTGTCTGCACATGCCACTTAGATGACTGAGGACCAGCCTACTCAGTGTCCCCCTCCTCATCTCCCACAAAGTCTCACCACAGTGTCCATAAAAAACCACACAGTCTGAGCCACAAAAATAAAGAGCTCACTGGAAGAGAAGATACACAAAGGAGAAAGATAAAGGAATCAAACATTATCACTACGGAAAGCCATCACATAAGGAATAAGGAAGGAAGAAATAGACAAAGCATATACAAAACAACCAGAAGACAAGAAACAGAGGGATAGGAATAAGTCTTCACTTACCAATACCAAGCTTGAATGTAAATGGTCTAAATTCAAAAAACTGATCTGCTGAACAATTAAAAAAAAGACCTATCTATAATTTGCCTACAAGAAACTCACTTCACCTGTAAAGTCATATATAGACTAAAAGTGAGGGACAGAAGAATATATTCTGTGCAAGCAGAAGCCAAAAATGTGAAAAAGTAGCTATACTTACATCAGACAAAATAGGCTTTAAGACAAAACCATGAAAAGAAACAAAAAGGTCATTACATAGTTAAAAAGGAATCGATGGAGCAAGGGGACATGACAATTGTAAATAATATATACACCGAAAACCAGAGCACCCAGAGGTATAAAGCAAGAATTATTAGAGTGAAAGAGATAGACTCTATTTACATAATAACTGGGGACTCAACACAAAATAGCATGTTAACATATGAAGTGATGTTCAACATCATATACCACTGCAAATTAAAACAATGAAATACCATTACATATCTACTATTAGTTGGTGAAAAAGTAATTGTGGTTTTGCCATTAAAAATAATAGCAAAAATTCAAAACACTGACAAACACCAAATGCTTATTAGAATGTAGAGTATCGGGAACTCTCATTCAATGCAGGTGGATGCAAAATGGTACAGCTACTTTACAAGGTAGTTTGACAATTTCTTATTAAATATGCTTTTACCGTGTGATCCAGCAATAATACTTTACCCAAAGGAGTTGAAAATTTATGTCCAAACAAAAGTTTGTGCATGGATGTTTATAGCAGCTTTAATTGCCAAACCTGGAAACAATCAAGATGTATTTCAGTAGGTAAATGAATAAATAAACTGTAGTGCATCCAGACAATGGAATATTATTTCATACTAAAAATATAAGCATGACATTATATGGACATTATAAGACATTAAAATACATGGAAGAAACTTGAGTGCATATGGCTAAGTGAAAGTTAATCTGAAACAGCTACATACTATATAATTCCAACTATATGACGTTCGGGAAGAGTTAAAATTATAGACAGTAAAAAAAAAAATCAGTGATTTCCAATGTTTAGGAGAAAGGAAGAATGGATACACAGAGCACAGCAGAGTTAAGGGTGGTGAAACTGTTCTGTATAATACCATAATGGTACATATATGCCATTGTACATTTGTAAACCTCATAAAATATGCACCACCAACAATGAACCCTAATATACACAATGGTCTTTGAGTGATAATGTAGTTTAATTGATTATAACAAATATACTACTCTGGTGCAGAATGTTGATAATGGGAACTCTCTGTACTTCCTGCTCAATCACTATGAACTTAAAATTGCTCTAAAAATAGGGTTTATTAATTTAAGCAATTAAGGAAAAATAATGACCTTTAATATAAACAAAAGAATTAATTAATAGCAAAATAAACTATAAGAAACAATTTTTTTTTTCAGAGAGAAGTAATACGACACGTAAAGAAACCTGGATTGAAACAAAGAAATGAAGAACACTAGAAATGAAATAAATAAAGGTAAAATAAAGTTTTTAAAACATTTTTAATTGATCTAAAGGACCAAATACAACATCATGGATAAATCTTAGTAATATGCAATATGATACTATTGAGTTTAAAATCAAGTAAAATAACAGTATTGTGTCTAAGCAGGTATATATATACATATAATATATGTACATGTATTTATGTATAGTAAAGCAATATTCTAATGATATGAATAAAAATATGCAGGAAGATGTAATGGAAAAAAGTGGTATTTTTGCAATTTATTCCTTAATAAATTAAGGAATTTATTTCTTGATAAATCAAAGAATAAATCCATACATAAATAAATAAATTCATCCTTTCATGGATAGATTATTATTTTATTTTATTTTATTATTATTATACTTTAAGTTTTAGGGTACATATGCACAATGTGCAGGTTAGTTACATATGTATACATGTGCCATGCTGGTGTGCTGCACCCATTAACTCGTCACTTAGCATTAGGTATATCTCCTAATGCTATCCCTTCCCCCTACCCCCACCCCACAACAGGCCCCAGAGTGTGATGTTCCCCTTCCTGTGTCCATGTGTTCTCATTGTTCAATCCCCACCTATGAGTGAGAACATGCGGTATTTGGTTTTTTGTCCTTGTGATAGTTTACTGAGAATGATGATTTCCAATTTCATCCATGTCCCTACAAAGGACATGAACTCATCATTTTTTATGGCTTCATAGTATTCCATGGTGTCTATGTGCCACATTTTCTTAATCCAGTCTATCATTGTTGGACATTTGGGTTGGTTCCAAGTCTTTCCTGTTGTGAATAGTGCCGCAATAAACATACGTGTGCATGTGTCTTTATAGTAGCATGATTTATAGTCCTTTGGGTATATACCCAGTAATGGGATGGCTGGGTCAAATGCTATTTCTAGTTCTAGATCCCTGAGGAATCGCCACACTGACTTCCACAATGGTTGAACTAGTTTACAGTCCCACCAACAGTGTAAAAGTGTTCCTATTTCTCCACATCCTCTCCAGCACCTGTTGTTTCCTGACTTTTTAATGATTGCCATTCTAACTGGTGTGAGATGGTATCTCATTGTGGTTTTGATTTGCATTTCTCTGATGGCCAGTGATGGTGAGCATGTTTTCATGTGTTTTTTGGCTGCATAAATGTCTTCTTTTGAGAAGTGTCTGTTCATGTCCTTTGCCCACTTTTTGATGGAGTTGTTTGGTTTTTTTCTTGTAAATTTGATTGTATATCTAGAAAACCCCATTATCTCAGCCCAAAATTTCCTTAAGCTGATAAGCAACTTCAGCAAAGTCTCAGGATACAAAATCAATGTACAAAAATCACAAGCATTCTTATACACCAATAACAGACAAACAGAGAGCCAAATCATGAGTGAACTCCCATTCACAATTGCTTCAAAGAGAATAAAATACCTAGGAATCCAACTTACAAGGGACGTGAAGGACCTCTTCAAGAAGAACTACAAACCACTGCTCAATGAAATAAAATAAGATACAAAGAAATGGAAGAACATTCCATGCTCATGGGTAGGAAGAATCAGTATCGTGAAAATGGCCATACTGTCCAAGGTTATTTATAGATTCAATGCCATCCCCATCAAGCTACCAATGACTTTCATCACGGAATTGGAAAAAACTACTTTGAAGTTCATATGGAACCAAAAAGGAGCCCGCATCACCAAGTCAATCCTAAGCCAAAAGAACAAAGCTGGAGGCATCATGCTACCTGACTTCAAACTGTACTACAAGGCTACAGTAACCAAAACAGCATGGTACTGGTACCAAAACAGAGATATAGATCAATGGAACAGAACAGAGCCCTCAGAAATAACGCTGCATATCTACAACTATCTGATCTTTGAAAAACCTGAGAAAAACAAGCAATGGGGAAAGGATTCCCTATTTAATAAATGGTGCTGGGAAAACTGGCTAGCCATATGTAGAAAGCTGAAACTGGATCCCTTCCTTACACCTTATACAAAAATTAATTCAAGATGGATTAAAGACTTAAACGTTGGACCTAAAACCATAAAAACCCTAGAAGAAAACCTAGGCATTACCATTCAGGACATAGGCACGGGCAAAGACTTCGTGTCTAAAACACCAAAAGCAATGGCAACAAAAGCCAAAATTGACAAATGGGATCTAATTAAACTAAAGAGCTTCTGCACAGCAAAAGAAACTACCATCAGAGTGAACAGGCAACCTACAAAATGGGAGAAAATTTTCTCAACCTACTCATCTGACAAAGGGCTAATATCCAGAATCATGGATAGATTATAATTGCATAGTGAGAACTGTAAAAACTCAGCATTATGAGTATTCTAATTCTGTGCAACTGAATTCCATTTTAAAAAGAATAAACAATAAAAGAAAGTGTAAGGTAAAAAAAATCATGAAAAAAAATTTAAGAGATTTGGAGACATATAGATTGAAAATTGAGAAGGCATTTGTAAACAATAGGAATTTCAGGGGAAACAGAAAATAGCAGAAAGAAGAAGGGCAGCCAATATTCCAACATACCTTTCCAGTCTTCTCTGCCTTAATTTTTCTATTCAAGTTTTCGATTTCTTCCTGAACAATTCATTCATGTACTAGATTTCCGTAAACACACAGATCTATTTTGAACTCAACTGTTCTATTTGTTTATCAAAGTTAATACATGTTTTGATCACAGTAGCTTTAGAATATAAAGTATTAGCAGTTAAATTGAGTTTCACTAGTCCTCAAATTCATAAATTCCTATTTATTTTTGGAAATCTATTCCTTCATAAAAAATTTAAAATTCCAAAACTTGGGATTTTGTAGAAATTGAAAGAAAATTTATAACTGGGAGAAAATACAAAGAAACACATGAGTATTAAACATATTTATAGCTTTGACGTGGTGTCATTACATACAATATTGCCTCTTTTCACTTATTAAGGTTTTCTGTTTTTTAGTAAAATTTTATAGTTTTTTTATCTCTAAGTCCTATTATTTATAAATAATTTTAGGATTTATGCTATTTTAAACGGGATTATCCTCCATTTGATTTTTTGCTATGATTTTTGTGTATTAACCTTCTGATTACTTCTTTTTACTAGGAAATGAAATCTCAAAATGGCCAGGTGGGAGGTCTCGCCTAGAGTTCAACTAAATCGAAGTATTTTCATATTCCCCAGTGGAAGCATTTCCTTGTAGGATTTTTATACATTACAACCAGTAGAGCTGAGAAGCAAACGTTTTGTGATTAGGTCATTAAGAAAAACAATACAAAATGATATTTTCATATCTACCTTCTAAATGATTCTGAAAACTAAATACTGTAGCTGTGGGAGAAACGGATTCACATGGGTGCATGCACACATACATACACAGGCAAACACACACAGCAATGTATACACACACATTGGATCCTGCAAGATAGCATTCCAACCCACCTCACAGACATTCTCTCCAAGATGGTATTATTATAACTGAATTATAATAAGGTATACTAACATGCATTAAAGCCAGCTACTTCTCAATAATGTGCCCAACGGCATTGCCAGTTAATCCTTTGGGCATTGGTTTATTCTCCTTTTCTTTTAACTGTCAAGTTAGCTCTTGGTCAGAAGCAATATGTTGTGAGCTATCTCGACAGTGTTTGAAGTATTTGGTTATTTAAAAAATGATAGTGCTGGCAGAAGCATAACAAGCATGAAAAGGAAACGACTATAAGAAAAGTTATAATTTCATTGTGGGCCTGTCATTGTACTTTTTATAATAAAAGTGGGACAGAAAAATCAATCTCTGGTTTTTAAAATAGTTTGTATTTTTTTATATTCAATATTTCCTCTAGGAGAACGGAAATCAAGAGATGGCATTTGAAGTTTCGCAAGCATAGGAGGATTTCTCTAAGAATGGAAAGCAATGTGGCAGCAGACTGATTCTGATGGGTCCTTTTGTTTCATAAAGCTACAACCAAAAGCCAGGCTGGGATGTTATTTTTTTCAGTTAACTCATCATGGAGAAGCCATATGAGGCTATAGATGTGGTGTGAGGGATGATGAGCTTTGTAACATGAATTAGTCTCACAAGAAGATAAAGTGATCTGTGCATGAGATTTGTCAGTTCAACATATGTTGCTCATGCACAATTCCGTATATTTTACTGCTATTCGATGATATATTGGTACTGGATGTATCCGGATTGGGAAGTAGTGAATTAGACAATATCCAGTTCACAATTGGCAGTTTAGGCTGTGTGATCATTCAGTGTGCCATGGTTGGATGTTCAGTATCTGCCAGGGCATGGCAAAAAGCCAAGATCTACTTCTCATAAAGCAGATGCCTCAGTAGGCAAAGATGATGCAAATTTGAGGCTTCTACTATGATTATTGTATTAGTGCTTAATACAAGCTCAGGTTAGACCTTTGATCTGATAGGGTCATTTAGGGCAGCACTTTATATCTTGGATCGTATGAGTAGAGGAACATAATTTCATTGAATCCAAGGCTACTGCAGAGTTTCCTCTTACTCTGGGTCCCAGTCAAAGCTAGAAGCCTTTGGTCTCATCTGGTAAATTAGTTATATATATATGTATATATATTGTATAGTGTATTAGTTATATATATGTATATATAGTGTATATACACTATATATGTATGTACATATGTATGCATATATAGTACATACATATATATGTACTATATATGCATGTATGCATCTATATGTACTATATATGCATGTATGCATCTATATGTACTATATATGCATGTATGCATATATATGTATGTATGCATATATAGTGTATATATACAGTGTGTGTATATATATATATATATATATATATATATATATACAGTGTCTCATAGCTTGAAAGCCGACATTGCCTAGAAGCAAGAAAGTAAGGTTCTAATACAGTCTTATTAAGCAAAAGTAAGTAGATTGTAGACAGATAAAAATGTTAAATGTCTGCTATGCTATATAACAATAGATTCAATTTTTAAATAAAAAATAAATGAGGTGGCGGAGAATTGAAGTAAAAATGAATTAAAGGTTTCAGAGGATGAAAAATTAAATCACTCACAATATCTTTAACTTATTGAATTAATCATAGTAGCAAAACAACCAAAATAGCATAGAATTATTTTTAATCCAACTGAATGAAATAAATAAAAATGACATACACACACACGCATGTGTGGGCACCCTCCATTTACATATATATACACACACACACGTGCATACACACATTTATGTATGTATACATTTTATGTGTATATACATGTGTGTGTGTGTATACATATATATGTAAATTGAGGGTACCCACACATGCATATATATGTATATATAGGCATATCTATGTTTTTGCAAAAGTAAGATCTTAGGTAACATCCAGTGGGACCAGTTAAAACATTCCTTAATTAAGACTCTTCAGATAAATCCTCTTTTCTGTCTACATAATGTGTAAACTAGAAGTCTACTAGTACACACATATAGGAGATATCAGAGATTGAGCTATAGGGACAAAATTTATTTGGTGGAGATATAAGAGTCCTTATGCCCTCAACAAAACAACTATAGATCATTTTGATTTTTTTCCATTAAGGATCACCTAATATTACTTGTTTATTCTCTTTGTATCATAATCAGCTTGTAGGTAAAATAATATAATGCATTTCACATTTATTTCAACATCATTCCATGTAGTCTATTTACAATTATAGTTTGAGCCATGTTTTTTGAGGATTGCCACTTTGAACATTTACTCCAACTAACCAATTGAATGTTGCATCCAATTTTATGCAAATAAGAAAGTCTATGTCACAACCTTTTAAAAAGTTATCTCCAAATATTAATGCATTGTAAATGACCTCTGTTAAACCAGGGGCCCTACATCATGGTTCACTTGCTATGCACATTCTCGATTTATTTATCTTTCTTTATGATGTAAGACTTTTGGCATAGGCTTTGAATATTGTGTGCAATTTCAGACCAAAGCAGCTTTATATGAAACATGAATTCATATGAGGTAGCCTTATAATGAATGCTTTAAATCACTGTGAGCTCTGTAAATGAGAAACCCTACTTTCTTTGCTGTCTCTTGAGAACTTATTAAGACAGCAAACATGTTTTTGAGAGCAACCCAAATCATATGCAGAACACACTAGCCCTTGTATCAAGAAGAACCACTGCAGAGGAAAATACTATAACTTTTCAGCTAGGAAGTGGTATTAGAGATACATCTAAGCTCAGTGGTTCTTTCCACTAGGACTGCCAATTCCTTGTGCTGGTTTGGGGTCTAAGTTAATTGATTCCCTGTATTAGTCTTTAATGATGTGTACATCATTATAATCCAGTACACAGAAAATGTTGTGCTATCAGGAGATTTACTGATGCATACTGAAGCAAAAAGAGGTTACAACTGAATTTTTCTCCACATCTATATATCGTGAATAGGGCAAAGCAAACACTCTCCAAGCATTAATTCACATTTATTTTCCTGAAACCTGAAAAAGAAATATATCTTCATCTCAAGTGTTTCAGACATATTTAAGCTTTAAACGTATTTTCAAAATCTCTAAGTGGGTTAAATAGGCAAAAAATTCAGACATGACTTGATGTTTTCATTAATCAAAAAATGTATCAAATGTTCAATAAATTAGTCAAGTCAGATTAGTGAATAAATGTTTAGAATTGTATTCAGAACCTGGATCCCAGGCATAGATTTAAGTTATAACATTAGAACTTCTCTAGACAGGTTGATAATTTTAATGACTTTGCAGTATTTTACACAGGGAACATGAGATAATGCATTTGAAAACTCCCTCTATGGATAAAGGCACAGAAAATCTTAGTTACTCTTACTCAAATATCATATAAATATGGGGCTGCATAGAAATGATGAATAAATAAGATAATTCATGTTAACGTGTTTAACAAATCATAGTGCCTTACTAAATATGTTTATATTTGTATGTCTATATTCACTCATTCATTTGATAATCAATGTAGTAATTCCCATATATATTCAACAATTTTACACATGTAATAAATAGAAGGTCTCAGATAGTAAAGCAGTTCTATCTGACTCCAAAAATTGCTTTGATTCTCTAAATCATTGTAGACAAAGGAAATAATTTTCTAGTTAGGTTTAGAATTAATTTATCAGATAATTGTTTTGGACTAAAGATGAGTTCTCCTTGATCTAGGAAGGTAGTTTTTTAATAAGTTTACCTTTTTGGGAGGGGATACACATAGAAAATCTTAGTAATCTTAGTGATGTCTACCCACATACTATAATCAGCTGAAACTGATAAACAGAAGACAGATTTCAGAGACAAATTACCTTCATATCTGGGTAGCTGATAACTAAATGTGGCCAGGAAGGGTGAATATAATTTTATCATCTCAAAAGTATGGAACTGTGGAATAGTGTAAATGACAGAGTAAGGCCCTCTAAAAATCTGTACCTCAATAAAAACAATGAGAAGAACTGGAAAAAGTGGTCAAGATGTGATTAAACATAAATTAAACAAACTATAGAAAACAATATAAAAATCAATTAAACCAAAACCTTGTTCTTTGAAAAGATCAACAAAACTGACAAACTTTTAGCTAGATGGACCAAAAAAAGAGAATATGATGAGCAATTGTATGCCAACAATTTAAATAGCCTAGATGCAATGAATCAATTCCTGAGAGACATAAGAAATTGTCACAAGAATAAACAGAAAATGAGAAAGCCCTGTTGCAAATGGAGAGATTGGACCAGTAATCAAAAACTTAGGCCACAAATAAAAGCTTAGGCCAAAGTGCCTTCATTGGTTATTTTGACCAAACGTTTAATGAAACAACCCTTCACAAAACTCTTCCAAAAAGTCCAAGAAAAGGAAAGAGTTCCCAACTTACATAAGCCTGTACTACCCTGATACCAAGCTAGACTAAAATATCACAGAAAGCTACAGACCAATATCCTTTCCAAATATAGACACAAAAGCATTCAACAAAATACTAGTAAACTTGATCCAGCAGCATATAAAAAGGATTTTATACCATGACCAAGTGGGACTTATCACAGATATGCAAAGCTGTTTCAGAATAGAAAACTTGTTTAATGTAACATACCATATTAAGAAAAAAAGACAAAATCTGCATGATTATCCCTAGAGACACACAGAAAATATTTAAGAAAACCAACACTCTTAATGACAAAAACATTCACAAAACTAAGGAGCAGAAACACACTTCCTCAATTTGACGTAGGGCATCTATGAAAACCATCAAAGCTAACATTATACTTAATAGTGAAACATTAGATGCTTTCTCTCTAAGATCAGAAACAAGACAAGGAAATCTACTCTTGACACTTCTATTCACATTGTAGTAGAGACAATTAGGGAAGAAAAAAATAAAAACTATCTCTATTTACAGCTACCATGAACTTGAATATAGAAAATCCCAAGGAATTCCCTGAAAAATTACTAGAACTAAAACATGAGTTTTGTAGGTTTGCAGGTACAGTATCAATATACAAAAATTAATTGTATTTCTATTCACTTACAATGAATAAATAGAAAATGAAGTAAATAAATTCAATGTATAAAGAATATAATGCAGAGAAATAAATTTAACATGTAAGTGCAAGAATTATACAGTGAATACTAAAAAACATTCTTGAAAGAAATTAAAGAAGATTCATACAAATGGAAAGACATTTTGTGTTTATGGTATATGAAACTTAATTTTGAAGTTCTAATACTCCTCAAACTGGGCTTAAGATTTAGCTAAGCCACTATCAAAATTGTAGCTGCTTGTTTCTGCAAGAGTAATAAGCTGATTCTAAAACTTATATAAAAATTAAAGGCACACAAAATGGCCAAATGTTGAGAAAAGAAGAACAAAGTTGGAGGATGCACATATCCTGATTCCAAAACTTACTATAAATCTATAGTGATCAAGACAGTGTGGTAATGGAATAAAAACAGACATATAGATTAATGGGTTAGAATTAAAAGTTTACAAATAAACACATTTATGGTTACTATAGTTTGAGTGTGTCCCTTCCAAAATTAAGGTGTTAAAACTTAATGGCCAATGTGGTGATAGTAAGAGGTGCGGTTTGTAAGAGGTAATTTGGTCTTGAGGGATCTGCTCTTTGTGAATGGGATTAAGGCCCTTATAAAAGAGGCTTCACGCAACAGTCAGCTCACTTGTCCTTCCATCTTCTGCCATGTTAAGACACAGTGTTACTTCTGTCTGGGGATGCAGCAACAAGAAGCCATCTTGGAAGCAGAGGGCAGCCTTTACCAGAAAAACAAACCTGCCAGCACCTTGATACTGGACTTCCTAGCCTTCAGGATTGTGAGAATATTAATTAACTAATTAATCTCTGTTCTTTATAAATACTGTTTATAGTAGTACAAATAGACTAAGACAATGATTAAGTGTTTTTCTACAAGGATGCCAACAATCTAACGAAGGAAAAAAATAACATTTCCACAAATGATGTTGGGACAGCTGGATAACTACATGCAAAAGAATGAAATAGGACCTCTATCTCATACTATATACAAAAGAATGAAGTAGGACCTCTATCTCATACTATATACAAAAACTAATTCAAAATAGAGCAAAAATCTAACTGTAACAGCTGAAACTATAAAATTGTTAGAAGAAAATAGAGATTTAAGTCTTTGTGACCTTGAATTTGGCAACAGTTTTTTACATATGGCAATTAAAACACAAGCAGTGAATAAAAACTGAAATACATTAAACTTCATCAAAATTAAAAATGATTGTATATCAAAATAAACTATAAATGAAGTGAAAATATAATCTAAAAATGAGAGACAATATTTGCTGTCAAGTATTTGATAAGAGACTTGAATCCGTATTATATAAAACACTTTTTTAACTTAACAATAAAAAGACAATTAACCAATTAAAATATGGGCAAAGAACATATCTTCAAAGATATACAAATGGCTAATAAGAACATAGAAAGATGGCCAATATCATTAGCATCAGGGAAATGTAAATCAGTATTATAATAAGTTACTATTTCACATCCACTAAGATGTTCATAATTAAATGTATGGACACTAACAAGAGTTGACAAGGATGTGGAGAAATGGAAAGCATTTTATATTAGCGGTAGAAATGTAAAATGAGGCAGACGTTTTAGAAAATAGTTTGGCAGTATCTTCAGAAATAAAAAAAAAGTTTGACCATATGACCTAGGAATTTTATTCCTACTTTCTACACAAGAGAATTGAAAACATATCCCAACAAACATGTCCACAAATATTCATAGCAACATTATTCATAATAAGCAAAAAAGCAAACAAATCAAATGTCCATCAGTTGATGTATTGTTAAACAAAATATGACTTATCCATACAATAAAATATTATTCATCCATAAAAAATAATGGTATACTGGTATGTGCTACAACATAGATAAACCTTGAAAACATTATGCTAAGTGAAAGAAGACAGAAACAAAAGACCACATAATGTATAAATCAATTTATATGAAATGTCCAGGATAGACAAATCCATAAAGACAGAAAGTATATTAGTGGTTTCCAGGGCCTAGAGGCAAGGGGGAATGTGATCTGGACACGGGGTTTTTTTATGAGGTAATACATTTTCTCTGAATTAGATAGTGGTGAGGGTTATACCAGTTTGTGACTATACTAACCCACTAATTGCATATTTTAATAACATACATTTTATGGCATGTGAAATATCTCAAACAAACCAGCTGTTAAAATGTATGGGAATGCCTTAGGCTTTGCACATATCTTTTCATGAACTTGGAGTTGTTGATACTCTAGGATATATGGTAAAGTAGAGAGCAGTGGAACAGAAGCTGGAAATGTGAATTAAGGTTAGCTTTTGAAGTATCTTCAATACCATGATAATTAATTCATGCCCTTTTCTGTATAAAATTATTAACTGTCAAAGATTTTTAATGGGAAAAGTTACATAAATACATTCGCATGTTAGACAACTCTTTCTATAACATTTAGGGTGGATTAAAAAAGAAAATATCAGAGGACAATGAGACACTAAAAATGTTAATATAGTGGTTAAATGTATAATGATATTTTAATTATAATTGATTAATATGGAATGTATTCAAGAGTTGATATACTACCAAGGGTTCAGGAATTCAAAGTGGCAATCCTTGGCTGGAAGGAAGTTAAATATGTCAGATCAGTCCAGGAGCCAAGCTTTGTTGAGAACAGTACCTCGGAGATGGAACACTGATTACTTTCATGAAGACACTGGGCAACCTGGAGTGACCTTTGTAGAGTTACTAAAACAACTTCATCCAAAAATTTTTAACATGTGAAAAAAATAGTGCTGGCCAAGCTGCAGAGAGCCATTGCTCTGCCTATATTAGTCCGTTTTCATGCTGCTGATAAAGACATACCTGAGACTGGGTAATTTATAAAGAAAAAGAGTTTTAATGGACTCACAGTTCCACGTGGCTGGGGAGACCTCACAATCATGGCAGAAGGCAAAAGGCCATCTTACATGGCGGCAGACAAGAGAGAAGTGAGAACCAAGTGAAAGGGGTTTCTCCTTATAAAACCATCAGATCTCATGAGACTTATTCACTACCATGAGAACAGCAAGGGGGAATCCGCTCCCATGATTCAATTATCTCCCACCGAGTCCCTCTCACAACACATGGGAATTATGAGAGCTACAGTTCAAGATGAAATTTGGCTGGGGACATGGCCAAACCATATCACTGCCTAAACTAATAAGAAAATAAGGAAGGAATATTATACTACAATTTTATTCAGAACCTGGAATTCTTTGGATCTATGTAATCATTAATTAAACAAATATTCTTGCTCTTATTTTGGTGAGGCACTGTGTCAATTGCTGAGTGTTCAGTGGTAGGTAGAACAAGACAAATTTTATCCTTTCAGATACCTTGTTTTTTGTAGAAGAGACAAATATTAATTAAAGTTACACTAATGAATATGCAGTTACAAACTGAGATAAATAACTCTGAAGTACAAAAAATGGTTCTCTGAGAAGAATGAGAATATAGTATAGTCTCCTCTTATCAGCAAACATTATCTGAGGAACTGTTGATTGAACAGAGATTTAAAGAATCACTAAGAGATGTTGTAGCAATATTAAAAAAATAAAAAGGGGGCCTGCAAAGGAAGGCGTGGACCAAATCATTAACTCTGTAAAAGATTTGGGCCTTTTTTTTTTTCTTAAGAACAGCGAAGATTAAGCAAAAAGTTTGTGTGTGAGTATGTGTGTGTGTGTGTGTGCACGCGTGCTTCTGTGTATGTCTATGTTTTGGGGAAATAGAAAAGTCAAAATGAAGAATAAGTTGAAGGTAGAATGGAATAGAAGTAGTGGGCCATCAGAGAGCTGGCAATGATAGTTTCAATTAGGATGGTGGCAGTACAGGTTGCACCAGGCTTTACATTCCTGTGTTTTTACAGCCAACAACTAAAACACAAAACCTTCACTTCCATATTTCTTTGTACTGTCTGCCTCATTTTGTCCTACCATTCCTGACTTATCTCAGAATACTTGGCATCGTGCTTACATTTTGTTTCATTTTAAACATTCTCCTCAAGTATGTAACTGTTTCTTTGAAATATTGACTTTAATTGCTGTCAACTTCTCCTATAAAGATTCTATTTTCCCCATAGTCTTCTTTTTTTAAACATATACATATATTTTTTATTATACTTTAAGTTCTAGGGTATATGTGCACAACGTGCAGGTTTGTTACATATGTATATATGTGCCATGTTGGTGTGCTGCACCCATTAACTCATCATTTACATTAGGTATATCTCCTAATGCTATCCCTCCCCCCTCCCCCCACCCCACAACAGGCCCCAGTGTGTGATGTTCCCCTTCCTGTGTCCAAGTGTTCTCATTGTTCAATTCCCACCTATGAGTGAGAACATGCGATGTTTGGTTTTTTGTCCTTGCGATAGTTTGCTGAGAATGATGGTTTCCAGCTTCATCTATGTCCCTACAAAGGACATGAACTCATCATTTTTTATGGCTGCATACTATTCCATGGTGTATATGTGCCACACTTTCTTAATCCAGTCTATCACTGTTGGACATTTGGGCTGGTTCCAAGTCTTTGCTATTGTGAATAGTGCCACAATAAACATATGTGTGCATGTGTCTTTATAGCAGCATGAAGAGATTGCATCTTTTTTCATATCTAAAAGTATCAGCAGGGTTAATTTCTTTTGAGGCCTCTTTTCTTAGCTTATAGATGGCTGTATTTTCCTTCTGTCTTTACAGGGTCTGTCCTCTGTCTTTATGTGCCTATTATTTAATTTCCTTTCCTTATCAGGTCATGAATCATATTGGGTTAAGGCCCACCAGTATGACCTCATTTTACCTTAATTATCACTTTAAAGGTCCTGTCTCCAAAGACAGTCACATTCTGAACTGGTGGATAGAACTTCAATGTAATAACTTTTGCAGGGACATGATTCAGCCCATAACATCAGATACGTACATATAGATTTTAGCACCTGGAAGTGGGGTGATGTCACAGTAAATATCTAAAATGTAGGGATGGTTTTGGAAGCAGGAAGCAGGCTCTGAGGAAAGTACTAGTGAAAGCCTAAAATGCCTTAAGGTAGCTGTATTAATCTGTTTTCACACTGCTGATAAAGACATACCTGAGACTGGGCAATCTACCAAAGAAAGAGGTTTAGTGGACTCACAGTTCCATGTGGCTAGGGAGGCCTCACAATCATGGCAGAAGGTGAAAACACCTCTCACATGGTGGCAGACAAGAGAAGAGAATTTGTGCAGGGAAACTCCCCTTTATAAAACCATCCAATCTTGTGAGACTTATTTCCTATCAGGAGAATAGCATGGGAAAGACCTGCCCTCATGATTCAGTTACCTCCCACAAAGTCCCTCCCATAAGATGAGGGAATTGTGAGAGTTACACAATTCAGTATGAGATTTGGGTGAGGACACAGCCAAACCATATCAGTAGCCCCCAAGGCTTTTATAAAGCTGTGCATGAGCTTTAATAAGGTCTTTAGTAAGGGCTTACAGGAAAGTGAGGTAAAAGTTACTCAAACTGAAAGAAGGAGGAACTGTATTGTGTAGTAGCAGAAAGTTTAGCAATCCTCTTAGTGCAGTTCTGTGAAAAGCAGAAAATATGTCTAATTAACCATGTGATACAGCTAAGGGGATTTTCAACCAGAGTTTTAAAAGTGCCATCAGCTTTGTGGTGCTAATAGTAAAATGTGAGAAGTGAGAGATAAACTAATGAAAGTATATAAAAAAGAAGTAAGCCAGGACTTGATGATTTGAAAAAAAATCTGCAGGTGGCAAATGATGTAAAAATTAAGAAATTACTTCTGAGCAAATATCCAATCTAGCAGACTGCCAGGAAAATATGGACCAAAGACGAAGTTAAAGGTGTGACTGTGAAATCTTTTTTTTTTTTTTGAGATGGAGTCTTGCTCTCTCTTGCCCAGGCTGGAGTTCAGTGGCGAGATCTTGGTTCACTGCAACCTCCACCTCCCAGGTTCAAGCAATTCTCCTGTCTCAGCTTCCCAAGTAGCTGGGACTACAGGTGCACACCACCACGCCAGGCTAACTTTTGTATTTTTAGTACAGATAGGTTTTCACCATATTGGTCAAGCTGGTCTTGAACTCCTGACCTCAGGTGATCCACCCACCTTGGCCTCCCAAAGTGCTGGGATTATAGGCGTGAGCCACCACGCCTGGCCAAGCCACCGCGCCTGGCCTGATGTTTTGAAAAGACAAAATTTAGTCTCAAATAAACAGTGGAATGCTACTTGGGCAGATAAAATATGCCTCCAAGTGTCTCTCAATCAAACTATAAAGCTTCTAGGAACCTTAACAGCATTGTTCTTTAGACATTTTAGCAGGATCCCAACAAACAAGCAGGCTTATCTTGAAAACTTTTGTGGCTGTGGCTTTTATATAGTTGATTAAATCCAAATAACATTCATAGGACACCCACGAAGTTTTTAAAAGAGTGATTGCTATGGTTTTAATATTTATCCCTTCTAACACTCATGCTGAAATTAATCCCCAAAGTGGCAATATTGAGAGGTGGGGTCTTTCAGAGGTGATTGGGTCATGAAGGCTCTATGTTCATAAATTGATCAATCCATTAGTAGATTAATAGGTTATTGGATTAATGGAATATCACAGGAGTGGGACTGGTAGCTTTCTAAGAAGAGGAAGAGAGACCTGAGTTGGCACAGTCAGCACCTTTGTCCTGTGATACTCTGAACCACCTTGGGGCTCTGCAGAGAGTCCTGCCAGCAAGAAGGCTCACAGCAGATGGAGCCTCTTGATCTGGGACTTTTCAGCCTCCATAACTGGAAAAAATAATTTAAAAAATAAATTATCCAGTGTTAGGTATTCTGTTATAAGCAACAGAAAATGGACTAATGCAGTTATATATGCAGATCATCACCGGCTTGGACAGAAAAAGGCAAGAAAGAAAAAAATATCCAAGAGCCTTTGGTCCCCAAAACTCTACTGACAGGATGGTGGCTGATAAAACTATTCAGCTGCAAAGACAGGCTGTCTTTTGTAAAAAAAAAAAAAAAAAAATAGAAAAAAATCATACAAGCTGGATTTTAGAATTGTTATGGATCAATGACACCTTAGTGAAATTCACTTTCTCCTTTTTGAACAAGAATATCTATAGTGAATATGTTATGCTTGTCTTATCATAAAGTGTTGGGTAATCAGAAGACAGATAAATTATCTCTTTATTTCACAGGCCACAAGGAACTGTACTCAAAGAGCTGTACTTAAGGAACTACACATCAGTTGTCTTCCCTGCACTTGGGCTTGATTTAAATAATGAGATTTTGGGCTTTGGGCTGATGCTGCAATGGGATGAGACTTTTGGAGGCTTTAAGAGACACTGAGTATATTTTGCATATGGAAAGGATGTGTATTATTGGAGGCTAAAGGCCAAATTGTGTTGTGGACTGTTTGGGATAATTGTTATGTGTTAATAGGTAATTACATACTGCTTAATTCAGGTCTTCACACTTCCGTTGAGTGATTTTTCTAAAATACAAATTGGATTTCAAAGCTACCTAAGGCTACTTACTATAGAAGAAAATGTTCAAATTCTGCAGCTGATTTAATATTATTTATTGGAATTTCCCAGTGTGACCTTAATCTATCTTTCTAGTTGCATCCTTAAACGTCCTTCATAAATTCTGTCTGAGAGCTGTGCAGGGATTCTTATCATTCCCAGAAAAGCTTATGCCCTTGTGTTAGTACAAGATGTTCCCTCTACCTAGAGAATCTTCCTCTACTTCTATTTATCTATTTAGACTGGAAAACATTCCAGTTGAGCATTCATATACCACTTGCACAATCATCTCTCTGTGAAGTATCCCCAAAATGTCCTTACCTTTATGACTCAGATGTTCCTCCAGCACCTCTATTAACCTTAATGATGGTACTTATCACAGACAAAATGATCCCCCACATTTAAAATTTAGACCAGGGATTGTAAGAGATGAGACTAAGGATTTTATAATCAATTTGAAAATAAAAGGATGCATAGCTTAAAAATATCTGGGCTTAGAGAAGACAAATCTGAATTACTGTTTGTCATCAGTAACATTTGTCATGAAGATATATTTCACGTATTTGGATCCTCTAAAAATTTTAACAAATTCATAAAGGAAAAGCAGAATTATTTGTTCTCTTTCATCTAAGCCTGCTGACAAATGCTAAAATCTAGAGTAAAACTGTTTTTTAAGTTCAGTACAAGAAAAGAAGCATTTTAGTTTTTCTTTTTTCTTTTTCCTTTCAAACTCTGAGAATACAGAGATAAAAATCCTTTATCTCCTGGACCAGAAGTCACTAAATTTCAAGTACAAGAGAAATGAAAAAGAACATCATACAAACTTGGAATTCAGAAAACATGAGTGCCATTTCCTTCTCTGAAAAGAAGAACAGAAACTTGTTTTCAAAGCCTGTTAATTTTTTTTTTGTACAATAAATATGGTAATTTTTTGGAAATGAAATAGAATTTACCTTAATTGAATATGGTGCCAGCTTCAGTCTAGACAAGATCAGAATAAAATTCACTATAATTGGGCAAAACAATAATAGAAAAATATTAGAGTAATAACTTTGACATATATATGTTGAAATTTTGTGGAATAATACTACCTGTAGAAAGTTGTTGACCATGATATTTTAGTATACTCAAATTTATTAGTATCACTTTGCTTCTACCTGAAAAAAAATAAATTTCCTTTGAAATACTTTAAAGAATAAAAAAATTATAAAAACTATTATAAAATGGAATTTTTAAATAAATGTAGCTGTTAATATTTTTAGAAGATTTAGGCTGTTTTGAAGAGGAGGAAGAACTTAAAAGTGATTTTGTCCATGTCTTTCTATTTCAGGTTCAACAAGTTAAGTCCTAGTGATTTTTATCAAAAATTAGAAATACTGGTTACATTTAATTGGGTCTTTTTTTTTTAAACTAAGCTTGCTTTAAGATAATTATTTGGAAAGTAGAAAATTATGTAACATAAATAGCATGCAAATTTTTAAAAAGCTACAATTAGTGGCCTCACTAGTAGTGGGGCCATCTGGACACTAGCCCTTGTGATGCAGGACAGGCAAGCCCTGAAATTGGGGCTTAGCTCTTAGAGTTCTTGGCTTCACCCAGGAAATAATTCAAGGAAAAGCTGGTGATGTTAGACATCAATCCTTTGTTGAATGGTACTACTCCTTGTGGAGCAGATCTAACTCAGTAGGCAGTGCATCCAAAGTCAGCAACTTATGGGCTCCTGGCAACAGTATTTATTCTCATGTAAACCCACTTTAATTACATGCAAATTAAGTGGTGGGTTATTTATAACTTCCAATGCAAATTGAGGGGTGGGTTATTTATAACTTTCTAGAAAAGCTGTGGCAACTTCCGGGTCATTGTCATGACGTTTATAAACTGTCCTGGTGCTGGTGGGAGTGTCTGATGCTAATGAGCAATGAGGGCAGCCAGGAATTGCTTTTGTAGCCATCTGCTGGTTCCTGTCAGTTTTGTCACTTTATCCTGTCTGGACCAGATCCTGCTTTGGTCAGCAGAGTTGTGACCAGAAAACAAGTGCTGCTGGTCTCCTACCTCACTTGGACCTACTCTGTAATAAAAGAGGAAAAAACCCAGTAGCAACTTAAGGTTAGTTTGAAGGGTTTCAGAAAGCAGACGTAAAAAAAAAAAAAAAAAAAAAAGCAGCAGTGATTCAAATTTTGTGACTAACCCAAAAAGAGAGAGCAGTTGTGTCACAAAGAAGTTTGCTAGTCTGTCCTGAGATCCAGGGGTAAGACCACTTATACCAAAGCTCTGAGTCATGATGAGAGTTGTTTGCTTTCATCAGAGCTGTTAGTTTGATCAGTAAGCACTTACTGAGCTTCTACCTTCACTTGGCATTTTTGTAGATGCTGAGAATATCATGGTAACAAAACAAAATTCTTATCCTCATGAAGCATATGCTTCATTTGGAGACACCAACAATGCGCGTGTGTGTGTACAAGAATAAGAGTAACAAAGGGACTAAAATAGGCAAATGCGAAAGAGGATGGTGGAGAATACTGTATCAGACTTGTTGCCCATAAAATCCTTTCTAATAAAAAGAAACATGGCAGAGATTTGAATGAAATGAGTATTCAGAAGAGCAGCCACACATGTTAAGTTCTTGATAAATACTGTGCATGAAAGAATAATAAATGGATATGACTACTGTTAAAGGCAAGACTGCAAGAGCAGTAGCTACAGACAGGTTTGATCCCAATTTTAGAAGAATACACATAAAAGGTTTGTAATTTTATAGTGAGAGGCAACAGTTAATCAAAAGTATAGTTTATAAAACTTCTGGGTAAGGAGTTACACATATTTTTGGTTGCAGTGAGGCAAAAATAATACAGAATTGTGGGAAATTTTATGGGTTTTATTGAAATAATTGTTAAGAATACGTTGTATTTATTGAGTGCCTACTGCTGTGTACTTGTGCTAGATGCCTTATACAAATTCTCAATTAATTTTTATTGCAACATTTCAAGTAAAGAGGTAGTTTCTCAGTTTTTCCGGAAGTAGAGGGTTGGAATGGTTGAGTGACTTGCAAATGTCCATTTGGTTTACAAATGTCAGAGCCAACTTTGGAACCCAGGTGTCTCCAACTGCAATGCATTACTAAGAAAAGAAAATCTATGTTTTTTTTTTTTCTAAACTTAGTGTTTTATCGTGAAGAAACCAAAAAGCTTAAATTGAAAAAATGTATTGGTAAAAAATCTAAAATTTAGTGATATACATGAAACAACATGGATTAATTTCAAAAATATACCCAATGAATGACACATAAAGGATCCAGAACAGACAAATCCAATCTATGTTGCTAGAAAGCTGATCTGCAGTTACCCAGGAGAAGGTGGGAATTTGGGGTTGACTGCAAAGGGGTGTTAGTAATATACCTGGATGATGAAAACAATTTATATCTTGAATGTGATGGCTACATAGGCAAATACATTTGTCCAAACTCATAAAACTCTATATTAAAATAAAGGCATTTTGTTACTAAATTACAACTCAACAAATTTGACTTTAAACATTAAGGCTGGGTGCGGTGGCTTACACATGTAATCCCAGCACTTTGGGAGGCCGAGGCAGGCAGATCATGAGGTCAGGAGACTGAGACCATCCTGGCCAACATGGTGAAAACCTGTTTCTACTAAAAATACAAAAAAAATTAGCTGGTTGTGGTGGCGCATGCCTGTAGTCCCAGCTACTTGGGATGCTGAGGCAGGAGAATCACTTGAACCTGGGAGGTGGAGGTTGCAGTGAGCGGAGATCATGACACTGCACTCCAGCCTGGTGACAGAGTGAGACTCTGCAAAATCAAAAGAATTAAAAAATTTTAAAAATTAAAAAATAATAGCATATAATTTGTTTCAGTTTAAAAAAATTACCAATTATTTTTAATAACTTAAATAAAACAGTAAACATATTTCTTGCATTTGTTATTCATTTAAAAGCAAAGCATTGAAAAAATGTATACAATATAGTCCTTTTTCTATGCTATATGATTCACACCCATATAGCAAATATTTCTAAAGTTGTAGAGCTTCAAACAAATCATCTAACATCTATTTAATCTAAAGCTTTTTTGGCACTGTGTATTAATATAAAATTTTCTTAATTTTTTGCCAAAAATAAGCTAAGGCCAACTATGGCAGTTTTGGCTGCACTCACATTTTTAATAATGCTTATCTGGCCTTTGTGCATAAATGAAAAGTGAATTGCAAGATGAAGAGACAATACCCTGAGTTTTACTGTCCAAGTAATACCGGTTTTAAGAAAACTTCACTTGAATCTGGTTTATCTTTACATTACCAACTAATGTAATGACCATGTTTCATTGTCAAAGGCTATTCTTTTTCTGTGAAGCCATTATACAAGTCAAATTGAGATCATTTCTCAAGAAATAATCTAGAGAAATATTCTCACAATATTTTCCTGTAATCGTTATTGCTATGTGTCTGACACATGAAAAGATTAGATGGATTTAAAATTAAGAGATAGTTGCTAATTTTTTTTTAATACGGGATGTTAACTACTTGAGAGGGACAGTTACGTAGTGTAGACTGACTTTACAGACATATGGTTGATGAATTTTGACACGTTAGGATGTTTAATGACTCCATCACCTAAATGTTCTTATTCTCAGACTAACCCAGATTTTGGAAGAAGAACATCAAAACTTTCAAAGGAATAATATTTATCTAAAATTAGAGTAAAAATAGAAAAACAAGATTAATATGAAAAGAAAACTTAATATGGAGCAAACTAAAAAGCTTCCTGGATGTACACTTGGTATTCACTTGAAGTTGTCTATTGTGCTTAATACAATTATACAGTATATTCAGTCCTGAAATAATGTTAGATATAAATTAGCCAAACAATCCTGTGAGATGTAAAACTGTGTAGACCTGAGTTAAATACAGATATTCACTTTGGGAAGACTCTGCATCTCCAAAACAAGACATACAAGAAACTAGGGGGCCTTTGAGAGCATCCACTCAGCTCCGCATTGTGAAGATTAAAAAGAGCATCTGTGAAAATGAATTCTGAGTGGTACCTATAGCAGGAGCTAAATTAGTTTGGCAGAGGCCTTATAAATAAATCTGACTGAAAGAAAAAAAAACACAGAAAGGATATATTAGAATTCTTTTGCATATCATGTTGTTGTTTCCTTTAGACTTCCCTCTGAAATATTGTTTTTCTAATCTAATTACTAGCATAATATGTATCACTCTCATTTGTATTCAAAAGGAATATTGGATTAAGTATGGAAGTGTGCGTTTTCTATATTGGCTTTCTATCCACCCTGCCTTTACAGCTGAGAAGTTTATGCTTCATACCTTCTACTCTCTTGCTCATGAACCTGTGGCTCAGTGGCATGCAAAGTAAGATCACTTGCAGGATGAAAGCAGCATTTATGATTGCTGGGCAGGTTTCCTGAGGTCCTTCCTAGAGCAGAAAAGTAATGAAAGTTTTTAGACATATATTGAGAAAAATTGATTAAGTGAACTAAGATAATTTTAAAATACATTTCTTCTATTAACCATTCCTAGGAATCATAAAGAAATTTATCAAGATTCTTTTGGTAATTTTTAAACAGTAGTTAATTCTATCATAGGCTATTCATAGCAGAGCTGTTCTTTACATTCGCTTAAATGAAATAAACTGGCTTTACATTTTTTTTTTCAAATACAGGCAGCATTTTTTCAGAGAAAATTAGAGAAATAAAAAAGTTATTTTGTCATTGATTCTGTTTATGTGATGGATTAGGTTTATTGTTTTGCGTATGTTGAACCAGCCTTGCATCCCAGGGATGAAGCCAACTTGATCGTGGTGGATAAGCTCTTTGATGTGCTGCTGGATTCGGTTTGCCAGTATTTAATTGAGGATTTTTGCATTGATGTTAAGCAGGGATATTGGCCTGAAATTTTCTTTTTTTGCTCTGTCTTTGCCAGGTTTTGGTATCAGGATAATGCTGGCCTCATAAAATGAGTTAGGGAGGAAGCCCTTTTTTTTCTATTGTTTGGAATAGTTTCAGAAGGAATGGTACCAGCTCCTCTTTGTACCTTGGGTAGAATTAGGCTGTGAATCCATCTGGTCTCAGTAGATGCAGAAAAGGCCTTTGACAAAATGCAACATGCTTTCTTACTAAAAACTCTCAATAAACTAGATATTAGTGGAAAGCATTGCAAAATAATAAGAGCTATTTATGACAAAGCCACAGCCAATACAATACTGAATGGGCAAAAACTGGAAGCATTCCCTTTGCAAACCACCACAAGACAAGGATGCCCTCTCTCACCACTCCTATTCAACATAGTATTGGAAGTTCTGGCCAGGGTAATCACGCAAGAGAAAGAAATAAAGGGTATTCAAATAGGAAAAGAGGAAGTCAAATTGTCTCTGTTGCAGATGACATGATTGTATATTTGGAAAACCCCATCATCTCAGCCCAAAAACTTCCTAAGCTGATAAGCAACTTCAGCAAAGTCTCAGGATACAAAATCAATGTGCAAAAATCACAAGCATTTCTATACACCAATAACAAACACAGAGCCAAATCATGAGTGAACTCCCATTCGCAATTGCTACAAAGTGAAAAAAATACCTAGGAATACAACTTACAAGGGACGAGAAGGGCCTCTTCAAAGAGAACCACAAACCACTGCTCAAGAAAATAAGAGAGGAAAATAAATGGGAAAACATTCCATGTTCATGGATAGGAAGAATCAACATTGTGACCATACTGCCCAAATTAATTTATAGATTCAATGGTATCCCCATCAAGCTACCATTGACTTTCTTTCAGAGAAAAAACTACTTTAAATTTGATATGGAACCAAAAAAGAGCCTGTATAGCCAAGACAATCCTAAGCAAAAAGAACAAAGCTGGAGGCAACACGCTAACTGACTTCAAACTATATACAAAACTACAGTAACCAAAACAGCATGGTACCAGTACCAAAACAGATATATGGACCAATGGAACAGAACATAGGCCTCAGAGATAATGCCACACATCCACAATCATTTGATCTTTGCAAACCTGACCAAAACAAGCAATGGGGAAATGATTCCCTCTTTAATAAATAGTGTTGGGAAAACTGGCTAGCCATATGCAGAAAACTGAAACTGGACCCCTTCCTTACACCTTATACAAAAATTAACTCAAAATGGATTAAAGACTTAAACGTAAGATCTAAAAGCATAAAAACCCTAGAAGAAAACCTAGGTAATAGCATTCAGGACATAGGCATGGACAAAGACTTCATGACAAAAACACCAAAAACAATGGTAACAAAAGCCAAAATTGACAAATGGGATCTGATTAAACTGAAGAACTTCTGCACAGCAGAAGAAACTATCATCAGAGTACACAGGCAACCTACAGAATGGGAGAAAATTTTTGCAATCTATCCATCTGACAAAGGGCCAATAACAAGAATCTACAAAGAACTTAAACAAATTTACAAGAAAAAAACAACCCCATCAAAAAGTGGGCAAAGGATATGAACAGGCACTTCTCAAAAGAAGACATTCATGCAGCCAACAAACATATGAAAAAAAGCTCATCATCACTGGTCATTAGAGGAATGCAAATCAAAACCACAATGAGATACCATCTCACATCAGTTAGAATGGCGATCATTTTAAAGTCAGGAAACAACAGATGCTAGAGAGGATGTGGAGAAATAGAAACACTTTTACACTATTGGTGGAAGTTTAAATTAGTTCAACCAGTGTGGAGGACAGTATGGGGATTCCTCAAGGATCTAGAATTAGAAATACCATTTGACCCAGCAATCCCATTACTGGGTATATACCCAAAGGATTATAAGTCATTCTACTATAAAGACACATGCACAGGTATGTTTATTGTGGCACTCTTCACAACAGCAAATATTTGGAACCAACCCAAATGTCCATCAAAGATTGACTAGATAAAGAAAATGTGGCACATATACACCATGGAATACTGTGCGGCCATAAAAGAAGCATGAGTTCATGTCCTTTGCAGGGACATGGATGACGCTGGAAACCATCATTCTCAGTAAACTAACACAAGAACGGAAAACCAAACACTGCGTATTCTCACTCATGAGTGGGAGTTGAATAATGAGAACACATGGACACGGGGAGGGGAACATCACACACTGGGGCCTGTCAGGGTGGGGAGCTAGGGGAGGGATAGCATTAGGAAAAATACCTAATGTAGATGACGGGTTGATGGGTGCAGCAAACCACCATGGCATTTGTATACCTATGTAAAAAACCTGCACATTCTGCATATGTACCCCAGAGCTTAAAGTATTTTTAAAAAGTTATTTTATTAAATAATGTTAAAATAAATTTATCAACAAGCATAGTTTATTTCTGGCTGAAAAATGAAATAGATTTATTTAAAAAGGAAATGAGTTTAGGTTTATGTCTTCAGTGACTAAATAGTTAAGCAATTCATTAATAGACTTGGATGGTTATTAGTTACTTAGGTAGTTACTAATGATTTCAGGAACTACAACAACTAGCATTTAATTCCTGGACCTGTTAATCTCAATTTGGGGAAGCTATTTAATATCTCTAAATTTTAGTTCTTTTATTCTGGAAATGAAAAAGACCGAGAATTGCCAAAATCTTTAAGAAAAGAAATTTTGGGGGATTTACACCATGTAATTTAAAATGTATTATAATGCCATAGTAATCAACATATTATGGTATTCATGTAAGAATGGAAATGCAGATCAATGAAACAGAAATCTTGAGAAATGGACACATGCATATATAGTCAATTGATTTTCAACAAAATAACAAAACTAATTTAATAGAGATAATATATTTTCAAAATGTTTATGGAACAATTGAATATGCTGATCCTGAATCTTTTTGTCATAAAATATACAAAAGTTAAATAGAAATTAAATAGAAGTGGTTTATAGAACAATATATGAGCATAAAATATAAAATATCTATTCATAGAAAAATAAAACATAAATTATTGGTAACTTTGTTTAGTGAAAAAGGTTTTATACAATAATTTTTTTTATGAAAAGAACAAACCACAAATGAAAAAAGAATGGTGCTATGGACCTCATCAAAGCAAACAAAAAAAAAACTTCTTCAAAAGATCATTTTCAAAATACTTAGTGAATGACTTATATCCAGAATATATAGGAATCACTTATAAAATATAATGCAAAAAGAAACCCTATGTTATATAAATAGAAAAAAAAGATTGACTAGATGTTTCCCAAAGGAGATATGCAAATGGCTATTGATCTCATTAAATGTTGATTAACATCAGTGGTTTCAGAGAAAACAAAAGTGAAATACAGACTCTCAAATAGTGTTTCATTGAATGTCCTTTTATTATAATATTGATAATGAATAAAAAATTGCTCATAAGAAGGGGCCACCATCTGTATAAAGTTTGCATGTTTTTCACATGTGGGTTTTCTCTAGGTATCCTGGCTTCCTCCCACACCCCAAAGCTGTGCACACGAGGTGAACTAGCGTACCCACATGGACCTCATCTGTGTGAGTGTGGGTGTGTTTGAGTGCACCCTCTGATGGCATATCATCCTGTCCAGGGTCGTTCTTCTATTGCTCTGAACTGCCAGGAGTGGCTCTACCCACCTGTGACCCCAAACTCGTCTCAGCAGGTAAATAATTACCTTACTTGTTTTTATTAATCTGTCTTACATGTATGCATCACTCACATTTATTTCAAAGTTTAATATTAGAAGAGTTTTTGTCTTCATTTAGAAGTTTGGTGGTGGTGTTTTCATGACCAGAAATATACTATAGAAACTTAACTCTGGTTTATATTAATTAGCTTATGGTAAAATTGATTTCCTATAGGTCATTTCACTTAAAGTTACAGTTTTCAAGGATCTATTGAGGGTATTAAGAGATGACTTACTGTTTACTGCACAAACACAGTAATTGCTAAAATTTAATAAGACTAATAAAACCAAGTGTGGGGACGTTATGCAGAGAAACTGAAAGCATTGTACTATACAGGTGGGCATGTAAAATGGTTATACTTTGGAATACTATTTATCTTTCCACATAAATTTAATCATACACATACCTTATGATTTAATAACTCCACTTTTAGGATTATGCTCAACAAATAAGAAAACATGTTCATAACGATTTGTACAATAATATTTTTGTATAATTATTTATCATATCCAAACTTAAGAACCATCCGAATGGCCATAAATAGAGAGTAAACAATTGCAGTACATGTATACAGTGAATACTACTCAGCAGTGAAAGGGAACCACTGGATAATACTTGTAATGATATCAGTAAAACAGACATTATGCCACATAAAAGAGGTCACAGGGCAGTACATGCTGTGGGGTATTGAGGCATCCCAAAGTAAAGGCAATGGAAGCAGTGTGCTCAGGTGCAGACAATGAGTGTGTTTATTACCTATAGAATTCCAAACACTGCAGCAACAAATTACTCACCCCCTTCAATGGGGAAAGCCACTTCCACCCTACTTTATTTCTATATCATTGGTATGGTTTCATTTTTATAAACTTTTAGAACAGAGAGACCTAAACTGTTGTGATACAGGAACTGATGGACATGGTGGTTAAAGGTGGGGCTCTTCAGTCACAGGAACCTGAGCTTTAGTTCGGCTACACCACTTGATTGTCTTTGTGATCTTCAGTGGGTTGTTTACATGTCTAAGCCTCACACTGTGTATTGTCCCAAATGGGGTCAGTGAAACCTATGTCATGCCCTTGCTGGTACTATATTCAGTGCTTAATGAGTATTATTGTCATTATTTTTCAAAAAGTTTATTTCATGGAATGCTTATTCTCAGATGCAACAATCATAATCCTATCCTGGAACAATATAAGAGCAATAGTATTTAACAAGGCAAAACCAAACAGAACAAATAATTGTTTGAGTAGCTTGTATTTTCTCTGATTTGTTACAAAATACAAACTACCTAAAGAGTTTTTAAAATATATTATGTGGTAAATAAATATTTATTTTTGAAGGCAAGGGTAACATAAAAGCTAAGATGATGCATTCATATTTACATATTACACAAGAGCATGAATCTATTAAGAGGTTGCTTTGAAAATATTAGAGATGCCATCAAAATGAAAGAAATATATTTTTAAAAATCCAAGCACTTTATCTTTGTTTATGAAAAGAACGATGAAAAAATATTCAGGAAACTGTTAACCAGGACTGTAACTTTATGCAGTCCTTTTCTTCAGTGTGTGAAAAATAATAAGATTGAAATTCAAGAGTTCTTTACATCTTCCCAACATAGTGAATGTTTATAAAAGCTTGCTGAATAAACTTTATATTGATACCAGTAGTTGAAATTAATATTTAGAATTACTTCCTTAAATATTACAAAGAACGTGGTGTTGGTTAATATTTTAGTAGGATACCTGTTTCCTTTTGACAGTCATCTGAAGCTCCCTACAAATGGTGTTTCACTATGCTGAAAGTGCTATCTGTCCAGAAAGCTATAAAACAAAGATCCTGACTATTTATGGTCATAAATGATTCAGGATCACTTAGTTTGCTGTGAGAAAAAAAGTATTTTTTAACATATTTGAAAGAGGTACTCAGGAATATAATCATAAATTTGCCTTTCTGGTGAGTTTCTTAGGGAGGTAGAAAGGTTTTCCTTTTCTTTAAAATAAGCTTTATTTTTTTTTTTTCCTGAAGGTAAAGCTAAAAGCAGAACAAAACAAAAACTTAGCTTATTTAGGAGTTCTAGGTTGGATTCTAGATTTGTTGGACTAATTTTTAACCAACCATTAACCTTTGTAAACAAATTTTCTCTATCCTCAAAATGGTGATGATGTATCTATTCTGACTACTTCACAAGATTAAAGAAACAGATGAGCTATTGGATATGAGAGTGCTTTATACATATTAAAATGCAACATATATTGTAACTGTTGTTTGAATTCTGACTGTTTCTATTTTTACCTTTCAATATAAATGGCAAAATGTTTTCTGCTCCTTTAGCTCTAAGCATTGTCTTACTTTTCAGGAATCCCATACAAAAATTTCACAGATTTTAAATTCTATGTTTTATGAAATTGGCTTTTCATTGGAATCAGTGGGGGCCTGTTTATACTTTCTCACATACCTGGGGAATAGGGACTATGTTTTATTTATCTCTGTATCTTCCATAGTGTGACGGACAGTTTTACACAAATAACAAATAGCAAGTTGCTCTATAAACACGTGTTCAATGTTTTCTGGTTATGCTTATTATCTAAGTAAACCAAAACCACAACAAAGAGAAGACATTTCAATATTTTAAAAAACATTTTAAAGAGCCAGATGAAGAGTGTTGTGTGTAAATATATTTCAGCATGTTTTACTGAGTTTTATTTCCATCCTGAAGAAGGTATGAAGACATGACTGAAGGGCAGGCAGAGAGTTCAGCCTTTTTTTTGTAAGGTAAATGGTGGACTCGACAACATGCTTTTCTGAACTACTCAAACACAAAACTCACTGAAAATAACTGGTTTTAGAAGTTTGAGTCTATCAGATTTTTACCAAGTGATTATTAAGAAATGAAAAAAATAATGTATAAGAAGGTTATTGAAGATATTTTGCTCTTAATCATAGACCTTTAAAATTTTTTAAAATAACACAGGATATTAAGCCCATTAGCAATTACTGCATAATAAAACAATCAAATTTAAATATAAAAATCACAAATAACTTCAACTATCATTTCCAAATCAGTGTTTATGTTGTTTCTTTTTTTGTTTGTTTTTGTTTCTTTTCTTTTTTAAAATTTTATTATTATTATACTTTAAGTTTTAGGGTACATGTGCACAACATGCAGGTTAGTTACATATGTATACATGTGCCATGCTGGTGTGCTGCACCCATTAACTCGTCATTTAGCATTAGGTATATCTCCTAATGCTATCCCTCCACCCACCCCACAACAGTCCCCAGAGTCTGATGTTCCCCTTCCTGTGTCCATGTGTTCTCATTGTTCAGTTCCCAAATATGAGTGAGAACATGCAGTATTTGGTTTTTTTGTTCTTGCGATAGTTTACTGAAAATGATGATTTCCAATTTCATCCATGTCCCTACAAAGGACATGAACTCATCATTTTTTATGGCTGCATAGTATTCCATGGTGTATATGTGCCACATTTTCTTAATCCAGTCTATCATTGTTGGACATTTGGGTTGGTTCCAACTCTTTGCTATTCTGAATAGTGCCACAATAAACATATGTGTGCATGTGTCTTTATGAGCATGATTTATAGTCCTTTGGGTATATACCCAGTAATGGGATGGCTGGGTCAAATGCTATTTCTAGTTCTAGATCCCTGAGGAATAGCCACACTGACTTCCACAATGGTTGAACTAGTTTACAGTCCCATCAACAGTGTAAAAGTGTTCCTATTTCTCCACATCCTCTCCAGCACCTGTTGTTTCCTGACTTTTTAATGATTGCCATTCTAACTGGTGTGAGATGGTATCTCATTGTGGTTTTGATTTGCATTTCTCTGATGGCCAGTGATGGTGAGCATGTTTTCATGTATTTTTTGGCTGCATAAATGTCTTCTTTTGAGAAGTGTCTGTTCATGTCCTTCGCCCACTTTTTGATGGGGTTGTTTATTTTTTTCTTGTAAATTTGTTTGAGTTCACTGTAATTCTGGATATTAGCCCTTTGTCAGATGAGTGGGTTGTGAAAATTTTCTCCCATTTTGTAGGTTGCCTGTTCACTCTGATGGTAGTTTCTTTTGCTGTGCAGAAGCTCTTTAGTTTAATTAGATCCCATTTGTCAATTTTGGCTTTTGTTGCCATTGCTTTTGGTGTTTTAGACATGAAGTCCATGCCCATGCCTATGTCCTGAATGGTATTGCCTAGGTTTTCTTCTAGGGTTTTTATGGTTTTAGGTCTAACATGTAAGTCTTTAATCCATCTTGAATTAATTTTTGTATAAGGTGTAAGGAAGGGATCCAGTTTCAGCTTTCTACATATGGCTAGCCAGTTTTCCCAGCACCATTTATTAAATAGGGAATCCTTTCCCCATTTCTTCTTTTTGTCAGGTTTGTCAAAGATCAGATAGTTGTAGATATGCGGCGTTATTTCTGAGGGCTCTGTTCTGTTCCATTGATCTATATGTCTGTTTTGGTACCAGTACCATGCTGTTTTGGTTGCTGTAGACTTGTAGTATAGTTTGAAGTCAGGTAGTGTGATGCCTCCACCTTTGCTCTTTTGGCTTAGGATTGACTTGGCGATGCGGGCTCTTTTTTGGTTCCATATGAACTTTAAAGTAGTTTTTTCCAATTCTGTGAAGAAAGTCATTGGTAGCTTGATGGGGATGGCATTGAATCTATCAATTACCTTGGGCAGTATGGCCATTTTCACGATATTGATTCTTCCTACCCATGAGCATGGAATGTTCTTCCATTTGTTTGGATCCTCTTTTATTTCATTGAGCAGTGGTTTGTAGTTCTCCTTGAAGAGGTCCTTCACATCCCTTGTAAGTTGGATTCCTAGGTATTTTATTCTCTTTGAAGTAATTGTGAATGGGAGTTCACTCATGATTTGGCTCTCTGTTTGTCTGTTATTGGTGTATAAGAATGCTTGTGATTTTTGTACATTGATTTTGTATCCTGAGACTTTGCTGAAGTTGCTTATCAGCTTAAGGAGATTTTGGGCTGAGATAATGGGGTTTTCTAGATATACAATCATGTCTTTTGCAAACAGGGACAATTTGACTTCCTCTTTTCCTAATTGAATACCATTTATTTCCTTCTCCTGCCTGATTGCCCTGGCCAGAACTTCCAACACTATGTTGAATAGGAGTGGTGAGAGAGGGCATCCCTGTCTTGTGCCAGTTTTCAAAGGGAATGCTTCCAGTTTTTGCCCATTCAGTATGATATTGGCTGTGGGTTTGTCATAGATAGCTCTTATTATTTTGAGATACATCCCATCAATACCTAATTTATTGAGAGTTTTTAGCATGAAGCGTTGTTGAATTTTGTCAAAGGCCTTTTCTGCATCTATTGAGATAATCGTGGTTTTTGTCTTTGGTTCTGTTTATATGCTGGATTACATTTATTGATTTGCATATATTGAACCAGCCTTGCATCCCAGGGATGAAGCCCACTTGATCATGGTGGATAAGCTTTTTGATGTGCTGCTGGATTCGGTTTGCCAGTATTTTATTGAGGATTTTTGCATCAATGTTCATCAAGGATATTGGTCTAAAATTCTATTTTTGGCTGTGTCTCTGCCCGGCTTTGGTATCAGGATGATGCTGGCCTCATAAAATGAGTTAGGGAGGATTCCCTCTTTTTCTATTGATTGGAATAGTTTCAGAAGGAATGGTACCAGTTCCTCCTTGTACCTCTGATAGAATTCGGCTGTGAATCCATCTGGTCCTGGACTCTTTTTGGTTGGTAAGCTATTGATTATTGCCACAATTTCAGAGCCTGTTATTGATCTATTCAGAGATTCAACTTCTTCCTGGTTTAGACTTGGGAGGGTGTATGTGTCGAGGAATTTATCCATTTCTTCTAGATTTTCTAGTTTATTTGCGTAGAGGTGTTTGTAGTATTCTCTGATGGTAGTTTGTATTTCTGTGGGATCAGTGGTGATATCCCCTTTATCATTTTTTATTGCGTCTATTTGATTCTTCTCTCTTTTCTTCTTTATTAGTCTTGCTAGTGGTCTATCAGTTTTGTTGATCCTTTCAAAAAACCAGCTCCTGGATTCATTAATTTTTTGAAGGGTTTTTTGTGTCTCTATTTCCTTCAGTTCTGCTCTGATTTTAGTTACTTCTTGCCTTCTGCTAGCTTTTGAATGTGTTTGCTCTTGCTTTTCTAGTTCTTTTAATTGTGATGTTAGGGTGTCAATTTTGGATCTTTCCTGCTTTCTCTTGTGGGCATTTAGTGCTATAAGTTTCCCTCTACACACTGCTTTGCATGTGTCCCAGAGATTCTGGTATGTTGTGTCTTTGTTCTCATTGGTTTCAAAGAACATCTTTATTTCTGCCTTCATTTCGTTGTGTACCCAGTAGTCATTCAGGAGCAGGTTGTTCAGTTTCCATGTAGTTGAGCAGTTTTGAGTGAGTTTCTTAATCCTGAATTCTAGTTTGATTGCACTGTGGTCTGAGAGACAGTTTGTTACAATTTCTATTCTTTTACATTTGCTGAGGAGAGATTTACTTCCAAGTATGTGGTCAATTTTGGAATAGGTGTGGTGCGGTGCTGAAAAAAATGTATATTCTGTTGATTTGGGGTGGAGAGTTTTGTAGATCTATTAGGTCTGCTTGGTGCAGAGCTGAGTTCAATTCCTGGGTATCCTTGTTAACTTTCTGTCTCGTTGATCTGTCTAATGTTGACAGTGGGGTGTTAAAATCTCCCATTATTATTGTGTGGGAGTCTAAGTCTCTTTGTAGGTCACTCAGGACTTGCTTTATGAAACTGAGTGCTCCTGTATTGGATGCATATATATTTAGGATAGTTAGCTCTTCTTGTTGAATTGATCCCTTTACCATTATGTAATGGTCTTCTTTGTCTCTTTTGATATTTGTTGGTTTAAAGTCTGTTTTATCAGAGACTAGGATTACAACCCCTGCCTTTTTTTGTTTTCCATTTGCTTGGTAGATCTTCCTCCATCCTTTTATTTTGAGCCTATGTGTGTCTCTGCACGTGAGACGGGTTTCCTGAATACAGCACACTGATGGGTCTTGACTCTTTATCCAATTTGCCAGTCTGTGTCTTTTAATTGGAGCATTTAGTCCATTTACATTTAAAGTTAATATTGTTATGTGTGAATTTGATCCTGTCATTTTGACGTTAGCTGGTTATTTTGCTCGTTAGTTGATGCAGTTTCTTCCTAGTCTCGATGGTCTTTACAATTTGGCATGATTTTGCAGTGGCTGGTACCAATTTTTCCTTTCCATGTTTAGTGCTTCCTTCAGGACCTCTTGTAGGGCAGGCCTGGTGGTGACAAAATCTCTCAGCATTTGCTTGTCTGTAAAGGATTTTATTTCTCCTTCACTTATGAAGCATAGTTTGGCTGGATATGAAATTCTGGGTTGAAAATTCTTTTCTTTAAGAATGTTGAATATTGGCCCCCACTCTCTTCTGACTTGTAGAGTTTCTGCCGAGAGATCCGCTGTTAGTCTGATGGGCTTCCCTTTGTGGGTAACCCGACCTTTCTCTCTGGCTGCCCTTAACACTTTTTCCTTCATTTCAACTTTGGTGAATCTGACAATTATGTGTCTTGGAGTTGCTCTTCTCGAGGAGTATCTTTGTGGTATTCTCTGTATTTCCTGAATCTGAATGTTGGCCTGCCTTGCTAGATTGGGGAAGTTCTCCTGGATAATATCCTGCAGAGTGTTTTCCAACTTGGTTCCATTCTCCCTGTCAATTTCAGGTACACCAATCAGACATAGATTTGGTCTTTTCACATAGTCTCATATTTCTTGGAGGCTTTGTTCGTTTCTTTTTATTCTTTTTTCTCTAAACTTCCCTTCTCGCTTCATTTCATTCATTTCATCTTCCATCACTGATACCCTTTCTTCTAGTTGATCGCATGGGCTCCTGAGGCTTCTGCATTCTTCACGTAGTTCTCGAGCCTTGGCTTTCAGCTCCATCGGCTCCTTTAAGCACTTCTCTGTATTGGTTATTCTAGTTATACATTTGTCTAATTTTTTTTCAAAGTTTTCAACTTCTTTGCCTTTGGTTTGAATTTCCTCCTGTAGCTCGGAGTAATTTGATCGTCTGAAGCCTTCTTCTCTCAAGTCGTGAACGTCATTCTCTGTCCAGCTTTGTTCCGTTGCTGGTGAGGAAGTGCATTCCTTTGGAGGAGGAGAGGCGCTCTGCTTTTTAGAGTTTCCAGTTTTTCTGCTCTGTTTTTTCCCCATCTTTGTGGTTTTATCTACTTTTGGTCTTTGATGATGGTGATGTATAGATGGGTTTTTGGTGTGGATTTCCTTTCTGTTTGTTAGTTTTCCTTCTAACAGACAGGACCCTCAGCTGCAGGTCTGTTGGAGTTTGCTAGAGGTCCACTCCAGACACTGTTTGCCTGGGTACCAGCAGCAGTGGCTGCAGAACAGCGGATTTTCGTGAACCGCGAATGCTTCTGTCTGATCCTTCCACTGGAAGTTTTGTCTCAGAGGAGTACCCAGCCATGTGAGGTGTCAGTCTGCCCCTACTGGGGGGTGCTTCCCTGTTAGGCTGCTCGGGGGTCAGGGATCAGGGACCCACTTGAGGAGGCAGTCTGCCCGTTCTCAGATCTCCAGCTGCGTGCTGGGAGAACCACTGCTCTTTTCAAAGCTGTCAGACAGGGACATTTAAGTCCTCAGAGGTTACTGCTGTCTTTTTGTTAGTCTGTGCCCTGCCCCCAGAGGTGAAGCCTGCAGAGGCAGGCAGGCCTCCTTGAGCTGTGGTGGGCTCCACCCAGTTCAAGCTTCCCGGCTGCTTTGTTTACCTAAGCAAGCCTGGGCAATGGCAGGTGCCCCTCCCCCAGCCTCGCTGCCGCCTTGCAGTTTGATCTCAGACTGCTGTGCTAGCAATCAGCAAGACTCCATGGGCGTAGGACCCTCCGAGCCATGTGCGGGATATAATCTCCTGGTGCGCCATTTTTTAAGACCATCGGAAAAGTGCAGTATTCGGGTGGGAGTGACCCGATTTGCCAGGTGCCGTCCGTCACCCCTTTCTTTGACTAGGAAAGGGAACTCCCTGACCCCTTGCACTTCCCGAGTGAGGCAATGCCTCGCCCTGCTTCGGCTCGCGCACTGCGCGCTGCACCCACTGTCCTGCACCCACTGTGTGGCACCCCCTAGTGAGATGAACCTGGTACCTCAGATGGAAATGCAGGAATCACCTGTCTTCTGCGTCGCTCATGCTGGGAGCTGTAGACCAGAGCTGTTCTTGTTTGTCCATCTTGGCTGCTTCCCCCACTCACTCACTGACTCCTATGTTGTTTCTTTAAAGGGCTCTTGGGTTTGAGTACTTCTTTAACTGAATAAAGAAAAATGAATGACAATATGTAAGATAGTTTTACTCTCTAAATTTCTTTATATATGACTACTTACATATAAATACAAAGTTTATTATTGAAACACATAGCAATATTTTAAAAATTAATTCACATTGCTGCAATTAATTTAATTATTGTAATTTTCAATCTCCTAACTGATGGAAAAGCAGTTCATAAAATAATAATTAAACTACTTGAATTCTGTATTTGACTTTATCTCAGACCTGCAGTACACCAAAGGAATATTACATTTTTAGACTTTATTCAATTTATTAGAAATATGATAATAATGGTAAAGTGTGAGGTTTATGCAAAGAAGCAGGAAATATATTTGGGGGGGCATATTTTGATTTGTGAGAGGTTTTGATGGCAATTGAAGAGGTGTGGACACTCTTGTCATTAAGAAGGTCATCTAATCTAGTCAGCTTGAATAAATGAAACGATGTCCAACTGGACAGATATCCTCTTTTATATGAGTTCAAAATGTGATGACTCACATTTTAGATGTCTTATATGCATTTCAGCTGTTATAACTTGTACCAGCTTATAAAAGATTTTCCGCTCAAATTCCTGAAATGGGGGTTCACCTAGTCACTGGGCAGTCCCGTCCCTTTATCCTCTCTCTGTTTCTTTCCTGCTGCCTGTTGTATTGCACCACAGCACAATAGACTCACTTTACCTAATTGCAGTAATATTATCTAATCTTACCTAGTAAGAAGATTTAAGTGGACATAATTTTATAAATTTTCAAGAAGCATAAAGCATCATTTTTTAGAGAGAGCTGAATAAGCAATTTGAATTTTACAAATGAAGTGCAAAGCAAGTTTTGACTGCTCACAAATCTGTTTGCTTTTGAGAGTGGTATATTTCTAGGCTGAGGTTTCAAAACTATTGAATCAGGTTTTCAAAGGCCAAAATATGTTTTCCAGATGTATCTTAAAATGTGACTACTAAATTCAGTTTTATAGGTGCTCACTTGACTCTTATCTTCAGTCTTATTAGGAATTCTGGAAAGTTATTATTGTAGCATGGTTTCATCTTAGGCTATAGATTTTAATGATGTTACTGTGTACTGGATTATTAAGCCTTGATTGCATTTCTAAAGATAGTGATCTTTACAATAAGAAAATTAAGACAAATGTATTCAGGGAAAGGGATAAGTGAAAATCTAGTTAATCATTCTATGGGATGTTAATGTGGATACTGAGATCCAGGTGGTTGCAGCAGCACAGTCAGCATCTGAAAAAAAAAATACCCTTCATTCTCATCACCTTTAAGCTATTATCATGTATATTAGTCCATTCTCACACTGCTATAAAGAAATACCTGAGACTGGGTAATTTATAAGGAAAAGAGGTTTAATTGGCTCATGGTTCTGCAGCCTATCTAAGACGCATAATGACATCAGCTTCTTAAAAGGCCTCAAGGAACTTACAATCTTGGCAGAAGGCAAAGTGGGAGTGAGGCAACCTACATGGTGGGAGCAGCAGTGAGAGAGAGATGGGAGGTGCTACATACTTTTAAATGACCAGATCTCAGGAGAACTCACTCACTATCACGAGAACACCAAGGGAGAAATTCACCCCCACGATCCAATCACCTCCCATCAGGCCCTACCTCCTACTGGGGGTTACAATTTGACAGGAGATTTGGGCAGGGACACAGATCCAAACCATATCATCATGTTTTAATGTATCACTAAAATATGAGTCTGATCTTCAGTTTACCAAACTCATAATCTATGATATCACCTTCTACTAAAGACTCTATAAATTCAAAACTGATCTTGGTATGTTCAAATAAGTTGTTTGTGTCCAAATCATTTTAGAGTATTAAACATTTGTTATCAAACTTGTCTCTCACTTGAGAGAAAGACATAGATGAAACAATGTAAAAGTATGGGAATATTTTAGCTTAAGAAAAATGAAAGTTACTGTTATTTTTATGTGGAAAGTTTGCTTATATATTGGCTGCAGAAATTTTATCATATTCTTTTTGCTAACAGCTTAAATAGCTTTACCCTGAGACACCCAAGAGATCCAAATGACAATTAATTTATTCAAAAATGAAGGATACACTGTTACTGGTGAATATGTATAAAGTTCCTGCATAATTACAGATGAAGCATCCTTTATTAGAAACACATCTCAAATGACCTAAGTTATCTTGTTGAGTTATCAAGGGGAAGGCCGAGGGTTTTGATGCCAAGGATGAATGTGGATCAGACCAAATTTTACCTCCGTAATGCTTGCTTTTAATAAAAACCAGTGACCTCAGACGAAGAAAGCAACAATATCCATGAGATGTATATTTTATCTGACTGTATAAGAACCTAAGTCCAATTTTTTTTTTTTTTTTTTTTTTTGAGTGGGAGTCTTGCTCTGTCGCCCAGGCTGGAGTGCAGTGGTGCAATCTCAGCTCGCTGCAAGCTCCACCTCCTGGGTTCACGCCATTCTCCTGCCTCAGCCTACCAAGTAGCTGGGACTACAGGTGCCCGCCACCATGCCCGGCTAGTTTTTTTTGTATTTTTAGTAGAGACGGGGTTTCACCGTGTTAGCCAGGATGGTCTCGATCTCCTGACCTCTTGATCTGCTTGCCTTGGCCTCCCAAAGTGCTGGGAATGCAGGCGTGAGCCACCACGCCCGGCCCTGTCTATGTCCAATTTAATTGGTATATTACAACTCTTTAATTCCAAGTATTGCCGATCTTCAAGAAATGCAGTACAAGGCACACTCTAGAAGAAAAGCCATTCCTGTACATACCTTTGAATTAAATACTTGCCTCTTCCTTTACACTGATGAATTTGGCTGAGCGACTCAAAAGGGAAACGACGTGTAAAGCTTCTTCACCTATTTTGCTTAATGCCAGAGCTTCTTAATTGAAATCTACCACGGATATTTCTCCTTGGATTCCTACACTTCCTTCTGTAGGGACAAGTTGCTTTGTTAGGAAAAAGCAAATACAGCTCAAAATTATGGAGGAAGAAAGGTATGAAAGGAAAATATGACCACATTTCTAGCTCTCAGGTTATATTGACTTTATTCTTCTACTGTTTTCACCACTTATCTTGAGATTCCCTGGGACAAGCAAAGAGAAAGTGATATCAGCCATTTTGTCTTAGAGATTTACCCATATGTTTTTCTTTCTCTCCATTTTTTTTTTTTTCTCATTTTACCTTATTGCGTTTGCACAGCAGAGTAATTCTCCCTAGCATAGTTTTCTCTACGGTAACTTGAAGTCTTCTTTTCTGAGGAAGCTGGGATGATAAAGTAAGATAAGGGACTTTATGACCCACATGAAGAACAGATTCGGAATGATGGAAAGAAAAGACACACAGAAAGTTTACCTATTCAAAACGTGGCAAAATAAATCCAGACAAGGTATAGAACTGAAAGATCAGCAACAGTTTCCCAGGACCTGGAGATGTAAGCTTCTAGCTCCCCAACGTGTGGATTGTTTTTAAAGTGAAAGAAGGTTAAATCAGACCTCAGGAAACTCACCTGCCCCTTTCCTAGCTGAAGCAGTTCTGCTTGTAGGCTACGGACAGCGATATCTAAGCTGGATGTGTCACTGTTTTTAGTCTTATGCCATGTACATTATGACTAAAGAGCATAATAAAGTACGATACTCTCAGGACTGAGCATTGTTAATGCTGAGCATGTTTCAGCAGCCCAAGCTAAGGAGGCTGAATGAAGTATTCCCTAAATTTAAACCTGCAGAGATAAGACAAGGTTTAATTTTCTAGAAGTATCTGGGAGTCATGCCAACAGGCTTTTGTAGCAACTACAGGTTAAGTTTTCCAAATCCAAAAACCTTCAGTGAGCATTTCCTTTGAGCATCATGTTGGCGCTTAAAGTTAGTTTAGAATTTGATATCATTTTGGATTTCAGATTTTACCTGTATAAAGTTATTGTTACCCTCCATTCTAATACATTCATTTTCCTTATTAACATAGCTTCTGCAATAATTTACAAATTTATATATGATAAAAATAAAAATATATGACATATTTATATATGATATATTGTGCTTTGTTTCAATTAGCATATTGAAAGACCTTGGATATCACCTAGGATATCTTATACATAAGCCATGTATATATATACACACACATATATGATGAATATATTATAATACAGTACAATGAATATATAAAAATACATATTTATGTATCAAATGAAATTTTATATTATATATAACGCATATGTATTATTTATTATATAAAATAATATATAACAATATATATGACAATATTATATATATAAAATATAATTTATAACATATAAATTTTTTTTGAGACAGAGTCTCACTCTGTCACTCAGGCTGGAATACAGTGGCATGATCTTGGCTCATATATATATATATCTCTCTACACACATATACATATCACAGTTTTATTATCTATTTATTTCCTGATGGACACTTAATTTGATACCATATCATGGACATTGTGAATATTGCTTCAATAAATATAAAAGTGCAGTTTCTTTGGCATACTGATTTCATATCCTTTGAATATACACCCAGAACTGGGATTGCTAGATGATATGGTAATTTCATTTTTAATTATTGAGGAATCATCATGCTCTTTTCCATAATGGCTGTACCAATTTACATTTCCACCAACAATGTATAAGGATTCTCTTTTCTCTATGTCCTTGCCCACGTTTGTTGTCTTTTGACTATTTTATCAGAGCCAACCTAACAGGTATGAGGTTACATCTCACTGTGGTTTGGATTTTCATTTTTCTGTTGATTAGTGATGTTGAACATTTTTTCATGCTCATTTTTTCATGCCTGGCTGGTCATTTGTATGCATGTGTTTGAGAAATTCTCTTCAGGTCCCTTGCCCCTCTTTTAAAGCGTGTTTTTCTTACTATTCAGTTGTTTGGGTTCCTCATATACGTTGAACATTGTGTCTTTTTCGGATGTATGGTTTGCAAGTATTCTCTCCCATTCTGTAGATTGTCTCTACATTCTGTTGATTGTTTTCTTTGCTGTGCAGAAACTTTTTATTTTGTTGTTATCCCATTCATCTATTTTTGCTTTTGCTGTCTGTGCTTTTGGGGCCATATTCAAATAATCATTGCCTAGGCAAATGTAGTGGAGTTTTCTATTTCCTTTTAATAGCTTCACATTTTCTGGTCTTATATTTAAGTTATTAAACCATTTTTAGTTGATTATTGTATCTGATGTGAGATGATAGTCTAATTTCATTTTTCTACATGTGGTGGACAATTATAGCACAAGGCAAAGGAGAAGCAAGCACCTGCTTCACAAGGCGGCAGGAAAGAGAGAGCGCAAGGAAGTACCACATTTTAAAACCATCAGGTCTCCTGAAAACTCAATCACTACCAGGAGAACAGCATGGGGGAGACTGCCCCCTGATCCAATCACCTCCAACCAAGTCCTTCCCTTGACACGTGGGGATTACAATTCAAGATGAGATTTGAGTGCAGACACAGCCAAACCATATAAAGTTTGCTAGTATTTTGTTGAGGAGTTTTGAATCTATGTTCATCAGGGATATTGCCCTGTAATTTTATTTTTTTGTCATACCCTAGTTGGGCTTTGACATCAGGGTAATATTGGCCTCTAAAAATGAGCTTGGAAGTATTATCTCCTCTTTTATTTTTTTGAAGAATTTGAGAAGAAAGGATTGTTTTAAGTTCTTTAAATGTTTGGTAGAGTTCAACAATTATGTCCTGAGCTTTTCTTTGATGATACCTTTTATTACTTACCCAATCTCCATACTTTATGTTGGTTTCTTGGGATTTTCAATTTATTTTAAGTCTTGGAAGGTTTTATTATCTAGGTATTTAGGTTATTAAATGTGTTGCCATATAGTTTCTCTTAGTAGTTTCTTGTGATTCTTTGTATTTCTGTGTTATCAGTTGTAATGTCTCCTCTTTCATTTCTGGTTTTATTTGTCTTCTCTGTATTCTTAGTTTAGCTAAAAGTTTATCGATTTTGTTCCTTTTTTCTAAAAACCAACTGTTGGTTTCATTGCTTTTTTCTCTTGTTTTTCTGGTCTCTACATCATCTGTTTTTCTTCTGATCTTTTTTTTTATTTATTCTACTAAAGTTAGGCCTAGTTGGTTCTTCTTTTTCTAGTTTCTTGAGTTGTAACATTAGGTTGTTTATCTGGAATTTTTCTTTCTTCTTCTTTTTCTGATATAAGCATTTATTGCTATAAAATTTCCTCTTATAACTGCTTTTGCTGCATTTCATAATTTTGGTATGCTGTGTTTACATTTTTCTTTATCTCAAGATTTTTTTAAAATTTCCTTTCAATTTCTTATTTGATTCATTGGTTCTTCTGTAGTACATTGTTTCATTTCCATTTATTTATGAATTTTCCAAAATTCTTCCTGTTATTGATTTCTAGTTTTATACCATTGTTGTTGGAAAGGATTCTTGCTATGTTTCAGTCTTAATCTGTCCAACCTGCTTGGCTGCCTAACATATGATCTGTTGTGGAAAATGTCCTATGTGCATTTGAGAAGACTGTATATTATGTTACTGTTGGGTGAAATGTTTTGTATGTGTCTGTCAGGTTCATTTGGTCTAAAGTGCCATTTTAGTACAGTGTTTTCTTACTGATTTTCTATCTCGATATCTGTTCATTGTTGAAAGTGATACTGAAGTTCACTACTATTATTGTATTGCAGTCTCTCTTTCCCTTAGGATCTATTAATATTTGTTTGGTATATTTAAGTGGTATATTTAGGTGCATATGTATTTATAATTGTTATATCTTCTTGTTAAATTTACACCTTTATCACCTTTATGCCTCCTTCTTTTTTTGATACTTAAAAGTTAATTTTGTATATATATACACACACAATATATATACATATATACATACAAAATTAACTTTATAACTATATATAAAGTTATATATATAAGGTTAATTTTAAAGTTTTATATATATTTATATATATTTATATATATTTATATTTATATATATAACTATATATATAGTTATATATATTTATATATAACTATATATATTTATATATAGTTATATATATTTATATTTATATATAACCATATATATTTATATATATTTATATTTATATATAACCATATATATTTATATATATTTATATATATAAAACTATATATATATATAACTATATAGCTATATATATATATATATATATATATATATATATATATATATATAGTTACCATTGCTTTCTTTTAGCTTCTCTTTGCCTGGAGTATCTTTTTCCATTCCTTCACTTTCACATTATGTGCCCTTAAAGTTGAAGTGTTTCTCTTATAAGCAGCATATAGCTGGGTCCTGTTTTGTTTTGCTTTAATTTATTCAGTCACTCTGTATCTTTTGAACAGAGAATTTTATCCATTTAGAGTCTTTCCACTCTTGACCATAGCATGAGTTATTTGATTTATTTCATCAGCTTTTGTAATGTTTAGCATATAGATCTTGCACATTTTAACTAAATCCATACTTATTTTTGATTCATTTTGGGGGGGAGCAAATGTAAATCATATGAGTTAAGATAAATTTTGCTTATTGTTCTTACTGTACTGAAATGAGAGATTTTACAATGTTAACTTTGTATTTTGTGACTATGCCAGCTAATTATTTTCTAGGAGTTATTTTTAATAGATTCCATGGCTTTTTTTGCATGGAAATTTGTGTATATAGATAGGTACAGTTTAATTTAGTCCTTTCTAATCTGTATATCTCATTTCTTTTCTTGCTTTAATACATTGGTTAGGCCTCTTGTATGGTGTTAAATATGAGTAATGAAATAAAAATTTTGGCCTTGCCATCAATTTTAGGGGGAAGGCATTCAGTCTTTCAAAATTAAGAATTATGTTAGTGGTATTGTTTTTTTTTTTCCAGAAGCCTTTTATCAGGTTGATATTTTTTTTTCAATTTCTTATTTTCTGCTAGTTTTTATTATGAATCGATCATTAATTTTGTCAAATACTCTTCTTCATTAGTTGATATGATCATGTGCCGTCTCTTCTTTAGACTGTTAATATGATAGATTACAATCACTAATTTTTGAGTATTGAAAAACTTTCCCATATGTAGGGTAAATATTGTTTTGTTATAATATAGTATTGTTTTATATATTGTTGGATTTAATTTGGTAATGTGTTGTTGAGGATTTTTGCATCTAAATTCATAAGTGATATTTCTCTGTAGTTAATCTTTCTTAGAGTGTCTTTGACTCATTTCGATACTGTTCATGTAGTAATGGTTTTATAAAATTAGTTGTGATGTGCTCTCCTCTCTTCTATTTTCTGAAAGAAATTGGTTTTATTTCTTCTTTAAATGACTGGTAGAACTTCTCAGTGAAATCATCCGGAACTGAAGATTTCTTTTTCAAAATTAATGTTCTCACGCCTGTAATCCCAGAGGTTTGGGAGGCCAAGGCGGGTAGATCATGAGGTCAGGAGTTTGAGACCAGCCTGGCCAGCATGGTGAAACCCTGTCTCTACTAAAATTACAAAAAATTAGCCAGGCATGATGGCACATGCCTGTAATCCCAGCTACTCAGGAGGATGAGGCAGGAGAATTGCTTGAACCCAGGAGGTGGAGGTTGCAGTGAGCCAAGATCATACCATTGCACTCCAGCCTAGGCAACAGAGCGAGACTCTGTCTCAAAAAAAAAAAAAAAAGGAATAAATTCAGTTTATGTAATAATTATAGTATTATCCTACTTCATCTTTGGTGACTTCTGATAGTTCGAGGTTCTCTAGGAATTGGCATATTTTATTTATGTTGTTGAACATATGTGATTTGTTGGTAATACTTTTTTTAAGTTATGCTTTTCATTTTTGTGGTTTGTGTAGTAATATCTGCTTTTATTGTCGACATTGGTAATTTGTGTCTACTTTCTTCTTTTTCTTGTGAATATCAGTGGAGATTGATCAATTTTTAAAGTCTTTTCAACTAACTATGTTTTGATTTCTAAAATTTTCTCTAGGATTTTAAATTTATAATTTTATTGATTTTTGTTTCTGTCTTCATTTTACCCTCCATTTGCTTAGTTATAGTTCCTTAGGATGAATGTTCTGGCTATTTACTTGAAATCATTTTTCTTTTGTAATATGAGCATTTAATATTAATTTCTATGTATTTAATTAGCTGCATATCACATACACTTATTTGTAATATTTTCATTTTAATTCAGTTAAAAATATTTTCTAATTTTCCTTGACATTTTCACTTTGTACTATAGATTCTTAAGAAAGTATTAAATTTCCAAGTGTTTAGTGATTTTTCCTGCTATCTTTCTTTTACCAATTTCTAGTTTAATTCTATAATGTTCAGAGAACATACTCTGTATGAGTTCTATTATCTAAATGACGTAAGATTTGTTCTATTATCCAGAATATGGTCTACTTTGGTGCTGTGGTTTGAATGTGTCCTCAAAAAGGGAAGTGTTGGAAACTTAATCCTCAATGCAACAGTGTTGAGAGGTGGGGCCTAATGGGATGTGTTTAGGTCACCAGGGCTCTACCGTCATTAATGAATTAATACCACTTATAAAAGGGTTTGAGGCTGTAAATGTTCTCTCACTCTCTCACACATGCTCTCTTTTCTTTTTTCCTTACATCATGGGATGAGGCAGCATGAAGGCCCTCACCAGATGTAGCCTTCTCAACATTGAACTTCTCAGCCTCCAGTACTGTAGTAAATAAATACCTGCTTTTTAAAAATTACTTAGTGTCAAGTATTTTGTTATAGCAGCACAAAATAGAATAAGACAAGGCAAATTAAAGGTTTAGTAAGCTAAGTGTTCAAGAACACATGACAAAAACGTGCCTGCTACTATTGTTGGGTGGCATTCTATAAATGAAATTAAATCCAGTTGGTGAGAGTTGAAGTCTCCAACTACAATTGTAGATTTTGTCTAGTTCCTTTTGCTATGTCAGTTTTTCCTTCCTTTATGTCTTCTTGATTTTTTTTCATTTAAAATTGTGTAATTTCCCTATATGTTTTTTGTAACTTTCTTTGCTCTCAATTCTACTTTGACTGACATTTTTATAAACCATCAGATTTTTGGTCTTGTTTGGATTATTGTTGGCATAGTGTGACATTTGTGACACACACACACACACACACACATATATTTCCCTCTATTTTCATTTTAAACTACCAGTATCATTACATTAGAAGTCAGTTTTTTATATATAGAATCTAGTTGGATCATGATTTTTAAAAATTCATTCTGATAATATGTGTGAGTTAATTTGTGTGTCCAGACAATTTACACTTAATATGATTATTGCTATGTTTGATGTAGCTCTACATTTTTTTATTTACCTCTTTTTACTTGTCTTTCACCTTTCTTATTTTCTTTTTGTTGATTTACACATTTTATTTTTTCATTTTAATTTATTATTGGGTGTTTGACCATATCCCTTTGTATAGTTTTGGATTTTTTTGTTTTGTTTTTATTTTGTTTTGCTTTTGTGATTTCTCTAGTTTTTACAGTGTACATATTTAGCTCTTTATGATTCATTTTAAATCAGCATTTTACCACTTCAAGTGGAAGATTGGAAACTTACCATGATATAGGTATTTTACTTGCCTTTTTGTATATTGTAGATATCATATATTACATCTACATACATTGCAAACTCCATTAGTAAATAGGTTTTTCATTCCCACGTGTGTTGAGATTTTCCTGATCTTCCCTATGTCTAAAAATTTTTAATTGTATCCTGCATATTTTGAATGTCATGTTATGAGCCATTTGGTCTTGTTTAAATTATATGTACTTGTTTGTTGTAGTAGGCAATTAACTGATATTGATTTTGGTCACAAGTTCCAACCTGTATGCTGTGGCTCCAATTTCAGTTTACTTTTTCAAGATTTTCTGTGCTATTTAAATCTTTCCTGTATGCGGGTCATCCAGTGGCAAGTCTGGGACATAAGTGATAGTTTATATCTGTGTCCAGTTTTCAAAGTGTGCAGTTTAAGATCAGATCCATGCATACTCAAATCAGGGTTGAACCCACAAGATTAACAAGCAAGTTTATAGATCACTTTCCTAAGCTTTTCTCTTTCTGTAATCTTTTTGGTTCTTTCTGATTTTCTTGGGGCTTGCTTTTATATCCCCCAGTCAGGGAGCTGGACTGTATTTAACCCTATTTGTTAAATTCTTAATTCCATTGCAACCATTGTTGAGGCCAAATGGCAGAAGGACAAAAATAGTAAAAGCAATGAACGTTTACCTCATCTTAATACCACAACTTCTCTGATCTAAGAACTTTCCCCTCCTTAAGAGTTTTAGGTAACTGCAGGCCCATGCTACAGCCATCATTACCATCCAAAGTCCTCTTTCCCACTCCTCAAACTGGAACCAGAAGACATCTCCTGCAGCTCTCTCTTTCTTCATTGGTACTCACTTCCAGGTTTTAAGCAGCTCTGAGATCAGGTTGGCAGATACCACACAGGTAGATATAAATGATAAGTTCACAGTCATTTCAGTGTTACTTTGTATTTTGACTTTCTTTTCTAATCCATCTGCTAATATTTAGGTTTTGGAGTCTTCTAGTACTTGCTCCATGCATCTATCCAGATTTTATAACAGTATTCAGTGAAAGAGTCAGGATAAGGAGTGCTTACTTTATGTTGCCTAAAACTAAAATTTCAATGATTTTATTTTAATTTAAAAACTTTAATTAAATTCTTTGTTTTGTGGAATACCTTCCACATAGTAAGTATTTACTGCATATTAGTTGGAAAGAATTTAGCTGTTTTATAGAAATGAAAACGTCACTACTGAAGTTATTAAATCTATTCAGCAGTGGGCTTCCCGATTTCAATGATGCAACTGTGGCTCCATGGATGCAATAAATTGTCTTTCATCTGATGGACCTCCTTTTAGAACGCTGCAGTCATGTCTCCTAAGGTTTATTTGTAGTGCTCATAGCTGAGTGACATAATGTCATCAAAAGATTAATTAAGCAAGTGAGATGGCAGTCCCAACTTCTGCCACACTGATTTGGATTTCATACCTTGTACATATTACCTTGACTGGAAAGGGAATGAGGAGGTAGAGGAGCTATTTTTTGTTTAATTTTTCAATGCAGAGTTGCTCTTTCATTTTTCCTCCATTTCTCCAAGATTTTCCACTTTTCGGAGATTGTTGAGGACTGACAAACTCAGTGTTACAATGTGCATTTCCCATGTCAGCCAGAGGCTACTGCCTGAAGGTCTCTGACAGAAATCAGTGTGCTCAGAATGCTGCCAGGCCCCAGGCAGGAAAGGTACATACCTCTGTGTACCCTGTGGAGCACCCAGAGCTGCCAGGAACAAACGAGTATGAGAGAAAAATGCTAGTCACAGAGGTATTTAGCTTCTATTTAAAGGGTCCATATAAGCAAGACATATTAAAAGGTCATAAAATATATACAAAGTTTTCAGGGTCCTAGTTTTTGAAATATTCTATTTTTTGTGGTTTTTGACAAAGTCTAATATTATTCTGTAAGATAGTTTGATGTTTCAAGAAACGTTATAACAGCGTATTATTCTTTAAAATGACAATCATTTTGAAGAGGGCAAATAGCTGGCTATGTGAAATTCCAAAGAAACAACCACACATCTGTCCACATGAAAAACAAGTTGCTGGAATGTATAAGTATTTTGATGGATTTTAGATTTATCTCCTCATATGCTATCAATTTTGAGATTTTAACGCCAAACTAGCATTTCTCTTTATTGACAACAATTGTTATAATAATCAGTTGCATGTATGTGTGAGAAAGAGACACAATAAGTAAAATAATTGTATGACTTTATACCTTGTCATTCTTTTTGAATTTTAGACATGGTTTCCCTTTATCGCTGAAGCTGGAATACAGGGATTATAGCTCACTGCAGCCTTCGGCTCCTGGGCTCAAGTGATAATCTTGCCTCGGTATCCCAAGTTGCTGAGTACCTGAGACTAAAGGTGAGCACCACCATGCCTGGCTAACTTTTAATATATGTAATATTTAAATACTAAATATATAATATATATAAATATTATAAATAGCACCACCATGCCTGGCTAACTTTTAACATATGTAATATATATATTTGTAGAGATGGTTTCTTACTATCTTGTCCAGGCTGGTCTTGAGCTCCTGGCCTCAAGTGATCCTCCTGCCTTGGCCTCCCAAAATGCTGAACAGGCATGAACCACCACACCTGGCTTCATCATTCTTTTTTGACAACAATATCTGCATAATTATTTGGGAAACATATGTACATTCCTTTAAAAAATTCTTAGCTTTGCACAATTCAAACCTTCTGGATGACACCATTTTAATTCTCTCTCTCTCTCTCTGAATGTGTGTGTATTATTTTTTGTAGAGATATATATATATCAATTTGTGACACACACATACATACACATACAGTCAAAATTGGGCATATCCTTTATAAGTGTTTTCCTAAATACATACTTGATTGTATAGTAGTTTTAGTCAAGTCTGCCCAAATAATTTTAATTTGGGAGCTAGTTTTCAATGAGTTTAAACTCTAAGTAAAATAATCTTCTCAATATAACATGAGCCAATATTAATTTGCATTTGTTGGTAAATACAAACATGAATATCAGAAAAAGAAGCAGCCTCAGTGTTACTCTTAAATATATGTACATACTCTTATAAGCAGTAGGAGTAGATAGCCATGTATCCATAAATATTTGCAAGAAATAGAGAGGGACTCTGTTTTCAAAAATGCTCCCCAAGTGTTCAGATGCATTTTATGAAGTAGCATCTTCAATAATTTATCGCTTGAATTTGAGACATTTATTCCAGGAGCTTCCTATTAACATGAAATCACCATTGGAAGGCTAATGTCTGAAGCTATTTATCATCTTAGCCTTCTTTGACCTGTCAAAATGCTGTTCTGTACAAAGCAAAGAACAGGGTTAGGAGAGAATGGAAACATGTGTTCAGGTAAGGCTTGCTGGGAAGAAGAGAGCCATAGCTGAGGTGCTATCAATCAGGAACTTTATAATTTGCCAAAGCACTGTTTTGTTTCTGGATTCAATGGAAGAGGAGATGCCAGTAACAAATACCAGTTAATTTGAAGATTTGCTTTGGATTAGCCCCACCATGAGAGAACTGAAATGCTTACTAAGTAAAGATAAGATGGTACTTGTAAGACATGTACAAAACAACATTAAGATATGTATAAAATTTATTAACATACACAAGGTATTTGACAGTGAAATGTTTTCCTTTTCTCCCAAATAGTTTCAGTGTGATTGGCTCCAAGCCCTAAAACCGACCTCAGGAAAAATCAGTCATTAAGCTGATGAATAGATCTTGGAAACACACACATAAGAAAAGGTATAAGTCTATATTATAGGCTATTTTGCACAGTCAGCAAAGTATTACAAGTTTATAGCCAGCCTAAAAAGGATTAAAGCCATCCATTACTCTGTTACAGAAGAACTTTAATAACCTCAGAAGCTCTATATTGGCTGTATACATTTGAAGCCTGTCACTAAATAGCACTATCTTGGCAGCATCCTGACAAAGGATGCACTTATCAAATAGGTATTAGGAAGGTGCCAATGAATCCACCATATCTTTCATCAAATCTTAGAAAGGTGTGTATTTGAAGCATCAAGATTGTGGTTATATTTTGATGAAAAATTGTGCCACATTATCATTTTCAAATGTGTAACACTAGGATCACCTAAAATATATTTAAAGAACATTCAAAATATCTGACCCCAATACGTAGACAAAATAATTAAGAAATCACGAGATATTACCATTTTATTGAGGGTCAACCACCACTACATTTTTCTCAAAAAGATCTGTCTGCATAGCCAGTTCTGCTACACTGCCAACTTAATTTGGGCATCTCTTAGTGTGGTTGAGCCTAATGTGCACTTTATGTTTCCCTTGTATAGATCTCTTTGGAGACCTTCATAACTGGATTAACTGGCAACCCACTCTTTACAGACTGAAAGGTTGATAGAGTGAATCACTAAAAGACTAGTCACTCTTTCAGAGTCATATAATGAAGTCAAGTTTCTCCAAAGTCAAGTTTTCCTTTGCAACCTCAAACACATGCCTCCATCAGGAACACCACCTTTGTAGCAACTCTGAATTCCTGAACTATTCCACCTACAATAAAATCAAATGCTGCATTCTCTAACCATTACCTAAGGGATTTATGGGTCACTCAATAGGACATGTAAGATTCATTCAAGCTTTTCAAGCACGTTTTCAAGAAATACTCTGAGGAATCAAGGTCTTGTGAGATGTTATTAAAGCAAGTGACATAGTCTGGCATCTTTCTAGGTTTATACTCACCTGTCCATCATGTGGAAGCTGGAGAGTCACTTCTTTTGATAATTCAAGGTGAGACCTAAGTATTTCTTTAAATTATAGCAATGCTATCCATCCTAATTGTCAGCTTAGAAGCACTGGAGTTTTTCAGATTCCATTCACCATCATCTGTTCAGACTCTCACATGGAGGCTTTAGTGATGCAGAGAATTCAGCATGCATACAGTGCCTCTTTCTCATTCATATGACGATACCTATCGTGCTGTAGTGGCACTTTGTGCTGGTGCTATACAAATAACAAGATTCCTTGACATCAAGGACCTTGTATTATAAATAAGTAAGTGGTGATGATTAATAGCAAATCCTTATCAAATTCAAATGCCTGTAAACATGAAAGTAGTTTATGGGGCACAAATTACTTGCCAGTTTTAAGTTATAATTCTGATCCTATTGTGTCATCACCTGGTTCTTCTCAGGGATCCATTGACACATGTTTATCTCAAAACCTCACAGATGGAATTCATGTTTTATCCAGGATACAGGTTACCTGCAAAACCACTGCATGAAACAATAAATGAAAGTACAAGAAAAGAGTGTACAAGCATGAATTCTAGTGAGAAGCTAAATTGAATTTGGTACTGATATGTGTTTATGCACATAGAGAATATGGTTATTTTTTAAATCAATGAACAAGACATTTCTGTTTGTTAACACTATTTGTATTAGTACCATATTGCTTCTAGCAAGTGCGTTTTGTGATAACAGCATGAAATGCATTTCATTAAGTTAAAGTGTGCTGGCATTAAGGTAGTGGCTGATGACATTTCTAATTTGAAATGCCTGCAGAGTTAGTTTTATGGGGGCATTTTCCTTAGCAACCAAACCGGGCTATAGAATGTCTGTGGGACATTGCCTCTCCTTAGGCAAGAATTCATCCCTTTGGCCTAGTAGATTTTTATAGGCTGTAACAGTATTAAACAAAACATAGTACCCTTGCCACTTCTTCCCAGGAAGCAATACTATATTGTCTTTAGTTGTGCAAAAGTATCTTCCATTATTTTCATTCTGACTAGGTTAATAGTGGAAAAGAGGATGTGTCTTGGTATTTACCAAGTTTTTATATATAATAAAAAGTTGGATGTCTTATAATGTAAAAGAAAGAAAATATTTTTTTGCACTTCTGCCTCGAGCTTATTAAAGGGACATACTCTTCTAGCACTTGTACTAATAAGATTTGTAAGATGTTACAAATTATCAGAATCAATATTCTTTGGTGAATACTAGTTTCAAAGTTGTCCCAACTCTAGCTGTGCTGGGATTGGATATGTGCAGTTGTCTGTAACATAATGTAATACAGCATCATATACAATTAGGTGCTCAGGAAAAGTTTGAAAATGATGTGAAACAGTCCAAAGCAGCAATATATTTCTGTGATGTGCCTAATATGCTTACTTGAGAACTTTCTAAAGAATATTTTTACTTGGCATAAAAATGCTTAGTACTAGCTCACATTTATAATCAGTTTTATTAAACACTGAGTTCCACAGCTATTTCAGCTGTTTTGTTCTTTGCTTCAAAATAAAAAAAAGAAAGGACAAAATATATACATCTGAATAGACACTTTTTATTTTTAATAAAAATATGAAAAAGCTGTATTATTGAGTCTTTAAAAAGTATCTTGAGTGACAACAATTTAAGAGCACTTATTTTCTGGAAATCCAGGCAAAGTTTGATGAGAGGCACAGGTCTATGAGAAGTATTCTCCCTGCTTTCCAAGAACCCATGAATAATTTTTTTTAAAGCAGTATATGATAAATAAATATAAGTAGTGTATGTAATTATGGAAGATCAGATGAGGAGATGACTCGAGCTGGCTCTGTGTGTTCAGGAAAGTTTAATTATATAAAAGCTGGAGACCATTTGGTATTTTGTATTTTCTTAATGGATGCCAAATACTATAATAGAGTAAGATAAAGAAAACAAATCCTGATGAGTGCCCTCACATATCAGAATACAGAGGTGGGAAGGCATTATAACATTTTTATAGGGATTTTAATACTCAAAGTATGTTTGTATTTATTGACACATTTGGCTCTCACCTGTGAGAGCCTATTCATACATATAGTTATTATATACTGTACTAATATACTATGTTACTACTATGAAATTTATATTCTGAAGGTGGAATGTTGTACTTTAATTGGAGTTCCAATGTTTACTGCTTTTCTTTTAGTGGGTACCTCACTTCTTATCCCTTAGACTCAGTTTTATCCTTTATAAAATGTGAATAGGGATGACTAAATAAATTCATAAAGTTGTGGAAGGATCAAGGGAAACACAAAGGTAAGCAAACAAAATGCCAGTAGAAAAGCAGGCACCAAGAAAACATTTGGGTTCTTCATGATCTTTGCCATTGATGGGTTTATAAATCAATCCATTCATTCAATTAATCATGTGGTCATTCACCCTGAAACATGTGCCATACATTGTTCTGAGAACTGAAAATGCAAAGCTGAAACAGACAAGTTTTTTTCCCTCAAGAAACTCTCATTCTGAAAAGAACATACTCCTTGGGACACACTTTTATATTTGAGCTTGGGACCCTAGTTTTTCCTAACATCTGAGGTATGTAGACTCAGCCTCAGATTTGGTCCATTAGCCAAATGAATCCACCCACAACACCCTGAGACAAATCAGACAGGGATAATATCTGTTTGCTATGAGGAGACATGATTATTTCATTGGGACACAAAATTTTGCAGGCCTTAAATCTCATGAGATCACGCCTTCATGTCCAGAGATCAGAGTAGTCTCCTAAACTAATAATAATAAAAAAAACTTCTGTGCCCAACAGCGGTAAAAAGCCAATATCAATATATACCTTGGGTGACTTAAAATAAATTTTTTAAACTTAAACATAGTTTATTAAAGCTACTTAACTTAAAAGGGAAAATAGTTACTTTGAGAGAAACAAAAATCAAGAGCTTCTGACTTCTCAGAAACAATAAAATTTAAGTAACTTGAATTGGGAAGCATAGCCAAAAATGGTCACAACCAGCCACAGGTTAATAGAGATTAAGACAGTAATGTGAGGTCTTTGCTAGCTGTTCACTACATAGAAAATATATAGTCCTGGACTAATGGGATTTTAGTCCTAGAAGATCACATGACTTATTTGCATTAATACTCATAAATAATTAAGAAAAGTAAAGCTAATCAAATATCCAAACTACCCTCTAATACTTTAGGCAATTCTGTTCCTAATCCATATAATTCTAGCCTGTGTTTTTCCCTCTTGGTTTCTTTCCACTTTACCAAAATCAGATATGAACTAGCTGACACCACATTGTACACATTAAAATAATTTCCTTTCCTTGACATGTATCAGATGTAGCTTACAAAAGTAATAAATTAAATTACCACATATATTGCTCATTTTCTATCTTTAATTTGTACATTTGTCAAGGCCAACTTCCACAAATGCATTACTCAGAAATTGAATTTTTCTGTTAGAAATAAAATAAGCCACATAGTAATCTATCATTTAGTTTTCTGTACTTTTATGGGAATCTGATACAGAGTAGTAGCCAGGATGTTTAGATATGATAACAAAATACATCATTCAGACTCCTAATTTTTAATAAAGTCATGTCTGCAAGCTGATGAACCCTGATAACCTGAAGTTGAGTGTGGCATTTTCCATCAAATTATGTTTGGGTTTTCAAACAGTGGCTTAAAGCAGGTAATTCATTTCCTCCTATGTACTTTACTGGTCAACAGATGGATAGAAGCTATTTTATTAGGGCTTCATGGTCCAGCTATTCAAGTTTCCTGAAGATTTGGTTTCCAGGGAGGGGATGGGAGAGAGAGAAATAGAGGAGAAAATTTTCATATTCAAAACAATTACTAATTAGAAATATTTTATTTGATTGCTTGGGGAACTTACCAAAGTGATTCTCCCTGATATGTTTTATGCTTAAAAAAGGCATTGCAAGTTCAATTTCAGGTCATGTTGTCATACAATATATCTCTACACACAACAGCAACTGCTTCTAACAGAAGTGCTTTTTACTTTTCAAAACATTACTCAGAAATTTGAAAATCCATGTTGGCATTCTTTACCATTTTCTAATTAGTTCTGCTGGTTTAGTTAGAATGTAGAAACAGAAGGCTAGCAGAACTGTTTAGAAAACGGAAATTTTCACTCAAGGAAATAGATGCGTGAACATGTGTATATGTGTGTGTGTGTAAGTCCTCTAGTATAACACATAAAACTCTATAATTTAGCTATTGAGTATTTAGCCACTTCCTTGCACCATGCCTTATGGAATTCTTTGGTCTGACTTAAATAAAGACAGGAGTCAAACCATCTTTTTACTTTTATCTTACTTACCTACTTTTGCCACAAAACATGTTTGTTTGAGGATAAAATTATAAATTAAACTCTAACAACATACTAAAACATAATAGTGTCTAATTCATTCAACATTTAAAGAAAAGCCAGTGTAAAATGATTATTTAAAGCATGAATGGATTAACTAAAATAATTTCTACTGTAAGGAATGAACTAGTATTTGAATAATCTATTTATTCAGTGTTGCAAACCCAAATCCATAGTGTTTCACAGTGATTTACCATATTAAAGTTTTCCTATGCCACTTCTCTGTATGTACTCATATCAGGTCAGCATTTTAAGATTACATCAAATTATGATTGAAGATTTAGGAATAGACACAAAGGATAAGATAAAAACACACAGCTAGGCTAATTTAAAAAAAGAATTCTTCTTGTAATTTTATAGAAGTTGAAATGACAGATCTCAACTTGCAGAAATAAAGAAAATTTCAAAGCGGAGTAACTATTTTCCATAGAAAATGTACTATCAGTTATGAAAAATAAAGTTCCGGCCGGGCGCGGTGGCTCACGCCTGTAATCCCAGCACTTTGGGAGGCCGAGGTGGGCGGATCACCTGAGGTCAGGAGTTCGAGACCAGCCAGACCAACATGGAGAAATCCCGTCTCTACTGAAAATACAAAATTAGCCAGGCGTGGTGACACATGTCTGTAATTCCAGCTGCTCGGGAGGCTGAGGCAGGAGAATCGCTTGAACCTGGGAGGCAGAGGTTGCAGTGAGCCGAGATTGTGCTATTGCACTCCAGCCTGGGTAACAAGAGTGAAACTCCGTCTCAAAAAAAAAAAAAAGAAAAAAAAAGAAAAAGAAAGTTCCTCACTCTTGGTACTATGCTATAGAGAGAGAGAGAGAGAGAGAGAGAGAGAGAGAGAGAGAGAGAGAGAGAGAGAGAGAGAACGTCCATGGACGCGATTTGGGGTCCCTATAGAAAGGAAACAAAGTCATTTAATGTTACAGCACATTTGCAGTTAATGTCAGTGGACTGGGAAGTCAGACAATCCATATTCATAAATTTAGTTAATGAAAATAGACTGGCTCCCCGATCCTAGATCCTATAAAAAGTCCCATGTGAAGTGATTGTTGAACCCATTCTTCTACTAATAGAATTCACTAACACCTGAATATGCAAAGACGTTTGAAGACCTAATGTTAGCGAATGAAATTCTAACCTTGTTGATAAATAAATTATTTTCATTGAAGAGGAATGAAATTTGGCTTATCTTACCCAGTCCCTGGTGTACTAGACAGAAGTGTATATAAACCTACTTCATTGATGAAAATGTTATCACCTTTCAATGAAAAGTAAGATCATTAGAGACCCTAAATTATTATAGTAAGGAATTATTCATTTTTCTAGCAATTGAAAGAGATTTATAGATTATTATAAAGATTTTTGCAGTCACAGCAATGGTTTATTGGGTAAGAGTTATCAGGTATGCTCACCTAGCCCCAGGCTTTGTTTTCCTTGAATTCAGTTACAGGCATGTGAATCTGGAAGACAAGCAGGGCAAACTGTTAACAGAAATACCTACAGGAGGGCCCAAGCAAGCTTCCATAAGCAACCTCTCCTAAGGGAAGAGGAATTTGGCACAAGGTATATTTACAAACAGTTGATGATAGACTAAAGCCAACATGGATACCAGCATCATGTTGAATTAATGAATGTTAAAAACACAGATGACTGAAAGAAATATTGACTGCATGGATGCATCATTTACAGAATCCACAATCTCTAAATCAAGCAAGTTTTAGAAAAGGCACTGGACCTCCTCTAAAGGTGTAGTGAATGATCTGAGGATGCAGTTTTCATCTAACCATGGGATGATTTTATCACTGCTATAAAATAGCTGGTTATTATTTTAAGTATTTAAGCAGGAAGCTGTAAGAATCTATCTGAAGGTCTCAAACTCAACATAAACAAAACATCTTGCTCCTTGCTACTCTGAATTGTTGATACCCCAATACAACACAATTCATTAAAGGCACCATCAATGTAACTGCTCAAATTAACTATTGTGAGAAATTCTTAAATTGTCTTTATCTTATTCAAGCAGTCAACTATGTAAGCAGATATTAGCATTTTTACCTCTAATATATATCCAGATTCTATTCACTTTTATTCATTTCAATTGCTAAAACCCATTTTCAAGTCATAATCATCTTTTTTCACAGAGACTAATATAATAGTTTTCTAAATAATCTCCATCTTTTATCCTCTCATGTGTTCTCTTCTGAACACTCAAGGTGATCTTTTAAAAAAGTGAATCAGTTATATTACTACCTTGTGTTAAACCCTCATGATAAATACAATTTAAACTCCATAACAAAACAAAAAAGACAAAGGTCTTTTACAATCTGATCTCTCTCTGAGCACTCTCATTCTGTCATCTAAAGCTAACCTCTTTTTGTTCCTCAAAACGTGCTAGTCATAATTCTACCATAGCACCTTCATATTTGACATTTCTGAACGGAAAGCTCTTGAAACTGACTCTTTTTTGTCTTTCAGATCTTTACTCAAATAAGCATTCAGCCTTCTTGTCAATAAGTTGGATTTTTTTTTTTTGAGGATGCATACATATCTTTAGTTCTAGGAAATATTCTTTTTTATTAATTATGTTTAACTCTATCTTGAAAATTAACAGATACAAAAGCATGTTATCATAATTTTATGGATTTTCACAAACCTGGCACACACACTCACATAATCAGTATCCAAATTGAAGAAACTGAACACTACTGGCACCCTTATTAACCTTACCCAGATCTCCAATTCTGTCACAGTCCACTAAATAGAAACCAAACACTATTCGGAATGATGACACCATATATCAGTTGTGTTGGGTTTTGTTTTAAGTTTATATAAATGGAATCTTATAGTGTGCATTTTCTACGATTGTCTTGTTCCCCTCAACATTCTTTGTGAGATCTAACCATTTTATTATTTCATGTAATTTTAGCTCTTTCATTCTCATTATTGCATAGCATTTAACTGTATGAATATATCAACATGCATTTTCCATTCTACTTTTAATTTGCATTCATATAGTTTAAAATTGTAGGTAATTGTTAATAGTGTTGCCATGAAGATTCCAGAGTATGTCTTTTTATGGGCATATGAATATAAATGAGCTTTACTTTTCCTGGGAATTACATAAGAAAGGAATTACTAGGTCTTAAGTTATGCAAATGTTCAGATTCTCAGCTTCGGGAGACACTGCCAATAGCTTTTTAAAGCGGTGGTACCAATTTGCATTCTTCATGACTGTGTATGAAAATTCAGTTTGTTCAACATTTTTACCAATAGTTGGCTCTGTCTTGTCATTGTTACTGTTGTTATTCCTACTGAGGGTGTCATAGTAATGTATTATTAATTGAAATGACATTTTCTTGATGATTAATGGTTTTGAGCTCCTATCCATATATTCATTAGTCATTCAGGTATCTTCTATTCTCAATTGCCTAATTCAGGTCTTTTGCCCATTTGCAGGGGGAGTGGCTTAGTTAGAAGTTTTTTTTAAAAAAATAATATTTTAATATTTTATGTTTATTGAACATATAGTCACACAATTAAAAACTAAATAATTTTGTTAAAACAAAAGACATATTACAAGGGAAAAAATGGCAGAAATCTTCTCAATTTTATCTTTTTTTTCTCCCAGAGGTAACCAATTTCAACTCTTTTGGTAGTTGTCATTGGCCTTAGAGTTCACATTTCTAAAAAGCACGCTGGTACACTAATGAGTTTTTTTTTTTTTCTGTCTCTATGGCTGCATAGTGTTATTCAGTTAACAAATAATTATTTTCTGAAGTGTCAAGATAAATTTGAAGGAGAAGAATTAGAAGTATGTGTTCAACCCACCATCTTGGCTGGAACTCTCAGTGTGATATTTCTGAGTATACTTTCATTGTATAAATGTATGTTTCTATTCAGATGCAGTATAGCTATAACCTCCATTTTCTCTATCACTGGAACTCAGGCCTAGGTATGTCTAGTAGGTATGGACCAGTTATTTCATAGTAATTTATCTTCATTCAAAATTACTTATTGGTGCAAGATTTGAGGCAAATTATGCCAATTATACTTAAACATAATAGTGCTTATGTTAATATAAAGTTGTGTTTATTTGCATAGATATAGACTGGCCCCATGTTTACCAAATATTTCCTTATTACAACATGCTATATGAGTCAACCTTATTATACTTAATTATTATGCCATGTTTTATTTATGTTGTCCTATTCTATAATTAAATAAATACGTAATGCTTATTATTTAAAATACTGCCATGTTTACTTACCTCAACATCAATTATTTTAAACTGCCTGAACAGTTTTTGGGTAGTACAAACTATTTTATTATGTTTTTAGAAACTCATGTCTATCAGCCAGAGTAGAAAGTACATAATAAATTATTTAAAAATATTAATTAAATATGTTATATAACTAAAAAGTCTTTTTTAATGATCATAAAAATATTGATGTCATAAAAACACAACTCAATGTGAATCAAATATAAAACTAATGCTTGGAAGTGTAAGAGTCTATTCTTAATTTGTGTAACATTTAAGGTTTTACCTAACCAATGTGCATTTTTAGAAATTTAACCTACTTGCATTTTATTCTAGCTTTTTGCCTCCTCTCTAACAAAATATTTAGGATCCTATGTTCTTTTTCTTTAATAATATTTTAGATCAGACACACAACTAAGAAAACATCAAGAAAGATAAAAATATAGTATTTTTCAGTTTGGATTTTCATATCTTATGTCCTTCAGTTAGTCCAGTTTTCTTATCCATATGGATAAAAGCTGCTATTTTTATCTTCAGAATCTTGGGATACTTCAGAGAACAATTCTCAAACAACAACTTCAAACTGACAGACAGACTTCAAGGAACTATGCAGGATAGATGGGTGGCCAAATGACAAGCTTGGAAAGCTACAAGGGAGTGCTACCTGCTCCTCTCCGTCCATTCTTTGCTCTCTACTCTGAACTCCATGTCTTCCACCAAGGTTCACTTCACCACTGTGTCATTAAAATGTTCAGTACCAATATGCAGACTGTCCGCAATGATAGGTATAAACTGTTCAAGAAGACACCCATTTCTAGCAAAATTTCTGACTCCTTTCAAAATAAAAATTGGCCCTCTTACAGTAATTTCACACTGATATATGGCAGGGATTAATCCAAAATGCCTGCATATATTCAGGATAGCTTTCCTGAGTTGATTGGCCTTTGACTGTGAAATTTTAACTACAAAAATCAAGTTTATGAATCATATTTGTATGTACAAAGACATTCACTGTCAACTGACCTGTGAAAACATAAATCATATTACCAGTATGGGGATTATTATTATAAAAGAAATCTTTATGTAGAGAAGAATTACTAATGAGTCAAAGCAAACTCTCCCTTTTAATGAACAATTCCTGAAATGTTTCATAATGCAGGAAAAATTCCAGTCTGTCTACAACCCTTTCCCTATAGCTCTGTGGTTCTGTATGATAATGAGGGAAATTTATTATTGCTATTTCTGAAAATCCTAACTGCAATAAAATATAAAAAATATTTAAAAATCAGTGTGAATATTCACATTTTGTATGGTTCCTAAATATTTAATTATTTAATATCTTCAAATAATCAGCACCTTTTCTTTATTTTTTGATGTTGCCTTATTTATGATTTTTGCTTGAAGCTAGGAGAGCTCTAAGTGGAAAGATATATTATTGTATTGCGGAGTCCCAAACCCCCAGGACGGGGACTGGTACCAGTCCATGGTCTGTTAGGAACAGAGCCACACAGCAGGAGGTCAGGGGCCTGCCAGCGAGCATTACATTATTGCCTGAGCTCCATCTGCTGTCAGATGAGTGATGGCATTAGATCTTGTAGGAACAGGAACCCTATTGTGAATTGTGCATGTAAGGAATCTAGGTGGTGTGGTCCTTATGAGAATCTAATGCCTGATGATCTGAGATGGAACAGTTTCATCCCGAAATGTTACCCCCGCTGCCGCCCATCCTGAAAAAATTGCCTCCACAAAACTGGCCCGTGGTGCCAAAAAGGCTGGGGACTGCTGCTATATTGTGTATTAAATCCTGATATTTTTATTTGATTCATTTCACTTTAAAGAGTCAAAAAAGAATAGACTTCTTTTATATTTTCAGAATTTCAAATACAAATTATAAATTAAATTATGAAAATAATAAATATTACTCCTAATATTTTTAATGTTATCAATTTTCAAAAAGCTTTAATTGAGAACCTGGGAAACGTTATATTTCATTTTGCTCTTGAACAGCTAATAATGTATAACAGGCTATTAATTTTTTTTTCTATTTTATCTTCCAGTATAAATTTCCTTTTTGTGAATTGAGTGAGTCAATTGAGGAAATAAATTATTTGACCTGGGTTATCTACACTTTGCCTCCAAAGCAGAAACTGTTGTTCCGTATCTTCAGGCTGCTCTTTTCTTTTTGTATTTATGCCAGTTAAAGTAGAGAAAGAAAAATGAAAACAAGAAAAATAAAATAAAGTTCACATGGGTAGATGTCTATGGAAAATTAAATATCTAAGGATGCAAATTTATTTTTTTGCATGCATGTACATGTGAATGAATATAAACACAGTATATTGCATTTATATTCTATTCTGTTTCTTTAGGATTTAAAATTTACTATGTTGTACTATTCTTAAATTAAGATTTATTTAATGATGTTGTTGGATTTTGGAGGGGTTCTCCATAGAATAACAGGCTCTCTTTCAGATTTTCTAAATTCTTTCCCCAACCACAACTCATCACAATTTTTGCAAAGGATTGAATGGAACATTAGAGACCTTCCAGAATATTTGTACTGATTAATTTTAAAGGTATAAGATGCTAGGAGAAAGATTATTTGACATGATTTCCTACTGAAATCTCTGTATTTGTGGATGCATAATCGAAAACTCTTTCTTTAACATGACACAGTAGCATTGCTGTTTGATTTGTCTTTAAATTCCTATATTTAAATAAACTGTGGCAGAAAAAGGAACTTCTGGTAGAGAAATCTGTTTACCTCCACATCCTCTGGATGCAATAGCAGGGCAGATAGCTTTTCTGTCTAGACTAAGATAAGTGATTTCTATCTGCCAAGTGAGTAGCAGCAGGAGGCTGAACATCATTATTTGATTTCCCAGATTGTCCCAAAGCTGCTGTGTTAAATGTCCAATCGAAACAGCTAACGTTTACAAGTGGTGAAGTTAATTTACTACAAATGGCGGTGATATAGTTTATAATATCTTTTTTTTTTTGAGGCAGAGTCTCACTCCATTGCCCAGGCTGGAGTACAGTGGGGCAGTCTCGGCTCACTGCAACCTCCACCTCCCAGGCTCAAGTGATTCTCCTGCCTCAGGCTCCCAAGTAGCTGAGACTACAGGCCCATGCCACCACACCCGGCTAATTTTTGTATTTTTAGTAGAGACGGGGTTTCACCATATTGGCCAGGCTGGTCTCGATCTCCTGACCTCGTGATCTGCCCACCTCGGCCTCCCAAAGTGCTGGGATTACAGGCGTGAGCCACCACACCCCGCCTAGTTTATAATATCTTATAGGATGTTCACATTACAAAGAAATTTCAAGGTGATACATGATGACAGGCGTTTACCGTTTGTGAGAGAAGAAAGTCTTTCTCTAATAACAACGTTCCTAAATTTTTTTAAAAAAATCAATTTTTGGATTGTAGTATAGATTGGCACTCCAAAGTCCTTTTCGTTCAGAATCCATTCTCCCTATCCCCCACCCCCGGCCTGCCCTGTCCCCCTCGCAATCCCGCTGTCCCACTGCTGCCCCCGTCGTACTTCCACCCCATGTAATTATATTCCTTGCTAGGTGGTGACCATTGAAGTCTCTTCTAGAAAACAACAAGGCCATGACCCTCCAAAATATACTTTGAAAACTTCAATATCCCAGACATATTAAATAAAGATAGATGAATTTGCAACCCTAAAATCTGTTTTATTGACAAGCTATTATATTGACTTCCACACCTTGCTGAGTTAGAGAAGCACACTGTAGTTCACTCTCTTTCCCAAAATACAAACTCCTCCTATGGTATCCTTAACAGAAGTTTGCCTTTCCTGTGTTTGAAATTGCAATAGATAATTTTCCAAGGGAGACTACTTCCTTATTAGACACGAGAACTATTTGGAGGTTCATTCTTCTCATAGACACTGTGCTTACTTCACTAATAAGTTTCAGCAATTGTTCTTACTTTTGTCCTCCATAGAAGCTTAGCCAGGTTTCTTTCTTTTTTTTTTTTTACTTGAATGACAAGATAAAAGTGACTAAAACAATAACATTTTTAAGACGTATGATAATACAAAATGCCCTTTCAGTGCATGAAATTGGTCAGCATAACTAGAAAACTATCTCTCTTCCAAATGTATTTGTGTTCCAAACCATCAAAAGAACAGAAAGTGTGAGATATAGAGATATTGGATGACATATAATTCACCAGTCATTTGTATTTAAATGAAACTTCTGTTTCTTCCAAGTTTCTTAGACTAGATTTTAAAAAGTGCCATAGCATGAGAATATTTTGAAGGAAGTCTCAAAACGATGGTTTCAGATACAATTCTACATTATATATGGCTAAGTAGTTAATTTATTAAATATAAATGTGTTAATTTGGAAGACAGGTTATGGTTAGTAGGTCCTTTAATGCCATTTAAACTACTATTAATGTTATTTTTATTTGGCAGAAATCAAATTATTTTGGTTAAAGGTATGGCAAAAATAAAATAAATAATACATATTTTATGAGATTCGTTTGATGAATTCTAACTATTGGAGGCTTGCTTTCTTCTGGGATTTATAGACATCGAAGGAAGGAAATGATAAATAAAAGATTTATCTTAAACTGTAGGTAGTACCAGGGCAGGGGTTTAGGTCTACTTTGTTCATTGATATACCTCAACCAAATAGAATAATTCCTGGAAAATAGCAGATTCTCACAAATATTTTTGTTTGAAACCAAATTCAATAGTTATAACCTTACTCTACCTTCAAACTAGTATAGCAGTTCAGCATGAAACTCATATAATTCATAGAAATATGAATTGCAGACGAAGGAAATCTCCCTATCACATGTCCACAAGGATGCCTCTAGAATTAGAATATTGCTCACATAACTACGTTGAATGTTTACTTAATAGATATTTAACAAAAAATTACTATGTGGCACAACTGCTCTGATGTTGGGTTAAAATGGAGAATGTGCTACATCTAGATGCTTCTCTTAAGAAATTATGGTTTGGTTTAGGTAGATAGATAGGCAAAGAGAAAATCACAATAAATGCTAGTAAGTACTATTTAAAAAGATTTATGTGAGACAGTGGTGGTTCCCTGTTCTCACTCATGATTTATCCTACATCTTGATAGAATGTTGCTACTGCTTAGCACTAGAGAATTTATTTTATTTTCTAAATATTAAATTATTATTTATTTTTCCAAAAACACATGAGGTCTTCTTAGCCCAATTCCAGGCTTAAATTTCTTAATGATTTCTTCATATTAGCATGCCATATAAAGCTCTCTTTGTAGTGTCTTTGAAAATAATCTAGGCCCTGTTTTATTTAGTTAACAAGATATATATGCATCATTATTGGAGCATCTACCATGCCACATCTTGAACAGCAGATGAATTTACATTCAGAGACACATGGATCATTAAAAGATTCTTTAACAATACTCCAACCTAAAGAACTCAACTCTTTTACTTAATTAGTTTTTTGTTTGTTTGTTTGTTTTGCCCACTGGCAACTCTATCTGCCCTCACATCAGTACCTGAATACATAATCAATTCTAACCCTTCATCATTTAAGGACTCACTATATAGCATTTCATTTGGAGCTAGCAGATCTAGGTTTCTAAACTCAGCACCTTACCAGCAAATTATTTTATCTTTTCTTTGATAAATGGTAACAATGAGCTTGGAATAAGAATTCTGTAATTACTGAATTATCATAACATCATAGATTTGTTATGATTAGTCAAATTAATCAAATTTGTTAAATTAGATCACGTGTATAAAATATCCTGCTGCAAAACAACTGGTAAATAGTAGATGTTCAATAAAATGGTTCCATAAACACTTCTTTTACAGAATTAAAAAAAAATCTCTTCTTCCTCATTCAGCCATCTGCTATCTTTTTTCTTATGAATCCCGACCCTTGGTATAACCTTGCTTTCTCTCCCATCACGACTTTGCCACCACTAAGTTTGTACCTGTCCTATGGTTTTTACAACACTTCATCTTTTAGTATAATTGTTTGACTACCAGCATGCTCTCCTAGTTGCCCTTGAAAATAAGAAAAAGGCTTACTAGTATTTATATGATTTTGATATCTAAGAGAGTGTCTGTTCCATAGCAAATGTTTAAGAAGGGTTCAATAAGTGGATTTATTTATTGAATGCCTACTATTTTATAGATACCATGCTAATTTATAAATAAACACAAATGACACAAAACAGACAAGGTGCTAGACCATTCAGTGGTATAGACATGTACATAGGCAATTGAAATAGAAGTTTTGTCTGAACTGAGATACAGTGCCTTTTGATTGGAAGCACTGAAGGAAGACTATATCACAAACTAAGTCAGGAAAAGCCTTTCTGGAAGAACGTTTGTCTATTTCTGGACCTAAGAATAAGCAGAAATCACACACACACAAAGATGAATATCTCCAGATGAAAGATTGGAAATGCAAAGATATGTACAACAGGAAGAAAGCAGGACATACTTGGGACACCCTGGAGCAAGTTCACAGAGGAAAGTGTGAATCCAGTTTGAACATGTGCATATTTGTGGCACCTCGAGGAATATATAGGGAGATGGAGACTCGATAATTGTATGAAGAATCATGAAGCCTCTTATTAATGTCTGTTGGGTGGGGCATAGCTATTTAGGTATCAATGGCAATTGAAGCTTAGAAACTATCTAGGAGAACTGAGGAGAGTAAGGAAATAAAGGCTTTTGAGCAGAGCTTGAGGAAAAACCAACAATCAATGAAGAAACATTCTATAAAAATAAATAAAATATTATAAATATTTAAACTTTATGCATAATTTTATTTTAATACTAAAATGCCTTGTTCTCAGATCTCTCTTCTAACCTACCTTTTCAATTGTTTATAGTCTTATTTATTTTTACCAATACTTACTCAGATATTTTATTTGCATTTTCTCAAAAGAATTCATTCTAGTTATTTTCTGAGTGTTTTAGGTAGTTTACCCTTTAGGGAGAATGTACTAACAGTGCAGCAAGGTTGTGTTTAATAGGAGAATGGGGGTGGATAGGAGAGTTGGGAGGAATAGAGAAGATCAGGAATAAATTATGTAAGTAGAAATAGTAAAGGTCAACAAGATGAATTCATTTTTATAAAATATTTTAGAGCAGAATGATAATTTTTAAAAAATGACCAACATTGCTATCATTAATTTTGTGGGGACATCCAATGAAAACATATACTAACTGTTCATGGTGGCCAAGGCAAGTTTGCAAATTGAATTATGAATGGAATTTCCAAAAGGGAAAATTTTTATGTTAGGGTATTTTACAAAGAGAGACAAGTCTTGTATTATTTCCAAGCATCTATTATTATATAATTCTATATCATTTGTGGAGATTTAATTTATTTGACAAGAAAGAAGATCATTTTCTTTTTGAGAACCCAATCTTCTAGTCACTTGCAATGATCTACAAATTTAAATGCGCCCAAATTGGTGTGTTCCATAGTTGAAATCATTTCCTATACTAGCACCAGGGTTAATTCCAGTGAGATAATATATTTAAAAAACCTGGAGGATTTTTTTTTTATTATCTTATTGTTAGGAAGACGGTATAAAATATTATGTCTGGATTTAGAAAGCCATTTAACAAACATTTATCCTTGTGAATAAAATGGAGAAATATAGATGGAATAATAACAGAGTTAATTGAATCAATAGGAAGTAGGAGGTAAGAGTCCAAAGGATATTGGTTATTATTTGTTTCAGTAATAATAAATTAAAATTAATAATTATTAAAATACCACATTTTAAGTGTTCACTATATACCATATACTCTGCTAAACCATTTATGTGTGTGAGGTATCACATAATGGCAACATGTGTGGAAAAGAGACTTTAGCTCACATGAGTCAAAAAATGTGATGAGCTTGCCAGAATATCTTATGGAGAATGAAGCTCTAAGAGTAGAGTATTTGCTTGATTAAAAAGAGCATACTAATCCTTGGAGAACTGGAGTTCAGGTCTGGGCATTCTGCTTTTGAGAGATTTTGACACACTGGCCAGAGGTGTGACTGGGCCAGTGTGGGAATTCACAGCCATGCCCTGTAAAAAGCAAGCAATTGCTGGTAGAATTCCGTATATGCTGAGTTCTCTGGCAAGTATTCTTTATTTTAAAAATCAGTTAATGGGACACATTGCTACTCTCCCTGGGGCCCATCCCACTGATGAACATTACAGACAAGTTTTTTCCTCTGAGACAAGCAGCATATGGAGTGAAAACTTAATTAAAGCAGTGACAGAGCTAAGAGAAGGAAAACAGAGAAGGCAGAAGGAGATAGTGATGCAGAAAGATTGAGACAAGAGGAATAAAGAAACCAGGAGAGAGAATTAGAGACCTGCTGACAAGGTAGAAAATTCTGGTCTCTCACCCATATTTCCAGTGACAATACTTTCAGTGCCTGCCTAACAACATTCTTCTTGAAAATATGTTCATTAGTCAGTTATTCACTGATATTTTCTGAGAATCAACCACTTCTCATCTATTATTCTAGGAGCAGGAATATAGCAGTGAATATGGGAGAGAAAGCCCTGGCTCTCCTGGAATGTATATTCTAGTGGAATGAAATAAAATACTTACAATTTTGTTTTTATTTATATTTTAAAGTGTTATATTCAATGCCTCATTAAAAATGCATTGTAGAGAGGCCAACGTGGGAGCAGGGAAACTCAGCGAGATTATTGCAGTCACTCAAGACAAAGATAAACTTAGGACAAAAATAACAGTGAGGAGATAAAACTGTGAGTGGAGAGAGGTGGATGAGAAGTGAATGGATTTGGGATACATTTTATTGGTAGAGTAAAAATCTAGTGATGGTGGATATGAAGGGATGGGCTAGAGAATAAATAAAAGCAATTTCTAGAATTTTGGCTGGAGCAAATATGTAGATTGCAATGCCTTGTAGCAACAAGGATTAAAATTGGGGAAGAATGAAGGATAAACAAGGTCAAGGTTTAAGATACAGATTAGACATACTAGAGGAAATATAAAGTTAGCAACTGTTAAGTATGAGTTTGGAATTCAGAGTTATTCTTGGAATGAAGAAACATATTTGGAAACCATTGACTTGCACATGGTACTTACATTTTAGATAGAGAAAGTAGTGCAAGGCAGGCCTCAGGGACACTAACACTGAGTGGTGAAGCAGCAAATAATATCAAATGAGTCTGAGAATAAAAAGAAAAACCAGATGAGTGAGGGTTCCCAGAAACCAAGAGAGGGTGTTTCCAAAAGAAAAGAATCATTAATTCTGTCACATGCTGCTGAGAAATCAAGTAAGAAATTTAAAGGAGATAATTTACCATGCATTTAGAACCATATATTCATTGGTTATCTGGACTCTGACAATTTGTGGAGTGATAGGAATTAAATAAAGTATGATTTAAGTGGATTTTGAGGAAAGAATGTGAGGAAAGAATTACAGATATTTTTTTCAACAAGTTTAAAGACAAGCAAAGAACTTAGTCATAACTGTGCATTATGAGGGATTGATTTGATTTGTTTTCTGTAAAATCAGTGAGGCAAGGGCATGTTTGTGCACTTATGAACTGATGGAAACAATTATGTAGAATTGTCAAAATGCATGCAGTAGATAAGGGCTATCAGCAGGTGTGCAGTCATAAGGATGAAGGTGAGGGGATGAGGCATACAGGTCAAGGGCAATAGTGAGCATGAGGTAGGAGCAGGAAGACCTAATGTATAGAGTGGGAGGAGGGAGGACACAAGAGGGCCACAAATGCTAAAAACTGAAGTATTTATGATCAAAGAATGTGAGAGTTTCTTTTTATTTTAACGTGAGTTTGTTCCTTCATGACGGTAATTTTTCCCTCATGGCATAACCTGGGAAGTAGAGTTCTGTGGGGTTCTAAAGGGAAGAAACAAGGCTCAGTTTAAATCCCTTCTAAATCAAGAACTGGGGATTGCTCCAAAGAAGACCCACACAATTGGCCCTATTTACCTGAAGACTACTAATGAGCAAGAGACAGACCTGTTCCCCCAAATGGGCAATATAGTGAAGGAACAAGTCAGAGTGAAGATACATGGGTTTTAGAGTTTGAATAGGAGAAAGCAGCAGATAAAAGGAAAATGCTTTACTCTGTCATGAAAAAGAATTTCTGAATGGCAGCAGAAGGCAAAAATAGTATTAATGGCTGTGAATTAGAGGAAGAAAGATGTCAGTTGTCGTAAAGAAAACCTTAAATATAGACAGGTCATTAGTTTCAGCAGTCTACAAGTGTTCAAGTTAATATTGATTGATCTCATGGAGATTGAAGTTACATTTTAGAGACAAGCTTTATGTGGGTCTTAGAGAAAATGAAAAGGCTAACTCAAGATTTATTCTAATTCTCAGATTTCAGAGATTCTGTTATTATCAATACTAGGTTACCAAAAGGGCTCATGATAGAAGGAGAAATAATATTAATCATCAGAATCTACACATTAATGGAATTATGCAAAAGAAAATGTCTTTATAAATTATAAATTTCTTTGTAAAGAAAGTGATTTTATTATTCAGAAATTATTTTTATATCATTACCTTTTGGGACACAGCAATTCTATGAATTTATATGGCAGTTATTATTATCACCAATTTTATAAATAGCAAAATTAAAGCTAAAAATTGTAGTGACATCAGCAACATGGACAAATGTGGATTTTCTTGCTCTTCTTCCACCCATGGATATGCTAAATAAACATCTACTTTTAGATCAATTCCCTCTGAGAGGACATCATAGACAAGTTGAGAGACTTCTACCCATTGGGCAACTGAGAAAGCATCCACCCCAAACAAGTAGAAAAAGGTGAGGAACACTAGGGTATAGATCCCACCCTGGACACTGTACCATACAACTGAGAAAGAAATCCTCAAACTCTGCTTTTCTCTGTGGAAAGTTTGTACCTCACGTGTAGCATTTGGCTAAGGCTCTCCACAATTTGGCCCTTAAATAATGAACCCTGGGAGCAGAGGAGATTAGACACATATGAGTCTCTGTAGACCACAGGAAAAAAGTAGCAGCTTGATATGAAAGCATGAGCACTTCTAGGGACTTTGTCCCCTAGGAGCAGAGCAGAGAAGGAGTTTAAGAAACGAAGCCCCATGTTTCTACTTGGAAGTGGTTAATAACCCATTCATCCAATGGCTACTTGTTGGGCTGGCTCCTAACTAACTTGCATTGGGATGTTAAAGAGACAGACAAGCATTAGCCTGACCAACAACCTAAGAAGCAGACTAGTTCTTTTCAGTCTGCTCTCATGGCTCACCCTAGCAAAAATTCCATATAACTTAATCCCTCCTGGAAGGAGTTTATTTCCTCATTGAGTGCCCCAACTTTTAAAGCTCCCACCTAAGGGAATACATCCTAAACCTCCTAGCTCAAAAGCAAAAAAAGACGAAGTATATGTGAGTATATGTAGACCACAAAAATGTGTCAGGTTTATATGGATGTGTAAGCACTTGTATGGGCTTCATTTCCCAGAAGTAGTACAGAAAAGGGGCTTTGAAAATGCAGCTCCCTGGTTCCTTCTGTTAGATGTTATGCAGCAACTGCTCCAAATTGCACAGCTACCTCCCAAAGGACTCAGTCCTAAACTTCTTAGCTCTGGAACAAAATGAGTAGGCATCCACGAGTCTCTCTAGATCACAGAATAGAGAGGTAATTTTAAATGGATGTGCAAACACTTGCGGGGGCTATATTCTCTGGGGGCAGTGCAGAAAGGGGTTGGGAATGTGTAACTCCCCTTTTCTCTCTGAAGGGATTTACAACACTCACGTTCGGTGTCTACTTGATAATCTGGCTTCTAATAAACTTGCATCAGGAAGCTAGTGGAGAAAACAAACCACAGCCCACCAGTAGCTAGAGTCAAAGCTCAACACTTCATAAGCATTCCCTCTCTCTCACCCCAGTGATAAATCTAGGCCTACCTGCTTTTTTCTAGAAAGTTTGATCATGCAGCAAGTGCAACAACTTCTTTTACTGAAAAAATTTTCTCTTTAATGGACTAGCTCTATGAGTAGATGGGGCTATGCATTTCTGAATGGCACTATACCATAGAAAACAAAGACATAGATGTACAATGGGGACGTTTCTAGCAGCTGTCTCCCCAGGATCAGAGGGCACAGCCTGAATGTGAAAACAGACATTTTCCACAAATTCTCTACTCAGCTTCGTGCAGGAAGTGTGAGCAAAAAGACTCATGCTTAGCCTCACCATGATTATAGAAAGACCTGAAACACACAGCCAACATCCCAAACTTTCCAACTACATCTAGAGAGTCTGGCTCCTATTAGTTTTAGTCTCAGAGTACTGATAGGATCAGGCATACTCTAAGCTCCAGAGGGCCACCAAAAACAGAGATAGCAATCTGTACAAACACATATGTTTGAGAGGCACCTTAAAGTCTTGAACTAGATGAATTGGCAAGATCTGTTTCCTACATAAAGCCAGTCTGACAAGACTGAGAGAAGTAGCTGTGTTATCTAATGTGCAGAAACTAAAACAGAGTCAAGGAGAAACAGGGAAATATAATCCAAACGAAATAACAATATAAATCTCCAGTAACCAATCATAATGAAATGGAAATATGTAATTTACCTGGCAGGGAATTGAAAATAATCATTATAAAGATGCTCACCAAAGTCAAGAGAGTGGTCAATGCAAGAGCAAACTGAAAACTTAAAGAGATAGAAAGTATTTACAAGTAATAAATAGAAATCATAGATTTGAAGAGTACTGTAACTGAACTGAAAAAATTAATAGAAGGGTTCAAAAGCACACTAGATCACTCAAGAGAAAAGATTAGTGAACTCAAACACAGGTAACTAGAAACCATCCAGTCTAAGGAGCACAAAGAAGAAAAGAAGGAATATTAGTAAAGATAGCTTAAAAAACTTACAGGGCATCATAAATTTTTCAGAAGGAAAAGAGACAGATGAAGGGACAGAAAATATATTCAAAGAAATAATGGCAGAAAAAAATCCAAAACCTGAGAAAGTAAAAGGAAAGCCAGATATCGAAGGCCCAAAAGATGTCAAACAAGATGAATCTAAAGAGACCTACACCAAGACATTATAATTAAATTATCAAAAGTTAAAGAAAAAGAGAAAGTGTTAAAAGCAGCAAGAAAAAACAATCCTCACATACAAGGGAACTTCCATAAGACTATCAGTGGCTTGCTCTGTAAAAACTTTACAGGCCAGAATGAGTTGAATGAAATATTCAACATTTTAAAACAAATAAAAAGTCTGCCAACCAAGAATACAGTACCCCAAAATCCTTTCTTTATAAGCAAAAGAGTGATAAGGACTTTCTCAGACAAACAAAAGTGAGGAGACTCTGTCACCTATATTACAAGAAATGCTAAAGCAGAGGTTGCAATCCTAGTCTCTGATAAAACAGACTTTAAACCAACATAATGGTAAAGAGATCAATTACAGGAAGAGCTAACAGTGACCTAAATATATATGCACCCAATACAGGAGCACCCAGATTCATAAAGTTAGTTCTTAGAGACCTACAAAGAGACTTAGACTCCCACACAATATTAGTGGGAGACTTTAACACCCCACTGACAATATTAGACAAATCAATGAGACAGAAAATTAACAAGGATATCTAGGACTTGAACTCAGCTCTGGACCAAGCAGACCTAATAGACATCTACAGAACCCTCCACCCCAAATCAACAGAATATACATCCTTCCCAGCACCACATCGCACTTATTCTAAAAGTGATCCCAAAATTGGAAGTAAAACATTCCTCAGTGTGGGTGGCAAGCCACCCAGGTGCCGAGGCAAGAGACTGAAGGCACAAGCTGTTCCAGTATGATAAAGAATAAATTTAGAATAAGAATAGTTATACCAGAAATAGAATATAGACATGATTATATATGAATATTGTTAATCATTAGTTTGTAGCATTACTCTTTATTATATTAATCTCTGTTCTATAATTATTACCTGTTCTATAATTATTACCTAGGAAAAACCAGGCTATACAGAGTTAGGAACTGAAGGGACATGGTGAGAAGTGACCAGAAGGTGAGTGTGAGCCCTCTGTCATGCCCGGACAGGATCACTAGGGGGCTCCTTGGTCTAGCAGTAATGCCAGTGCCTGGGAAGGCACCTGTTACTTAGCTGACTTTGGTCTAGCAGTAGCGCCAGTGCCTGGGAAGGCACCTGTTACTTAGCAGACCAGGAAAGGGAGTCTCCCTTTCCCCAGGGGAGTTAGAGAACACTCTGCTCCATCACCTCTTGTGGAAGGCCTGACATCAATCAGGCCCACCCGCAGCCATCCTAAGGCCTAAATGTCTCCCTGTGAGCTGTGCTTCAGTGGTCATGCTCCTAGTCCACTTTCATGTTCCGCCCTGTACACCTAGCTGCACCTTCTAGATAGCAGTAGCAGAATTAGTGAAAGTATTAAGGTCTTTGATCTTTCCAAGAAGTGCATAGAAATAATGATGTAAGCTGTCCCCTCTCTCTCTCTGCCTCAGCTACCAAATAGGGAAGGGCTGCCTGTCCAGTGGACATGTGACTCGCATAACCTTACCTATCATTGGAGATGACTCACATTCCTTACTCTGCCTCTTCATCTTGTACACAATAAATAGTAGCATGGCCAGGCATTTGAGGCCACTACCGCTCTCTGTGTCTTGGTGGTAGTGTTCCCCCGGGCCCAGCTGTCTTTTCTTCTATCTCTTTGTCTTGTGTCTTTATTTCTATGATCACTCATCTCCACATACGAAAAGAAAAACCCACTGGTCCTGTAGGGCTGGACCCTACACCTCAGCAAATGTAAAAGAACAGAAATCACAACTACCTATCTCTCAGACCACAGTGCAATCCAATTAGACCTCAGGATTAAGAAACTCGCTCAACACTGTGCAACTACATGGAAACTGAACAACCTGCTCCTGAATGACTACTGAGGAAATAACACAATTAAGGCAGAAATAAAGATGTTCTTTGAAACCAATGAGAACAAAGACACAACGTACCAGAATCTCTAGGACACATTTAAAGCAGTGTGTAGAGGGAAATTTATAGCACTAAATGCCCACAAGAGAAAGCAGGAAAGATCTAAAATCGACACCCTAACATCACAATTGAAATAACTAGAGAAGCAAGAGCAAACAAATTAAAAAGCTAGCAGAAGACAAGAAATAACTAAGATCAGAGAAGAACTGATGGAGACAGAGACACAAAAAACCCTTCAAAAAATCAATGAATCCAAAAGCTGTTTTTTTGAAAAGACCAACAAAATAGACCGTTAGCCAGACTAATAAACAACAAAAGAGAGAAGAATCAAATAGATGCAATAAAAAATGATAAAGAGGATATCACCACCTATCCCACAGAAATAAAAACTACGATCAGAGAATATTATAAACACCTCTATGCAAAGAAACTAGAAAATCTAGAAGAAATGGATAAATTCCTGGACACATACACCCTCCCAAGTCTAAACCAGGAGGTAGTTGAATCTCTGAATAGACCGGTAACAGTTTCTGAAATTGAGGCAATAATTCTCAGCCTACCAACCAAAAAAAGTCCAGGAACAGATGGATTCAGAGATGAATTCTACCAGAGGTACAAGGAGGAGCTGATACCATTCCTTCTGAAACTATTCCAATCAATAGAAAAAGAGGGAATCCTCCCTAACTCATTTTATGAGGCCAGCATCATCCTGATACCAAAGACTGGCAGAGACACAACAAGAAAAAGAGAATTTTAGGCCAATATCCCTGATGAACATTGATGCAAAAATCCTCAATAAAATACTGGCAAACTGAATCCAGCAGCACATCAAAAAGCTAATCCACCATGATCAAGTCGGCTTCATCCCTGGGATGCAAGGCTGGTTCAACATACGCAAATCCATAAATGTAATCCATCACATAAACAGAACCAACAACAAAAACCACATGATCATCTCAATAGATGCAGAAAAGGCCTTTGACAAAATTCAACAGCCCTTCATGCTAAAAACTCTCAATAAATTAGGTATTGATGGAATGTATCTCAAAATAAGAGCTATTTATGACAAACCCATAGCCAATATCTGAATGAACAAAAACTGGAAAGATTCCCTTTCAAAACCGGCACAAGACAAGGATACCCCCTCTCACAACTCCTATTCAATAGTATTGGAAGTTCTGGCCAGGGCAATCAGTCAAGAGAAAGTAATAAAGGGTATTCAATTAGGAAAACAGGGAGTCAATTTGTCTCTGTTTTCAGATGACATGATTTTATATTTAGAAAACCCCATCATCTCAGCCCAAAATCTTGTTAAGCTGATAAGCAACTTCAGCAAAGTCTCAGGATAAAAAATCAATGTGCAAAAATGACAAGGATTCCAATATACCAACAGCAAACAAACAGAGAGCCAAATCATGAGTGAACTCCCATTCACAATTACTACAGAGAATAAAATACCTAGGAATCCAACTTACAAGGGATGTGAAAGACCTCTTCAAGGAGAACTATAAACCATTGCTCAATGAAATAAAAGAGGACACAAACAAATGGAAGAACATTCCATACTCATGGATAGGAAGAATCAATATCGTGAAAATGGCCATACTGCCCAAAGTAATTTATAGATTCAATGCTATCCCCATCAAGCTACGACTGACTTTCTCCTCAGAATTGGAAAAAACCACTTTAATTTTCATATGGAACCAAAAAAGAGCCTGCACAATCCTAAGCAACAAGAACAAAGCTGGAGGCATCACACTACCTGACTTCAAATTATACTACAAGTTTACAGTAACCCAAACAGTATGGTACTGGGTATATAGTATATATACTATATATAGACTAATGGAACAGAACAGAGGCCTCAGAAATAATACTACACATCTACAAGCATCTGATATTTGACAAACCTGACAAAAATAAGCAATGGGAAAGGATTCCCTATTTAATAAATGGTGCTTGGAAAACAGGCTAGCCATAAGTAGAAAGCTGAAACTGGATCCCTTCCTTACAACTTATACAAAAATTAACTCAAGATGGATTAAAGAGTTAACTGTAAGACCTAAAACCATAAAAACCCTAGAAGAAAACCTACGCAATACCATTCAGGACATAGGCATGGGCAAAGACTTAATGACTAAAACACCAAAAACAATGGCAACAAAAGCCAAAATTGAAAAATGGGATGTAATTAAACTAAAGAGCTTCTACAAAGCAAAAGAAACCATCATCAGAGTAAACAGGCAACCTACAGAATGGGAGAACATTTTTGCAACCTATCCTCTGACAAAGGACTAATATCCAGAATCTACAAAGAACTTCAACAAATTTACAAGAAAAATCAAACAACCCCATCAAAAAGTGGACAAAGGATATGAACAGGCACTTCTCAAAAAAGACATTTATGCAGCCAATAGACATATGAAAAAATTTTCATCATCACTGGTCATCATAGAAATACAAATCAAAACCACAATGAGATACCATCTCACGCCTATTAGAATGGTGGTCATTAAAACGTCAGGAAACAACAGATTCTGGAAAGAATGTGGAGAAATAGGAACACTTTTACACTCTTTGTGGGAGTGTAAATTAGTTCAACCATTGTGGAAGACAGTGTGGCAATTCCTCAAGGATCTAGAACTAGAAATTTGACCCAGCAATCTCATTACTAGGTATATACCCAAAGGATTATAAATCATGCTGTTATAAAGACACATGCACATGCATATTTATTGTGGCACTATTCTCAATAGCAAAGACTTGGAACCAACCCAAATGTCAATCAATAATAGACTGGATAAAGAAAATGTGGCACATATACACCACGGAATACTATGCAGCCATATAAAAGGATGAGTTCATGTCCTTTGCAGGGACATGGATGAAGCTGGAAACCATCATTCTCAGCAAAATGTCACAAGGACAGAAAACCAAACACTGCATGTTCTCACTCATAAGTAGGAGTTGAACAATGAGAACACATGGACACAGGGAGGGGAACATTACACACTGGGGCCTGTTGTTGGGCAGGGGGCTGGAGGACGGATAGCATTAGGAGAAATACCTAATGTAAATGACAAGTTAATGGGTGCAGCAAACCAACATGGCAAATGTATACCTATGTAACAAACCTGCACGTTGTGCACACGTACCCTCAAACTTAAAGTATAATAATAATAAAAAAAGAAGAAAGAAATTGAAAAAATTTTAAAACAATTAATAATGGAAACAAAACATACCAACACCCGTGGGATACAGGAAAAGCAGTACTTAGAGGAAAGTTTATAGCTATCAGTGCCTACATCAAAAAAAGAGAAAAACTTCAAATAAGCAATCTAACATTGCTTAAAGAACTAGAAAAGCAGGAGCAGACCAAACTGAAATTAGTAGAAGAAAAGAAATGAGATTAGAGGAGAAATAAATAAATTTGAAATGAAGAAAACAATACAAAAGATCAGTAAAACAAAATTTGGTTTTTAAAAAGTTAAACAAAATTGAAAATCCTTTAGTCAGACTAAGAAAAAAAGAGAGAAGTTACAAATATATAAAATCAGAAATGAAAAGGGAGACATTACAACTGATACTGCAGAAATTTCAAGGATCATTAAGGGCTGCTATGAGAAAACTATGTGCCAATAAATTGGAAAATCTTGATGAAATGGATAAATTCATAGACACAAACAATCTACCACAATTGAATAAGGAACGAATTCAAAACCTAAACAGACCAATAACAAGTAATGAGATTAAAGTCATAATAAAAAGTGTCCCAGTAAAGAAAAGCCCACAACCTGATGGCTTTATGGCTGAATTCTACCAAACATTTAAAGAACTCATACCAATCACACTTAAAATATTCTGAAAAACAGAGGAGGAGAGAATGCTTCCAGATTCATTCTACAAGACCAGTAGTACTGTGATACAAAAATCAGACAAAAACACATCAAAAATTTAAAAAAAAGGAAACTGCAGGCCAATGTCTCTGATGAATATTGATTTAAAAAATCCTCAACACAGTACTAGCAATCCAAATTCAACAAAACATTAGAAAGATCATTCATCATAGTCAAGTGGGATTTATTCCTGGGATGCATGGATGGTTCAACATATGCAAATCAATCAATGTGATATATCATATCAACAGAATGAAGGATAAAAACTATATGATGATTTCAAGATGCATTTAATAAAATTCAGCATCTCTTCCTTATAAAAACCTTCAAAAACTGAGTATAGAAAGAATATACCTCAATATAATAAAAACCATATATGATAGATCCACAGCTAGTATCATACTGAATGAGGAATAATTGAAAGCCACTCTGGAACATGCCAAGGATGCCCACTTTTACCACTGTTATTCAAAATAGTATTGGAGGTCCTACTAGAGAAAGATATAGAGGGCATCCAAACTGAAATGGAAAAAAATCAAATTATCCTTGTTTTCAGATCACATGATCTTACATTTGGAAAAACCTAAAGATTCTGCCAAAAAACTATTAGAACTGATAAAAAATTTAGTAAGTCTGCAGAATACAATATCAATATACAAAAATAAGTAGTATTTCTATATGGCCACAGTGAGCAATCTGAAACAGAAATTTAAAAAAATCCCATTTATAACAATCACAGATAAAATTAAATATCTAGTAATTAACTTAACCAAATAAGTAAAAGATTACCATAATGAAAACTATAAAAAACTGATGAAAGAAATTGAAGATGACACCAACAAATGGAAAATATTTTGTTCATTGATTGGAAGAATCAATATTGTTAAAATGCCCATAATAACAAAAGCACACTACAAATTAAATGCAATCCATACTTAAATGCCTATGATATTCTTCACAAGAATAGAAAAAAAATGTAAAATTAATATGGTACTATAAAAGGTCCAGAATAGCCAAAGCTACACTAAGTAGAAAGAAAAAAACTGGAGGAATCACATTGTCTGACTTCAAATTATACTAAAGAGCTATAGTAACCAAAATAGCATGGTACTGGCATAAAAACAGACACATAGGCCAATGGAACAAAATAGAAAACCCAAAAACAAATCCACACATTTACAGTGAACTCAATTTTGACAACGTTTCCAACAACATACACTAGGGAAAAGACAGTCTCTTCAATAAATGGTGCTGGGTAAACTGGATATCCATATGGAGAATTATGATACTAGAGCCCTATCTTTCACCATATACAAAAATCAAATCAAAATAAAGGCCTAAATCTAAGACCTCAAACTGTAAAACTGTGATAATAAAACATTAGGGAAAATCTCCAGGACATTGGTCTGGACAAAAATTTCTTTTTCATTACTCCACAAGCACAGGCAACCAAAGCCAAAATGGACAAATGGGATTACATTAAATTATAAAGCCTCTGCACAGCAAAGGAAACAATCAACAAAGTGAAGAGACAACCCACAGAATGGGGTAAAATATTTGCAAAACACCCATCTGACAAGAGATTAATAACCAGAGCATATAAAGGGCTCAAAAAACTCTGAAGGAAAAAAATTTAATAATCCAATCAAAAAATGGAATAAAGATCTGAATAGATATTTATCAAAGACATGTCTTTGAGACAGGCATATGAAAAGGTGTTCAACATCATTGATTATCAGAGAAATTCAAATCAAAACTACAATGAATTATCATCTTACCCCAGTTAAAATGGCTTTAATCCAAAAGACAGGCAGTAACAAATACTGTCGAGGGTGTGGAGGAAGAGAACCCCCATATACTGTTAGTGGGAATGTAAATTAGTACAACCACTGTGGAGAAAAGTTTAGACATTTATCAGAAAACTAAAAATTGAGCTACTATATGATCCAGTAATCTCACTGCTGGGTATTCACCCAAAAGAAGGGAAATAAGTATATCCAGGAGATGCCTGTATTCTCATGTTTGTTGCAGCAATATTAACAAAAGCCACGATTTGGAAGCAACCTAGGTGTGAATCAATAGATGAACAGATAACAAAAATATGGTGCATATACACAATGGAGTACTATTTAATCATAAAAAATGAGATCCTCTCATCTGCAACAACATGGATAAAACTGGAGATTATTACGTGAAGTGAAATAAACCAAGCACAGAAAGACAAAGATCACATGTTCTCACGTATTTGTGGGATCTCAAAATCAAAACAATTGAATTTGGGATACAGAGAGTACAAGGATGACAACCAGATACTGGGAAGGATAGTGGTAGACTGGGGGGGAGGTGGGGATTATTAATTGGTGAAAAAAATTGGAAATAATGAATAAGACATACTGTGTGATCATACAACATGGTTACTATAGTCAATAATAACTTTTAATTGCACCTTTAAAAATAACTAAAAGAGTGCATTTGAATTGTTTGTAGAACAAAGGATAAACACTTGAGGGAATGAATACCCCATTCTCTATGATGTGCTTATTTCAGTTGCATGCTTATATCAAGACATCTCAGGTACCCCACAATTATATACACTTAATATGTACCCACCAAATTTATTTAAAAATTTAAATCAAGAATTATATACCAACAAATTTGACAACTTAGAACAAATGAATACATTTCTAGAAACATATAGCCTACTAAGACTAAAACAAAAAGAAATTGGAAATCTGAACAGAACAATAACAAATAAGGAGACTGAATCAATAATTAAATATCTGCTATCAAAAGTCAAGGATCAGATGGCTTTATGGTTGACATCTACCAAACATTTAAAAATAACTAATACTGATCTAACTCAATGTTAAAATGTCTTCTGAAATGTTCAAGAGGAGGGAATACTTCCTAATTTTACAAGGCCAATATCACCCTGATACCAAAGCCAATCAAAGACACTACAAGAAAACTACAGGTCAATATAACTAATTAACATAGATGTAGAAATTCTCCACAAATGCTATCAAAACACTTTTAATAGTACATTAAAAAATCATTCACCATGATCAAGTGGGATTTATCCCTGCCAAGCAAGGTTGGCTCAACATACACAAATCAATAAATGTGATTCAACATATTAACAGAATGAAGTACAAAAACCATGTGATCATCGCAATAGATGTAGAAAAAGCATTTGAAAAAAATTCAACATGGTTTCATGATTTAAAAACTTTCCACAAATTAGGTATAGAAGAGATGTTTCTCAACACAACAAGGGTCATATATGAGAAGCCTACAGGTAACATCACATCTAATGGTGAAAAGCAGAAAGTGTTTCTTCTAAAATACCAGCAGGATAAAGATGTCCACTCACACCACTTCTGTTCAACATAGGACAGGAAGCCCTAGCCAGAGCAGAGTCAAGAGATAGAACTAAAAGCCATCCAAATCAGAAATAACAAAGGAAAATTATTTCTGTTAACTGAAATTGTCTCAGTTAGAGATTATACGGAAAATTCTAAAGTCTTCATCAAAACACTGCTAGAACTGATACATTAGTTCAATACAGTTGCAGGATACAAAATCAACTTACAAAAATCAGTAGCATTTCTATAAAATAACAACAAACTGTCTGGAAAAGGGATTTAAAAAACCATCTTACTTACAAAGCATCAAAAAAAAATACTTAGGAATAAATTTAACCAAAGATGTAAACAACCTGTATACTGAAAACTGTAAAACATTGATGAAAGAGACTGAGGATGATACAAATAAATGGAAAGATATCCTGAGTTCATGGAGCGAAAAATTTAAAAAATGTACATACTACCCAAAGTAATATACAAATTTAATGGCATCCCTATTGAATTTTCAGTAGCATTTCTTACAAAAATAGAGTTAGCAATCCTAAAATTCATATGCACAAAATAGTGAAAGCAACTTGATCAAAAAGAACAAAGCTAGATACATTACATTACCAGATTTTAAAATATATTGCAAAGCTATAGTAGTCAAAACAGCATGGTACTGACAAAAACAGACATATCGACCAACGGACTAAGACAGTCCAGAAATAAACCCACACATACGTGGTCAATTGATTTTTGACAAAGGTGCTAAGAACACATAATGAGTAAAGGACAGTCTCTTCAATAATAGTGTTGGAAAAACTAGTATTCAAACACAGAAAAATGAAAATGGATTCTTATCTCACTCCTTGTATAAGAATTAACTCAAAATGGAGTAAAGACTTAAACATAAAACCTCAAACTATAAAACTACTAAAAGAAAACATAGAAGAATGCCCTATGACATTGGTCTGGGCAAAAAAATTTTAAATATAACCCAAAAGCATAAGCAACAAAACAAAAATAGACACATGGATTTCATAAAAATTAAAAGATTCTGAACAACAAAAAGAAACAACTAATAGGATGAAGAGACAACTCATGGATTGGGAGAATATAGTTGCAAATCATGCATCATATAAAAGGCTAATATCCAAAATATGTAAGAAATTCAAACTATCAATAATGAGAAAACAATCCCTTTAAGATAAGGGCCTTGGGCTTGAATATACATTTCTCAAAAGAAGACATATAAATGACCAAGCGATATATGAACAAAATGCTCAACATCTCTAATCATCAGAGAAATGCATATTTAAATCACAATGAAATATCATTTCACACCTGTTAGATTGGCTATTCTCAAAAAATGAAAAGTATTGGTGAAAATGTGGAGAAAACAAAAATCTTATACATTGTATCTGGTATAGTAAATTCACATTGCTATTTTGGAAAACTGTATGGAAATGCCTTAAAAATCCAAAAACAGAATTACCATATGACCAAATAATCCCACTACTGGGTATATGCCCAAAGTAATTGAAATCAGTATGCCAGAAAGATGTCTGCATTGCCATGTTCACTGTAGCATTATTTACAGTAGCCAAGATATGGAAAGTGTTCATCAACAGATAAATGGCTTTTTTAAAATGTGGTATATATACACAATGGAATGTTATTCACCTCTAATATAAAGGAAATTTGTCATTTGGAACTACATGAATGAACCTAGATGACATTATGTTAAGTATATTAAGCCAGGCACAGAGAGAAAAATACAATATGATCTCACTTACTTGTGAGATCTAAAAAGGTCAAACTCATAGAAGTAGAGAGTAGAATGGTGGTTGCCAGAGACTGGAAATAGGAAGGTGAAGAGGTGGAAAGGGGAAGACCTTGGTCAATGAGTAGGATACAAAGTTACAGTTAGATAGGGGGATGTTCTTACGTTGTATTACACAGCAAGGTGACTAGAGTTCATAATAATGTATTACATATTTTACAGTAGCTAAAGGAGAGGGTGTTAAATATTCTCACTGAAAAGAAATAATAAACATTTGAGGTGACGAATGTGTTAATTACTCTGAGTTTATAATTTCACAATGTATAAATATATTAAAATGTCACATTGTAATCCATAAATATATACAATTATCATGCATCAATTAATTTTTTTATTTTGGGATGGAGTCTCACCCTGTCACCCAGGCTGGAGCACAGTGGCACCATCTCGGCTCACTGCAACCTCCGCCTCCATAGTTCAAGCAATTCTCCTGCCTCAGCCTCCCGAGTAGCTGGGATTACAGGCACCTGCTACTACACCCAGCTAATTTTTGTATTTTTAGTAGAGACGGGGTTTCACCTTGTTGGCCAGGCTGGTCTAGAACTCCTGACCTTGTGATTCACCCACCTTGGCCTCTCAAAGTGCTAGGATTACAGGCATGAGCCACTGCACCCGGCCAATTAATTTTTTTAAATGGATTAATATCAATAATTTTTCCTTAATTGTACAAAGTTATAATTGGAAAGCCAGAAGAAGAATTCTAGTCTTCCATGATCTGATATAGAGTCCTATTTTTAATGATTAGGGTGTTAACTTCTTGAAGGAAGGACATTATCCTTTTATCCTGGGAGTCTAGCATAGTGTCTGGAATTGTTAGTATATTAAATGTTTAGATAATGAATATAGAATAAAGTGATGATTAATTACAGCCTCTAAAATAATGTGTTTTGTAGTAGAAAGGAGTGGAACTCAGCTATAAAAAGACTAAATTTTGCTATAGATTTTTATCTAAAATTTTTATCTAAAATAGTTTCAAACTGAATATACTATGGTCACATTTGGCTTATGGTAACTGGCTTTTATTACTTCGTTATGTAATTCAGTAGAAAGTGATGGTGCTTATGATGGAATTTTCTTTCTTTTTTTTTTTTTTTTATCAGAATAGGAGCTCAGACTCTGCTTACAAGGACTTTGGAAAAAAAAGGGCTAAAGTCTATCCAATAAATCCTCTTGGCCAATTTTTACCCCCTTCACAATGATACATGAACCAAGAATAATGGTTCCTGTACCATTTTAGATAAGTCCTATCCAAGTACACATGTGTGTATACATGTATACAGATAGATCCTGCTTTTGGAAAACCTAACCTACCCTAGATGTTTTATATATGTATATAAATATGACTGCCAAAATATATCCTGTGATAAAGAACATTTTTGCAACAATAATTCTAAAATATTGAACTTCCAGTGAAAGTTTAAATGATATTAAATTAACAAAAGCTGAGTTGGGAATAAGAATTTAGGAACATATATACAGCATGTGCAATACAGTACAGTATTTTAAAAATTATTACACAAATGCTTATTGTTTCCCATATGCCAACACTCTAATAAGTCTACAGCACAACAGTGAGCAAGATAAACAAAATCCCTGCCTTCTTGGAGTTTACATTCTTGTAGGAGAAGGCAATATACAAGAAAGATAATTTCACATAATGTGAAATGCTGGGAAGACAATTAAGCAAGGAAAGGGAATAGACTGTGATTGAGGGAATGGACTAGGGAGGATATTTTAGATACATGATTGGACTGTGCTGTCTGTACTGGCCACGAGTGAAGGGAAACGACCAATCAGAGAGTGCCAGTCACTTGAAGATCTATCCAACTGACACCTTCCTCAGCACAACACTCTGGGCAGCCATTACAAGTCAAGTACTGGCCATGTCTGTACTGTGAAGCACTGTGCTGGAGGATGTAGAAAAATATAAGGTAAAAAGCATTGAATGTAGTATAAAGACATGTTTGACATCAAATAGCTCAAGATTCTGAAACAGAAAGAGCAGGGAAAGATGATTAGGAATGCCTAGATTCTACTTTTCCTTTTAATCTTTTGGAAAATAGTTTTCCATCAGCAAGATACCATTGGATAAAATGTTCCATAGGATTCCTTCTAGATTTGATGGTTAATAATTCTAATTACAATGTGAAATAGGAATTTAAAAAATAGTACAATATATGCACACTTGATATTTAGACACACAAATATTTAGCAAAAATCTGCCTGGATAAGTCAATAAGAACTTTGTTCCTTCTCATAGTAAAGATTTCATTTTGGTTTTAGTTTTTTGTGTATTCTTTAAAATAGGATCAACTACTCCTCATTAATTTACTTGAAAAATGCATACTGCATAAGTCATATTATTCATTTAATTCCTATTTGTAGCTCAAGTTGCTTAAACAACTTTGGTTGTAACTTCAAGTCTATTGATTTCTTTTTACTCTTTCTGACAGCACTCTTATAAACCAAAAATGATTCATCTTCTCAGAGTAAAAATATTTCCATATTCAGGGTGTACTGCCATAGAAGAGTGAAAAATCAATAAAGCAACTCCTGTTTAGTAAAATTTCTCAATGAGAAACATTACTCATTTTTAAATGTATGGTATTTACAGTCATTAACAAAAGCTTTACTCTAGGAGTGCCACAGTTCTCTTAGGGACTGACATATCCTTGTTTAAGGACTCTTGGTGGGATTTAATTGTCTACATCTAATTTTCTAACAAGCATACGTTGTCTTCTTAAATATGATGTAGGTCTGTGAGGAAAGAGAAGGGTAAGGAATGATGAGTCAATAAAAATGGGATATTCTGGAAATTATATACAGCTTTGATTAGTTATTCATAATGAAAAAGGTATTCAGAGCAAAGGACCAAATAATATTAAGTAAATGTGGGATTAACTGAAGAAATTACAAGGGGAAAAAAAGCCATTATTTCTGGAGCATGAAAAAGGATGTATTAGATACATGCACTCACCAAAAAGAATAGTCGGGCTCACTGTCTTCATTTTTTCTAGATCCATAGAGCTATGGAGAACTGGCCTTCTAAAAGCTACGGCTTATTACAGTTAGAGCAGAGCAGTAATTTCATCAGAGCTGGCTGATTATTGAACCACCTATGCACCATTGTAAGGCAAAAAATTTCTAAACTCTCAGGATTTACATTGCCAGGTTTGAAAATCAATGGTCTAGAATAGCCTGCAGAATCTTTTTGGATGATGCTGGAGCACCCATAGTGTATACAATGATGCATCGGAAATTCTGAGGTAGAATGGAAGTAAAATCCCAGTGTCTTCTTAGAATGAAACTAGTCTCTAATTCTCTTGAACCAGTTTTCTTTTTTCTTCTGTTATTACCCAGCTAAAGAGCCTTTTGAAACATTATCTTTCTAATTACCACCAGCCCATGAAATTTTAGTATCATAGGTTACTGTATATCTGTTTAGTATTGCAGATATATCTGTTTAGTATTGCAGATATATCTGTGTTTTATACATAATACGTAGTTAATTTTTTTTACATGTTCAAGGACAGTTTTCACCCCTTAGTTGGGGGTGGGGAGGGCAATGTCCTGTTGAGAATGCGTGTCTTGAGGTACTCCAGGTTTGGTGTATGAATCAGACCATACTCCAATAGCTTTATGGAAACTGATTTAATTGGCACTCAAGTTTCTTATAGACTTTTGGAAGCTATAAAGGAGGATGATATTCTCTAAGCCTCCATGCCAAGGCAATCAACCCTTTAATAATATGAGTTTTAGAAGAGTACTAAAAGAACGTTTGAAAAATAACTATTAGTCATTTTCAGTCAGGAAAAAAGAAACTAGTATAGAAAGTTGAAAGGAATTTAATATTAGAAATTCATTGTTTGTAAAATCTCTAAATGACTGGAGAAGTGAAAGTCAAGAGAGATTACCTATGGTTTTCAAAACCACCAACTTAGGTGTGATCTAGAGAATCAAGAAATTGCTACGGTTACTTATAAATCAGGAAATGGAACCATGGCCAATTGCCACAGCTGCCCTGCAGTAAAAAGGCAGATGATTGGCAGGAAGAAAATCATACTTATTAAAGTTCAAATGTCTGATGCCACTGCTGAAGAAAAAATAACACCTGCTGCCCCCTTTCTGTCTTCCAAATATTGTGCAAGAGCATGAGCAAGTATCACCGAGAATGCCAACACCCTAAAATGAAATGGAAACAGACAAGCAGGAGGAAGAGGAAGCGAACTGGAAGAGAAGAAAGGAGGGGAGAAGAAAAGCAAGAAGCTCAAAACAAAACAATGAAAATCTAGCACATACAGTTTGTCCTTATGAAAAAGTAAACTCTATGTTATCTTTAACTTTCCTCTTACCTCAAATAGGGAGAAGATGAAATTTCCAATCAACTTCACAGTACTGTTTTAAAGAGACAGAATGACCAGGTGAGTGTAATGCTGATGTCAACTAATGTAATCTGTCCTCTGAAATTTAAAATAAATTTGTTTAAACACCATCCCATGGACACTTGGAGCCTGGAATTCTGTAGTCTATGGCAATTCAGAGGGAAAAGGGTAGCTTACAACTTTCCTCCTGTGCCTTCACAAGCCTCTGTCCTATCAGTTTCTTTATAATCTCATCATCTATCACTGTTCCATTGTGTTTCCACACTGTAGCAACCTGTGGAGGGACCCCTATTTATTTTCCTTCATTTTTTCCAATATCTATTTTGAATTAATAGCTGTGAAATGCAGGGGTTGTATATTCGTATGTGGCTCAGTTTCTTTTCTATATAAAGTTATAAACCCACCTCCTCTCCTCTCCATCTTAGACTCCTGGACTCTTCCATACTCCTTCAATATGCTACGGAATTTATCTCTCCTCTGTATCTTTGAATATCCAAAGGCTCCTTAATGCTTTTCTAAAACAGAATCACCGAATACTTTATGTTTCAACCTTTTACTCTAAGGAGCTGGAAGAAGTTAAAAATGTCAGTCTTTTCTTCTCTCCAGACACTTAAGTGAAAACAAGCAATAAAAATATTTACTTTCTCACCAGTTTGAATTACAGCAACTCCACCATGTCTAAGAAGACACTTACTGCATCACATAGTTTGATATTTAAATAATTTTAGTTCTATGAAAAGTTAAATTTTTAAGACATCTAGAAGCAGGAGTTATTTTTGCTATATGCTTTTAGAATTTTTTATCCTTCAGAGAAATCTTCTCCAACATTCATTTAAAGTTACAACCACCCTCTATATCTGTTGCTTTCTCTATGACATTACTCTGTCAATGTATTAATAATATATAAAACACTCAAAATCAGAAATACTTTTTTATGTATCTACTTTTCTTTGTCTCTTAACTGTCTCCAAAATTAAAAAAAGGCTTCTCAAAGATGAAAAATTGTCTGACTCCTTTTAGAAATGTAGCCTGTACATCAGTGTAGTCACTGACACATAGTGGAGGCTTCTCAGATTATGGTGGAATGAAAGAATAAAGAAATGAATAAACGGGGAAGCAGAGGGAAGAACTGGATGAGTGGCAAAAGACATCAGTTCCCTATGGATGTTTGATGGTTTTGCTCACCTTCAAGAACACCCCTTGCATAACCTTATCATTGTGGATGCGACGACTTGAGGGTCCATGGACTGTTGGGACTCCGAAGAACATGCTGAGGAAAGAGGTCCCAGTAGAAATAAAAATCCTTTATATAAGTTCTCCTTTATTGCTACCCTGAAAACCTCTGAATGTGAAATGAGTTCAATTCTACAGCTATCATGGGCAAGTCTGAAGGTCATGAAGGCCAAAGTCCACATAACCTGAGGCATTGATCTGCCATTCTTTTGTCAGTGTGAAAGAATGGACTGAATTATTGTATGCCCCCAAAATTCATATGTTGACATCTTAATACCCAATGTGGTTATATTAGAAGGTAGGGCCTTTGAGAAGTATTTAGGTCATGAGGGTGGGATCAGTGTCCTTATAAAAAGAGACAAGCCAGCTTGCTTCCTCTGTCTGTGCTCTTCACCATGTGAGGACACAGTAGGAAGGAAGCAAGCCAGGAAGAGGGCCCTCACCAGACACTGGACCTGTTAGCATCTTGATCTTGGACTTCAGTCATCAGAACTGCAAGAAATAAATGTTTGTTACATAAGTTACCCAGTGTGTGATAATTTGTTGTAGTAGCCCTTCCCTAATTAAGAAAGTAAATAAAAATATAAAAACAAGACTTTCCCTCACCTCACCCTCCACCAAAAATTTATCCCTTGCCTTACACAAATTTTACTTTCTGTGCCTCAAGGAAAATGCTGGTGCCCTCCTGTTGTTGTTACATGAGGTTATACAAAATAATTTAGCCGTCTCATGTTTGAAATTGCCTAAAAGCCAAATTTTTCAAATTCTAGGGCCCCAGCTCTATAATCTAGATAACCAGATCACTAAGTATGTGGAGTATAGGCAGGCCAAATAATAGGCCCCCAAAAATAGCCATGTCTTATTCTCTGGAGCCTGTGAATATGTTACCGTACAAAGCAAAAGGCACTTTGCAGAGATAATTAAGGTGACTTATCTTAAGACAGAGAGATTATCCGTGCTTATTCTGTTGAGCGCATTCTAATCACAAGAACCTTTAAATGCACTTTCTTCAGCTGGAGAGAGAGAGAAATAAAAAAAGAGAAAGAGAGGGAATGGCAAAGAGAAATTGTGGAGAGATAGGCTAGAAAGAGAGGTCAGAGAGATTCAGCACATGAGGAGGACTTGATGCATCATTGCTAGCTTTGGAGATGAAGGAGGCCATAGGCAAGAGAATGCGGGTGGTGTCTAGAAGCTGAGTGACAGATCCCTAAGTGACAACCAGCAAGGAAATGGGACCTTAGTCCTACATCAACATGCTAAATTCTGCCAACAGCCATAACAGCCCTGGAAATGAATTCTCCCCCAGAACCTTCACATAAGAGCCAGCTATCTGACATTTTGACTTTAGCTTTGTGAGAATCAGGGAAAAGAAACCAACTGAACCTACTAAGACCCCTGACCTATAGAACAATGAAACAATACATTTATGTTGTTTTAAGCTGCTACGTTTGTGATGAATTGTTATGGGAGCAATAAAAAACTAAAATGTTGTGGCTGGGGTAGTGGCTCATACTTGTAATCTCAGTATTTTGGGAGGCCGAGGCAGGCAGATCACTTGAGCTCAGGAGTTCCAGACAACCTTGGCCAATATGGTGAAACCCTGTCTTTACTAAAAATACAAAAATTAGCCAGGCATGGTGGTGCATGCCTGTAGTCCCAGCTACTTGGCAGGCTGAGGGAAAAGAATCGCTTGAACTCAGGAGGCTGAGGTTGCAGTGAGCCGAGATTGCACCACTGCACTCCAGCCAAGACAACAGAGCAAGACTCCATCTCAAATAAAAAGAAAAAAAAAAAGAAAAGAAAACTAAAACATAGAGCAAACATTCACCTATGCCTTGTCACTTAAAATGTGGAGGAAAACCCTTTGATCCAACTGATCCTCACTGATGCTCAACCTGTGGCTGAAATGCCACATTATTTATTAAAAACTATATTGGAAACAGGATGTTGTCAGGATGGAGTAACAGACAAGTCCATTAATGTTTGTGAAGGTCAACTAATGATTTAGTTGCTCAGATTAACTTCAGGAATTTAGCAGGAACCTAAAGAAAGGGAATGCTGTACACATAAGTACTAGCAAGGAGGGTTTTTTTTTTTTTTTAAATTACAGAACATAGGGCTTCTCCAGTGATTGCAGGCCTAGTTAAGACACAGTGGAATGGCATGAGGCTATGAGGAGAGAAACCAGAAAGAGGATAATCAGAGGTCAGCAAGAAGTGACGGGAGATGTAATTGAAGGAAGAGGAACATGAGTAAAGATGAAAAGTTATCTCTATTTCAAAACTCTGGTAAGAGTTGGCTCCATTTATAAATATTGCAGAGTGGAAGGTAAGAGAAAACAAATGTAGTCAAAGCTAAAGTCAGCAAACAGCCTACATGTACCTATGAGAGATTTGTGTATTGTTCTCAGCAAAGCGTGCATGATTTAAAATTAAAATTAAGAAGATGCATTCATGTGACTTTTTAGAGTGCATGCCAGTTCATTAAAAAGTTAAATATGATTTAGTTTTATTAATAATCTAACTAGATATATACATTAATAATCTTATCTATGGATATGAAAAACTTTCATATATCAGACTAGCAAAACTAAATAGATTTGTATTTATTGAACACATCTTCAACAAAATATTTGCAAATGAAGATCTTGGGTCACACTCAGAGCAGGTACCCTCTAAGCAGACTCTTGTTTGGCCCAAGACGTGATTTCAGATGTAAACTAAAATAAAAACAACTAAAAAGAAATTTGATCAAAATTTAGGGGAGCTGTTCAGACTAACCAAAGCTTAACTCAAAGGTCTTTTAATAAATTATAAAAACAAACTAAAGTGATAATAAAAATCACAATGATACCAGCAATGAATTAAGCACTTATTTTGTAAGTGACAGTCAGATTGCTAGGCAATTATATTTGACTTTTTTAGTACTTTAAGTTCTATGATTTATGTATTATCTAAATTGTATGGTGGAGGAAGCTAAGGCCAAAGAATACTATTTGTTTTTGCTCTGAACCAGTAATAACTATCAGAGTAAGCATTAAGAAACAAAATCTTGAGAGATAAAAGACACCCTTGCTTAATCAAAGCCTTGAAAATCTCTATTTCTAAAGACTACCTCAAAAATTTATCATTTCTTCACTGCTACTACCTATTAATAAAATAAGTTGAAAACGAGTGAGCAAAACTGGAACCTCTGCACTCTTTAATATGCATGTCTTAGGTTACTACCAACTCTAAATATATTCAATGTTTTTACTGAATGTGTGTATTTTCAAACAGATTACTCTTTGCTCATTTTCTGTTGAATTTTAATCATTCTTTATATATGAAAGACATTAATATATTCTCCTTTGTATGTTTAAAATTATGTGTTTAATATATTCTCCATTATATGTGTTTAAAATTCTCCATTATGTGTTTTCATTATTTGAAATTTGATTTTGTTTGTAATATTTTTGATGAACACGTTTTTATTTGATTAAAGCAACAATTTAGTATAGATGCCTTCTTCATTACATATTTTTAAAAATCCATTTTGTTAAGTTTAAAGACAATCTTTTGTAGATTTTGTTTAAACACTGTTAAACTGATATGTGGAAAGTCTACATATTTTATATTCTCATATACTTTATTAAAGTTTTGTGGTTTTAATTATAAATACACCTAGCACATTTATTTTTAGTTTCATTTGTCAGTGTTTTGTCATTTACATTGCTATTGTAATCAAGTCTTTTTAAATCATGTTTTCCAAATGGTTAATGATAGCATAAAGAAATGCTGCTGAATTTTATAGGGATTTTGTAATAGGCCAGGCCACTGTTATATTTATTTTTATAGTTTTTAAAACTTTTTTGGGATCTCAGTAGATAATCACATTATCAAATGATTATTCTAATTTTTTCATAATAGTTTCATGTATCTCATTTATTTTATTTTATCTGACTGACTAGAACTTCCCAAAAATAATTGTGTGATACTGATGATAAGGAATATTATTGTCTTCATCTTGCCATTAATGAAACTATTTTCATTTTGCATGATTAAATATTTTAGATGAGGGACATGAAAAAGTAATGCTGGACTCAGTTAAATTTTTGTTGAAGAATATCAAGAAAATATGTGGTTTTCTTCATTGTACATCTTAATGTGACAGAATATATGGATAGATTACTTTAGGATAAATCATCTTTGAATTACTGGGATCAATTTTATTGCCTGATCTTGTATTAAACACTTCATTGCAAAAATGCACACATGTATTTTTTCATAAGATTGATTTATAGATCTTTCTTAGTGCCATCTTCAAGTTTTAGCATTACAACTATACTTGATTCATAAAAGGAGCTTAGAAACTATATTTGTTATGTTGTATAATAATTTAGATATGAAGGAATGTAACTCATCAAATAGAATACTTGCCAATAACATAGTCTTGTCTCAGCACCTTCCTTAGACATATTTTTTTGAGAACGTTTTAAATCCATCTCATGCAATTGCCTTGTTCAGCATTATTTTATCATCTTAAATTATTTTTCTAAAATTATATGTTATTTTAAAATGTCCATTTCCTCATACTTTTTAAAGCAGATATATTTTTTCCAGGCTTCATGCCTCTGAATTAAAGTTTAATCTGAGCTGATGTTTCTATTTAATTCCCCTAATAATGGAAATATCAGGAGACAAGGTTGTGAGTTGGCCCTGTAGGGGGAGCTTTTTTAAATCTGTTATCATCTGTCCCAAATAAGAGACATCCCTCGAAGTTTCTGTGAGGCAGATGGTACTCTTTCATTGTTCCTAGCATTCTTACGTGTTTCTTTCCTACACTGATATCATGTGTTCATTGCGGAGGACTTGGTAGAGAGTAGAAAACATATAATTAAATTGTTAATTGTTAACAAATCTACCTAGAAATGCTATTGGAACTAATACTTTAATTTAAATTACTATATGTTAAAATGTGAATGAATACATAAATTGTACAATTAAGCTAAATGACTTCTAAATTGCTAAATATATATGTATAACCCTCCCTTGACAAGAATAATAAGAGTAACACCCTCCTTTCCAAATGTGCCATTATGAATGTCAACAGAAATGTAATGATTCCGAAGGGAAGCAGTGAGGGTGCATCTCTTGTCCTTTCTTGGTTTCTCCTCATAAGCAAAATATCTGCTCAGGCAGTTGTCAGAGGGTATACAAAATCTGCACGACTACCATTCTCAGAGACATTTCTGCTCAGAATTTTCAAGCTGTAAGGATATAGAAACTCCTTTTCTCATTCAGAACCAACTCAGTCTTATTCTGCCCAGAGTACTGACATTGTACCCCCTGGTGAAACTTCCTTGGCACTAGCAGTTTTCTTTTAATGGCTTTACAAAATGGCTGGGATATTTCAGTTAAATTCTAAATTGGCTTGAGTTCTGCCAAATTTAGTATACGACTTCTGATAATAAATCTATTCAATGTATTTTATGATATTTGTCAACTTTAGTACCTAGGTGATCAGCCAGAAATATTGAAATATGAAATAAATTAGGAAGTAGAAATTATTATATTGGAGCCCTGCTTGCATAGGTCTATATGGTTATAGAGAATTTGGGGAATACTGATTCACTTGATTTTGGAATCTTAGGTGAGTACTCTTTTGTATAAGAATTTGTTTAAGACATTGTTATAAATTGTTACAAATATCCTTATTGGAGACAATTTCTTTTTCCTAAAGATAATCCATTAAATAAACAAAACGGCAACATAATCTTTTCCATGTCGGGTGCTAAACTTGGTAATAAAGGTAACATTTTTGCTTGAACTATTCAGGCAGAGTCCTGTGTTTAGGAGGGCTGCTAAGGCAGCAAAATAAGGTTGAAGTAACAGTGGCTATAAGGAGGTGATTCACATCTCCAAAAGATTTAATAAGATATGTCAAAACTAAAATTAATTTTCCTATAGGAAGTTGATATGGTTTGGCTCTGTGTCCCCACCCAAATCTCATATTGAATTGCAATCCCCATATGTTGGAGAAGGGGCCTGGTAGAAGGTGATTGAGTCATGGAGGCGGACTTCCCCCTTGTTCTTCTTGTGATAGCGAATGAGTTCTCACAAGATCTGGTTGTTTAAAAGTGTGTAGCACTTCCCCTTTAGCTCTCTCTCTCTCTCTGCTGCTACGCCATAGTAAGACATGCTTGCTTCCCCTTCACCTTCTGCCACAATTGTAAGTTTCCTGAGTCCTCCCAGCCATGCTTCCTATACAGCTTATGGAACTGTGAGTCAATTAAACCTTTTTTCTTCATAAATTACCCAGTCTCAGGTAGCTCTTTATAGCAGTATAAAAACGGACTAATATAGAAGTTAAGTGCTCCCTTTTATCTGGTCTATATATGTTCAGGTTCTCTTAGATGCTGTACTACAAACTCTTCTAGGGTCGATATGAGAACTTTCATGTAGTAAGTTTTCCTTTCTAATTTGTAGTCTAGACATAAGTGAGATCAATAATATGAGACACATGTCTGCATCTATCATTTACAAAATGCTTGTTTTCCTTATATTTATACACATAATTGAAACAAGAAATACTTGGGAGGGATGAATACACACGTATGCAATTTAAATTACCTTCAGTCAAGCCTAAAAATTTAATTGTTTTAATTTGTGATAGAATAATTTTAAGTCTAAATGTTAATTGCATTGAAGTGTCATTAATGTTTACACACGTTATTGTATATCCGTAAAATGTATTTACATTATTAAAATGTAACTATACCAATATAGTTATAATATAGTCATATAGTATTTGAGTACATAGTCACCTATACATCAATGGGAAAGTATTTTATCACAATTGAAAAAATTTACTTATTTTATTTTAGTTTTTTTTAGGATTGAGAGTGTAAATTGAATTTTATTTCAATTATTTGCTAGCGTTTAGAAAAGGAGAAATTTGAGTAACCATAGTACAATATGAGCAACTTAAATTATGCTAACAAATATTCACATGTATTTTATTTGTAATGTTTATTGAACTAAATGACAGAAATTATGATGTGAGTAGGGCCAAGGTATTCAAGTTTCATAGTGATGACTATGGTATGATTATGTAACAGATTTATGATACCAGCTAAATTTTACTGCAGTATTTTTGTCTTTAGTTTCTCCAAGGGAAATATATATTATTTATGATTTGGGTGATGATGAAATGGCTCCAGGGATTAGTAATGAGATATGAAAACTTTCTTCTCAAAGTTTCTTCGCCCAGCATATGATAATTATGCCTGAAGATCTGTATTACCTGTTGATTATGAAATATGCTATGTAACATGAATTTAGAGAATTGCATTGAGTCAACTGCCACTAAATTTGATCTGTTCAGTAAGCGATATGTTCACAAGTAATCAGCATCCTTCCTGTCATGCTTTGCAAGGACATGGTAATTAACTTACTCTACAGATTCTATTCCTCTGTAGTGCTATAAAGCCCCAAAGCCAAACAGAGTAGACTAATCTCTCAAACTGCCATTGGTCTATTAACCACTGTTGTCTATTGGCTGTTGGTCATTTAGTCACTGGCTTAACCATTTGTCAATTACTATCATCATATTTATATATTAGGTAATATTTATTGTGTCTATATTAGTTGTTTTATGAATAAGATCATTTAAGCTTACCATAACTCTTTGAGCTAGAGATTATAATCACCGTTTTACAGAGTGAATAAGTTGAAATTAAAAGAGGCCATGAAGCTTTCCCAAAGCCAAACAGTTGCTAGATAGTAAAGCTGGGGTTGAAACTCAAAGCCATTTTACCTTGACTATACATAAGTTTAACTCATTCCCTTTAAATATTCTTTTGACTATTAAGTAAATGTAAAAAATTCTCAAGATTCAGGGCTATGGTTTGCATGTGTCATATTTACTCTCTTCCACCCTCCAAAAGGAACAAAAAATAGAGGGAAAAAAGAACTTTAGTATCATTTTCTTCTATGAAATATTTTTAAAAAGTATATTCAATTCAGACTTTTTCTTCACAATAGTGCCAAATTATAAACTCTATATAAGTACTGTTAAGACACTCATTAACACTTTAACATTTTAAGTGTACACATATATAATTTTAAATATGTAACTTTAAATACATATTACAAACACACACACATATGTTAGTTTCATGGCAATTTGCACTTTTAGGCGGCCACAATTCTATTCAGTATGAAAATACAGTGTAATACCAATTTAGTAAATGGTATTAATCCATAAGTGACTTATGGATTAATATATACTTAGAAAAGAGTAAAAGGAATGTACACAAGAACCATAAAAACTGAGTTTCATGAGGAAAAGTAAGCCAAGTTTTACTTTTTGCAGAAAATATTGCTTCCTTGTACTGTCCCTACATCCTCTCCATGCCCCCCCCCGCCAAAAAATAATTCCAGTATGACATCATCACAGAACCTAATTATAGTATTCTCACTGACATAAAATTTTATTTCATCAGAACCAATATTTCATGGGTGATACTCTAATGAGGATATAGAAAGTCACTTTGTTTTGAAAGTAAGTCACTTAGTATCAACCATTGTATTCATTCATTCATTTATTTAAGAAATAATTTTGTTCTTTTGTTTTGTTTTGAGACAGAGTCTCGCTCTTGTCACCCAGGCTGGAGCACGACGGCACGATCTTGGCTCACTGCAACCTCCACCTTTTGGGTTCAAGTGATTCTCGTGCTTCAGCCTCCCCAGTAGCTGGGATTACAGGTGCCTGCCACCATGCCCAGCTAAATTTTGTAGTTTTAGTAAAGACAGGGTTTCACCATGTTGGCCAGGCTGGTCTCAAACTCCTGACCTCAGGTGATCTGCCCGCCTCAGCCTCCTAAAGTGCTGGGATTACATGTGTGAGCCACTGCGCCCAGCCTAAGAAATAATTTTTAGTTCATATGAAAACCACTGTTAGTGCAGAGAATATAATAATCAATGACTTAAAAAAAATGTTTTTATAGAGACAGGGGTCTCACATGTTGTCCCTGCTGGTCTGAACTATTGGACTTAAGCTACTCTCCTGCTTTAGCCTCCCAAAGTGTTGGGAATACAGATATAAGCCACTGTGCCTGACCTAATGAACAAATATTAAAATGTGTTTGCATCATAATTTTTATATTCTTGTTGGGAGTAAGAAGATAACATAAACAAATAAACAAAATAATTCAAGAAAAAATAGTATTATAAAGGAAATACACCAGAACTTTTTAGTATTTCTCATACAGATTCTCTTGTACTGATAGAAGAAATCAAAACTAGATAGAAGAATCAAAATTAAAATATATAATGGTGCAAGACATCTCAAAATACCTGGTAGAATAATTCTCAATTTATCATAAGAAGCTGAATACTTATTTCCTTCAGCAGAGAGACAAAAAGAAGCTTTCTTAGAGCATTTATAATTTAGAACTCTCTAGCAGCTTTACACAACAAACAAAACAGATAAACAAGATTTCTATGCCTCTATTTGCAAGCTATTTATAAATGTAGCTTTAATTTTCCTAGTATATTCTCAAATGTGCCAGATAAAAAGCCTGTATTACAATATTTGTGATTCCTCTAAAGAGAAGTATAATTCGTAAAAGAAAAAAAAATCCTGAATATTTGTAAGATTCGAATGTAATACTACAATTTACAGAATAAATGCAAACTACCACTTATTATAAATGTTGAATTTACTGCATTATGGATAAATGTAGAAAAGACAAAAGTAATTTAGATCTGGTGGTAAGGTACATTATTTTTTAAATATTACATGTGGTAATTACATGTTAAATCTGTTGTTGATGCCACCAAGAAAACTCAAAAATCAAAGACAAGAAGTGAAAAAGGGAATATTTCCCAGGTTGATTTCCTACCAATAAATCACTGTCGTTATCTTTACACCCTAATAGTGCACTTACTCACAGTGGCAAACCTCTGACAGACACTTTAATACATCTTAAGGTTCATGTCAAGTTGTATAACTTGGAACAAATTCCAGGTGGTGAATTCTGAGGCCCATGACTGGTGGGCAATAAATGACTGTATTTTCAATAAACCTTTTAATCCTATGGAGAGTTGATCTGACATGAGAGTATAAACCATAGATCACTGTGGCAAATGTGATTAGTCTGAGAAAAATCCCCATTATTTACAGTCTCCTTTGAGGGGAAATCTCTTCCATGAGCCTCTATTATATATGGTTTAGAAAATAGTGTATTAGTAGTTGCCATTTTCTTTTGTGTGTAACTCAGAAGAAGATAAGTTTGACATACATTTTCTAAATTTGTTATGAAATAATTCGATTTGATTTTAGCTGCTTAATTTTATTCTGAAAATAAATACTATGGTATAATTTTTTTGTGGTTTTTCAGCCTCAAAATGCTTATATTTATTCAAAAAACCTTCTAAAGTACTAGCAGTTTAAAAATAACTTTCAGTAAAAGAAAAAAATACAATCATTTACCATCAATGAGCTTACAGAGTAGTGAAAATAAGAAAATTTTGTAATATCTACATTAAAATGCAATGTATTTGCCACAAGAAAATATAAACACTAGTTAAGTTTATGGGTGCTGAGGAGATTGCCTGAGGACAGAGTACCATGACCTATAGGATACTATCAAGATATATAGCATATGTGTCATTTGATTGGGTGTAGGGAAAAGATGTATATTTGAAAAATTAATAGACAGAAATGCTACAATTTTGATAAAAAGTAGTAATCACAGATTCAAAAAGTTCAATGAAGTGCAAGAATAAAAAAATGGAAAGAAAACCATAACTAGGCACATTATAGTCAAATTTCCAAAAAGCAAAGAACAAGAAAGGTTTAAAAGAAGCTAAAAGACAAAGAAATATTATAATATGATGAACAATGCAAAAAATGAGAGCTACCTTGTCATCAAAAGCAAGGCAAGCCAGAAGAGAGTGGAGTTACATTTTTAAAGTTATTTTTTCTTAAGGAAGCTGAAAACTAGAATTCCATATTCAGTGAAACTATCCTTCAAAACATGTGTAATATAAATAAAGTTTTAACTGTGAAAGCTGATTTTGTCACTGGCCGACCTGGACTAAAAAAAAAAAAAATACTAGGGGAATTCCTCAGGTTGAAGAGAATGATACCAGATGGAAATGTAGGTCTAAGGGAATAAAGGAAAAATACCAGCAATGGTACATATGTGAGTAAATATAAATGACTAAGTATTTTCTATTCTTAACATCTTTAATAAAAACTGATGGTGACTCTTAATGTATGTAAATTAGACCTCTATAAACTTGGATTTTCAAGAAGAACAATTGAACCAACAATAATAATAATGTATTATGGTGTTCATAAAATAGATAGAAGTGTATTTACCATAGCAACACAAAGATTGGAAAGAATAAATAGAAGTGTCTTATATGTGCAGTGGTGAAATACTAATTCTAGTATAAGCACAAGTTCAGGACACATATTACAATTGCTAGAGCAACTGTTTACAAAATTTTAAAGAAAAGAAGATATTACTCAATATAATATGCATCTGTAAAATATACTGATATTACTCAGTAGAAACAAGGTTGTTTTATGCTAGGTAATATCACTTGAAGATCAAAACTGAACCTTGGCTTCAAAATATCTCTAAGAAAGCATACTCAGAGAGATTGAACTGAAAACCGCTACGTTTAAATAAATTCTTCAAAAAGCTGTCAATTACAAGAAAAAAAAAAGGGGAAGGGCAAGAATGCACATGCTGCCTTTTCTGGCAGGCTCTCTCACTACCTTTACTGTCTGTTACTTGCTCACAGCTGGTCTGTCTAATGACATCTTCTTGCAGATGGGTTACCATCATCTGCACTGGGAGTTGCAGTTTCCTTATGGTTGGTGTGTATTAGGTCGTCAAACAATGTAGGGCACTTGAGAGATGCCCAGGGAATTCATGCCCAATTGATGTTCAGCATGTTCTGGACTGTGGGCTTATATGCTGACTGGGGTGCTTGGGCAGCCAAAATCTCTCCTAGTCTATTGACTCACAGTTGTATCATCCAGCTCTAATTAGTTACACCCACAGTCATCTCATACATTAAATCATGGGTTATGTATATTGTTTATAACTTTTGGAGAACTTATCTCTTTTGGCCAAGGTAGCCACTTGTTTATAACAGTGCTAGTAAACAAGTTCTCATGAATAAATTATAATTATCAGTAGATGGGCGTGTGGGTTTGCAATTTTGCAGGCTTTTTAAGGAAAACATGATTTTCAATTCTTTGGAGAAAGACATTAATGAGAAATTTGGGAAAACATGTTTACAAGCAAAAGAACACTGTGGGCAAGAAATTGTTATGATATCAAGCACAGCAAAGATGTTTATATTCACTTTTATAAAGGATGACACATCTTTACATAAATTTATTTCACATATCAGAGAGATATATCTAAAAGGCCAATAAAAGAGATAAAATTTTATACTAAAATACATAGATTAATCAAGAAATTAGCAGTGTGGGACAAAGAAATAAAGACTATCAGGGCAAAAGAAACCAAATAGCAAGATGGTAAACAAAATTAACCTTATTGTTAATTGCATTACATGTATAAAGAATAAACACTCAAATTAAAAAGCAAAAATGTCAAACTGGACAAAAATTAAGTCCTAACTATAAGAAGTTTATAAGAGAATCATTTTAAATATAAAGTACATTTATGGGGAAAATTTATGGAAAGTAAATACATAGAAAATGTATCCAATGGTAACTCATGTCATAAAATTTATGTTCCTGTCATATAAGGTACAATTTAAGATAAGGAAGCATATTTCAAAACTATAAAAAAGGAAATTCCTCCAGAAAATAGAGCAATCCAAATATGTATACACTTAAAATCAATGTCAAAATCTAAAAATTGACAGAACTAAAAATAAACAGAATGAATCAACAATTATTACTAGGAACTTTAAAATGCCTCATTCAGTAATTCATACGTAGTGTAATCAAAAGCACCACATATATATAGAAGATTGGGAAAAAACACAATCACTAATTTTTTTAATTTAAATTTTTTAAATTTCATCCACTCAATAATTCATTGGGTCTATATTGAACATGACAATGTGTTAATCATTACAATGATTAATCACACACTGTGTTTTTGAGAAGTTCAAATTTTTAACCACAAGACAGATAAAAACAGATAAAATAAACTGTGCCATTGCCTATTTTAATAAATTAAATACATTTTAAGAGGTGCTATTACAGAGATGTGGCCAAAGTTTGTTGCAGAGCAGTTCACTCTTGTTAAGGAAGTTGAAGATTTTATTGGAGGGGTGGTATTTGAGCTGAAAGTTGAGAGATGAGTAGATATTTTTAAGGCCACGAGCAGCTTAAAGAGTAGAATGAGTTATTCCAGTCAAAAGGGACAGCATCTGCAAAGGTATGGAGTTGCAAATGATCTGCAACATCTTGGAAGTGTCACGCAAGAAGAGAGAGACACTTAAAATGAGGCTGTAATAATAGATTAAGAATCACATTAAAGAAATATGTAGGCTAAGATACGAAGTTTTTATTTTAATCAATAGTCTGAGAAATCTAACTGAAAGATGCAATGTCATGGGAACTTTTAGGATAAGCATGGCCATAATAGAAGATAGTCCTAAATCAGGTTAGGCTGGAGGTAAGCAGACAAGTGAGGAGATTATAACTTCTAATTTGGTGGTAAAGTAATATGTTGGTCTGTTTCCAGAAGCTGCAAGAAATGTCACAAATAATTGCTAATAAAGTACTAAAATTAAAAAATTATTTAGAGAAGATTCAAGTCCATTCTTGCAATAAAAATCATCTTATTCACTTATGTTATGTTTTCTTAAGTGGGAGAAGATGGATGTTATAACTAGCATATCATAAATTGTGCATGACTCTATCTATATAAACTCACATGATTCTGAAGCTCTCACAAATGTTGCTTAACATTTTTTTCCCAAACCTGATCATCGACAGCATCAACATACCCAGATGTTCAAGCCAGTAAGTTGAGCATTACTCCATACCGTTTTTCTCTTACTGTCTACTCCAACCAATCTCATAAATGTTACGTCATTAATATTTCTATTCTCAAATACTGCCTCTTCTTTGTATTCTCACTGCTACTGCCTTTATTATTCTTATTATTTCTCATCTGAATACTATAACATTGTTATGATACTATTTTAAATATTTCTGCATTATATTATGGATAAAATACATACTTCCTCAATAACTCTTTAATTTCATTTCAAACAGTCCCCAACATATTCCTTTTCTTGTGCATAAAATGTAAATTCCGTGTTTCAAGTTTAATGTTCTCTTTCATGCTCCCTTATTTTCTTCTTAACGCTTTACCTTCCCCCTGGGATGTTGATTGAATTTCACTAGTATTCCTCTGGAATACCAAAGAATTCTCAAACGCAGCTTATATATTACACATAAGGTTTCCAGTAGAGTTACACACATGAAGGACAATGTTAAACAGGAAATCAAACCACTATACTGTTTAAAATAGGTGGCAGTAACTCCTAAAACAAAACAGTGATGACACTTGGTTGGGGTATGTAATTTATGCTCAAGACCCAAGCAAATATTTTTCTAATCCAAATTTCAGGCTTACCATTAAATGACCACCAATGCATGAGAGCACCATACTACACAAAAGAGAGAAAAACAAAGAAACGGAGAGAGAGAGCGAGAGAGAGGACACTAGACTCCACACAATTTCCCCATTCTCCTACACCATTCAGCCCTATAAATGAACATCCGGGAAGAGATAAATCCAGTCATTATCTCTTTCTTGAGGATGTGAAAGGACAGTTAGAACATTAGTAAGGGAAGAAAAATGAAGAGATAATAGCCAAACATTTCAAAATTTGATGAAAATTATAAATCCATAGATTTAAGAAACTTAAAAAATTCCAAGCACGGGACATATTAAAGAAAATTACATCAAAGAATATCCAATTAAACTGTTCAAAACCAAGGGTAAAAAGAAGAATTTTAACAGCAGCCAGAGAAAAGACATGTTTCATACATTATAATAACGACAAGGATGTTGGCAGATTTGATCAGAGACAATGCAAGCAAGAAGAAACCAGGGCAACATTATGGAAGCACTGAAATAAAAATAAAGTCAGACTAGAATGCTACACCTATATTTTTCAATATCAAAGGCAAAATAAAGCCATGTTCAGAAATACAAAAGCCGAAGGAATTCACTATCTGCAGACCAACACTTTAGGAAGTGTTAATGAAATTCCTTCAAGCAGAAGCTGAAAAATAGTAAACAGAATGATAGATCTACACAAAGAAATGAAAAACACAAAATATGATAAAGATATGTGTTAACATACAGAATTCTTTTCTTATATTTTAAATCTCTCCAAAAGATAATTGACTCTTTAAACAAAAATAATATCAAAATGTTGTTGGGTTTATTATGTGTGTGTGTGTGCGTGTGTGTGTGTGTGTATAGTTAGTATAAACATATACATGCCAAAAATCTTCTTAAGCTGATAAGCAACTTCAGCAAAGTCTCAGGATACAAAAATCAATGTGCAAAAATCACAAGCATTCCTATACAACAATAACAGACAAACACAGAGCCAAATCACGAGTGAACTCCCATTCACGATTGCTGCAAAGAGAATAAAATACCTAGGAATCCATCTTACAAGGGATGTGAATGACCTCTTCAAAGAGCACTACAAACCACTGCTCAAGGAAATAAAAAAGGTCACAAACAAATGGAAGAATATTCCATGCTCATGGATAGGAAGAATCAATATTGTGAAAATGGCCATACTGCTCAAAGTAATTTATAGATTCAATGCTATCCCCATCAAGCTACCATTGACTTTCTTCATAGAATTGGAAAAAACTACTTTACACTTCATATGGAACCAAAAAAGAACCCACATAGCCAAGACAATCCTAAGCAAAAAGAGCAAAGCTGGAGCATTATGCTACCTGACTGCAAACTATACTACAAGGCTACAGTAACCAAAACAGCATGGTACTGGTACCAAAACAGATATATAAACTAATGGAACAGAACAGAGGCCTCAGAAATAACACCACACATCTACAACCATCGGATCTTTGACAAACCCGACCAAAACAAGCAATGAGGAAAGGATTCCCTATTTAATAAATGGTGCTGGAAAAACTGGCTAGCCACATGCAGAAAGCTGAAACTGGATCCCTTCTTCACATATTATACAAAAGTTAACTCAAGATGGATTAAAGATTTAAATGTAAGACCTAAAATCATCAAAACCCTAGAAGAAAACCTAGGCAATAATATTCAGGACATAGGGATGGGCAAAGTCTTCATGACTAAAATACCAAAAGCAATGGCAACAAAAGCAAACATTGATAAATGGGATCTAATTAAACTAAAGATCTTCTGCACAGCAAAAGAAACTATTATCAGAGTACACAGGCAACCTACAGAATGGGAGAAAATTTTTGCAATCAATCCATCTGAAAAAGGGTTAATATCCAGAATCTACAAAGACCTTAAACAAATTTACATGAAAAAGCAACCGTATCAAAAAATGGGTGAAGCATATGGACAGACACTTATCAAAAGAAGACATTTATGCAGCCAACAAACTTATGAGAAAATGTTCATCATCACTGGTCAATAGAGAAATGCAAATCAAAACCACAATGAGATACCATCTCATGCCAGTTAGAACAGTGATCATTAAAATGTCAGGAAACAACAGATGCTGGAGAGGATGTGGAGAAATAGGAATGCTTTTACACTGTTGGTAGGAGTGTAAATTAGTTCAACCGTTGTGGAAGACAGTGTAGCGATTCCTCAAGGATCTAGAAGTAGAAATACCATATGACCCAGCAATCCCATTACTGGGTATATACCCAAAGGATTATAAATCATGCTGCTATAAAGACACATGCACACGTATGTTTATTGCAGCACTGTTCACAACAGCAAAGTCTTGGAACCAACCCAAATGCCCATCAGTGAAAGACTGGATAAAGAAAATGTGGCACATATACACCATGGAATACTATCCAGCCATAAAAAAGGATGAGTTCACATCCTTTTCAGGCACACGGATTAAATTGGAAACCATCATTCTCAGCAAAGTAACACAAGAAGAGAAAACCAAACACCAAATGTTCTCTTTCATAAATATTTTAAAATATTTTTCCTAGCTCCGTGAAGAATGTCATTGGTAGTTTGACAGGAATAGCATTGAATCTGTAAATTGCTTTGGGCAGTATAAACATGTTGATGATATTGAATCTTCCTATCCACAAGCATGGCAATTTTTTTTATTTGTTTCTTCTCTGCTTTCTTTGAGCAGTGTTTCGTAGTTCTCATTGTAGAGATGTTTCACCTCTCTGGTTAGCTATATTTCTAAGTTATTTTATTGTGGCAATTGTGAATGTTATTGCCTTTCTGCTTTGGTTCTCAGTTGGGTTGCTGTTGGTGTATAGGAATCCTAGTGATTTTTGTACATTGATTTTGTGTCCTGCAACTTTGCTGAAGTTGTTTATCAGCTGAAGGAGCTTTTAGGCTGAGACTATGGTGTTTTTGAGATATAGAATAATGTCATCCACAAGCCGAGATAGTTTGACTTCCTTTCTTCCTATTTGGATGCCTTTTATTTCTTTCTCTTGCTTGACTTCTCTGGCTAGGACTTCCAATTATATGTTGAATAGGAGTGGTGAGAGAGGGCATCCTTGTCTTGTGCTGGCTTTCAAGGGGAATGCTTCTAGCTTTTGCCCATTCAGTATAATGTTGGCTATGGGTTTGTCATAGATGGCTCTTATTATTTTGAGGTATATTCATTCAACACCTAGTTTATTGAGAGTTTTTAATATGAAGGATGTTGAATTTTATCAAAAGCCTTTTCTGCATCTATTGAGATAGTCATGTGGTTTTTGCCTTTAGTTTTGTTTATGTAATACATCACATTGATTTTAGTATGTTGAACCAACCTTGCATCCCAGGGATGAAGGCTACTTGATCAACGTGGATTAGCTTTTTGATGTGCTGCTGAATTCAATTTGCGAGTATTTTGTTGAGGATTTTTTATTGATATTCATCAAGGCTATTGGCGTGAAGTTTTCAATTTTTGTTTTTTCTCTGTCAGGTTTGGTATCAATATGATGTTGGCCTCATAGAATGAGTTGGGGAGAAATCATTTCTCCTCAATTTGCAGGAATAGTTTCTGTAGAACTTGTACCAGCTCTTCTTTGTAAATCTGTGAATTCATCAGGTCCTGGGCTTTTATTGCTTGGTAGGCTATTCATTACTGATTCAATTTTGGAGCTCATTACTGGTCTGCTCAGGGATCAATTTCTTCCTGGCTCAACCTTGGGAGGATGTCCAGAAATTTACCCATCTCTTCTGGGTTTTCTAGTTTGTGTGTATAGATGTGTTCATAGTAGTTTCTGATGGTTTTTATTTCTGTGGGGTCAGTAGTAACATTCCTGTCATTATTTCTAATTGTATTTTTTAATGGATCTTCTCTGTTTTCTTCTTAATTAGTCTAGCTAGTGGCCTATTTTATTAATTTTTTCAAAAAAACAACTCCTGGATTTGTTGATCTTTTGAATGAATTTTTTTGTGTCTCGATTTCCTTTGGTTCATCCCTGATTTTTGTTATTTCCTGTGTTCGGCTAGCTTTGGGGTTTATTTGTTATTGCTTCCCTAATTCTTTCAGTTGTGAAGTTAGTTTGTTAATTTGACATATTTCTAGCTTTTGATGTGGGCATTTATTGCTATGAATTTTCCTCTTTACATTGACTTAGCCATGTCTCAGAGATTTTGATATGTTGTTTCTTTGTTCTCATTATTTTCAAAGAGCTTATTAATTTCTGCCTTAAGTTCATTATTTACCCAATAGTCATTCAGGAGCATGTTGTTTAATTTCCATGTAATTGTATTGTTTTGAGACATTTTCATTCTGTTGACTTCTGTTTTTATTGTGTTGTGGACTGAGAATGTGTTTGTTATGATTTCAGTTATTTTACATTTGTTGAGGATTGTTTATGTTCAATTATGTGGTCAATTTTAGAGTATGTGACATCTGGCAATGGCAAGAATATGTATCTGTTGTTTTGAGGTGGAGATGTCTTTAAAACTATATCATATTTATTTGGTACAATGTTGAGTTTAGGTCCTGAATATCTTTGTTAATTTTCTGCCTCAGGGATCTGTCTAATACTATCAGTGAAGTGATGAAGTAACCGACTATTATGTGTGAGAGTCTGTGTCTGTATTTATCTAAGAATTTGCTTTATGAATCTGGGTGCTCCTGTATTGGGTACATGTATATTTAGGAGAGTTAGGTCTTCTTATTGAATGGAACCCTTTACCATTATGTAATGCCCTTCATTGTCTTTTTTTTTAATCTTGTTGTTTTGAAATCTGTTTTGTCTGAAATTGAAATTGCAATCCCTACTTTTTTCTGCTTTCTATTTGCTTGGTAGATTTTTCACCATCTCCTTATTTTAGCCTATGAGTGTCATTACGTGTGAGATGTGTTTCTTGAAGACAACACATAATACCATTGGGTCTTGCTTTTTTTATCCAATTTGCCATTCTGTGCCTTTTAAGTGGGACATTTAGCCCATTTACATTCAAGGTTACTATTGATATGTGTGGATTTGAACCTGTCATTTTGCTGTTAGCTGCTTATTATGTTGGCTTGTTTTTGTGGTTGCTTTACAGTGATACTCATCTCTGTGTTTAAGTGTGTTTTTGTATTAGCTAGTAGTAGTCTTTCCTTTCTATATTTAGTGCTGCTTTCAAGACCTCTTGTAAGGCAGGTCTTGTGGTAACAAAGTCCCTCAACATTTGCTTATCTGAAAAGGATCTTATTTCTCTTTCACTTAGGAAGCTTAGTTTGGCTAGATATAAAATTATTAGTTGAAAAGTTTTTTCTTTAAGATGCTGAATATAGGCCCCCAGTCTCTTCTGGCTTGTAGGGTTTCAGCTGAGAGGTCCATTGTTAGCCTGATGGAGTTCCCTTTGTAGGTGATATGCCCTTTCTCTCTAGCAGGTTTAAACATTCTTTCATTTTGACCTTGTAAAATCTGATGATTGAGTTTCTTGGGGATGATCTTCTTGTGTAGAAACTTGCAGGAGTTCTCTTTATTTCCTGAATTTGACTGTTAACCTCTCTAGCAAGGTTGGGAAAGTTTTCATGGACGACATCCTGAAATATATCTTCCAAGTTGTTTACTTCCTCCCCCTCCTTTTCAGGGAAGCCAATTATTCATGCATTTGGCCTCTTTACATAATCTCATACTTCTTGGAGGTTTTGTTCATTCCTTTTTAGTCTTTTTTAAATTTTTGTCTGACTGTCTTATTTCAGAGAACGAGTCTTCAAGTTTTGAGATTGTTTCCTCAGCTTGGTTTATTCTGCTCTTAATACCAGTGATTGCATTCTGAAATCCTTGTATTGTGTTATTCAGCTCTGTCAGACCCATTAGGTTCTTTTTTGTACCGACTATTTTATCCTTCAGCTCTTGTATCATTTTATTGTGATCATGATTTTCCTTGGATTAGATTTTGCCACCCTCCTGAATCTCAATGTTCATTGTTCTGATCCATTTTCTGAATTCTATTTCTGTCATTTCAGCCAGTTTGACCTGGTTAAGAACTCTTGTTGGAGAACTGGTGAGATCATTCAGGGGACATATGACACTCTCTTTCTTATCCCTGAGTGTGGGTGTTCCTTTAACTGCAGTGTAGATTGAGTACGGCCGATAGATTCTTTTCTAAATGTTTTCACCAGGCTGAGGCTTTGTGTAGGGTCTTTATTTGAAGCTGATTTCTTATCTCTGGTTTCAGAGGGAGGTATGCTAGTGAAGTGTTTTGGTGTTGAAGTTTGGGGGTGTGATATAGCAGGTGACATAGTCTTATTCGTCGGTTGGTAGACTCTTGCTTGGTTGTGGGGCTCCCCTATGTTTCCTTACATTTGCAGCCTTGCTCCCCATTAGTGCTCTGAAAGTGTGGGTTCCTCTGCCCCTTGAGTGCTGGCTGTACTTCATGACTTGGCACTCTTGGGTTGCCCACTGCAGCTTTGGGGTAATCTCAGTGTTTCTGTTCCTTTCTCAGCTTAGAGGCAGCAGAGGAAGAGATCTTAGTAGTGGTCATGGCCAAGGGTTGTTTGCTTGGCTCCTGGGGACTCCATCCCATAGAGATGCAGGTCAGCAATTGCTCCCAGCCAGGGTCCCCAGTCACTTCCTACAGGTGCCTCTGGACCAGTAACAGGTCCATACCCACTGGGACAGAGTTCCCAGAGAGAGGGACAGTCTTCTACCTTTGCTGTTTTGAAGCCTTCACTGGTGACATCTCCAGGTTTTAGAAATCTGAGGTGACTAGGGACTGGAGTGGGCCCCAAGCATACTGCAGTGGCCCTACTGAAAAGTGGCCAGACTTACATGGGTGGCTATTCCCATATCTCCTCACTGGGCAGGTCCTCCAGGCCTGGGCCTCCAGCCACCCCCTGCCAGAGCTATCAAGCCAGTGCTAACTCAGCAACAACCAGGACAGAGCCTCCAGGAGCGACTGAAAGCCTCTCTGCCACTGCATCTGCAGTAGAACTGCCCTTGCCACCCTGAAACTAACGAAGCAGCAAAGACCCTAACTGCTTTATCCACAGCTCCAACAGGCTACAGTTGACCCAAGGAGAGGAGGCCCTTCTGTCTCCCATGGGTCCTACACACCCAGCATGGCACATCACCAGACAGGGAACCCCTGGCTTGGGCCCACAGCACAAACCCTCCATCTTGGGCTGACTGCACTGAGCGATCGCTCACATAGGTTTGACATATACCATAACAATACATAAAGATTGAGAAGAAAGAAATGGAAGTATACTTTTGTAAGGTTCTTGTACTTTATGTGAAGTGATACAGTATCACTGAGATTAAGTTAAAGATGTATACTGTAAACCAAAATCAACCACAAAAATGTCAAAACAATCTTTAAACTAGTAAGCCAAAAAAGAAGATAAAACGGAAGCATAAAGATAATTACTTAATCTAAAACAAGGCAGAAGAAAATAAGGTACATGGATCACGGTTCTATTTATATAACACTTTGGAAAATGCAAGCTAAACTGTACTAACAGTAGGCAGAGCCTAGAGAGAGGAAAACAGAAAGGTCAGGTAAAGTAAAATTACAGGGGGATAGGAAAAATGGAGAGGATGATAGATGTGTTCACTATATTGATTATTGTGATGATTTCTCCAGTATATCTATATGTCAAAATGTATCAAATGATACAATTTAAATTGCTGCAGATTATTGCATGTTAATTATTCCTTCATAATGCCATAAATACATTTTAAAATAATAATTAATAAATACAGCATTAAGGACTGTGGACCAAGGGAACTGTATGAACAAGAAAGTTACTGATGGCATACAGAAAAGAGAGAACAGAAAATGAATGTCAGTTTAGGCTGCAAACATGGATTAAAAAAGACACAAAAAATAGGATAAAGTAGGTTTGTACTGTCCAATACGGTAGCTAGTAGCTACACGTGGGTATTGAGAACTTGTAATACTTCATTTAAATTAAGACGTACTGCAAGTGTAAAACACACACTGGATTTCCACTCACCTCCAAACAAATTTAAAAATAAAATATATCGTTAATACTTTTATGTTGATTATGCATTAAAACAATAAGATTTTAGTTATATTGAGTCAAATAAAATATATTATTAGAGTTAATTTCACCTTCTTTTTACTTTTTTTAGTGTGACTACTGAAGCATTTAAAATCACATTGTGACTTGCATTGTATTTCTGTAGGACACTGCTATTATAGCAGGGAGTGCCTGTAAGTAGCTAGAACAATGATCGAAGTAAAATATTCTCACATAACAGTTCTCAAAAACTAATGATATCTAAGCCAGTTTGAGAGTCATTTGAGACTGTACAGGCTAATAAAAGTGCATATTTTGGCATTCCTGAGCTTTCTTTAAATCATCACTTATTAAATGAAAGAAAAGAAATTAATGAGTAATTTCCTGGTTTGTTACTAATAAATATGAGATTCTAATTAGATGTCAATTCTCCCTAGTTTCCAGGATATTCAATTTGAATATTAATAAAATTATAATTAAAAACTAACAGAGTACTTATTTATGAAAGGCTAAATAACATAAAAAATTTCCCCTAACTGTATGTTTACAAGTAGATATAAAAATTAAACTCTGTTTTCCCCAACGTTAACCATTATGTTGATTCCCAAGTTAAGCCCAAATATTTTTAGATATTACCAAATCTGTATTTTTATTTTCACATCACCTCACACTCCACCATCACCACTGATTGTGTCCATTGACATGAGCAACAGCTAGCCACACAGAAGAATCAACCCACCTAATAGCTATACTTCACAATTAACCTCAGAGCTCTTCCTGAGTGAACTCTACTCAGTCTTCTAAATCTTTTCATGTTTCCAGTGGCAAACTTGAACTTCATTTTCATGTTTCTCTGAAAGAGCTGAAAAGGATTTTCTCTGTTGGTGATAGACAGACTTAGCTTGAACCCTAGAACCAAGGCTCTCCTTAGACTTAGCTGGAACCAAGGCTCTCAGATGAGTTGTGTATGCCTCACTACCTGTAACAGGAAAAGAACACAAACTATCAAGAGACAGACTATACCTTAAGCAAAGTTAATATATGAACTGACTTCAACTGCAAGTTATGAATTTAAGACCCAGTAGAGTGCCAATAACAGGTGATCAGGTTGTTTTGCTAAATGAATATTTATAGAGTTGATTGACAAACTTTTAAAATTAATCTTAATGTTCCTTAAGGTTGTCACTCGGCAATTTGCTTTAGAGGAAAGCGTGACATTCATTTACATTTATTAGTAGCATGCAGAGTTTTGATTAGTCAGCCATATGCCTTGCCTTCCTAAAAAAATTGTGAAAACCGATCCCCATTTCCTTATGTTAACATTTAGAGAGACTCGCTTTAAATTGCCTTATGATTGGTTTGCTACCTACATTAGTCAGAAAACAGAATAGGTTTTGTACTGGTAATAATCAACAAAGATATTTCAGTAGCTTAGCACAAAAAAGGTTTCTTTATCATCCATGCTAAAAATTCACACCTTTCAAAATGTTATTTCACATCATATTCTTATATTGACATCATCTCTATTCGGTGGTGTAAAGGAAGAGAAGACTGAAGATTTGGGCACATCTGAGCTTTAACAGATGTGGGAAAGGGCGACAAGGGAAAATGAAGTGTTTATAAAAACTCAAAAATCTCTGACAACAGCAACAATATATTTGGTTTTGATTTTAATTAAATATAAAGCAAACTCAAAGGCTTAAATTCCTTGTACTAAATTATAACAGCCTAGAAAAAATATATAAGTGAATTTTAGGAAGGTATAGGGTTGTTAAGCTTCAAATAAAGATATAAAGATATGTTATACCTGACCAATTAACATATTTGAACTTGAAAAATTTCAAATATATTTTGATAGAGACACGCAGAAGATCGAGAGGAAAGATAACATAAAACTCAGGGGAAAGCATTACCAAAATAGGTGATGGGTAATAAATAAAGGACTTTTACAAATCAATAAGAAAATTAATAAACACTTTTACAAATCCATAAGTACTATAGAGAATTTACTAACATCTAAAACATATAAATAGCCTCTCTGAAAACTTGTTCAATTTCATAACAATCAAACATTTTTGGCAATTTTCAGAGAGGCTATTTATGTGTTTATATGTCCTGCTAAAATAGGAGGAAGAAGTTTACATGTCCTGCTAAAATAACAGGAAGAAATTTAAATATCAAATTGATAAATCTTAAAGAAAGATAGTTAATAATACCATCAGGGATATCTGAAAACAATCTTTCTTACACTCATCTTGTGGAAGTATATATTAGAAAAACTTTTCTTCAGAGAAAATTGGCTCTAAATACCATAGTATTCTCTGACCTAGCAATTTGACTTCCACAGTTATCACAGGAATGAAATTTACCACATCTATTAAATGAAATAGTACCCTGCTTTTGAATAAGATTAAATATTACTTGATATGTAAAAAGTTCACAACATATGAACCAGCAGCTGGTGAACATAAATAAATACATGCCTGGTTTTATGTTAATAATTGTTTTAATAAAATTAATAGCTCCTACAATTGATGAAACACCTGCTAATCATAATGACAAAATGGTAAATGTGCTAGTTAAGTGAAATGAACTTATAAACTTAAAAACAGCCTGTGAACATCTTGATTTTATAGGCTCATTTTCACAAAATTGTGTATTTATATTTAATAGTACATAAGAGCTTTCATGAAACCCCTATGCATAAATACAATGTTTTTTTCTGTCATTCAGGGTAAACCAGGACATAGATCACACCCTCCTGTTTTGATAACTCAAATGGGTTGAATTTAAAAAACATAAAATATATCTGAAGCATGAGCAATAGTATAGGAATCCAGGGATGGCATTGCCTGGGCAGTCACCACCCACTGTGGGGATAGAAAGAGAGAGAGAAGTAAGCAGCCTCTAAATTAACCCTCTATGATTCTTGCCTCCTGGTATTCACACTCTTGTGTAATTCCATTCCTTTGAGTGTGGGTTGAACTTTGTGACTCACTTATAATGAATGAATTCAGCATAAATGATAAGATTAAATTTCATTAATTAGATTGAGTGCTTGTTACATGACATTGGTAAAATTATAAGCTTACCTATTACTAGTCATATTGACATATAGTATTATGTTTAAGATTTCACTTATGCCAGTTGCAATTTCCTGTGGTAAAGTCTTCATTAAAGTAGTTCTGACTGCTGTTTACTCTGATCTTATTTAAGTCTGTTGTGTTATATTTTTCATTTCTAAAGACCATTAAACTATAAATTTTCTTTTACTGCCGTCATCATCAGGCTCTAGGATTAGTGCTGTATTTGAAAGACATTTCATCCTTCTTTTTATTTAGGATCAGATTTGTATAATAAAAACTACTTTGGAAGTTTAAAACATTTCTCATATGGTTATAAATGCTTGTATTGGCATTTTTTAGTAGTTGATCATTTTCCATTTGTTTTTGCCTGGATTAGTTTGTCCTGCTTCTTATTGTCTTGTTTCACTTTGATAGTTTATTTTTCTGAGTATTCTTCATTTTGCTTATTATAAAGATGCACTGTTTTTCAAAATAATTGCTAAATAGAAATGTTGATTACTGTTTTTACTTTATATTTCTAAATGTCATATTTGGTGGAATCTTCACAGGTTTATTGTGTCACTGGTGAATTAATTAATTTAAGGTTCTTTTTTTTTTTTTTTATTTTCTTTTCTTATTTTGCAATCCAGGAACTTTTGCCTTTATTGTAATTCCCTTCTATATTTCTTTGATGGATTAAAATCTCCAGAAGTAGACCTAATTTATTTTATTCATTTTTATTTAATTATTTAGACAAATCCATATTCTACTACCTCTAAATATTTTCAAATTATTTTGACTAAATATACATAAATTATTAAATCACATTTGAATATTTATAAATTTTAAGAGTTGGGATAAATATATCATTTTTTAATCTCAGGTTACTTATTAGGGCAGTGGGAAAACAATTTAGAGCATCATGAAATCATTTTTATGAAGAAATAAAATTTAAAAGATAGGAAAATAAAATGTATGACATATGGTACGCATAAATGCTGTTTTATGAACTGTTTATTTCACTATATAATGTTACGTGTGTATAGTAAGGATAAATATATGATTATTTCCCTTTATTTACTACTGTTCAGAATAGAGTGTTGGTTTCATGGTATCCTCCAAAGTGATGTATGAGTTGCAACTAGTGTATATGAACCAATGTATCTAACTGTTTTTATGTGTTCCAATCCACTTTTTGAATTATAACCATCTGCTTTGTTGGCATATACTTTAGCATGTCTTCGTATCAAGTTATTTTATTGTTTTCTCTCTTTAAATAAGAATTTTACATGATAATTGACTGCAGCTGTTTTCTGGTGTTTGCGTTAATTAAAGTGGTGTTTTATTCTACTTTTAGGAAGAGGTACCAGAATAAGTGGTCGGGGTGAACAAATAGAGCATTTCTAGCTTCACAGTTTGAAGTCTCTCTGTTTTGTTGTTACCAAGAAGTAAATTAAGTGCCTACTCAAAAGTGAGATCTGCTTCCCTTCTCTCCTTCACTTTAAATAAACTTAAAAAAATGTGGGTACATAGTAGGTGTATATACCTATTGGATACATGAGATGTTTTGATACAGCCATACAAAATGAAATAAGCACATCATGAAGAATGGGGTATCTATTCCCTCAAGCATTTATCCATTGAATTACAATTCTTTTTTTCCTTTGTCTTAAATTCTAAGCCATGCTTAATTTGCATTCTACTCATGTCATTTCACTGTGAGCCTTGTAGGAAGTAAACTTGGACTGGTTACATTTTAGAGATTTCAGATCAAGACTCCCTCAGTGTTTTCAGTCTTCTTGTGGTCTCATTGCCCTCGTCTATGATTGTGAGCCTGTGAAGTCCCTTGCTAAGTGGACTGAAAAGGTTTGGGCTGCTGAATTTCAATTCACAAATGAAATTCCATCATTGGGGAAGTGGGTGCTTATCAATGATATATGGCTCACAGGGCCATCATAATCCTGTCTTCTGCATCCTCTCAATTTGAACATGACTTTACTGCTAACTTGGCTCCTCCCCATTTGATACAGACATTCATGAGATACTAGCATATGGTTTTGTTGGAGTTGTTATCTTTAGGGTTTTGATTTATTACACCAATTATTCTGTCTGTTCTTGTGTGATGATTCAAGACTAAAGAATCACATCACTGCCCCTGCCACAACCAACTTGTCTTTTTCCAAATAAAGGCTTATAAGACTGCAAAATTTTCACTGAGGTCTGCTATACTCACAAGAAAGTCTGCAAATACGAATCATAAAAGCTATCTATAAGACTACTGTTATTATTTACATGTGCCCTTTCATTTGAAGGATACTTTCTTAATACTCATATTTGTAGTATGCCCGCATCATCAATAATTATTTGGATACTAGTATATATTTTCTTGGTTTCTTGCTCACAAGCGTTTCCTATTCGGATAGCATTTGGTTAGTTGCTTGAATGTTTTATAAATTTCTGGGTTCAGTTTATTGTCCTTCAAAACTATATAGATAGTCCTTCATTGTACTCTACTATTATTTTAAAAAGCCAATTTTCACTACAATTTTTAATTTTTAATAGATGTCTTTTGCATACTCTCTGGAAACTTATTGGATTATTGGAATTTTTTTTTGACAGTCTCACTCTGTCATCCAGGCTGAAGTACAGTGGTGGAATCTTGGCTCACTGCAACCTCCACCTCCCAGGTTCAAGCCATTCTCATGCCACAGCCTCCCTAAGTAGCTGGGACAAGAGGTGCACGTCACCACACCTGATTATTTTTTGTATTTTTAGGGAGACAGGGTCTCGCCATGTTGGCCAGGCTGGTCTCAAACTCCTGACTTCAAGTGATCCATCCGCCTCCGCCTCCCAAAGTAGTGGGATTACAGGCATGAGCCACCATGCCTGGCTGGATTTGTATTTTTTATTAGTATTTAAAATTTTCACAAAAGTGTGTCTATTTATACATTCATTTATTTCCAAAATGTACTCTTTCTTGATTTTCTGAGCTCTTTGAATGAAAAAATAGTTTTTGGTGGGGTATGGTGGCCCACACCTGTAATCCCAGCACTTTGGGAGGCCGAGGTGGGTGGATAATGAGGTCAGGAGTTTGAGACAAGCCTTGCTAACATGGTGAAACCTCCTTTTTAGTAAAAATACAAAAATTAGCCGGGCATGGTGATGTGCACCTGTTATTCCAGCTACCCGAGTGGGTGAGCCTGGAGAATCATTTGAACCTGGAAAGCAGAGGTTGCAGTGAGCTGAGATTGGGCAATTGCATTCCAGCCTGGGAGACAGAGCAAGACTCTGTCTCAAATATATATATATTCTAACAAATACTAGATATATAATTATATATATTTGAACAAATACTAGATATTATAAATAATATTTTTCTTTTTATTTTCTATTATAAGTTCCATTACTTGAATTCTTTGGTAGAGGTCTAAGAAGAGTTTATGTTACAGATTACTGTGTTTTCAGTTATATTGTCTCTTACTATTTCATCATTGAATTATTATTATTTTATTTCAGTAAACATATTTAATACTGAGAATTTTCTTTAATTTTTGTGATTGCTTCTATTCTAGAGAAGTGGGTTTTTATACATTTATGAAAATAGTATTTTTTTGAATCTCTTGACTATACTAGCTTGGATTTTTTAAAACTTTTTTTTAACATTAGCTAAATTTTCCCACTCAGTTATTTAGTTGTTTTTTTTTTTTTTCTGAAGTGCCTTCTTTTTATTATATTGTATTCTCATAAGTGTCTGGTGATTCTGTTTTCTTGTATGTGCTTTTTAATATATGTTCATATTTACATGAACACAATATAGATGATGCTTCATCAATTACTGTCAGTATCTAGGGAGATTTGGTGGATAGATTGAGACAAACAGATACCGATAGATTGGTAAACCTTACTGGCATGGGTAACTAAGATGAAATGACTCACTACATATGGGGATCTATTCTTCCTTCAGGCCTCTTCTGATACAGGCTCCCACTATATGCCTCTGCAGATGTAGGACAGGCTGTACCAAGAGTTGGTTTTCTCTCAGGAAAAATGGATTGGGATAATCCAGGTAAAATTGAATATTTTCACAACTGCCATATTATGCAAGATTCTTAGCTTGAGACAGAATTTTGGTGTTGTTTGCTGTGGGGTGGAACTCTCTTTTCCTCACTGCTTCTCTCCTTCTTTGTCCTGGTGTGTGTCTTAAGTGTCTAGCACTCTATTCCTCTTCCCTTTCCCGTCTAATGCACATCCTAAGATCCCCTGAAAGTAGACTACATTGAACAATTAATTACAGAGCAGTGTTTACTAAGCTTTTCCTGCTGCAAATACCTCAGCAGTTTTGCCGTTGTACCCTGAGCCTGTGCTGGCTCAGATCTAGCTGTTTTACAATTAATTATCCAGTTACTTGCCCTGAGGCCTACTCCTACTCCCAGCTCTTGCTGACTCTGAGGTTGGATTTTTTATTTTCCAGTTTTCATTTGGGTTAACTCTGATACTTCTCTTCCTCCACAAGAGTTACAATGCTGGTTTGCTGCCTGTTTTCAGTGTCACTTGTATAATGTCTGCCATAAACCACACAAATCTTAAAATGTTATTTTTGATGGATATCCGTCTTCTCTGTTTTCTAGCACAGCTATAATTTTGTTACTATTTTTATTGTACCTCAATGTGATTTGAAGTATGAAGGGCAGCGAATTTGAATCGTGGGATTACCAGCTTGATCCAGAAGTCCTAACCATTGTCTTACAGGTAAACTATCATATATGGAATATTCATTTATGTTTACCTTATTGTAGGCAATGCTATTAGTAATGAAAATGAGGTATATTTTCTTGAAATTGGATTGCTCGTTTCCTTGACGCTTCTGTTTTTTCTATCCCCCATATAGTATTCTCAATCATCACAAATAAAGGAACCACTTGAAATTGCTTCAGGATATTAATTCCTAAGGAATGAGATTTAGCAGTGTAGTTAAATCTTGGTAGTTAAATTCTTATGTTCAAAGTTCTGATAGACCTAGTTTGAATCTTGATTCTATCAACCGTGAGGTTTGTGACTTTGGGGAAATAACTTCTTTTTCTCCAACAATATCTTCCTTCAATGGTTATTGTGAAGAATAAATTAGATACTGCCCAGAAACCTCTTGGTTTAGTTCCTGGCAGATAGTAAGGTTCTAGATGGTTCTAGATACTATAACAGTAACTTTTTATTGCAAAAAAAAAAAAAAAAAGGCATTTGAATCATGCCAAAACCTGGACTTTTAAATGTGGAAGTGGAATATTTACACTTTAATAAATAATTTTCAGAGACCAAATATGTGCCCATGGAATGGCAACAGCCCAATATATGTAACAATGAGATAAATATGGCTTGGGCAGAATTGTTCTAATTATAAATAGGTACATCCTCATGTCAACAGTATCTGCTTTTCTTCTCCATGATGGGATTTTGATTTTCTGACTGACTGTAGTTTTGGAGTGCCTTTGATGGATTCTGGGCCCATGTATACACCTATTCTTACAACCCAGCCCTTTCCTGCCTGCCCCTTTTCTGCCAAAGGCATATTGTATAGAACTGACACAGTCCTCTCCCAGGCTTCTGGCTCTATACAGCTCTTCTTCCACTGCACTGGGATCAACAATGCTAATCTTACCCTGCTATTGTTGGTAATTTCAAAATGCCTGGTAGTATTTAAATTGGAATTAGTAATTCTGTTTTTTAAACTCAGCTTCTATTCAAAGCCAGCAACTTATCATCAGAACAGCCAAGAAGCATTTTAGAATTAAATAATATGTACTTTATTTTCATATTAAATTACTGCTTACTGAACGGTTGAATAAAACAGTGCAGAAAAACTGTACTCTTGTGTTTGCATTTTGATATAAATATTTTCATCCCACAGAAACACATTATTAAAATATTTATTCTACATACAGTAGCACTAAAAGATAGAAAAGTCTCAGTGTCGGTTATAAGGCTGCCTCCCAAACACATGAGGTATTTTCTTTGAAATTTATATTCAAAGATTATCAGTATAGAAAATGAGCTTGCTGTCACAGAAATAGAATAATAGAAAAGAAAGAGCAGAAATGGCTATTTTTTTCTCCATTTTACCATATTAGTCAGAGATATACATAAATCAGTTTAAAGAAATGACTGGCTGTCTTATATTCAGATGTATCTAGTGTTAGAAAGAATATGCCCTCCCTACGTAATCTATTTCATAGTTTTATTTAGTAAACTTTCCTATAAGTTGAGCTTAGAGCAGTGATTGGTATTTCATTTAACCAACAATGGCTTATTTTTCTTTCATTTAAAAAGTATTTTATAGAAATTACATTTTGAGCATTCAAGCTAATATTTTACATTTTAAAATGGTACCTTGAGGACTGTTTAGAGTTTTCAAAGACATTACTTTGATTAATCTTCTTGTCGACGTTTTAGTAATGCACTCTTGCCATATTTGCTAGAAAATTAAATATTTTAAACCTGGAAATATTACTTTAGTAATGTTCACATCTAGCTAAAGATCTCTCTGTACCTCTAAATGGACATTGGCAAAATTAAACTCACAGGTTTGTATCAGCACTTGAAACTTTCTTACTCAGCCTTACCCCATCCTCCAACCAGCCCACAAAAAAAATCTGTGTCTGAATTCAGCCTGAATACAACTCTTTCATTTCTTTTTGTAGGCTACATAAGTAATAAACTAAGTATCTCTCTATGACATGAAAAATCCACCCTGAACTGACCCTTGTTTATCTCTCATGTCTGTCTGACAACAAATTCCACCTCATTAGTTTTGATCAAGCAGCATCAAACTTCTTGAGAAATGCCGAATATATACAAACTCTTCACTCCTACTATTGCCTAAGTAAATGATACCCTTCATGTGTGTCTCCTTCTTTTAGGTAACTATTGTTGCTTGCATGTGAAGAATGACCACAAATAATTCCTTTTCTGAGGGGATCTCTGATATTCTGTCTCCTCCAACCCCTATCAAATATCCCTGCTCTGTGTCCATAATGTGAGCAGTATTTATATTTTTTAACATTTACATCCCCCATGACTCTAAATCTTTTTAATGTAGTTTTATGTCATAGTCATTATTTTACTCCCAAGTAATACTACAAGGCTTAAAGATCTAATGTAAGTGCATTAAACTTTTACTGAATTTCTTTTAACACAAAATAGTATTGACTGCCAGAGTAAGCACTATCTATAATGTGTGTACATTAGGCCTGACACTACCAGTAGGAGATGAGATTAAAAGTCCCACCACAACCAGAAGAGTTAGGTTCCTGAAAACGCTTCTACTTCTTCTACTGTAAGAAAAAGCAATAAGGAATCCTTATTCGAAACTAGGATTAGAGAAATATGTCCTCAGTAAACATAGGATACCATAGGAAAAGTATTTAATATGTTCTTAAGCATTGTACAATTACAATTTTTTAAATGTGTAATAATAGTAATCTGTGTTTGGCATTTGTGTTGATTTTATTAAATGCCAATTTTCTGGTTCGAAAGTTAGAGTTTAAAAAGATTTTATTTTCTTTAGTTCCATGCACCTTTCTAGAAACCCTTGGACTCACCAAGTATGACAAAAACAAAGGCAGGCTTTATACTTTCTCCTTTTCTACCAAATCATGGAGGAGAATAAATGAAGGGGAGTTCAAGCCAAAAGACCAACAGGCTCTAGCCCCTCATTGTAGATAAATGAATGCAGGTGAAGAAGGGAAAAGATATAGTTGTTCTGAGGACAATAAGTCATCCGAACACTGACTAGGTCATAGAGGGCCAGGAGATGGCCAGAATTTCCTTCAGGTTCATTGCAGCAATGTGGGGAAAGAGAGCACTTCCTGATAACTCTGGTTGTCACTGGGAGAAGCAGCACCCTACAGTACCTGGCACTTCTCCCTAGAACAAGCTGGGTATGATTCCTCATGGGAGTGGCCAGGGAAGCAGAAGTCAAAACCAACTCAAATGAATTGTGGAAGAAGAGAGTATGATTTGGGGAAGACTTAATCACATCAGAGATTGCTCACATACAAACCTTCGCAGGCAGAATAATCATGCAGTCAATCAAGAGCTAACCTCACCCTTCCCTATCAAACATAACTGTGGTGCCCAATTCTAAAAAGTTGTCATCCAAGAAGCTACATCAGCCACTTTCGTTATATTGCCTACAGGCTTCAACAAATTCATGGAATGGTTGACAAAGAAAGAGTGTCTTCTCAGTATATTTGGGGGGGTCCTGAAACCAATAAAAGGGAATCTTTCAGGAAAAGCCTCCTTTTCCTTGTTAGAAACTTTACAAGCTCTTACCTCTCATGGGTTCAACAAAGAGCACGTCTTTGTGTTGCATTATTTAAGTTAGTCAGTGTTTGCTTATGGGCCCATGTCTTAATCCATTCAGGATGCTATTAAAAAAAAATACCATATTCTGGGTGGCTTGTAAACAACAGAAATTCATTTCTCACAGTTCTGGAGGTTGGGAAGTCCAAAACCAATGCACTGGCACTTTGATGTTGGGTGAGGGCTCACTTCTTGGCTCACAGGTAGAAGGTAGCCCTTATGCTATGTTCCCACATGGTAGAAGGGGAAAAAGAGTTATCTGGGGTCCCTTTTCTAATGGCACTCATCCAATTTATAAGGGTTCCAGCCTCATGGCCTAGTCATCTTCCCAAAGCCCCAACTCTAAATACAAAAACCATGGGGGTGAGTATTTCAATATATGAATTTGAGGGAGGAAGAATACACAAACATTCACTACAACATGTTTATGTTAAATACCTATCTGAGTATATATACAGAGTTTTAGATGGCCAATTCCAGAATACAATGGAGTCCTGTGATAGAAAAAGTCATAGATTAACATCTCTCTCTCTCTGTGTGTGTGTGTGTGTGTGTGTGTATGTGTATATATATATATATATATATATATATGTATATTTAGATGGAGTCTCACTCTGTTGCCCAGGCTGGAGTGCAGTCGTGTGATCTTGGCTCACTGCAACCTCCACCTCCCAGGTTCAAGCAATTCTCCCGCTTCAGCCTCCCAAGTAGCTGGGATTACAGGTGCCTGCCACCACACCTGGCTAATTTTTGTATTTTTTAAATAGAGACTGGGTTTCACCATGTTGGCCAAGTTGGTCTCGATCTCCTGACCTCAAGTGATCCACCCGCCTCGGTCTCCCAAAGTGCTGGGATTACAGGCTTGAGCCACCATACCCAGTCTCAATATATGTTTCTAATCCTCTGCGCACTGTCAGTGGTTCCTTTGTTTTTGGCAAGAAATCCATTATCAAAGCCTTTGTATCTCAGTTCCTTCCCTTTTGTTTGCCAAATGCAGTAGTGCAGTTTTAGGGCCTGGGTTTATTTTTTCCTCATTTTATTTTATTTTTTCTAAATCTTCATTTCAAAAAAAACTCTACTTCTCCATTATTTATTTTCTGATTTTTTTCTAATGCTATTTCCAGGCCTTCTGTTTCTAATAATTGCTAATAAGAGTTACTTAAAGTTGAAAGGTATTGCACTTCAAAAATGTGTGATAGTAAATATGAGTATATTAAAATTTTCTATAAAGGAAGTTTTAACTAGTGAAGAATTTTCAAAACTTTATATTGCATTTTGAATGCACATGCTAGAGAATGCAAATAATACTTAAGAAAAATCTTCAAAACACAGTTTATTATAATTATTTCCATAACAGGGACCTTGATAGCTTTGGGTTAAGAAAGTGAGAAAAACTAAATTTTTATATTTCACATTTTGGATTTTGTACGTTGTGATTATTTTAGGTATTCAAATGACAAAAATTTTCAAATGTGTATTGACTCAGAATGTTAGGATGGCACTAGTGCACCGACAGTGATAAATTCCTACTTTAAACTTATTGACCAAGTTAGAAATGTAAAATATGCCCCCAAAATAAAAGCAGGATGGAGGCTAGTAAGAGTTTCTGAAGAAAGGAGAAAAATGAACTCTTTTATTATGTTTCTATGTAGTCTAGCCTGTTCTTCAAAATCAATTATCCCCTGAAAATCCTTCCATGATAAATTTTTCCTAAGCTTTTCATTTTAATAACTTCAGTAAAATAGAACATTTATATTGTCTTTCCTTATTTCTACCTAGATAGTAAACACTTTAGAGGCCACGATTGTGTGACATTGTTCCACCCACAGTCAACATTTAATCTGGGTTCTGGATCAGTCCACGACAAGAAGCTCACACTTACCTGGGGATACAGATTCAGGATTTCAGGTCTAAGTGACAGTCTATACCATGGAGACCTGTACCTCTGTTTAAAATTTGTTATCTGACAGCTGTCCTTCAATTGAATTTCTGTGGGCTAAAAGCTAGGTCACATATTTCACAGAGTCAGCCTTTTGTGGGTTAATGATCGTAAATTTTAGAGAAGTTACTGACAAAGGGTGAATTCTGTTGAAATGCAGATTAAAAATAAAAAACATCACACACTACTTATTAACACAACATTTCTGTACATTTTTTGAGTATTATAATGTGTTAAATGATTAAGCTTACCTAAAACAATAATGCAATTAGAATAGATTTCATATAAATCAACAATTTTAGGTAAATATTTAGAATATTCTAAATAAGCACTGCTTATTGCAAGTGGTCTGATTTTCTCTTTAATTTCCCAAACACCATGTATGGGGTGGAGATGGGGATGGAGAAAACACGAAAGATGGAATAAAGAAATAGCAGTCAATAAATTCACTTTTACTATCTTCCCACCTTCAATAAGTGACATTTTATATTCAAGAAAACTTAAGTATTACTTCTTAAAGTTTAAAAACCCTAGTCTAAAATGTGAAAAAGAATAGGACTATAAGGGTCATTAATTGATGTCTCTGAAACTATTGTGCTTCAAAAGTTATTTTATACAATCATTAATAATAACAGTACAGAAGAAAATGTGAGCCAAAGAGAATACAGGCAATGTTGTGTAAGTGAAAAGTACATGGGACTAGGTTCCACTACCTATTAGTTTTATGCCTTAAACAAGTCATTTTCACATTCTGAACTTTAATGTCTTTATCCTTCAGTTGAGAATATTTAACACATCTGCCTTTTATGTCTCATGCCATTGATGGTGGGCTCAAAGGAGGTGGCATATTTAAAAATGCTAAACTTCCATAAAAGCTACTCAAATGTTAGTTGTTATTATCAGTAGCGTGACTATCACATGCAAATTGGGTTTGATGAAGCAGTAATTTAATCTGAGTGAAATAAAAGGTTTTGGTGACAGAATAAAAGTAGTTTAAAAATCAGTACTTGGTAGTTAGAATAAGCCAAAAATCAGACTGTGTTATGAAATACAGAGGCCTAGACAAGAAGTTTCAATATGACTATTGGGAACATATTACTTAGAATTTCTGAGTAGTATCTTATTAAAATTAACAGTTCTATGCTAATTATTCTATGATATTATTTAGATGATTTGTGCTCCTAAAGAAAATACATCTCAAGATGAGAAAAAAAAGTTGATACACAGAAATAATAAATTTACATATTTCTACTCCAAAATGTTCAATCATTAAGAAATTCCTTGTGCCACTGGAGAATTATTCTCTACAGTATAGTTTCTGGTGCTTTATTTCATCTAATTTAAGTAGAGGTGGAAATCCAATTGTTAGAATTTTTAAATTGAGCAAAATACTCAATGTTATTCTGCTGAATGTTAAATCCCATTCTTCAGGTGCCTGGAAAATGCTGATATATAGATGGGGCAAATACCCAACAGGCTGATGTCAGGTGAGTGATTAAAGCAGAGACCCATGTTGATTGCCACATTAGTAATAACACAGTACAAAGAGAAAGAACATATAAGATTTAGATATTCTCAGGACCACTGTGCATATTTCTTTCCAATTACCTCTATAACAGATGTCTTTGTTACCTGAAAAAATAGATTGTGTCTATTTTAGAAAATATTTTAATCGTCAATTCATTATGGTATATTTCCAGAATTTACTTTTAATTTTTATAAATAAAAATTGAAGAAAATATGCAAAACTCAGCTTCTTTAAAATGAGAATTAACAGTTCATAAAAACAAAAAACTGATTTTAAAATTTGAATCCAGGAAGGAATGTTTATTTTTAGCTTTCAGGATAGTAAAACAATTTACTGGCCTTCAAAAGCAATAGGTTTAGAATTAACTGGGATATGGGATTTAAGATTGATAACATTACTTCTTATTTATTTCCCCCACTCCACTTTAATTCATATAAATACAAAAATAATTTTTTCTAAAGGAGTAAAGCTAGTAGCATTTAGGTTATAATAAAAATTTCTGAAATAAGTCAGATAGAATTCTGATATTTCACAAATAACATTTGAGTAAGAAAAAGCCATATTTTGTTACATTAGTGATATGGTTTGGCTCTGTGTCCCTACACAAATCTTATCTTGTAACTCTCATAATTTCCACATGTTGTGGGAGGGACCTGGTGGGAGATAACTAAATCATGGGGGCGGGTCTTTCCTGTGCTGTTCTTGTGATAGTGAATAAGTCTCATGAGAACTGATGGTTCTATAAAGGGGAGTTTCCATGCACAGGCTCTCTCTCTTTGTCTGCAGCCATCCATGTAAGATGTGACTTGCTGTTTCTTGCCTTCTGCCATGATTGTGAGGCCTCCCCAGCTACGTGGAACTTTAAGTCCATTAAAGCTCTTTCTTTTGTAAATTGCTTGCTCTCTGGTATGTCTTTATCAGCAGTGTGGAAACAGACTAATACAATAAGTAAATCTTCTTGGATGAGAATTTGTGACAGAGAGAAGTGATTTGCCTTTTTACCTGAGGTTTTCTTTCTAGAGTTGGTAATAATAACATTCTGATCATATTATTAGTAATATCTTAAATTCATTTAATGGACATTAAAACATTTTTCTTTCTCTATAAATTTGACATATTCTATTTTCTGGAAATTTCATTTTATCTAAATTTTCAAATGCATTACCATAAGACCGCAATAATGGGCACAATCTGACATTGGAACTGTCCTGAGAAGTTTAGCTAGATCAAATGAATAACAATAACCTTGAATTTTAACGAACATTACAGAATGGAAAATGAGGCATCTGCCCCAATAAGGGAAACAATAACTAAATTCCCTTCAGAAACTAGCTACTCATGCTTTCACAACAGAGATGATCCACTATCTTGGCCTGCACTCCATTAAAAAATGTCTCTCATGAACGTTTATACTCCCCAAACCATTCTCTTGCTACTTACATTTAAATTTCTGTTTATAATACCTGAGTCTTGGAAATGGCTACATGAAGAAATTAAGATAGAAAGTAGCCTGGGGTTGATAATACCAGTAGAAAAACTAGTAAGCGAAAAGAATATATGCCCTTTTGCAAAAACAAGTGGTTTTTAAAAAATGAACAGAACTTTCAGCATAGTGACTGAAAATTAGAACAATATATTAATTAACAAATAATTATTGAGCACTTCATGGTTTTTTTGGTTGGTAACTAAACTAAGCTAAAGAAAAGCATTAGACATAATTCCCACTTTTTAGTATTCTACAGCCAGGACAGAGAGATGTTGGAGAATGTTATGTAAGGAAGCATAATATAGACACATCTAAGCTAATGAAGGAGTATAGAAGTTAATTGGATTATTTGTGTGATCAATTAAAAGAGTATTCCAAGCAGAAGTAATAGAATTTTCAGTGCTCCCATGCTAGAAGAGACCATGGCTCAAAGTATTAGAAAAATTCCAGTAGAAATGTAGTCAAGATAGAAATTGTCAAAAACAACAGATGCTGATGAGGTTGCAGAGAAAAGGGGACACTTGTACATTGTTGGTAGGAATGTAAATTAATTCAGCCACTGTGGAAAGCAGTTTGGATATTTCTCAAAGAACTTAAAACAGAGCTGCCATTTGACCCAGCAATCCCATTACTGGGTATATATCCAAAGGAAAATAGATCATTATACCAAAAGGACACATACACTCATATGTCCAACACTGCGTGATTCACAATGGCAAAGACATGGAATCAACCTATGTGTCCATCAGTAGTGGACTGAATAAAGAAAATGTGGCACATATACTCCATGAAATACTATATAGCCATAAAAAAGAATAAAATCATATCCTTTGCAGCAACATGGATGGAGGTGGAGGCCATAATCTTAAGTAAATTAATGCAGGAACAGGAAACTGAATACTTTATGTTCTCACTTAAATATTGAACATACATGGACACAAAAAGTGGAACCAATACACGCTGCAGACTACCAGTAGGGGAGAGAGTAACGGGGGCGTGGGTTGAAAAACTACCTGCTGGGTACTATGCTCACCATCTTGGTGCGATATACCCATGTAACAAATCTGCACATGTACCCCTTGTATCTAAAATAAGCATAGAAATTTAAAAAAAATCTCAAACTCAGGAAGATGTACAGTTATGTAAGACTTAAAATAAGTATTTATAATAATGAGACTTTTATTAGGAATACATTTTAGTCTCTATAAATTCTATAGTTTTGCCCAGAGGAAAATTTGTATTTCTTTTTGTCATTGGTAATTTTTAAAATTTTGTATTATTGTATTTTTACCTTCAAAATCCTCCTTTTGACAACCTTTTTATTTATGACATATAAAATGATTACCAGTGGCTAAAAAATACTAAGATATCTGAATTTGTAAGCAACAAAATTCTATATTCATCTCAGTCGATATACTGTAACCCTTATTTCCTATTGTATTGTTACAACTATTAAGCAAAATTATTAAAAAGCTCTTTGCAGCTTGTTTTGAAAGTCATTTTAATATTTCTGCTGTTTAGAATAGTCCACAAATGAGATAGCTGTGGCGACTTGGAAAGAAAGCAAATGGAAACTAGCAGTGGTTTAAAGTTTTTTAGCAATTTGTATATGTACAACAAATAGCTCTTCTAAGCACATAAATGAATTATACCATATGGAGAAAAGAGGAAATTTGAATAGTGGTATGAGATGATGCCGGAGAGGTGGACAGGAGCAAAAATGTGCAGCTTTTAGGCTATGTTAAGAATCTGAATTTTATGCTTTGAGTAAGTAGAAACCATAGCAGCAGTTGTAAATTGGGAGTGTTTAAAAATGATTAATCTGGTTGCTATTTGAAAAGTGGATTAGAGAAAGGTAATATCTGACTCATGGAGGGGGCAAGGGAAAGGAAAGAGTGGGGCAGAATTTCCAGGTATTTGGCTTGTGTGTCTTGTGTTATAGTTTTAGCATTTGTCTCCTCCAAAACTCATGTTGAAATTCAATTTTCAACGTGGCAGTGTTAAGAAGTGGGGTCTTTAAGAGGTGAGTGGGACATGAGGCCTCTGTCCTTATGAATGAATTAATTTATTCATGGATTAATAGGTTAATAGATTAATGTATTATTATGGTAGTAGGACTGGTGGCTTTAGTAGAAGAGGAAAAGAGAGCTGAGCTGGCACACTCAGCCCCCTTGTCACCTGATGCCCTGAGCCACCTTGGGACTCTGCAGAGTCCTCCCTACCCCAGCAAGAAGGCTCTCACCAGATGTGGCCCCTCAACCTTGGACTTCTAGGCATCCATAACTATAAGAAATAAATTTCTTTCCTTTATAAATTACCCAGTATCAGGTATTCTGTTATAGCAATAATTGAAATGTGGTACCATATTAACTGAGATAGAAAACACTAGATGATCAGAGGGATAACAGGAATAAAAAAAGATCTTCATTAAAAATGTTAAGCTTAAGGTATCTGTTGAAAAACGAAGTAGAAATCAATCATAATGCAGGTGTCCTAGTCTAATAGACAGCAGATAAGGTAAATCATATCAAGTGGAGGAATGTAGGGTAGAAATATTAAAAAGTCTTAAGATAAAAAAAGTTCTGAGGAATTGTGTTATTTCTAGCTCAGTCAGCTACACGATAAAAATCACAGATTTGGTGTAAATCTGCCTAGAATAATCAGGAAGGATTTCTGGAATATAGTGATTCAGCTAGATTTTGAAGGATAAACAAGTTTTTCTTATCTACAAGGAGGAAAATAAAATTCGAGGAAGCAAAATGTGTATTGGCACAAAGATGGAAGAAGTAAACAGAATGATCAGAAAACACACAGTCATTTCAGCATATCTATAATTTCACATGTGTGATGGCTGAATATTAGATGTGGAGATGATATATAGGTAGCAACCATATGTAAAGTCTTTGTCTGTTAAGCAAATTAGATTTTTATCTCCCTGCAGATAATGGGGAGTTAGTGACATATTTCAAGCAGAGGAACAATGTAACTAATCTGCATTTTAGGAAAACAGCTAGCTGCACAATGAAGGAAAAATTCAAGCTGTTTTTCTCTAACTATGTCCCAAGTAACACTAGCTCAGTAAGACAATAATAATTTTTATGTGCAATAAAATAGTTGTATCATCAAGTAAATTTGGAAAATACTGAATTAAATAAAGGTGTCTTTACTGAAAGACTTCTCAGATACTGTAATATGCTAATGTACATTATGAATTCTCAGAATGGAGATGTAAAATTTATAATTTTTCAAAGTTAGTAGACCATGGAACCATTTCCTCAAATAGCAGCCCAAGACTGTTGTTCTGCAAGACACATTTTGAGAAACTCTTGATTGAAATGCTCCAATTTAATAGTGTTTAGATGGTATTGTTTCTTTCTGTATAAACTTTACCATTGTGAAAAACGACACTGAAAACACATGGGTATAGAGAAACGTGGCAGCGGGGTAGGTAGAATCATGGAGTTACAGTCAACTTTCAATTTCTCATTATTTTCAGCTGAGTATTATTGAACACTGTAATGTCATCTGAGATAAATCAAAATGAAGATATGACCATGCATTGAGTTATTAAGGAATTACCATAGATATGCATATTTGTGTCTGTGTCAGGAAACCTGTTTGTCATCATAAAAGCTATTAGTAGACTTGGCTACACTTAACGATAGATTTCATAATTAAAGACCTCAGATGTGAGACACCTAAGAGAGTACCAACCCCCCAGTGTTACCCTTTTAGCATTAACCACAAAGGGGGAGAGGGAGGGAGGGAGGGAGAGAAAGAGAGAGAGAGAGAGAGAGAGAGAGAGAGAGAGAGAGAGAGAGCAGTTAAAAATAAGACAAGAAGACAAGACAAAGCAAACAAAGAGAAAGCATGTTCAACTAACAAGAGTGATCTCTCCTCTCTATTTCTTGGCAGATAATGAACGATTCATTTTTCTCCCAACAGAGCCCATTCTTTTCATTCTCTGTCACTTTTCCTGAGTGAAAGTATTATGCCATTTGCCTCAGACATAAGAAATATCCCTTATCTAGCCTAAATGTTAAACACACATCAAACTATCTGAGTGTCATGATGGAGTCATCTGGCATTCTGCTTCTTCCTACGCTTTCATTGCACCTTTGCTTAGTTCAGACATCTTTGATTTCTGACTGTGAGAAAAAAAAATTGGAAGGTCTCCAGATGTCAACCTCCACCACTTCCTGAAATTACTAAGATAAGACACAGGACTCTAATTTCTCAGCTTTTTCTTTAGGGACATAGCCAGCTGAGATATTTGACACTTAATGGAAAATAACTACGGAGCTTTGCTATGAGATTCACTGAAGAGTTAAAGGTCCTATGGACATTATTGTTACAGTACTATTCATACCCAGATCTCTTTCATCATGGTGAGTCAGAAAAGGCCTTTTTATATTTCAATTCAGCACTTACCTAATTCAGTATACCAGTTGACTAATATTTAGGGGATAGTCATCTGTTCAATGCATAACAATCTGCTCAGTGCTTTAGGGGAATCCCTTTAAAATTATCAGCCAGTTACATGAATGTTCACAGAATGAGTACATCTGTAAGTGATTTCCTTCATAGAATCATTAAAGAAGTGAAACTTATTCTGATGATACTAGAATAGCTAAAAATATAGTCAAACTATTCACTTGAAATTATAACCCAATATACAAGACATGCAATACTCAATCTCATGTTTGCATAGTTGTAGCTAATAGAGGTCATTACATACAAAGATCTATCATCCTACAGCAATTTAGAGTAGGACAAAATCATTTAGTTAGGGATTGGGCAAAGAATGACAGGAGTACCTCATCTATGCACAGCAGCCTACTCAGTGCTTTAAGAAATATCTTAAAATGATAAGGTAATATCTTAAAAGTATTTTTCTCATTATAAAATTGTTAGCAGAATGTGTGCATTCATAAGTAATTTCCTTCACAAAATCACCCCAGGAAGCAATAAAATACTATGATTAGCTAAAATATTCTTGAAATCTCTGTTTCGAGTTTTCTTTAGACCCAATTTGCCAATAATACAAAAGACTTCTCATTTTTGTCTGGTTATAGTTAACGTAGCACACTAAAGGAAAAGATAACTCAAACTGTATGTAGTTCAGAGCAAAAAGAAAGCATTTCAATAGGCATTGGCCAAAATTTGACCTATGAAAGAGGTAAAATTTAAACTGGGACATGAATACCAGTAGTGTTTGGAACTATGTAGAGAGAGGTAGGTATCACTCTATGCAGGGACAAATGTGTCAACAAAGGTATCAATGGAAGTCAGCACAAGCTCTGCTCATGAGAGAGTGAATAAATGTAAGCTGAAAAAAAATATGTAGGGGAAGTGTTATAAACACAATTAGGGTGATAGTTTGTACCAAATTATGGAGAGCTCTAGGCATGCATGAGGTTTGACTAACAAAATGCCACTGATCATTCTAAACCACATACTAAAATCATTTTTAAAAATTTTACTCTAAACCTATCCATTAACAGTTTGGTGGCGTTTATTGTTTAGCAGTACTTCTTAAAGATTTCTCATTTCCCACATCTTAATTTATTAGATATTTAAAGATAAATGTATTTAATGAAGACTGTCACATTTGTAAAAGCAGCATAGTAGTGGTATGAATAACAGGTAACCCACTTTATTAAGACGTTTAGTGAAAAATGTAGCCTGTGATATGGTTTGGCTCTGTGTCCTCACCCAACTCTCACCATGAATTGTAATCCCATAATCCCCACGTGTTAAGGGTGAGACCAGGTGGAGGTAATTGAATCATGGGAGTGGCTTCCCCCATGGTGTTCTCGTGATAATGGGTGAGTCTGAAGAGATCTGATGGTTTTATAAGCATCTGGCATTTCCCCTGCTTGCACTCATTCTCTCTCCTGCTGCCCTGTGAAGAGGTGCCTTCCACCGTGATTGTAAGTTTCCTGAGGCCTCCTAAGCCATGCAGAACTGTGGGTCAATTAAAGCTCTTTCCTTTGTAAATTACCCAGTCTTGGGCAGTTCTTTATAGCAGCATGAGAATGGATTAATACAGCCTGTTTTCCCATGAGTGGTTCATGAAAGGAAATTGTGTTAAGTTATGTAAGCTTGTAAAATAGAAACAAAAAAAAAAACTTTTTTTTTAACCAAACCTGGATACTTTAGAGCTTTCTTCTCTTCAGTATTTTACTCTTTAGTTCACAAATTAATGAATCATTTTTATTACTCTCTTTGTTTTACATCAATCAATATTTGTTGCTCTTTTGACTCATAGCCTAAAGCCTCAATATCTCCCACATGCACTGTTATGTTAGTCACCAAGGCAATGCTTAAGACAAGTTATAATGTTGACAGAGATTGCTTTTATATTTCAAATTCCTTTTGTGTGTAATTTTCTTCAAATGCCTTTGGACATTCAGTGCCTTCCTCATTTCTGATTATTCAGTTATGTCCATGACCTCAAATGAGACCATTAAATAGTTGGAATAAGTATTATGAGAATTTGGTCAGGATAGTATTATGGGAATCTCTAAAGGAAACAACAAGCCCAAACTACAAGTAATTATGAAAAGCTATGATATAGTAGAAGAAACCTGAGACTAATCCAAAATTACACAGATATACGTCAGAGATATTGTGGGTTTAGTCCCAGGTCACTATAATAATTGCAATAATGTCAGTCAAACACATATTTTTGTTTCCTAGTGCACATAAAGTTATGTTTGCACTATATTGTAGTCTATTAAGTGGGCAATTGCATTATATCTTAAAAAATGCACATTTTTTCATTAAAAAATACTCTGTCGCTAAAACATGCTAACAACCATTTGAACCTTCAGGAGTCCTAAACTTGTTGCTGGTGGAGGGTCTTACCTCATTGTTGATGGTGATTGCTAGAGGTTGAAGTGGCTTTGGAAATTTCTTAAAATAAAATAACAATAAAATTTGCTGAATCAATGACTCTTTCACAAAAAATTTCTCTGTACCATGCAATGCTGCTTTTTAGCATTTCACCCACAGTAAAATTTCTTTCAAAATTTGATTCAGTTTTGTCAAAACCTGCCACTGCTTTATCAACTAATATTTTGGAATATTCAGAATAATTTTTGGTTATTCAACAAAGTTCACAGCATCTTCATGTGGAGCAAATTCCATCTCATAAATCCACTTTTTTGCTCATTTGTGAGAATCAAGTCCTCATGTGTTAAAGTTTTATCATGAGATTGCAACAATCCAGTCACATTTTCAGGCTCCACTTCTAATTCTAGTTCTCTTGCTAAAAAGTTCACTACTTTCTTTACTGAAGCCTCAAATCATTCATGAAAGTTGAAATCAGCTTCTTCCAAATTACTGTCAGTGTAGATATTTTGGTCTCCTCATATAAATCACAAATTATCTGAATGGCTTCTAAAATGGTGATTCATTTAAAAAAGGTTTTCAATTTGTTTTGCCCAGAGTCATTAGAGGAATTATTATCCATAGTCTTATAATGTGTATTTCTTAAATAGTAAGACTTGAAATTCAAAATTACTCCATGGCTCTTGGACTACAGAATGGATGTTGTGTTAGCATGCATGGAAGGAACATTAATCTATGGTACATTTCCATCAGAGCTCTTGGTTTACCAGATGCATTGTCAATTAGCAATAATAGTTTGAAAGTAATCTTATTTTTTATTCTGAGCAGTAGGTCTCAACAGTGGGCTTAAAATATTCATAAACCATGCTGTAAACAGATGTGCTTTCCTTCAGGCTGTGTTCTATTTACAGAGCACAGGCAGAGTAGATTTAGCATAATTCCTAAGGGCCCTGAGATTTTTAAAATAGTAAATGAGCATTGGCTTCAACTTAAAGTCATCAATTGTCCTTTACTGAAAGCCATCCTGTGCATTGAAATTTCGAAGCCAGGCATTCATTTGTCCTCCTAGCTATGAAAGCCTTAGATGGCATCTTCTTTCTTTTACTGTTTCAGCTATATTTAAAATTTATTGTTTAACATAGCCACCTTTATCAATGATCTTACTAGATCTTTCAAATAACTTGCTACAGTTTCTAGGTTAGCACTTACTGCTTCACCTTGCACTTTTATGTTTGAGAGATAGTTTATTTCTTTAAACCTCATGAACAAACCTCTTCTAGCTTCCAACTTTTCTGCAGCTTCCTCACCTCTTTCACCTACACAGAGCTGAAAAGGATGAGGGCCTTGCTCTGGATTAGGTTTTGGCTTAAGGGAATGCTGTTGTTTGTTTGGTCTTCTATCCAGACCACTAAAACTTTCTCAATATCAGCAAAAGCCTATTTTGCTTTGTTGTTTTTTGTGTGTTCACTGGAGTAGCGCTTTTAATTTCCTTCAATAACTCATTTTTTAGCATTCACAATTAGAATAATTGTTTGGCATAAGAGGCCTAGCTTTTGCCTATCTCTGCTTTTGGCATGTCTTCCTCGCTAAGCTTAATTATTTCCAGCTTTTGATTTAAAGCGAGAGACTTGCAACTCTTTGTTTTACTTGGAAGCTTAGAGGCCATTGTAGTGTTGTTAATTGACCTAATTTCAATTTTGTGTGTGTGTGTGTGTGTGTGTGTGTGTCAGGGAATCAGAAACTCCAAGAGGAGGAAGAGAGATGGGGAACAGCTGGTTAGTGGAGCAGTCAGAACACACACATGTATTTATTAAGTTTTCCACCTTATATGGACACAGTTTGTTGTGCCCAAAAACAATTACAATACCTTCAAAGATTACTGGTCATAAGTCACTATAATAGGGTATAATGAAAAACTTTGAAATATGGCAACAGTTACCAAAATGTGACACAGAGATATGAAGTGAGCACATGGTGTTGGAAAAATGGCACCAATAGTCTTGCTTAATGCAGGGTTGCCACAAACTTTCAATTTGTAGAAAATGCAATATCTGTGAAGTGTAATAAAGCAAAGTATGATGGTAATCAAGAGGAATTTGGGAAAAATGTAGAGGTAAACAAATGGTGTCAGAAGGCATGGAACAGGCAAGTGTTCAGAGGAGAAAGAAACTGGGACTTTGAGGAAATTGCAGGTGACTTGGCAGAGGTGACATATGGGTAGTAAATTTGAGATAGAGTTGGGGGGCATGAGTCTGAAAAAGTAAGCAAAGTTTGCATCATGAAAGGTCTCAGATGTCACACCATTGATTTTGTCCTCACTGAAAGTAAAATATACCACTAATAACTGTTAAACTGGAGTGTTACCTAAAAAGGTACAAAGTTTTACTAAGATTTTTCTAGTTGTGTTGTAGAGAATGAATTAGGAGTGCTCAAGGCTGGGGAAATGGTATTCAGTTAAGAAGACATTTTAATATATTCTGAGTGAGAGATGATGGAGGTCTGATCTAGAAACATTGAGAGGAAGTGGAGTGAAGGGGGAAGATACTAGTGATATGATGGAAGTAAAATTAATAGAATTTTGTGCTTCAAAGCATGTAAGGAGTGATTGAAAATAAAATGTACTCTCCATGAATTATAAAATATATGTAATGTTTCTCTTATGCAAATGTTCAAAATAGTAGTCATTATTTTAATTCCATTTATACCATTATATTTTGCCCTTCATTATAGGGATAGAATTTCCTGTGATTATATAAAAGTGTCTTCCTCTAGTCTGAAATTGCTCTTAGTATATTTTTAAGACAAATTTTTGCTGAATTTATAGTGAGCTAAATTCACATAATAATCTATGTTAATCGTCTTTATCCAGGTTTTACTAATCTGTCAATGGCTTTTCCTTCTAGCTCATAGTCCTAGCTTGTTCCTGCCTTTCTGTCTCTAATTACTTTTAGCTTATTTCCCAGGTGGTGATAAAAGGAACTTTCTTCTAATTGAATCCAATTTGAAGCCAGGTCCCTCTTAAAAAATTATGGATCCTCTGTTTTATGCCAATAGTTATTCACCTGATGCATGGGGGGCAAGGGGTGTTTTTGAAACCCTTGCATGGTGGGGTACATAAATACAACAATAAAAAATTTTAAATAGAAGTTTTGGAAAGAAATAACAGCAATCTTTTATCCTAAGTCATGAAAACAAGGGTTCCTTTCTTCTTAAGTCTGTGCCAAATTGGTAAAAGTGCCATGACCTGAAAGAAGGGTCTGCATAATAGTCTTAGACAGCATAAATGAGCCTGTTTCTTCTACTGAGACAAAAGCTTATTTTATACCTTTATAGAGTCTGTGAAAAAGTTTTAACTTTAAATGGATTTTAAAAGGTCCTCTTTTTCTTCCTTTAAAATCAACATTTCCTGCATCTTGTCTTTATTTTGTGAAGTGTTAACCAACAAATTGAATACAGCCTGTGCTTGGCAAATGAATATTAAATGCTTTTTCCTGGAAAATGTGTTTGCTCATTAAATTTGACAGTCATTGCTTATGTGGTAAATGTTGTCAGTGCCAAGAACTATCTGGCATGGCTGCCAGCTACAGGTCCATTATTTTAATTGCCTTTAACCTATAATCAATATTTACTGCTTTCCATAGAAAGAGACTGCATAGCTAAGCAGTACAAAAAGTGAGTTTATTCTTCTGCATGTTAGTTTTTGCTTTTACATCTAAAAGGTAGAATTAAATGCTTCCTCTGGGTACTACCTTTTTTTTTTATCAAAACTATCTCCTACTACTTATTTTGTGAAATGCTCACATCATCCAAATCATGTCTATTTCAAACAAAGCAATTTGAATTTATGACTGAGACTCAAATTCTGCTTTATCATAAATTACCTACATCTTTTTTTTTGTCATTGTAAGAAGGTACTGAATTTTAATAGCATTTGTGGGGAAATGCATGCTTCCAAATATAAAATCTTCAGGATTTTCTTGGATATTTTGGAAAAAAGATAAGCCTGCAGGTAAAAATCAAGAGATCCTAATTGGGAGGAGGCAGAATATAAAGGCTAGGATGATGGTTTCATCTTTCGAGCATGCAATTTTACAATGGAGAGCCTTTGAGATTATTCAACTTTAGAATGGCATTACACAAATGACATTGTAAAAAGGTCACACTGATAGTAATGTGAAGAGAGATTGTAATCATGGAGTAAGGGAAAGGGAATAGATTTTAATATAAACAAACATAGTTAAGTAAAAGAATTATAGCAATATTGTGCATCAGGAATATTACAATGGGGAGTGTGTGTATGTATGAATAGACCTAGGCACGTGAGTTAATTGCAAGATTTTGCATAATGACAAATATCTGGAAAGAGTTTAAATTGTCAAAAATCAAGAATTAAGCAAACAAATATGCTACAATTTAGTTTTATGAAGCTACTGAGTTTGATTTTTAAGAAGTATATTTGATTATGTAAAGTTGATGACACACATTATTTTATTTGGCATAAAATAATGCTCATGACACATTAAATGAATAAGTGTATATGTACATTATATATTTGTATTATATCAAATAAATACATCTAGAAGAAAACACCAAAATACTATGTTCATTTTGATTTTCTCTTCCCATTTAGCTATATTTTTAAAATGTTTATAGTGAGTGCATATTGTATGCACGATTTCTGAAATTGCTCTCATGATAGAATATTATAGTGTTATAATGCTGTGCTATGGACAGGATCATGAAATTTAAGAGGAAGGCACAACTTTGGAAGTCAATGTTAGATTAAACTGGAATCTAATGAGCTCGAATTTATTTGAAGCCTTGATAAATTTCAAGCGATTGGCAAAAATCACCACCAATAAAGCCCTACAATGTAGTCATTCCTCAAACATTAACTTGATAAATATGATAACCTTACTTTGTTAGACAGGAAACGTGTGAAGAAAGATGACAGTATTAGAGTCAGGGAGTTTGTGTATGTGACTTACTGTAGCTTCTAGCTACCTGACATAATTATACTGGGCAAATTATACTGGGCAAAGAGTATCTACAATCAGAAAACTCTTCAAGTTTTCACCTAAAAAAATCAGTGTCTCTTTCCAAATAAAAGTTTAAACTCTTTTGTATTCTAACAGAGAGTATTGTCAGCTAAAATAGACCATGAATTAAGCAAAAAATAATGTGGGGCATCAAACATCATGTATCCTCAGTATACAAAAAGATAGTTTTTCATCCATAGACAGTATGCACCAATTTGTGTGTTATGATTTAGTTTATTTGATAAATGTTTTCCATTGTCTACTATGTGCAAGACACTGTGTTAAGTTCTGCAGAGCACATAAAAATTATAAAATGCACCCTGATCTCAAGAAAGTAACAGTCATTAGATGAAATGACATAATCATTGATGGTCATAAAGCAAGATAAATATAATAATAAGGTAAGTATAGTAACAATAAGAAAAATACAAATAAACTAGTCTAGTTGGATAATGAACGGAACCCTTTCAGTCTCAGATTTTTAGAAGCTGAGAACAATACAATATGCTATGGTTTTACTGTGTATCACCTCTAAAACTCATGTTGAAATTTAATTGCCATTTTAACAATATTAGGAAGTGAAAACATTAAGGGGTGATTAGGGCATGAGGACTGCATCCTCATGGGTGAAATTGGTGCCATTATAGAAGGTCAAGTTTGTCCTTCCTCTCTTGTGTGCCTTTTTATTTATTTATTTATTTATTTATTTATTGAGACAGTTTCGCTATTGTCGCCCAGGCTGGAGTGCAATGACACTAGCTTGGCTCACTGCAATCTCCACCTCCTGGTTTCAAGCGATTCTCCTGCCTCAGCCTCCCGAATAGTTGGGATTACAGCTTTTAGTAGAGACAGGGTTTCTCCATGTTGGCCAGGCTGGTCTCAAACTCCTGACCTCAGGTGATCTGCCTGGCCTCGGTCTTCTCCCAAAGTGTTGGGATTACAGGCGTGAGCCACTGCGCCTGGGCCTCTCTCACTCTTTCATGTTCTATCACTGGAGGACACAGCAAAAAGGCCCTTGCAAGATACCAGCGCCTTGATTTGGGATTTCCCAGTTTCCAGAAATGTGAGAAAAAATTATCTGTTTATTATAAATTAGCCAGACTGAGGTATTCTGTTAATAGCCGCACAAAATGAAACAAGACAGAAAACTAATACCAGGAGTGAGGTATGGTTATAACAAATAATTGAAAATGTGGAAGCAGCTTTGGAACTGGGTAATGGATAGAGGCTGCAACAATTTTGAAGTGAATGCTGGAAAAAGCCTTCATTTCCATGAATGGAGCATTAAGGGTGACACTGGTAAAGACTTGAAATAAAAGAAGAGCTGTAGGGAAAGTCTGAAACTTCTCAAAGATTACTTAAATGGTTATGGTCAGAATGTTGGTAGAAATATTGGCAGCAAAGGCCATTCTGATGAGGTCTCAGATGGAAAGAGGAAACAAGATATTGGAAACTGGAATCAAGCCCATCCTTTGTAGAAAGTAGCAAATCACTTGGCTGAATTGTGTCCAAGCTAAGGGCTTTATGGAAGAGAGAATTTAAGAGCAATGAACTAGGGTATCTGGTGGAAGAAGTATCTGAGAAGCAAGACATCAGGTGCTGTTTGTCTTCTTTTAACTGCATTTAGTAAGACAAATGAAGAGGGAAGTGATATAAAGATGAAGTTTATAATTAAAAGGCAACCAAAGTTTAGGAATTTGAAGGATTCTCACACTGGCCATGTGGTAAAGAGTGAAAGAATATTTTCTGGAGAGAAAATAAAGGGTGCAGCTGAAGGACCATTTGATAAGGAGATTAGTATGGATAGAACAAAGCCAGAGGCTATTCACCAGGACTATCAGAAAAAAAAAACCCAAAAGCACTTTAGGGATTATCAGTACTGCTGCTCCCATCACAGGCCTACAGTGACAGCCTTGGGGGAAAAAATATGTTAACAGACAGGTTTAGAGCACCCTTGGGACATTGGGGCTTATGACCCAGGGCTGCTTCAAGTCTCTGTTCCCCACATTCTGGCACAGTACTCCTTGCTTTCCCCAGCCTTGGCTCAACTGGGCATAGGTGTGGCTCATCCTGCCATTCTGGAAGGTACAAGCCATAAACCTTGACAACATCCACATGTTGATTCGGCAGCACACAGAATGCAAGAGCTGTGAAGGTGTGGCTTCCCCTACCTGGATTTCAAAGGATATTATAAACAGCCTGGGAACCTAGGCAGAGACGTGTTGCAGGTTAAAGCCACTGCAGAGAGTCCCCACTAGATAGAGTGGAACTATAAAGGTGGGACCACCCCCAAGACCTCAGAACTCTAGAGTTACCAATATGCAATGCCAGCCTAGGAGAGCTGCAGGCTCAAGACTCCAATCTATGACAGCTACTGTGTAGGCCGAGCCCAGCAAAGCCATGTGGGCAGGGATGCTGGAGGCCTTCAGGGCCTAATCCCCACTCCAGTGTGCCAAGAAGGTGGGACATCCAGTCAGAGAATATTATTGTGAAGCCTTAACATCTGATATTGTCCAATCTGTTGGATTTGAGACTTACTTGAGAAAGATTACTCCCTTTCTTTTCCTTCCTGTTTCTCATTTTTGGGGATAGGAATGTCTATCTATGTCTATGCCTGAACTGCCATTGTATTTTGGAAGGACTTACTAAATTTCATAGGCTTACTTACATCTGGAGGGAAAGTTGTTGGCATGAGTTAAGAATTTTGAGGCTATTTGGATGGAATTAATGTATTTTGTATGTGAGTTGGACATGAATTTTGGGTACAGGGGAAGAATGCGATAGAATGTTTCTTTCCTCCAAAACTAATGTTAAAATGTAATTGCCATTTTAACAGTAATAAGAGGTAAAATCTTTTTTTTTTTTAAGATGGAGTCTCACTCTGTCACCCAGGCTCACTGTAAAGAGGTGGAATATTTAAGAGATGATGGGATAATTAGGCCATGAAGGCTCTATCCTCATGGGTGGGATTGATGCTATTATTAATAAGTGAGTTCGATGTTGATGTCCACCTTCCATCATGGGATGACACAGGAAGAAATCCCTTGCCAGATGCCAGCACCTTGATCTTGGACATTCTAGTTTCCAGAACTATTAAAAAAAATTCTTTTTGTTATAAATTACCCAGTCTCAGGTATTCTGTCATAGCAGCACAAAACGTACTAAGACACAACAGGTAATAAGAACCCTGCCATTCAGAGTGGAGCAGTAGACCACTTTGTGAAACCATGCCACAGAATTGTAAAACCTACTATGCCATTATTAGCCCATCATGTTTCTATAGACAAAATAATACCCACTTTATTGAATGGAGTTTTCAGCAAGAAGACAGGTGGTATGGTGAGAGTATTGAGAAACTGAAGGAAGTTGATTACTTTTTCAATTAATAAGTATGTAATTGACAAATGATAGCTGTCAAGTAGGCCTAATAGGTCACCTCCACAACACTCCTAGGTCTTGGTGAGTAGGAGTAAGGATCTTGATGTGTAAACAATTTGTCTAAAAAAAACACATTAATTTCTCATTTTGACTATGAAATATTTTTTCACAGTTACAAAAACTGAGGGACTGCTGATGGTTTATAAAACACTGTTTCATTTAGTAGATATAAATTTTGTACCTATGTAAGTTAAGTAACTAATTCTCTAAGAGTTCAGGCTACATGAGGCATGATAGCATGGACAATGTATATGTTCTTTTCAAGATTCAGAATGATTCTTTGACATGTAGAGTTAGATGATCTTTTCCAAACATTCTGGAAAAACAAGACTTGTTCTTATCTATTAAAACTATTTTGTAGTATCAAGCAATTACAGGAACTTGAGGAGAACTTATTTATTTTTAATGTAAAGGGGTAAAATACTGTCATTGTACATTTCAAATTGGGGTAAAGAAAGCTGAATTATGAATACATAGTTTTGGGAGAACTGGCTTACCATTTGGATAGAATAAATACAGTAGTATCTTTACCTCATTCTAGAGGCCATCCAAATTGTTCAGGTGGGTAAAATATTTAAATATAAAGATAGTCTTTACAATAATGTAAGAAAGCTTATTAGTTTCTAAGTTTTTGAAAATAATCCAAAAGTGAGGAAGGCCTGCAATAAACTCAGACTACATAAAAGATCATTCTGAAAATATAAGCATTTAAAAGAGTCCTTATGGACACAAATAAACATGCAAATACATAGAAAAAATGCCCTACATCCCTCATATGTTATACAGCTTCTGAGGTGACTCCCAATGGTCTTCATCCTTGTATATTCTCTTTTCGTTAAGTGTGGGCTGGACCTAGTTACTAGTTTCTAGCAAATAGAAAATCTCAAAAATGATGGATCTTACTTCCATTATTTGCTTACAAAAAGACTATGGCTCATTCTCTTTTCTTGTCTTTCTCTCTCTCTCTGGCTCTCTCTTTTGCTCTTGCTTTCTCTATTATCTCTGTCTCTGTCTCTCTGTACCCCTCAGATCACCAGCATCCATGTCACGAGGACCCTTGACCATCCTGAGGCCAGCATCCATGTCATGAGGACCTTTGAGCATCCTGTAGAGTGGTTCATGTGGCAAAGAGCCAAGGCCTACCAGCAAGCAAGTGAGGTTGGAAGCAGTCCCTCCTCTATTTGAGCCTTAGATGACTGCAGGTCCTTGACTGTAGCCTATGGAAAAGGCCCCCAGCAAACCCGCACCTGTTTTGTTCCACCTGTTTCCACATAAACTGGGAGATGATAAATGTTTGTTGTTTTAAGCTACTGAGGTTTAGGAGAATTTGTTACATAGCAATAGATAATTAACAAACTTCATAATTCTTAAAATATTAATTAAAGCTATTAGAAATAATTATTCACATATCATATTGACAAGGATTGAAGTCTAATGATGCCCTATGTTGATAATGTGTGGGAAAAAGACGCATGCTACTGCTTACAGTGTGTAACTTGGTTCATTTTTAAAGGGAAGATAATTCATCACTGTGTACTAAAGTTTTAAATGTTCATCCTCATTTACCCAGCAATTTATCTCTAAGAGTATCTGCACAAAATATATGCCCAATAATTAAGGACAGATTATATTAATTATGGTTCACACATGAAGTGGAATACCTTGTGGCTTTTATCAAAAATAGGGTATATCTAAATGTGCCGATATGTAAAGTTGCCAAATAAATAATGCTGTTACTCTTGCATTATTTTCCATTTCATTTGGCTCAATTTTCTCAAGACTCTCCACCCTGATATTGACAGAATTTTCAGAAATGTGTATTCTATATTTAAGCAGAATAGTTTGGACATTAAGGTGTTGACTCTGGGGCCAGTTGCTAGGTTCAATCTCTTCTCTGCCACTTTTTCTGTGACCTTGGATAGGTTACTCTGTGACTGCAACTTACCCTATAAGTTAGGTAGTAATTGCCTTACAGGCATTTTTGGAAAATTCATGAGTTAATATAATTTAAGGATTATAATAGTTCTTGGAATATAGTATGGACTACATAGTGTTGATTCTTTTCTAAATTGTTAATTATATTTGTATATGGCAATTTTATCTAGATCAGAGTTTTCCTAAAGAATAATTTGGACAGCTTTTGGGGATGCTTGAGCAGGCAGTTTCAAGGATGTGGTCTTTGAGTAGTTTCATCAGATTTGCCCTTGGTGCATGTCTCTTCTTAGTGTCCATGTTCAAAATTTTCTACCATCTTGGTTAGCAGGGGACCTTGGTGGCTCAAATTAAGCCCTATTTAGAAAATTTATTTGCATTACTTTAGATATTAAAATAATTATTTTATATTTTCACTGATACTGCCAGAATATGCTATGTTTTCTGTTTTGAAAAGATGAACTAAATGACCTCCCTCTGAGTCCACCAACAGCTCAATTTTATTTCCAGATGAAATCACCATTACCAAAATGCTAGCAGCCAGACAGCAGTCTCAGTCCAGAATTCAAAGCCAAAATGCTGATTGAAATTCACGGTATTCATAATAGAATGGACTAGGTACAGAGTTCACTGGGAACATAGCTGATGGATGAAGTCCTTCTGCATATAGGAATGTGACATTCTTCACAGAATATATGGCATTTAAGATGAGATATTAAGGAAATGTTGGGTGGATACAGAGAATTTGGAAAGAAAGAGTGGACCTAAGTCAAGCTAAAATATTTAGAATGTATCTTTCATCTAAAAGAGGACACTGCCATTAGTAATACAATTTGTTCAATGATAATTGTGAGAAAGGCATAGAAGAGGCTTAACAGTGGATAGATATTGGTGGCATAAAGACAAAGCAGGAGAAAGGCATAAGCTAAGGCAGCAGCAGAGAACAGGGCTTGGTTTTAAAGAGTCATCTACTGCTAAATAGGAGGACTGATAAACCAGAATAAGATTGTCCATATAGATATATTTGAATGTGGAGAATTTTTCTATAAATCTTTAATAAAGTATTTTTTAATTTTGTATTAAATATCTAAGAAAACATCCCTCAATGATGGTAATTTCTACTTAAACTTTTTGCTGTGCAAGAAAAGTTTATGAATGACAAAATACAGTTTCATCTCCATTATCTAGTCCTGAATAATATGGAAATAAATGTTCTAGCCTAATTTTTTTAAAATAACAGATAATGCTGACACCTGTTGCAATATTAGTGGGGGAGTCTACATTAGTAGCACAATTTATATCAGCCCAAATGGTAAAAGTATTAAACTTACTATTTTTTTAATATTTTACCTTTTATTTTAGGTTCAGAATACATGTGCATTATTATATAGTTAAATTCGTGATTTGGGGTTTGGCGTACAGATTATTTCATCACCCAGAAAGTCTTTTTTTTTCTTCTGAATCTCTCTATCCTCCCACTCCTCTCCCTCAGGTAGGCCCCAGTATCTGTCGTTCCCCTCTTTTTGTCCATGTATTCTCATTATTTAGCTGTTACTTATAACTGAGAACATGTGGTATTTGGTTTTCTGTTCTTGCCTCAGTTTGCTAAGGATAATGGCCATCAGTTATGTGGTATTAAAAGTTGAGCGTTTCCAATGTATCTTTTTTATTTAAACAAGTTCTTCTTTGTTAAGCTATTTTAATAACATGACCCTCTGTAGTACCAGAAATTGTTTGATCTTCCAGGAAGAGATTTAAAGCAGAGTCATGCACTGCATAATGTTGTTTCGTTCATCAGTGAACAGCAGATATGATGGGGATCCTGTAAAGTTATGACATATTTTTACTGTACCTTTTCTACATTTAGATATGTTTAGATACACACATAATTCTCATTGTGTTACAGTTGCCTACACTATTTAGTACAATAATATACTGCACAGGTTTGTAGCCCGGGGTGATAGGCGATACCGTATATCCTAGGCATGTAGCAGGATATACTATCTAGGTTTCTGTAAGTACACTCTATGATGTTTACACAAGAGCAAAATCGCCTAATGTCACATTTCTCAGAACATATTCCTATCATTAACGGACACGAGACTGTCCTGAAATGTCCTTAAAATAACAACATAGATAAATAAAATGATATATTGTAAAGTAGATGGCAAAGTATAAATGTAAAGGTTTCTATCAACACTACTAACTTAGTAATCGTACCTTACTTTTCAGTAAAATAATATTTAAAATGTTATTATTTATATCAAGCATTTATTTATTTATATCAAACATTCTTTCTAGAGATTTCTACTTTAAGTATCTAGGCCATTATAATATTTTGAACTATTATATTCAATTATTTCTAAAGTATGGTAAGTGAAAAAACCTCAACAGTTTAAATGAACCAAAATATTCAAAAATTTTGGTTTGGAGATGTTTTCTAAAAATAAGGTATTTTAAAAGATACATATGTATATACAGTAAATTATCAATGTCTATATGTATATCTATATGTATTGTGCTATGTTGATGTTTTTCTTCTCACCTGAATGTGTGTATGTGTGTGTTTTAATAATCTTCATTAGATATAACTATGAAAGAAAGTTTTCCCAAATTCTATAAATTGTCTTTCAGGACATTGTCAGGAACTAGGAAAGCTCTGAGATTTTGCACTACTTGTAAGGTATTAGGTTGGTGCAAAAGTAATCGCAGTTTTTCATAAAAGTAATGGCAAAAATCACAATTACTTTTGCCCAACCTAATAACGAGTAGTACTCATGGAAGCTGACAGTTTCATGAGTATTGAAAACAGACACAAACCACGTGGGTCAGAGATAAAGGGCATCATTACTCATTGAAAAGCGGCATGAGCAGGGTATTTGTGTAATACCTCTTTACCCACAAGTAGCATAGGGGTGAAGTGAAGAAGCTCAAATAAGTGCTTGCACATGCAGTAGCTTCAGTGCAGGAGAGAAACTCTAAGCTTAGGGAGCACACATTATTTTTAACGGGCAGTAAGCCTGATGCCCTTTGTTCTGAAGAAAGACATTATCCTACTGCACAGTGAAAATTCCCTTTTTTGACCTAGAGGGAGATACTATCTCTATCAATCAAGGTTGCTTGCTATATCAAAATTATTGAAAAGATAGTGTATAATAAGGGCAGTGAATTACTTATTTGCAAGACTGCAGAAACATGAGAGACCCATGGTAAATTATGTCCCAACAAGCATGACTAAAGGAAAAGTACAGTATAACATTCACAGACTCACAAATAGCTCCTAGTAATGTAACACTGAATCCTCAGGATGACAGAAATTACTAGTAAAATAGAGTTTGATTTAGACTAATATTAAAAATGGTTTTTTGAAAATATCAATGAAATAGATAGACCACTAGCCAGACTAATAAAGAAGAAAAGAGAGAAAAATCAAATAGATGCAATAAAAAATGATAAAAGGGATATCACCATCAATCACACAGAAATACAATCTACCATCAGAGAATACTATAAACATCTCTATGCAAATAAACTAGAAAATCTAGAAGAAATGGATAAATTCCTGGACATATACATCCTTCCAAGACTAAACTAGGAAGAAGCCGAATTGCTGAATATACCAATAACAAGTTCTGAAATTGAGGCAGCAATTAATAGCCTACCAACAAAAAAAAGCTTAGGATCAGATAGATTCACAGCCGAATTCTACAAGATGTACAAAGAGGAGCTGGTATCATTCTTTCTGAAACTATTTCAAACAATAGAAATAGAAGGAATCCTCTCTAACTCATTTTATGAGGCCAGCATCATCCTGATACCAAAACCTGACAGAGACACAACAAAAAAGGAAAATCTCAGGCCAATAGCCCAGATGAACATGGATGCAAAAATCCTCAATAAAATACTGGCAAAGCAAATCCAGCAGCACATCAAAAAGCTTATCCACCACGATCAAGTCAGCTTCATCCCTGGGATGCAAGGCTGGTTCAACATACGCAAATCAATAAAGGTAATCCATCACATAAATGGAACCAAAGACAAAAAACACATGATTATCTCAATAGATGCAGAAAAGGCCTTTGACAAAATCCAACAGCCCTTCATGCTAGAAACTCTCAATAAACCAGGTATTTATCTCAAAATATTAAGAGCTATTTATGACAAACCCACAGCCAATATCATACTGAATGCGCAAAAACTGAAAGCACTCCTTTTGAAAACCGGCACAAGACAAGGATGCCCTCTCTTACCATTCCTATTCAACATAGTATTGGAAGTTCTGGCCAGGGCAATCAGGCAAGGGAAAGAAATAAAGGGTATTCAATCAGGAAAAGAGGAAGTCAAATTATCTCTGCAGATGACATGATCGTATTTTTAGAAAACCCCGTCATCTCAGCCCAAAGTCTCTTTAAGCTGATAAGCAACTTCAGCAAAGTCTCAGGATACAAAATCTATGTGCAAAAATCACAAGCATTCCTATGCAACAATAACAGACAAACACAGAGCCAAATCATGAGTGAACTCCCATTCACAATTGCTACAAAGAGAGTAAAATACCTAGGTATCCAACTTACAAGGGATGTGAAGGACCTCTTCAAGGAGCACTAAAAATTACTGCTCAGGGCAATAAGAGAGGACACAAACAAATGAAAAAACATTCCATGCTCATGGATTGGAAGAATCAATATTGTGAAAATAGCCATACTGCCCAAAGTAATTTATAGATTCAATGCTATCCCTATCAAGCTACCACTGACTTCCTTCAAAGAACTGGAAAAAAAAAACTACTTTAAATTTCATGGAACCAAAGAAGAGCCTGCATAACCAATATAACCCTAAGCAAAAGGAACAAAGCTGGAGGCATCAGGCTACCTGACTTCAAACTATTCTACAAGGCTACAGTAACCAAAACAGCATGGTACTGGTACCAAAACAGATATATAGACCAAAGGAACAGAACAGAGGCCTCAGAAATAATGTCACACATCTACAACCATCTGATCTTTGACAAACCTGACCGAAACAAGCAATGGGGAAAGGATTCCCTATTTAATAAATGGCTAGCCATATGCTGAAAGATGAAACTGGATCCCCTCCTTACCCTTTATACAAAAATTAACTCAAGATAGATTAAAGACTTAAATGTAAGACCTAAAACCATAAAAACCCTGGAAGAAAACCTAGGCAATACCATTCAGTACAGAGAGATTGGCAAAGGCTTCATGACTAAAACACCAAAAGCAATGGCAACAAAAGCCAAAATTGACAAATGGGATCTGATTAAACTAAAGAGATTCTGCACAGCAAAAGAAACTATCATCAGAGTGGACAGGCAACCTACAGAATGGGAGAAAATTTCTGCAATTTTTCCATCGGACAAAGGGCTAATATCCAGAATCTACAAAGAACATAAAGAGATTTACAAGAAAAAAAAAAAAACAACCCCAACAAAAATTGGACAAAGGATAGGGACAGACACTTCTCAAAAGAAGACATTTATGCAGCCAACAGACACATGAAAAAATGCTCATCATCACTTGTCATTAGAGAAATGCAAATCAAAACCACAATGAGATACCATCCCATGCTAGTTTGAATGGCAATCATTAAAAAGTTCAGGAAACAACAGATGATGGAGAGGATGTGGAGAAATTGGAACGCTTTTACACTGTTGGGAGCGTAAATTAGTTCAATCATTGTGGAAGACAGCGTGGCAATTCCTCAAGGATCTAGAGCTAGAAATACCATTTGACCCAGTGATCCCATTACTGGGTATAAACCCAAAGGATTATAAATCATTCTATTATAAAGACACATGCACACATATGTTTATTGTGGCATTATTCACAATAGCAAAGACTTGGAACCAACCCAAATGCCCATCAGTGATTGACTGGATAAAGGAAATGTGGCACATATACACCATGGAATACAATTCAGCCATAAAAAAGGATGAGTTCATGTCCTTTGCATGAACATGGATGATGGTGGAAGCCATCATTCTCAGCAGACTAACACAAGAACAGAAAACCAAACACCACATGTTCTCATAAGTGGGAGTTGAACAATGAGAACACATGGACACAGGGAGGGGCACATCACACACCAGGGCCTGTCATCAGGGTAGGGGGAGTGATAGCATTAGGAGAAATACCTAATGTAGATGATGGGTTGAGGGGTGCAGCAAACCACCATGGCACGTGTATACCTATGTAACAAACCTGCACGTTCTGCACATGTACCCCAGAACTTAAAGTATAATAATAAAAATAAAGAAAATAATATTCTAGTTTGCTGATCTCTGGTAGATACTACTTATTTAGAGCATTCCAAAATTAAAAGTTTTATTTAGTTACTGTATTTACTATAAAAGAATTCAACAAATGTTAGTTTACCAAAATAAAAACACAGCAAATTATTTTCAACTAGACACCTATGTAAATATGGCCTTAGCATGAGATGCATATGATTCCTGCAAATTAAAATAAAATATGAAATGAAATATGACATTTATATATATTTACAGAAAAATCTATACAGTCTAAGTCACTTGAGAGAGCAAGAAAAATATATCATTCAAATATATGGATTTACCTGGATATATCTAGAAATTCTTGGCTTATTTTAACATTCTCTCTTGGTATAACTGCGTACAATTTCTGAACACCTCGCTGTGAGAAGTTCTTAAAACATGTATATACCACATTCCTTTCATGAAAGATATATGATTCTTAGGGGAACAGTTCAGTATTTTAAAAACCTATTTACCTAAGACTTCAGTTTTATGCCAGTTTGTGGTCAAGTGAGGATTTGTTCAAATCAATACAGTTATCTTCAGATATTTTTTACTTTTTAATTCTCCCAACATTCAATTATAAAAAAAGTTAAATTCATAGAAAATTTAAAAGAATAGTACAATAAAAACCTAGATACCTTTCTCTTGAATTAATTATCATTACAATTTTGCCAGGTACACTCTTTAATTCAGAACAATTTGAAAGAAAGTTTATATATTAAGATACTTCACTCCTATGTACTCCAATATGTTTTTATGTTTTCTTCTTAAACTGGAAAACCTCATTTCTCACAGTGATATTTAGTTATCTAGTTATTTTCTTTATCTTACAACAAACACAAAATTGTTTTAAAATTACAATACCAGGTTATCCATGAAACAAACATACTGATTAGAGGTTCAAGATTTCCTTGCACTTCTTTTTAACCTTAAAACATATATCACCATGTATATATATATATACAAAATATTACTCAATAGTTATTTTAGTATTTTTCTCTGTGTATACATTATCAATTTGCTATAAAGTCTATCTCCCTTGAATTTCAGCCTTAGATTTTTTTAACATAGTATTTTTACCTTTATTTTACATAATGAATTGTGTAACAAATTGTTACTTCCATCCCTATTTCTTTCCTTTCCTTCTACCATCCCACTAGAGTAATTATTTTTGTTGGGTTCTGGTTGACCTTTTCTTTCTGGTTAACCCATTCTGTATTTCACTTTGCAAAAATAAGCAAAAAGAAGAGAGAGAGATGAGAGACAGACACACTGATAGATGGAGAGAAAGAGATGTTCATGTTTACATTAAAGGTACCTAATATACATAGAGTCCTGTATTGTTTTCACCTACTAACCACAAATCACTTGCTAACAGTTCTTCCTCTTTTTTTAAAAAAAAATAAAACAGTTGCATAGCAACCATTTTTGGAAAATATCACGTAGATTACTCAAGCAGCTTCCTGTTGATAGATATTTAGATTTTTCCAATGTCTTCCTATAACAAATGCCACAATGAAAAAATGTTGTATTCATAGACTTTTGTTTTTATGGAGGAGTATCATCATGATAGACTCCTAGAAGTAGATTTCTGAGTCAAAAAGTAGATGCATAAGTGACTGTATTAGATATTTCTACTTTCTCCTCTGTTTTCAGTGTACTGTTTGGAACTCACACCAGTAATTAATGAGAATGATGGGTTCTCTACAACTTTACCGACAGATTGTATTTGAAAGCTTTTGAAATTCTGCCAATCTGATATTGTCTGATGAGGCGTTTCTCATTAAACATTGCTTTAAAAAAATCTCCTACTTTTGAGTTTTCTTTTGACTCAAACTTAATACCAAGGCATGTCTATGTAGTCTTGCTTTCTTTTTTATATGTGGTCAGCATATGCTTACAATACATTTACTACATGAAATAATTACTAGATGGATCACAATGTCAGCAGCAATGCATTTTTGGGGAGCATATTTTCATGGCACCACCTTAATCAGAAAATCTTAACAATGTCATCTTCTTAATTTAGCTGTTCAGATATCAGTTGATACCACTAAATCAATGGGTGAATGTAGTAATTAAGGTCTTTGTTAATCACAGAACTATGAGTAACAAAACATGAAGTAGAAAAAATTGGGGGGATTGCCCATATAAGTCATTGTTGATGGCATTTGGTTGAAAAGTCTCTATGGTTGCATATGAAGGAAAATATATGTAAAAAGGTGAGTTCATTTCTCTTTATATCATCATTTAGCAGTTTTACTAAATGTGTTACTACTAAGCCTATTTAAATTTAACTTTAAACTCTATTTTTGGTTTAGCTTTTTTTTTCTTTTAGTAAAGAAATTTTAAATATCCCAACACTTTCAAGCAGAGTCAGTGGCTGTGATCCAAACTTCTTAAGTCATATTTGAACTCTGTAGCTTCACTCTATTCATATAAACATGTCAAGAGTGAATGCCATGATGAAAATCCAGACTTGAAAATTAATCTTCTTTTATGATTCTTTCCATTAACTGCCCAAGCCACTGTGGCAGCCAGCTGGAACACCAGCTTATGCCAGCTTATATAATGCTGTTAAGAACTCGGAAAGAGGGACAATATTCATACCACCAGGAAAAATTACATAGATTTATAGACCTATGTAGAAATTAACAATCATAAAGTCCCAATCTCTTGTCTTTTAGATCACTAAACTGAAGCATGAAAAGGTGAAATAGTACCTAAGGTCAGATTTCAAGTTTATCTCAGAGCAGCACCTGGAGCCCTGCTTTTCATCCTTCCACGCCCATGTGCTTCAGTGAAAAGGAATGACTTTTTCATTCAATAATTTTTTCAAGCACTACTCTGTGTGTGTAGATAAACTGATAAATAGATAAATACAGACAGATATTTCTCCTGAGTCTAGTGCACTTTTTACAGCTATTTTTAATAATAGATTTATTATGACTTTGAGGGGTTTATTTTTGCTTTCCTTACAGTAGTAATTAATTATTTTTTATTTCAAATTCAATTATTTCAATTTAGTGAAGTGTGATACACTGAAACATAAAGCGTATGCATGGGAAGGATGGGAATGAACTATCATCTTCAAATATCTGTTAGCCCTCATTTCTTTTTCTATATTATGCAGTTTTTAAAAGCTAAGAGATTTACTTGATATAAGAACAAAAAGTTACATTTAGGTCACATTAATGTACAGTCACGTGCCATATAACCATGTTCCAGTCGACAAAAGGCCATACATATGATGGTCTCACAAGATTATAATATCATATTTTTACTGTACCTTTTCTAATTATAGACATATTTAGATACACAAATTCCATTGTGTTACATTTGCCTACAGTATTCAGTATAGTAACATGTTGCGCAGATTTGTGGTTTAGGAGCAATAGGCTGTACCATATAGCCTAGGTGTGTAGTAGGCTCTACCATCTAGGTTCATGTAAGGACACTGTACGATGTTCTCACAATGACCAAATTTTCCAATAATGTGTTAATTGTAAGCATTGCTTAACACCAGGGATATATTCTGAGAAATGCATAGTTAGGCGATTTTGTCATTGTGGGAACATCATAGAGTATCCTTACACAACCTACTACCCAACTAGGCTATATGGTATAGCCGATCGCTCCTAGGCTACAAACCTGTGCAGAATGTTACTATAGTGAATACTGTAGGCAATTGTAACACAATGATAAGTAGTTATGTATCTAAATATATCAAAACATAGATAAGATACAGTAAAAATGTGAGACTATAATCTTATGGAACCATCATCATATATATGGTCTGTTGTTAACCAACATGTCAATAAGCAATGCATGACTGTATAATTGCTATATAAGCTAACTGTAATTTATTTCATTTGTTCTTTGAGATGAAATAATAATGTCTGTTTCTAATATCTGAATATTAAGAGTAAAGAGTCTATCCAATAAAGATATAGTGTTTGATATCCTTAAGTTTAAATCCAATGTGGGCACTTTTTATATACTCAAGCAAGTTATATCACCTTACCTAAACTCCATTTCTTCATCTGTAAAGTAGGAATAATCATAGCTCCTTTATAGTTTTGGTTTAGGGACACTGCGAAAAAATGTAAGCAACTCAAAGGTAGTCAATGTTGTTTACTTTCTCATTTCATCCTCTGTAATATTTTATAGAAACTGTTTGTATTCACTCTATTACCTAAGAGACTCTCAACTCTTCAACAACAGCAAAACCCCCAATATTTCCTGGAATTTAAATAAGTCAATTTCAGAAATACCAACTTTAACAGCTGGTAAATATTTTTTCTGATTTTTAATCCTATGAAAAATTTTTTGTGTGTAACTTCAGAATTTCTCATACTTTATCAGAATTCCCCATACTTTATCAGAATTTCCCATACTTTATGTTATCTCCTCCTTCTAAAATCAATACATAACTGATAGTAGAAATATAGCCACTCCAACTTCAAAGGGAGAAAATGCTTAGTTCAGAAATTGAGGACTGGGTTGATAAAGTTTTCCAAGATGTTACAAGTACTTAGGAAGCACAGTATTCAGGATACTTTCCCTGCGGAGTTCTCGTCCTGAATTAACTGGTTGGACTGCCCACTGTTTAATTGCAAACTCTTCATTTCCCTAGGTGATGGATGCACTGTGATGTGGACTTAAAGTGGGCCCAGACAGCCTTAATGACTGAGATGTAAAAAGCTTGCCTTGCAAATGAGATGTTTATCTGCAAGTTATTATTAAATGGTGTCTACCTAGCTGGGAGTAAGTGAAGATTTGGTAATTTTTCCTTAGTTTAGTAAGTGTATATTCATTGATTTTTATTTTCTCAGCTCCCTTTCTTACTCAAACCTTTACCACCTCATGTCAGGACAACTGCAATAAATTCCTACCTTATCTCTTGAATGGATTTCCTCCACTCTTACATCATTCTGCACTAGCCCCTGGAAGTCAGTGTAAACAAGCTACTCCCTAGTTATGTATAGGTTGAATTCCAGACCTTATTTTGGCACTCAATGTGTTTCACAGTTGACAGACCTCAAGGTCTCTTTCTTACACAAGTTCTGCAGTATAGGCAAATGGTTATCCCACGAGGACTGGAACAAACCTTTTGTTTGTTGCCTCAGAATTTCTTTACCTGGTGGTCTTCTCCTTTTTCTTTTCAACTCTAAGTGCTAATCATGAATCCCTAGTTAAGCCCCACCTTCTCCATCCACACTTCCCAGGTCTCTGGCTTCTTCCTCTTGTATCAGTGCTTCACAAACTTAACTGAATATAGGACTTAGCCTAAAAAAAATTGGTACTTCAGCCTCACCTCCAGCTCCCAGAGATGTGTATTTAATTTGTCTGGGGCATGTTCCTGGTACTTGGATTTTTAAACTCTCCCCAGATGATTCTAGTCTGCAGTGAAAGTTAACAAACACTGTCATATGCATTTCAGTTATAAATCACCTGAACAGTTTATCAAGCAATTTAATAAGACACATACCACCTTTGTGATGTTCATATATTTTATGAATAAAAGATTTTTTCTGGGGGTCTCATTTGCTTCTGTATAAATGTTCAAATATTTGTGAACTACTGGGGTCATATGTAAAATTATTATATTTTTACTATACTGTATAAAAACAAAATAATTTGAATCATCAATAAACATTTCTCTTTTAAGTGTGTAATTATGCAAATTATGATTCAAATCTCTCTGCCTGTTCCCACTGCCCCCCCTTGCTACTTAGGATGAAGAGCTGGAGTTGGTGGTATGGATTGAGAAGAGGTGGGGGCAGTGGTCAGAAGCAAAACTACTGGTTAGGAGAGTACATTAATAATCTAGGAGATAACAGTGCTTTGGAACACAGAGGTGGCAGTGAAGGTAGTGAGAAGTATTTGGATTTTAGATATGTTTTGAAGGTAGCTCCAGTGGAATCTACTATTGGATTAGATGTGAGTATGAGAGGAAGAAAGGACCTGAGTTGGACCCCCGGGTTTTTGAAAGAACTTTATTACACGCTATAACAAGATTACCTCTCTTTCTACAGGGTAAGATGGAAATAATAATATTCACATTGGTGTATTGTTGTATTATATCAGATAATATATGGAAAATGCCTAGGGCAGAGCTTGGCTCGTAAATATTTGATTAGTGACAGACATCATGGAGTGACTCAATCTGTGTACAGAGTGGAAATTAGTGAAATTTGAAAGAAGAGATCATCAGCTTAATTACCCACTGGTTATGAGATTCGAGTGGTCACTGACTGCCACTTTTATTATGTGGCCAATCTAGCCATGTTAGGCAAAATAACCAAAAAGAGGAAAACATAACAATGAGAGTACCTATCTTGCTGCCTTGAAGCAGAATAAGTTTTCACAGGGGATTGGGAAGTCTAAGATCTGTTAATTGGGTGATTAACTGTTTAATTGGTTGCCTGAGTTTAGAGTGTCCTAAGGAGTACATACTTAGATCAGGCACAGTGGCCCACACCTGTAATCCCAACACTTTACGAGGCTAAAATGGGAGACTCCCTTAAAACCAGAAGTTCAAGACCAGCCTGGGCAATATAGTGAGATCCCATCTCTAAAAAAGAAAAAAAAGAAAGAAAAGAAGTACATATTTAAGGATAACATGCAAACTGCAACAAAGAAAATTAATTACAGGAGAAAACAAATCTAGCACTAGGTATTGTAACATGTACATTCAAAAGTCCAAAGCAAAGAGTATTAATAAAAGAAAACAAAAACCTTAGTAACTATAAAGTTAAAGTCACTGTAAGGTCAGCACGACTGACAGAGTTGACAATCATTCCTTCTCCAATGTGTAAATGAACACGGAGTAATAGCACATCAGTAGTATGAAGGGGAACTTTGAGAGGCTTTGTATAGTGTGATTTAACATTTGCTATTGTATAAAAGGGGGCATGGTTGTAAATATGAGGTCTAATATTCATTGTACTATGGCACAACTGCTTTGAACCTTATTGTCTTCATCTGTAAAAAATGGATGATAATTCTTACCTCAAGGGTATTAATAAGGATTTTAAATGTATAAAAGTTCTAGAATATCTCAAGTTTAGCATATAGTAATGTTTCAATAAATATCAGCAGTAAAGTGGAAATAAAGAAAATAATATCTCAGGGTAAGGAAGGAGGAGAGTTTACAGATCCCTGGTGAAGAGAGACTGGAATATAAACAAGATCACACTGATGGCCTACATATTGCTAATGGATCCAGGTGTCTAAGTTGTTTGTTAGGTAAACCCATATGTAATTTATCAATAATATTGTTCATGTTCCCTCATCTAATTCTTTTTGTTACTGTCATTAGTCTAAATTATCATACAACTTCAGGTGTTGTAAATCAGGCATACTTGAACCAGGTAGACATAACTGTCCATCTGGCTATGATTTGGAGCCAAGACAGGAACTACATGGTAGGCCAGTTAGAGAGGCACACATGAGGAAAAGCACTCCCCAAACAAGCAGTGTTCTCTGTCAGGTAACTGAACTTCGTGAAATGGAATACAAACATATACAATTATATTTTGGTTAGCTAGAATGTTCTCCAAAATGGCATGTAAATAAACATGGTTATTTTTTGATTGATTCTGGAAAGGCTTGCTCTAACTATAAGTGTATTCATTAGCTTTTTTATATTTCTTAACTAAAGCCATACATATATGTGCAAAAAATTGAAAAGTAGGTATGCTTTGCTCATGAAAGATACTCAGTGGCATCATAATCATTAAATACATTTTTTGAAAATTGACTGCATTGGTGGTTAAAATGACCAAAATTAATATTTCCCAGCTGGGTTCCATAAAATACTAACCATGATAAGATGTTAACCATGCTGGTCTTTAGCATGTCTTTTCAAATCCTCCCTTGTTCTTATAATATATTCTGTAACACAGGGAACTGCATTTCCCAGACGTTTGTGCCAACAGGCTTCTGGCTACAATCTGCAAATGGGAGATATGGTGAGAGTTGGAAGTGTCCAATCCGGGGGGGCAAAGTATTTCCAGCCCTTACTCTGCCTAGAGTGGTATCCCTAATACCAACTGGAATTTTTCTTCCCTTGATTTCTTTTCTTTTCTTTTTTTTTTTTTTTTTGAGACGGAGTCTCGCTCTGTTGCTTAGGATGGAGTGCAGTGGCGTGATCTCGGCTCACTGCAACCTCGCCCTCCTGGGTTCAAGCGATTCTCTTCCCTCAGCCTCCCAAGTAGCTGGGATTACAGGTGCCCACCATCACGCCCAGCTAATTTTTGTATTTTTAGTAGAGACGGCATTTCACCATGTTGGTCAGGCTGGTCTCGAACTCGTGACCTCGTGTCGTGACCCACCTGCCTCGGCCTCCCAAAGTGCTGGGATTACAGGCATAAGCCACCATGCCTGGCTGATTTCTTAATTTTATTTTATTTATTGTTATTATTTTTTAACTTTTAAGTTCAGAGGTACATGTGAAGGTTTGTTATATAGGTAAGCTCCTGTTATGGGGATTTATTATACAAATATTTTGTCCCTCAGGTATTAAGCCTAGTGCCCATTAGTTATTTTTCTTAATCCTCTCCCTCCTCCAGCCTTCCACCTCCAAGTAGGCCCCGTTGTGTGTTGTTCCCCTCTGTGTACCCATCTGTTCTCATCATTGAGCAACCACTTATAAGTGGGAAAATGCAATATTTGGTTTTCTGTTCCTGCATTAGTTTGCTAAGGATAATGGCCTATAGCTTCACCCATATTCCTGCAAAGGACATGATTGCATTGTTTTTAATGACCATATAGTATTTTATGGTGTACATTCACCACATTTTCTTTATCCAGTGTACCATTGATGAGCATGTAGGTTGATTCCACGATTTTGCCATTGTGAATAGTGCTGTATTGAACATATGCATGTATGCATGTGTCTTTATGGTAGAACAATTTATTTTCCTTTGTGTATATACCCAGTAATGGGAAGACTGAGTGGAATGGTAGTTCTGTTTTTAGGACTTTGAGGAATCACCACACTGTTTTCCACAATGACTAAACTAATTTACGCTCCCACCGACAGCATATAAGTGCTCCTTTTTCTCCACAACCTCATTTGTGCCTGTTATTATTTGGCTTTTTAGTAATGGCCATTCTGACTGGTGTGAGATGATATCTCACGGTGGTTTAGATTTGCATTTCTCTAATGATCAGTGATGTTGAGCTTTTTTCTGCTGAAAAGTGTCTATTCATGTCCTTTGCCCACTTTTTAATAGGGTTGTTTGTTTATGAGACAACGTTCCCACCATGCTCCCAGCTCTCCAGGCAAGTCTATTGTATAGTGGATTCTAATTTCTTGATTGGATCTTGACTCGTAAAAGTCAAAAAGATATTTAAAAGTTCTAATTTTTAAAAAATAATGGTCAAAAAATATCTCAGAAAAAGATGTCCCAGCAGGAATTCCTTGTCTGCAGAAATCCTCAAGGTCTTTAATATGCTAAAGTACAGTGTAGATTTCAAATAGAGAAATATTGTGTGCAGCATGTCCCTAGTTATTTTTCAAAGAACCATTTTGTTTGCTTGTGTTGTTTTATTTTGTTTTCCATGGAATATCTACAAATACCTCACGGAAGTAGTGTTACATAAAACATAATTTTCAAATGTCGATCAAGATAAGCTATGTATAGTTTGAAAATTCTGTATGTGTAACATACAGATAAACTAGTTTTTGTACTTTGCATCCATTGTCTTTGGGCACATTCCTGGATGCAAAAACCTAAGGCAAATATCTTGAAAATTAAAGAAAAGATAAATAAGCGCAGGCACACAAAAATTATCTCCCTCATTTTAAATTCATTTGCAATATTATGGTAGGCAAAGGCAAATTATTTCATGCTGAAAAAACTTTTGCAAATTTGGTGATTGGATCCAGTTTGTGGAATTTGCACCCTGGAAATGCCACTGCATTTCATTTATAATCAAACTGACTGGGTTTGAAATGATATTAAATGTGCCAGATTGAGGAAAAAATCCAAATGGATTCATACAGAAATGTTATTAACTTGGAAATGGTTCAATGGGCATTTGGCATTTTCACACTGGTAGGTTTAATTTGTGGAGTGAGAACAATGGGCTAGGGAGATATAGAGCTCTGTACTTTTGCCACTTTAACATTTATGTTTGTCATTTATGAACCTGGGCTGAGAATTGATTAAATTTTTGCCTTGTAGCTTTTGGATTTTGTAACACATACAAACTGTCTTATATTCACCTATTTCCTTTGTAGATTATCAGTTTAAATATAGACTTTTCCATATAAGTTGTTAGCTAAAACAAGGGTAAGAAAAATAAAAGCAGTAAAGATATGGCATTCTGTAAATAAACTCAATGTTCTACACTTAGTTAATTATTCAGGATGAAACAGCTGGGGTTTAAGCCTCTAAGCTACTTCTTAAAAGGCAATTAAGTATATATGTTGTGTAAATGTGGAGTAGCCATTTCCATTAATAAAGTGAAGTGAAACCAAAAAGAAACAGTGGCAAATATCAGGAAATAGTGAAATATACAGGACAGATTCAGATAAGCTAAAAAGCAAAAATAATCTCAATGAACAAAGTCTATAGACATGACATAGACAGCATCTTAATATCTGAATTATCCCCAATGACTAACAAAATGTGTCTTTTGCATAGCAAGTTTTCATAAATATGAGGGAATTCTTTCTATGTAACATGTGATAGGGGTCAAAACACTAAACTGTAGTTAAGAGCTTTGGTTTTTCAGGTCCAGTTCTGACTGTAATCAGGTATGTGACTTTGGGCCCATCATTCAACTACATTCATTCATTTACTCTACATATTTTTTGAGCTCCTTCTCTATGACAGGCACACAGCTAGATTATGGGGATTCTCATGGTGTTTATGTTAAAAGGGAATGGGTACAGACAGGCCAGACAGTAAGGAAACAAATGAACACATGAATACATAAACAAGAGAAATCTCAGAATTAAATGAAATAGCAAATTACTAAGGGGTTTTTTAGTTGAGTGGCCACTGACAGCTCCTGTGAGTTCAGCATTCCAGGGAGAGAGAGGGTCAAGAATGTGCCTGGCTGACTTAATCCAATCCTAACTCCTTAATATACATTCAAGCTCCTTCAAAAGTAACCACTTATATCATTGTCCTCTCCAGTGGCTTCCCAATAATACACATTACAGCCCAGCTATACTGGACTTCCCACACTTCCTAGAACATGTCATGCCCTCAAATATGTGCATGCAGATAAGTTCTTACAGTGACATTTTATGTGCTCTCAAAAAAAAAAAAATGGTTGCTGTCATGACCAACTGCTGTTTCCTCTTCCCACCATATTTCTCCCTTCATCATCTCCCCTTATCCTTAAGGGACTCATATAAAACATCATCTTCTTTCTGAATTCTCAAATGGGACAAATTTCTCTTGTATCATTATAGTTTATTTATGAAAGTTTTTCTCAAAGTGTAACATAAGAATGTATATTCAGGAGCCAATACTGTCCCCAGGAGCCATGAGTCCCTGAGACTCATGTTTTAATGTTATGTTTTCATTTTGCTGATAATCGACAAATAAAATATACCAGTTTTTAAACAGAAAAAAAGAATGTGCCTGGGAGCTTCCAACAGACAGTATAGTTGGATTACAATGCGAAAGGGGGAAGAAGGTAGGCAGGAGCCAGATCATGTCAAGCTTCCTAAACTCTCCAGGACTCTCATTTCTCATTTACAAAGTTATGTATCTGGAGAAAATGAATTAAAAGAACACTTCCAGTTCTAAAATATAAATTCCATGAGCAATTCTAATTTGTTCATTGCTTTATCCCCATCCCCAGTGCCTAGAACATAGCCCTTAGTATTTAATATATATTTGTTAATTGTGTGAATGAATCTATCAAAATCAACACTGACCAGCAGACCTTTCTGTGGTGGTAGAAAAGTGTTGTATCTATGCTTCCCACCACAGTTGCTCTGACCACATGATTCCATGTTTCAGAAAGATAAAATCTCATTAACATATAGGAAGAACAAGAGGATAAACCAAGGAAAACCCAAGATGACTAATGGTGTGCCCACAATGGAAAATAAATAATAAGAATTCAGTAGTGACTGTGATTTTGAATAACTGTCATCAAAAGATATATTTAACTATAAGGCAAAAATGTAATTGAAAATACAGTCTGCCTCTTACATGTTAGCAACTTAAACAAACCAACTTTGCTATATTTCTTTTCTTTGAATTGTTGCATATAATATATTTTATTCAAAAAAAGATAAAGTTTTTTTCATCATTCTATATTCCAAAATGCAAGTCACTTTGGTTCAATTACTTATTCATCTCTATTTCCTGATCTGCTAGATAAAGATGGAATAGCTATCAATAAAGACTGCAGCAACTTCGATTCCATCATTTTCTTAACTGTTCTCCATGGAATTTAGATGTCTGGGATGTTATATTACTTAGCAAAAGTAACCTAGCTTTGGTCAGTTTGGTGAAAGTACACTCCAGGGAACAGCAGATGTAAGTAAGTGAGAAATAATATGTGTATGCAGAAGAAATCCCACTATGCTCCATTTGCAACAAAAGCTTCAGCCAATCACACTAGGAGCTCTAAATTGAGATGTTCATTCAGAGTTGTCCCTTTGTATATAACTCCTTGACCAGCCAATGGATGCAGGCTGTCCCAAGCCACGGGTTTTGAGGGCGTAGCAGCACCCTCTTCTGAGGTCAATTTACTGAGAGAAACAGCTGTGAGCTATCAGCAGCCCACATCCCTTGCAGGATGGGAATAAGGGCCTGGATCCTGAAAAGGGACTGCTGAGAAGTACACCACAATATCCACAACACCTGGTGGCAAGGAGTGCTAGAATGTGGTAGAACACATGGAACACAGGCACTGAGATTACTGAACTGGGTGGGAACCATGACTCTTACTTATGACATTTTGAGTTGACTTTAAACTGACCTAATCAATTTTACAGTCTACAAAGTAAGTTTGATGAGTAAAAGTCAGCTTACACAAAGATACTCTCTATTCCATTCCTGCTTATGTCTTCTTAAAGATAGCTCAGAATGGAAAGCCAGATGCAGCTGGTATTTTTGAAGTTCTATGACTCTTATTGGAATTTTTAGAAGTGTCCACATATATTACACAAGGGTATGATCCTCGTCTTCCCTTCCACTCCGTAATGGAAATAGGTCTAGGGTTAGCTTGCTCACTCTTTTTCCCTAGATTATCTGTCTTTGTCCAATGGATAATCATGCTTAAGGCTACTCTTCTCACTAAAAGGCCCTTTGAGACCCAGGCCAGTTATGGACGAGGCACTGCTGCAATTTTTATCTTCACAGCTTCTGGCACAGCAGGTAAGATGTTTGGGCCATGCTGAGGAGCATTAAAACAGAGTTTAGGACTTTGTGAAGATAATAGAAAAAGCAGATCATTCTCGACCATTCAGGAAAAATTTGCTCAAGAAAAGAGTTTTCCCCTTCAAATTAACCTAACCTATTTGAATTTTCTAAAGAGCTACATCCAAGCTTCAGCTATTTAGAAAGATAAAGCTATATTGCCTTTAAAACACATTTAATTTGTACTTTAGATTCTTCTGAGTCACTGATTCATCTATTAAACTTTGAAGCTGTTTCTACAGTTACAACCCACTCAGTTGATTTTATTGTTAAGAAAATATTTATCAAACATTTACCTGTGCCAGTCTCTAGACTGAAGCAAAGATACAATGTTGAGTCAGATATAGTTTTTGTCCTCAAATGTTACAGGCTTAATTGTAAAGATAAACACCCGAGCAGTTAATTGCAATAGTGTGTGATATGTGTATGCAGAGGTAATGATCAGTTGCTATGAAAGTGCATATCAAAGGCACATAACCCAGCTGGGAGATGAGAAAATCTTCATGGAGAGATAATGTTTTAGGTTTATTCTTTTTAGATGAGAAGCAGTTATGAGATAAAAGGGGTCAGGAGGAGGAGATGAATAGGGTAGGAGAACTCCAGATGAAAGGACTGTAGAAAGGCTTTAGAGAGAAAAGGGAAAGTCTGACCTACATTGAAACTCTCAAGTGGTCACTGTGACTGAAGCTAAGAGTGTCAGTGTGAAATTATGAGAGAGGCAGCACCAGGTAAAGAGCTTGAACTATCCTGAGGGCCTTGTAGTGCCACTGGTAATTTTAAGTGATGTAACATGATCAGATTTGTGTTTTGAAAAATGCTTTAGTTTTTAAAGTATTTAAAACTCTGACAACGTTAATAACTAATATGCATGCTTATTTTCATTTACTATCTCAATTACTCTTCATAGTGATTGTGTCACAGGCCAGGACTATTAGCACTGTTACTTTACATACATGAAATAGGGCATTCACAAGGACTGAGTAACTTGTCCAGGGTCTGAGTGGTATGAAGAATGAATTTGAAGTGGTCCTGTCCAGAGTCAGATAAACATTTAGAGGACTGCTAAGATAATTAGGTAAGAAATATTGAGATAAGACAACATAGAACATGAATGAAGGCAGTGGCAGTGAAGATAAAACAAAGAGGTCAGATTATATGGAAATTAAGGAGGTAGAATCTATGTGATTCAGAGATTCACTTAGTTGTGTTGGGTGTGGGAGACGGAACAGCATAGGGTGTTTATCAACTTTCTTGCTCTATAAATTCGGTGAATGGTGTTGCCATTTGCTGAGGCAGTGAATTCCAGGCAAGCATTCGAAAGAGCTAGATGCAAAGGTTTTAAACGTTAGATATGCATGGGGTGAATCAGAGGTTTTGTGGGACATTTTAATGGTAATTCTTAGTAGGCATTTGGATATGTAAGTTTTGCTGAGGAGCACTATTTAAGATACAGAGAGTGCTACAGGATTCATCAGGAGAATTTTTGGAGTTATGGGAAGTGTGCAGGAGAGAGAATACAGGGAGCCTGAGATGGCTATCTTTAGAAAGGCCTGCTTGTAAGCTTGGCCCTTTGCTAGCATTTGGGAAGCTGGTCTCTGAAGCATTCCCAGATAAGTTTGTTTTGCTCTGGCTACACTGTTTGTGCAAAAAAATGTGTCAATGGTGAATACCTGCTTTTCTTCTGGAATGTGGAATTCTGGTAGTTTCTAGGCAGAGAATGCTTACTTAAGCAGACCTGAATAAAAATCCTAAACTCTGAGTCTCAATTGGGCTTCCCTGGACATGAATGCTGCACACGTGTGGCTGCACTGTCACTGCTGGAGGGGGAGTGTGCTCTATGTGACTTCTCCTGGAAAGGAGAGAACATAGAAACCCTGAGCACAGATTCCACCAGGATCCATTTGTGTAATTTTCCTTCACTGATCTGTTGGTAAACCCTTACTCTATAATAAATGTTAGCCATGTGGCATACAGCTACATGCTTAATGCAGTAAGTCTTTCTAGTGAATTGCAGAATGTATGGATGGTCTTGGGGAGCTTTGAGACAGGAATATGCAAGATTGCCTCTGGACCCACACAGGTACATTTCTTGGAAGAGTGGTAGAGGTAGAAACCATATTTCAGTGGGTTTAGGAATGTATGAGGGTGAAGAAGCGATGGATGGAGTACAGATTTCTTTTTCAAGAACTTGGCCTTTAAATAAAAAGGAACTACTTAGGGAAATACAAGAGAAGGTATATGGTTTAGAAGAATTTCAGTGTTGAGAAAGACTTGAATATGTGAACATGCTGAAGGGAAGAACCAACGAAGAAGAAGAACATGAAGATGCTGACTAAACAAAAGGATCAGTAGTGAAGATAGAAAAGATCAGAGCCAGAAGAAAAATAGCTGTTTTGCATATTTTGTTCAAGAAGGAACAACACTTACACTTACAGAGAAAAGAAAGAAGTAAAGAAGAACATGGGAGAATATAGATGTAAGTAAAATAGTAAGCAAAGAGCAAAAGGAAATTCGCGATTTTGTCTGAAGGCTTTGTTGTTTTGTTTTGCTTGCTCAGTGAATTAGAGGGTTCATTGAGCAGTACTGTGAAATTCAATCAAAATTAAAATGAATTTAATTTTCACTGAATTAAGGGTTGGTTGACTGAACTAATGAGTCACTTTAATTACTCATAGAAACCAACAGTTTCTCTGAACTCATGGATCCAATGAGTTGGAGAAGATCTTATAACTATCTATGCCAATCTTCCTCTCAATAAAGAAATTGAATCTAAAATATTCTTGAATTGTGCTCATATGTTTCTGTTTCAACATTTCCAGGGAAGGGCGGCTCAATCTCTGCATATAACGCAGCCACTTGTTTTGTTGCTGAATAGAAAAAATCATCAAAATACTCTTTGCAAAGGTCATTGTCTTGTCTGCAATTTTTATCTTTTGTTATTATTAGGTTTTTTTTCTTAGGGGTAACTGCATTTATTTTCTATTTTTCACATGGAAGACCTTCAAATATTTAAAGATGTATTGTTATTGAGTTTCCACTTTCCTAGGATATACATGGCAGTCCCTTAATCAAGTTCATGTTTGAATAAAAACCTAGAGGATGTGAGGAAACTAGCCATATGAATACCTGGAGTAAGAGCATCCTAGACATAATTATGTTTATAAAACATGATTTCTGAATCCCTCACTGTTGCATTGCCCTTTTCTTTTCTTGCTCATAAGGTTAATGATGCCAGTGACATCTGGGCTTTGCAGAGAGACTGACCTAGGCCTGAGGACTTGATGGTCACTTATGAATTGTGCAGTCTTGGGGATGTTGCTTAATTTATGTAAGATTTGTTTCCTCATCTATGAAATATGACTAAGTAAGACGTATTTCATGGGCCAATTTTGAGGAATGACTAAGATCACATAGATAAAGCACTTGGCATAGTATCTAAGATATATTAAGTAGGCAGCAAATATATATGTAATTATTCTACTTTTTTCTCTGAGCTGATCATCTGACCAAGTGGCTGCACGTACAAGTTCGACAAGTTAAGTTTATGTGGACCTTGCAGTGTAACACTGCTATAAAAATTCAACAAACAATGCGAAATTCTAATAGTAAGTCAGACATTAATATTATTTTCCTTCTTGCCACAACGGCAATATCAACCAAACATGTCCATTCTCCTTGTTCCATGTGTTCTCTTGACTTTCTCATTCTTTTGTTATTCAATCAACAAATATATATTGAGATCTTACTGTGGGCCAATCACTATTTTAGGCATTGTAAATACAACAATGAAAAATACTCCTGTCCTCATGGATTTTACTTTCTTATAGAGGGTAGAAAATATAAAAGATAAGTAAATAAATTATATAGTATATACAGATAATATATATGTCAAAAGATAAAAGATAAAGCATAAGTGGGAGTAGGAAATGTCAAGGGCACTGTGGGGTGAAAATAGATATAACTGCATTTAACACATTATATTCAGGAAAGGCCTCCCTGAGAAGATATGTGAATAAAAACCTAGAGGATGTGAGGAAACTAGCTATGTAGATACCTGGAGGAAGAGCATCCCAGGTGTAGGAAGAGCAAAGAAAAAAGCCTTGGGGCAGGAATGTGACAGGGGTTGGGGGTAGTTATTGCAGAATGTGCAATGGGCAATCAAACAAGCAATGAGATTAAAGAGGTAATGGTACAGATCGTGTAAGATTTTACAGGTCATGGTAAGGACTTTCATGGTTCCTGGATCAGCATCAGAAGCCACACCCGGAATGATCACCCCTTACTTAGGAACTTGAAATACAAATTTGCAAGCCCTACTCCAGACTTATAGAATCAGAGCTTCTAGGGACAGTGTCTAGCAATCTGCATTAAAACCAGCCCTTTAGAGGATTCTGAAACTCACTGTAGCTTGAGAACCACTAGACTCATAGGTGATAAAGGAAGCTAGGAGAGAGCTTAAGCAGATAGATGAGTACCATGATCTGGTTGACACTACAAACCACTCCTGCTGTGTTGAATATATATGTAAGGCAGAAGCAATGGGACAAATTAATGAAACTTCTTGGTAATTTATGACACAACATCGTGATTGGACTTGGTATGGGTGGAGAAGGTAGTTGAAAAACGATGGAATTCTAAATATATTTTCAAGATAGTCTCAACAGAATGAGTGAAGTATGATAAAGAGAGAAAGCAAGGAAGACTCTAAGGGGTTTTGCTGAAGTTTCAGGAAGAATTGAGCCACCATTAAGTACTTAATCTGGCAAAAATAATCTTAATAATATTTATAAATATATTAATTTTGAAAAAACATCAAGACTTTCTTATCCCTATATGCTTTATTCTGGTATTCTTATCAGTGACAATACAGATACTTGAGGGTAAATAGTATTGATAAAGCATTCTAATGCTGAGAATAAATACTCTTGAGGCCCTCATAGTTGAGTTAAAAGTTTTTACACAAATTTTAAACTTATTAATATGAAATAATAAAAGAAGTAAGTTTAGCTCTGATCTGTCTTTACTAATGAAAGGCATGATCATCATTATTATTTTTAGCCAATATTCTGGAAACCCTTAAACAATATTTGAAAACCACATTACCTAGAAACTGTGCCCTGTCAACATTTTTTTTTTTTCTGAGACAGAGTCTCATTCTGTTGCCCAGGCTGGAGTACAGTGGTGCCATCTCGGCTCACTGCAAGCTCTGCCTCCTGGGTTCATGCCATTCTCCTGCCTCAGCCTCCCAATTAGCTGGGACTACAAGTGCCCGCTACCACACCTGGATAATTTTTTTGTATTTTTAACAGAGATGAGGTTTCACCATGTTAGCCCAGATGCTCTCAATCTCTTGACCTCGTGATCCACCTGCCTTGGCCTCCCAAAGTGCTGGGATTACAGACATGAGCCACTGTGCCTGGCCCCTGTCAACTTTTAATAATTATAATTATAGCAGAGAAAAAAATGGGCTATTATGAGAATTTTTCAACATTTCCTTCACGTTCAGGTGGAAAATTGAGCTACAAGATTTACTACGTGATGAATTCAGACATATTTTGTGTACTGGTCAAGCCATGATTCTCTCTTTCCTTTATAAGCACTTTGCTTAGAATTATAGCTTCAGTAACAAAGAGACTGTGTTCTAATTTAAAATAAAGTGCTTCTTTTTGTACAATTAATATTTCTTCAGTAATCATATCAATAATTCCCACAGATTATTTGTTTTCTATATAAATTTCTATTCCCAAATATAATCAATTTTTGATTATCCAAACCAATGGAGTAGAGCTTTGGAAGGGATCATCCCAAACACAAATCACGCCAGGCCATTTTATCTTTGCTTTCAGAATTCATTTCCATATTTTCTTAGTTACAGTTTATCAGCAGTGAAAATGCATGTTATCAAAACCAAATAACAAAGCTTTCTCATGCAATAGTCCTTGACATAAAATAATCTCAGATTAATTATTAAAGATTAAATACGACAAAAGAAGAGGTCTTGCAAATGTAGTTTTGAACTAGTTATACACAATGCCTTGTGCAAAGTGAGCAGTGTGTGTGTGTGTGACTATAAAATTCAGATTCAATCCACAGAATTTACATTACAAACATAGTAATTTTGTAACCATTACCACAGTGAATAGCTGCTGCCCTGTATATTCAAAGAAATACTGCATCTTATTATCGGGAGGAAATCTAAAAGCTGGCTAATTTAATGTTTGAGTAAATTATTATATCATTTAAAAGATTTTCTTCTAGCATCTGCATAAACCTTTCCAGAGATGAGGAGGACATAAGCAGCTTATTATTTGCTGAAAACTCTTGATAAAAGCTTGTGCTTCTGAGCCTACAATGGAATGTATGTGTCTACCACCAGCACTTTCTTTTTACCATCACCTGAAAGTCATCTTGTCACTACACTTGAGTCATGGACAACTTTCCGATTTGATTCACAGTCTGCTGCTCCAGTGTTAATGATGATACAATGATATTATTACTGAAGAAATATTAATTGTAAAAAAAAGAAGCACTTCATTTTAAATTAGAACACAGTCTCTTTGTCACTGAAGCTATAATTCCAAGCAAAGGGCTTATAAAGGAAGGAGAGAATTATGGCTTGACCACTACACAAAATATGTCTGAATTCATCATGTAGCAAATCTTGTAGCTCAATTTTCCATCTGAACATGAAGGAAATATTAAAAAATTCTCATAATAGCCCATTTTTCTCTGCTATATGATTATTAAAAGTTGACAGGGCACAGTTTCTAGGTAATGTGGTTTTCAAATATTGTTTGAGGGTTTCCAGAATATTGGCTAAAAATAATAATGATGATAATGTCTTCCTTTAGAAAAGACAGGTCAGAGCGAACACTTAGCTTCTTTTATTATTTCATATTAATAAGTTTAAAATTTGTGTAAATACTTTTAAGTCAATTATGAGGGCCTCAAGAGTATTTACATGTTATGTGTATGTCTAATCCAATATTGTTTGGCAATTCCTTCTTTAACTCAATGATTTTAGTGTTTCTCTTCCTTTAATCTACCATCCACCCAGATACTCAAAATTATCTTGATTGAATCTTTCTACAATGTATATGTAGATCAAAACATCAAATTGTATGCCATAAATATATACAACTACTATTTTTCAATTAAAAATTAATAACATTTTTTAAAAGGATAATTTTGGAGTCAATCCAGATTTCTTTTTCTCCCCACATAATTAAATACCAACAATTTTGTCAATTTTGCCACCCCACACCCTCAAATCTATATATTTCTTATGTCCGAATGTCTTTTTGAGTTCAGAATCTCATTAGCTCTTACCTGGTCTCACTGAGCTAACCTCCTGACTACTACTACCTAAGATTCTGCCCTTTAATTCTTCCTACAAACTAATTTGTAAATATACCTAAAACCCTTCAAAAATAGTTTATCTAAAGAATAACTCAAAAATCATGAAAATGGCATGTGTGGTCATTTGCGTTATGACTTCTTTCTAGTGAGCATCATAACTCATCATTTTCTATCTCTAATATCATATGTCAGAATTTTCAAACACTTGGCGTACTCCACCATTTCAAATCCTGTGCTTTCATATATCTGCACATGTTTTGACTCCACTTGGAATGCCGTGCCCTTTCTTCTTAAGAGAAACCAGTTACCTTTCTGGAGAATTTCTCCTCATTTCCGACGCCTCAGATTAATCATAACCCTCTCCACTAAGAATTCCTTGATTGCTGCAGGCTAAAGTGATCACTTCCTCTTTTGTGCTATGTCTTAAGCACACCTCTATTGTTATAGATAGTACATTTTATTAAAAATGGTAGTCTTCAACTTTATTTCCTCCCCTAAATTCTGAGTACTTTAGTGTATGTTTTCTTTTTTTTGCATTTGTGTTCTTATTTGTCTTTCCGATACCACGCTATCATTGGTACCCAATCAATATTTGCAGAATTAGGAGGTGAATGAACAGATGAATAAATACAGAGTGAATTTTACTTTAGAGATGCAGGTAAATCCAACAATGATTATAACAAAGGAACAACAAAATAAGAGCGTGTTTTGGCTTTATAGAGAGAAAGGTAATAAATGTGATTATAATATACTTGTGCCCTTAATAATGAGGTAGACACTTTACAAAATCACAGAATACTAACGTTATGTCCAGAAATTTTATGTGAAAGAAACAGAATCAATCAAGATGTAGTCCTTCAAAGTAGAATAAAAGCTATGATAGTAAATGAGCTTGAATTTTCTTGAGGAATGGAAACTAGTCATGGTAAAATTGCAAGATACTTTTGAATAGATGAAAGCTTGTATTTGTGTAATTCTTATACACTTGCAAGTTCTCTAACCTTTTCACTTTAAAGGAAATTATGATTGTTATCTGACTTGATATTAAATGAACAAGGAAAGTTTTAGTTTAAGGGCAGTCCAAAAACTATATCCAAATAAAAGCTTGCATATTAGTTTTAAAATAAGCTTTTATGAAACTGCAAAATAATCCTCCTTCAAATAGTCACGATACCAAAGAGGAAATTGAAGATACAGCTGTGAACTTTTATTCACATTCTGAAATCTGTACATCAAAGTTAATAATGGAGATAACGCTAAACTTATAATTGACTTCAAAACATATGACATTAATTTAAAATATTACTTCAACTCAGGAAAACTCGTACTACTTTTTAAAGGATTCAAGACTCAGAAAGAGAATATAACATGGTCTTCATTCTGATCTGCTTTAAGGATCATCAATGCGTTCATGTTCACTTCAAAACTGTACCTTCTTTATTAATCTATTCAAAAATAATATTTCATTATCACTTTTTAATCAATTCAATGGTGCACTTTTCAGTGTTTTAACATTTTTGAACTAGGCATGAACAGAAAAAATTGACAATATGTCATAGTTAAATTGATAGAGCTAATTAAATTTTATTGTGAAAGAAAATAATGGTGCGTGCAGCTCACAAGTTTAATTGACAGAGCTTATTAAATCTTATTGTGAAAGAAAATTATAATATATGCAGCTCAGAATATATGAAGGTCTTAGAAGCTTGAAGACATGAGGTTAAGTACCTAGAATTTGACTATTTTTTCCACTGTCAAGCCAAGTTGTGATCATTAAACTAAAAAGAAAATTCCAATATTCTCTATTCCAGTATCACAGAATATAATACTTGCATTTTGTCTCTTCTAGACATACCAAGATAAATGTTCCACAAAGGGAAGTCAAAATTTTCCATACAAAAGAAAACCAGAGTAAACTGCTATGCCTGGATTTCTAAAACTACTTAAACAAATGGCTAAATTGCCATGTATGTTTGATACTTCAACATGACATAAACGTCGTTAAATCCAGGATACAGCCATCTGGATAATGAAATTGCCCTTCCATCTCAAACGCAGTAATCACTGCTGCTCAGTGCCTATAGAAGCCTCCAAAAAAACGTATTTAAGATGATAATTAGATTCTATCTGATTCTCCTCACCCTCATGCTTGGTGAGAGGACTGGTTTTCAAGCCTCACCCTCACACTCTTGTGTTTAATGCTTTTCACTCTCTATGGAGTGTGACCCTGTTAGCTCTCAGAGGCTTTCTAGTTATTTAATCAGCACCATACTCTTTTACATTTTAGCATTCATAATTGTTCCAGTGCCTTAATTTGAATTCTGAAACTTGCTCCCTCGAATGTTCTTTCTTCCAATTTCTTCATGCCACTTGTTCCTTTTCCTCATCGTGGCCTCAAGTCCCCTGGTACCTCCCTATTCCTCAAAGTCATTGATGTTCTGCTTATCAACACATCTCCACATATTATGAATCCCATGATCCCCAATTCCTTTATCAATATGATAATTCCTGATTAGGACCACTCTCCACCCATCCCTCATAATGTTCTGTGTTTCTCCTTTCCTGCATGTATCTTGGTATTTGTTTGCATTTAATTTTAGAGTTAGTTTATGAACTTTCCTCTCTCATAACAGGCTTAATCATGATAAAAACAAGAGTCATGTCTAACAGAGATGACTTTTAAAGGTTGCTTAATAATTTTCTGAAGTTTAATTAACCATTTCTAGTTATATGGCTATTTGGGTCATTTATGTATTTTATTATCAAAAAATATCTTGAATACAATCTATTTTAGTGTTTTAAAATTTTCTTTAGAAAGAAATTTCCAAGAATAAGATGTATAAAAAAATCATGTTCTTAAAGCTTTTGATACATATTTCCAGATTGCTTTCTAAAAAGAGAATAGAAATTTGGCTTTCTACCAATAATCTATGAGGGTCTACCTCACCCTATCTTCCAAATTGTTCAATATTGAAATTTTTAAAAGCCTTTTCTAATATGATAGGTTTAAAAATATATTTTTGCTTTCAATTTGTAAGGCTTGATTAATACTGGGTTTAAAATTATATCCTAATTGTAAATATTTATAAAGACAAATTTGGTTATAATTCTACTTCTGTCAATAGCCTGATCTTAGGTTTTACTCCTTTTATCTATTTAGGTCCTATATTTATATTATACTTTATATAAATCCATGTTAAAAATCAATATATTGTTGATTTAAGATATTTTTGATTTTTAGTGTATTTTGACATAAAAGTATTTCACACATGAGATTTATATTTGTGTAACATCTTTCTTAATTCTATAATAATTTTTAGACATTAAAAGTCCTTTCATATCCAAAGATACATTAAACTTTCCTATATTAGTCAAGATGGTTTTACTTGTCAATTTTAACTCTGAAACTTGTCTGAATATCATTTTGTTATATAGTTTGAGATTTCTAATTGTAGTTCAGCTAAAGAAGACAGATTGAATGCATATCTTCATATTCTTTCTAACACCCTACCAAAATGACAAGGGGATAAAATAATACAAACCCACAAAGGAAAAGAGAAAGGGAGAAAGAAAACAACATTTTGGAGTTTAGAAAACAGGTAAAATTAGGTAATTAAACTGGCAGATTTGGGAAAGCTGAAACTCAGACATGAAATTAGTGAACTTCACATGTAAACCACTTTACTCTTTAAAGCTCAAGAAAAGCTTAGAGATGGCGGCAGGACCTACTACTAAGCAGTAATCAAGGCAGAAATACAAACCAAGATACAAGGTTAAAACTTCTATTTAGGAAATAATTAGAATTCCAGATGTCTTGGATGGTTGGATGGATGGGTGTTCATCTCCCTACCACAACATTTTCTCTTTGGTAAGAGTAAATCAGAAAATATCTGTGCTGGGGGCCATAAGGAGAGCTGAGAGCAAATGAAAGTAATTAGGGTTACATTAGTCAGAGTTCTCCAGAGAAACAGAACCAATAGTATTGTTTGTTTGTGTGTGTGTGTGTGTGTGTGTGTGTGTGTGTGTGTGTGTGTGTGTTGATGGTGGACGATGGGTTGAGGAGAGAAAATAAGAGAGGGAAGGAGAGAGAGAGTGAGACATTGATTCATTATAAGATATTGGCTTACACAGTTATGAAGATGGAGGAGTCCCAAGATCTGCAGAGTGAGTGCACAAGCTGTGGACCCAAGAGAGCTGATGGTATGGTTCCATTGTGAGTCTGAATACAGGAGAAGACCAATGTCCCAACTCAAAGACAGAGAGAGAACAAATTTTCCTCACTCAGGATTTTTCTTCTATTCAGGCCTTCAACAAATTAGGTGAGGCTTACCCACACTGGGAGTGCAATCTGCCTTACTGAGTCTCCTGATTCAAATGGTACCCACATCCAGATACATTCTCACAGACACACCCAAAATGATATATAACTAAATATATGTCTACTGTGTGGCCCAGTCAAGTTTACACATAAAATTATCACAAAAGTTAAGGAGTTTTCTACATATCAAATAGTCAGACCCCAGCCCACTTCTCCTATTCAGTTCACAGAATTTTGTCACCTCTGTTAAACCCTCCAGGCAGAAAACAGAGAAATTTTCCTCTGGTGAATCTGCATAGCTTAAGAAGTGAAGACCTAGAAGTACTGAAAGTAGGATTCCCTCAATTGAACTGTCATGCCAGATGATCCTACAGAGAATGTCAGTGTCCAAAAGTTCTTCCCACCCACAGAGCTCTTCAGTGAGTCACTCTGAAACATGCATCTATGATCAGGGATCAGGAGGCACTAGATGAAAAGCCTCTATATTTAGAAGGGAGACAGAATCAACAAAAAATGTTTAAGAAACACAGACAATGCAAGAAAAAAATTTTATTTTTAAAACATCCATTATTAATATCTATCAAAAGATAAAGTAGTACTTTTTTAATCCAGAGAAAATGAGAGAGTAAGTGAACTGTGGAAATTGAAAACATGATACTAGAACAGTTAAAAAATTAAATAGAATGGAGAAAATATAAACTTGAGAAAGTCCTTTCACACATATAACAGAAGGATAAATTGGTAGAAAATGGAAGAGGGAGGACTATTAGAGTATCAGTCCAGAAGTTACATCACTTAAGTAAAAGGAGTTCCAAAAAGAGCAGACAGAAAAACAGAGGTAAATAAAACATCAAAAACCATAGGGTTATAGGCTGAATTGTGCCATTCCAAAATGTATATTTATTAAGCCCTAACCCCCAGCACCTCAGAATTTGGGTGTATTTGGAGATAGGGCCTTTAAAGACATAATTAAGGTAAAATGAAGTCATATGAGTGGGCCCTGATTCAATATGCCTGTTGCCTTTATAAGAGAAGATTGGGACAGACACTCACAGAGAAAAGATGATGTAAAGACACAGAGAGAAGAGGGCAATTTTCCAGCCAAGGAGAGGTCTTAGAAGGAACCAATCCTGTAGACACTTTGATCTTGAACTACTGCCTTCCAGAATTATGAGAACATAAATATCTCTTGTTTAAGCCACCCAGTCTGTGGAGCTTTGTTTTGGAAGCCCTAGAAACTAATAAAAATAGTTCAGGAAATTTTATATCTCAAAAATAATAATGACTAAATTGAAAAATCCATCATGTGCCAATATCATGAATGAACAACAACGACAACAAGAAAAGCCCATGATAAGGCACTTTATGAAATTTCATAGCACTGGCAAAAAAAAAAAATCCAGAAAGAATGAGCACATGCAAAAGATGGATTAGAAATCAGAATTTCACCTGACTTCTGAAAGGCAATACTAAGAGTAGAAAGACAAGTGAAAAACGCTTTAAAATCGGAAAGATGGTGATATCTAAACTAGAATTCTATATCAATATGAGTTATCAGTCATGTATAAGGACAACATAAATACATTGATAGATGCGCAAGACCTCAAATTATGCATTGTCCATGCACTTTTTTTGACAACTTCCTGGAGATTCTCCATCAGAAAGAGAAGAAAACCAAGAATGAGGAAGCTGTGGGATGCAGGAAGTAAGGCATAAAACACGCAGAAAAGTGAAGGATGTCATGTGGATGATGGTGAAGGGGATCCCAGGATGAGAAATGCACACCATGCCTAGAAGAAAACCAGTCCAGGTCCGAGGAATGAATAGAGGACATTAACAGGGTACTTGAGAGGCTTAAATGTACTGAAAACACCTTGCAGTAAAGGCAGAGTTTGGGAATGAATTAGTGATTTAAAAACTTGTTTAAAAAAACTAAGCAAATAATAAAAATAATGTCAGTTCTTAACTTCAGGTAAAACTATCAGTTGTAAAGCAAGGTAAATGAAATCATGAGTCTGTTGTGACTAACATTTACATAACTATGATCATGTAAGAACTCATTTAAACAATTATGATACAATGATACTGGAGAATAGGGAAAGGTTAGGACAGTGGGGAGGGGAAGCTCTAAAAAAACAAAATGTTTCTCACAGCCTCACACAGCCTGTAGAAGGCAGCTGATAGATCCCATGAAAACCTAAGAAAAATCAAGGAAACCACAGAAAGAGCTAAGAGATTTGAAGATGATTATCATTTTGAATGGGGGATATGGTGGGAAGGGGCAAGCAGAGGGCAATTGTTCAATGTAAAAAGCCTCATAGAACTGTATGACTTAAAAAATGTACACATGTATAACATGAGTAGACAATTTAAATAACAAAACCCATTTGTACCCACATCATTACTAAATAATCTTTCCATTCTCTATTGTTTTTGATGTGGCCAAGTTGCAGACTAAATTATATGTTTATATGCTCATATTTTTAAGAGGAGAGAGGCTATTTGTACTATTTTATTATCTAGCAGTAGTTGTACTCTTTTATTATTATATACTATTATCTCGATAGTAAATAATAAATCAATTTATTTATAGTTGATTCATCAATTTATAATAATATCAATTTCTAACTATTTTCAAGATCATGATATCACAATATACTTTACTATTGGGAAAAACTATGGCTTCTTTAAAATTCTTTCTAAATTTCCCCAGAAATTATCTGATATTTCTTACATGAACCATTTTGTCAAAATTTGAGAAAAAAGAAAGAAAAAGAAAATCTCAGTAAACCTAGTGATTATGTAGCTGCGAGCCTCAAAACTAGTGATGATGTAGCTGGGAGCCTCAAATCCCGTGGGCTTTATACCTTGCCCACGTTGCTAACTCCAGATTCTTCAACAGATTCTGTCTGTTACTCAGCATTAATGATGCTGCTTCATATTCACCTATTCTTTTTTTTTTTTTTTTTTTTTTTTGAGATGGAGTCTCGCTCTGTCGCCCAGGCTGGAGTGCAGTGGCACCATCTCAGCTCACTGCAAGCTCCGCCTCCCAGGTTCACGTCATTCTCCTGCCTCAGCCTCCCGAGCAGCTGGGACTACAGGCGCCGGCCAACACGCCCGGCTAATTTTTCATATTTTTAGTAGAGACGGGTTTCACCGTGTTAGCCAGGATGGTCTTGATCTCCTGACCTCATGATCCAGCTGCCTTGGCCTCCCAAAGTGCTGGTCACCTATTCTTTTAATGTTCAACTATTTCTTACTGCATTCTTCATACTGCAGCAAAGAAGTTTCCTATCACTTCTTACAGATTAACCTTTTACTTCTCATTTTATTCTTCTGTAATTAGTCCCAAGTAAGTGTTAAAAACATGTAATTATCAATGTATTTCTATTTACTGTATAATTTATTTCAAAATATATGTAAGGCAACTCAAATCTACAAAACTAGAACCACGGACCTAAAGTTTAGATAACAAACCTGTCAGAGAGCTGAACAAATACTAAAAACCCTAATTGTGGCTTCAACAGATTTTGTAACATTCATACCATGGCAATTTAGCAGGTGGATGAGAATATCTTTGCCTTCATAACACTGCTAGCGGGCAACATTAGCCTACAATAGCTTGAAATCATCAATTAGCAGATGTTGTATGAAACACTGAATTCTGCACAGGAAAGGTGGTTTAGAGCTATGATGGAGCATGTAAGATACTGATAAAGACTAAAGTTGAATATGCAATATGGGAAATCACGGTGTGTAAAATCGAGATGGAACAGTTAGTGATTATAATTGTAATAACAGTAGTAATAACTAATAAAGTATGCTTTATATCTTTATTTTTCATTTAATCTATCTTTTTTTTCATAATGTCATCCCCATCATATAAATATATTCAAATCTTCTTGTCACTGCATCTACAATGAGGCGGTGAATCTCTCCAGTTTCACATTGCATCACAATTACACCTTGATGACACCTTGGACCTGATGGCTCTTATGGCAAGCTCAAAATGGGTCCCAAAACAACTGGGTTGAACACCAAGAGCAAAACCGATAAATAGAGCCATTTATATATGGGTGTGAAAAACATGATGGGACTCCACTAAATGCTTCTTGCCTTTTAGATGACAAGTCACCGGTTCTCATAAATGTTTTTGGTACTTTATCCTTATCAAAAATATTCATTGTTACTTCAGGTAAACACAGATTTTAGTTCCCTTACAAAAATTCCAATTAAAGTTTTAGACAAGGAGAGAGTAAAATAATAGAGCAGTAATACTTTCATTTATTTTAGGGCCTATTACCTGATTTCTTTAGACCTATTATCAGATCTTTACTAGCTGAAAGTCAGTTTACTCGAGGACACAAAGCATAAGCCTGTCCTTTTTTCCCAGTTGATTTATAAGGCGCCATTGCACTCAGAGCTGAAATTGCTTGCCCATATTTACTCCATTTTTAGTCAGGACAGCTCAGTTTAGCCAGTAGCTCAATAACTCTCACTGAAGTAAGGTAGCTCAAAATTTGTTTTCTATTTTTATTTTTAGTCTTCCATAATTGCTCTTTATTTTACCCTTTAAATTCTGCTTGTTCTCACAAGGCCAAGGTATAGCCCTATCTTGGAAATGTGGATAAGATAAATTAAAAATGTTGCTTAGAGTTTTAAAGACAGACAAGGCAGGTGTGATGGTTAATACTGAGTGTCAACTAGATTGGATTGAAGAATGCAAAGTATTTTTCTTGGGTGTGTCTGTGAGAGTGTTGCCACATTTGAGTCAGTGGACTGGGAGAGGCAGACCCACCCTCCATCTGGGTGGGCACCATCTAATCAGTTGCCAGCATAAAAGTAGGATTGGAAAGAGCAGATTTGCTGAGTCTTCTGGCCTCCATCTTTCTCCCATGCTGGATGCTTCCTGCCCTCAAACATCAGATTCCAAGGTCTTCAGATTTTGGACTTGAACTTAAAGCAGTTATTTGCCAGGGGCTCTCAGGCCTTTGGCCACAGACTGAAGGCTGCACTATCGGCTTTGCTACTTTTGAGGTTTTGGGACTCGGACTGCTTTCCTGGCTCCTCAGCTTGTAGACAGCCTATTGTGGGACTTCCCCTTGTGATAGCGTGAGTCAATTCTCCAATAAATTCCCCTTCAGATATACATCTATTTTATTAGTTCTGTCCCTCTAGAGAACCCTGACTAACACAACAGGCGATGCGATGTTTAAGTTTCTTTATCATGTGCACTTTGGGTAAGGAAAATAGGAAAATGTTCGTCAAAGGGTACAGAATTTCTATTATAAGATGAATAAGTTCTGAGAACTAATGTACCACATAGTGACTGTAGTTAATAATACTGTGTTGCTTACTTGAAATTTGATAAGAAAACATCTTTTAAATGTTATCACCACATACATCCCCAAAAATGTTAACTATAGGTAGTAATAGATGTGTTAATTAATTTGACTGTAGTAACCAGTACACAGTGCATACATGTATTAAATCATGTTATATGCCTTGAATATATTCAATTTTTATTTGCCAATTAAATGCTAAATAATAAAAACATTTTTAATTAAAAAATTAAAGTCTTCCCTCAAAAATATTTTCCTGATGAAGTGAATATTGTCATATTTGAATCATGACCACATCCACAAAATCACATGTAGAAATGCATTTAAGTAAAATTATTAAATTGAGCCTGTGAATGTAATAAATATTATAGAGACGCAAAGATATGTGACTTTAAGCAATGTAGCACTGCCTTGCTGTGCTGGAAACTAGCAACTGATAAAAAAGCATAAGGCATTTTTTTTTAACAAAGGCTTTATGCAGACCTCCATTTATTAATTATTCACACACATCTTACTTCTAAAATGACTTTGAGACAGCTTATAGTAAAAGCCCATATTCAATAAAACATTAAATAAGGTAAAAAGAATAGGAGTGCATGAGAAATGTCTGGGGCGGGGAAGATTTATGAAGAGAATAAAAGGTTCAGAGAGTAGAAATTATACCAGTAACTCAAGGCTAAATGTGTGAAATCATACAAGTACATTTAATTCAGGGCATTCTAGCAGCCAAGGCAAAAAGGGAAAGAAATGCTTTTCACACTTTTCGTTGTCTATTTACAGAAGTGTGCCTTATTGTTAAGCACATTTTTCCTAGTACTTAATTTGTTCCATAATATAACTATATCAAACATTGAACATAAGTGACAGCCTTTTATTAGCAGTCTCATAAAACATATAGTTTTTATGTGGTCAACACATGCAACTCTAAAGGCAAAGAAAATAAGATAAAATAGCAGTATCTGTGGAAACTAAACAAACGCATGTTTCAGGTTTTCATTATGTAACTATAAAAGTTAGAACCGCCCCTATGCTTTTCATTAAGAGTATTACTGTTAAAAGTCTGAAATTAATATGTGACATAAAAGTATATTAACAAACCTTAAAAGCTGCAATTACTCTGACATTTTAACAATTCTTTCCTATTCAGAATCTGAAACAGACCATATACATCATAGTGTATGTGTGTATGTGTGCGTGTATGTACACATATTTTCAAATACCTAGGAATACATATATGTGTGTGTGTGTGTGTGTATATATATCCACACATATATATGTCATATATACGTATACACACACATACACACACACACACACACTTCGGAATTTCAATCTTTAGAGTTGCATTAGTATTCCAATGTGTGTATATATATATATATACACACTCAGCCATAAAAAGGAACGAATTAACTGCATTTATAGCGACCTGGATGAGATTGGAGACTATTATTCTAAGTGAAGTAACTCAGAAATGGAAAACCAAACATCGCATGTTTTCACTGATACGTGGGAGCTAAGCTATAAGGATGCAAAGGCATAAGAATGATACAATGGACTTTGGGGCCTTGCGGGGAAGACTGGGAGCGGGGTGAGGGATAAAAGACTACAGATAGGGTGGACTGTACACTGCTTGGGTGATGGGTGCACCAAAGTTTCACAAATCACCACGAAAGAAATTACTCATGTAACCAAATACCACCTGTACCCTAATAAGCTATGGAAAAAAATAAAAAGTGAACATTAAAAAAACAGTAATTCTCTACAGTCACCAAATTTGTTATTCAGGTATAATTTGTGGAGGATCTAACAAAACATCAACATAATTATCAGTACCTTTTAGAAAAACTTCAATATCACTACAAAGGACATCATCTTATTATCTGCATTGATAATCAAATCAGTTAAATGAACTGAAATACCCAATATTTTAAGGAAGTTAATAGGAATTTAACAAACACCAGTTCCTCAAACTGTAGTTTTGACTTTAGTTCACTGAGGTATGCAAGTATTTATCCACATTTGAGTAACACTTAATTTTTCCAACACTTTATTTATTATTGAAAAAAACCACAGGGTAGAAAATGCCACCAGTGCAAAGTCCCCAGAAATGGTTCTACCATTACATACGAGGACACTTGTCCTCCCACAATGTTCTCTTGTCTCTATCAGCAATCTTGTGAATTCATTAAAGAGGAGACATTTATCAGGAAAGAAGAAAAAGTGTTTTATTTTATTCTCACTCACTCTTGCATTCTTTTGTTGTCATTGTTTGGATGATTTTGTTTAGGTTTCCTTTCACAGCACAGATTGATGACTTGGTTTAATTAAATTAAACAAATTAGTTCAATCCTATTTTCCAATGTGAATTTATTTGAAAATTTAGATAAATAGAAGATGAATTGAACAAACCAGTCACCTAAAAACTTCTTCGCATTTTGATTTTATGTTGAGTAAAAGGGCCAGGCTCCTGCTAAAGCTGTGTCTTCCGTATTCTGCAGCATTACTAAAGGTGTATACAAGATTGCTGCACTTATTTTGTAGCATGTATAAGAAACCACACAGTTCTCCCCACACAGAAACATGTTCCTCTCCAGTTCTCAATTATTATTTTTGCCAGACAGGCCATTCAAGCTAGCAACAGGATGAGTCACTTGAAAATATTTTATCTACTCGAATCTTAGAACTTTAAGAAAAAAATTGAGAATTTTCCTGATTTGTAAATTATATAAGACCAAAATGAAAGTAATACCTGCTAAACAGAGAGGGTATGGGAGAGAATTAAATGAATGTATGTGTAAGAAATGACTAGCAGAGTGACTAGCATGTAAGTAGGGACTCAATGAAACTTTTTTTCCTTTCCAGATTAAAAGATCTTTCCTATATTTTACAATACATTTTTTATAATTATTACATATATTGATGATTGTACATATTTCCATCTCCTACATTTTGGGAGCAGGAAACTTATTTCATCTTTGATTTCTCTGTGTCTGACTTAGTATTTACATATTATAGGTTCTCACTAACTATTCTTTGAATAAATCAAATAAGCATAAATAAAAGCTTTTAAACTGGATGAAGTTTATTGATCACAAATTATACTTTCAATAAAGGTGATAAGAAGTTAAATGTAATCTAAGGTACAAACATAAAAATATTACCTTCAGCTCATATAACATTACAGAGAGGCATAATTTAAATTATTTCCTGGATTATACTTAAATATATTATTCTCACGTCTTTAGGAATCAGACAATGTGCCACATTGTTTAATACAAATTGAATTAAGCTGGAATTTCATGTTATATGTAAAACTTATGTAAATAAGTTTTAGGAATATAAAGGCAAACTCATCCAGTATAAATGTATAGATAGACTTGTCCACTAACAATTAGACTGAATTATCTCTTTTAATAATCTCTCTTGGATATGTGCAAAACACTTAGTGACATACAGAATTCCTAAACAGAAGTTTCATGCTTTATAGAATCTATTGTCCCTCGCCGTCAAAAATATAGTCAGCAAGCATTTATTTCTACAAAATAGGAGTCAGTAGACCCATTAAATATTTACATAAGTCTGTCGTTGATGTATGTGAATGTGTTGCTTTTGCAAATAAAATTTTCCTGTATTAATGGTTAAACTTGATTTGGCACATACTATGCTCAGCTATTAAATATTGCCATTACCTGCTCTCAAAAAAGTAAAGTAAAAGGCCTGGAAAAGGCTCAGAATCCTGCAGGTTGTAGCATTCTGGCACCCACTCATCATATAAAGATTTTAAATTACAGTAAGATATATTTATTAAAACATTTATTCCCATGTGGACAGATTATAATTGGTCGTCACCCAGCATGAAAGCACCAATAGACAGCATTAAGATTAGAGACTATACATACCATATTGTATGCAAAACAACATCTCCATTGCAAATACCTCTCTGTTCTTCATAGATTACTTCACAATTTGATATGTAAAACACTTGTATATTTAAGAAACACACCATTTACAAGACAAAATTGCTGAAGTATAACCTGTAGGTATAAAAATGTCAACAATCTCAGCACTTCAGTTTTTAATTGGTGGTGGAATAACGGTGCTAATTATGGAAAATGAGCTCAATTAATTATTGTGAGAGTGTGATGCTGCAAGGAGAACCTACAAGCCTAAGGGCCTTTAGAAAGTGGATAAGTAAAATTTCTAAGCAAAATAAAATTTCTGTAGTAAAAATTCTAAGCAGCCCTTGTTACCTTAATGACTAACAATGACTGAATGAATTACTTTACCATAGTTTCAAGATGGTGCAAATATCTGAGCACAAGCAAATTTACCAAACCAAAGTAAAATTAGCACTTATCTTAATGTAAATACAAATCATCAGGTTCTGGAGCAGGTAGCTTATCACAACACATGACGATAGATGCAGCTCCCAGAATGAACATTACTCCTATAGAATACATTCAGTAATACATTCTACTGATTGACTGTCCGTACTTCTTGTTTTAGAACATTAGCACGTTGTATGAAAAACTGTTTGAATGAACCTTTTAAAATATTTCTTATGTATTAAGTTTGTGGGGAGCCCTAACCCCTAAGAAATGGTGTATCTGTTTGTGGGAAATTCTCAGAAGAAGCTCTTAAGTGCAAACCATGTGAACCTGTCCCCTGAAATGAGGAATCTGCTGAGAAAATGGCAAAGAGTTAAAAGCCAAAGAATAAGCCACGGACAAGGAACTTGTAAAGGATAGCACCTATATGCAAATTGGAGCCAAAGAGATCAGAACAAAGTAGATGAGAAACCACATGGCAATTCAAGATGGCTGCCTATGAAACAGACACAACTCGGTGGTCTTCTCTAGCTCTTTCTGCGACTCATCACTTATTCTTGCGTTTATTTCATGAAATCATTTCTCAGAGTATGGTTTCACGGTCCTTCACTAGATTCAGTATCATGGCCACCATGTTTTCTGGCATATATAGAGAGGTTAAATAATCATGTGTTGACTGAACAAATGGCAGAGATTAGGGTATAATAAGAAACTTGCTGGCTTTGATGCTAGTGGATAAAAATAGTTTATGAGCTAGACAAGCAATTAATACCTATATCAAACTTCAGGAAAGAGCTCAGGTGAGCATGTTCATGGATATACTATAATGAGAGAAGAGTCATTCTAAAGAATACTTTAAGTACTTGGTGTCCCAATAAATGACCCAGAACAAATAAGTGCATACAAAGATTGCTAGGATAATCTTTAATTTATCTTCATTTAAACAAATTAATGTGCTAAGTGCCTCTTTGGACTCACAATACTTTACATACTAAACATACAGAAAAAGACTAAAAATAAATGGAAGATATGCTTTTTTATTATGATTCCATCAGGGAAACTAGATATTTAAATATAAGTATTTTGACAAATAGCTGCCTCATAGAGATCAAAAAGATTGAGCTGAAACAGCAATTATATGTAAATATAGTAGGTCTTTTGAGATATCTATTTGAGATCTCTATTTTCACTCAATATGAGTGCCTTTGAGATCTCTATTTTCACTCAATCTGAGTGCCTTTTGAAAGAGTTTTTCCATGAAATCTGAAGTATTCTTTTAAGAGATTCTTAGGTTCTGAATATCTGAACTGCCAAGCTCCACAGAGTTTGTTTTGCTTATTTATTTGTTTTAACAAAACCTTGCTTTTGGATGAAATCACCCAAAAAACTTAGTTGTAACTCCTTCTTTTGCCAAATAAAGAAATGAAAAAATAATAAGTTATCCAGCAATTTACTAATATAGTCTTTAATGTTGATGTATTTTTCCATATCAGTCAAAATTTGGATGAAATACAAAGTGTACAATTTCTATTATTTGAGGTAATTATAAATGCATTTTCTGTTATTAATATGTAGTAATTTACTGTTTCATATATTACAAGGATAAGATTCTGAAGATTTGTAAATCAGTTACTAAATGGTCATAATTTATGTCTCTAAAGATTGTGATGTCTTAAATCAATAGTCTTGGTTTGCATTTAGAGTCTCTGCAAAATTTTTCAGATAATAGTATTTTAAAATAACAATTTTTTATTTTATATATCGAATGTCACTAATATATACAGATCCAAGGACACCAAACATTACAGGTAAATATATTGGAAAGAGGAGAAAGGAGGTAGAAACATGATTAAAAGTTCTTATCTAAATAATATTTTTTATATTTCTGTTTTATTTTCCTCCTTTTGTTCTCTTTCATAAAGATCCATTTTACTGCATGATTTCTTATGTTATATGCTTCCATTGAAGCATGTATGTTTCACACAGGTATAAATCAAATCGTTAAAGTTGTATGTGTGATTAAATGGAGTTATTTTCTCCCCATTCTTCAAGTCATACACAGCAAGTAAAACTATCAGAATTACAGTCTTAGAATAGACTATGACAGAGTAAAGCTATCAGAATTGCAGTCTTAGAATAGACTAAAGCAGATGTATACGGTGGCCTGTACTTAGTAACACAGCATTTAAGTGTCAGAACACAGAAAGAACCCAAGAATTTCTGAGGTATCACCCGTAGGCTTTCAAATACCATGCGTGAGATTTCAAAAATTGTGGCAATTTGGCCTGGTGGCTCACGCCTGTAATCTCAGCACTTTGGGAGGCCGAGGCAGGCAGATCACGAGGTTAGGAGATTGAGACCATCCTAGCTAACACGGTGAAACTCTGTCTCTACTAAAAAACCAAAACATTAGCCAGGCGTGGTGGTGGGCACCTGCAGTCCCAGCTGCTCGGGAGACTGAGGCAGGAGAATGGCGTGAACCTGGGGGGTGGAGCTTGCAGTGAGCTGAGATCACGGCACTGCACTCCAGCCTGGGTAACAGAGCGAGACTCTGTCTCAAAAAAAAAAAAAAAAAAAAAATTTTTTTTCAGACACCAGAATGAAAATGATGTCTCAAGGTAACCTGGAAACCAGATCCCCTAAAACACTAAGATAATTGATCCTTAATACTGTGTCTGTGTCTACATATCACTTTTGGATAGTCAGTGATTCTCCTTTGGTGATACCCATGGCTTGATGAAGGTTGACACTTAAAGGAACACACTTCTTGCTATCCAACCGGTATGTCTTGACCAGTTTTCTGTACGTGTTAATTGTAAAAAGAAATTATTCATCGTTCACGTGAACACATCCTTAATATCCGTCCATTCCATTTCTTTTCATAATGGTAAGAGAAGGACAGAGCATAAGCAATCAATGTCTAGAGAAAAGAAAATAATGAAAGTAGGGAAGCATCGCACTTTTAGGCAGCTACAAAATGTATGCGTTATTTTTGCTTGTCCAACATTGCTCTTCCTTATGCAAACAAACTGTATTTCCTGGAAACTTATCCAACTCCTACCCTATTCCTGCTAGTTTCATGCTCCATGCATTTCACACTAGCCTAATCTGACTGATTCCCACATGACCCAGGCACTGGCCTCTGTGGTTAGTTCAGAAATCAAGTGGCTCTGTATGGGCTAAGCAGGATAAATTCCAAGACTATGGATCTTTTAAGAAGGATGCACTGCCTTTCAGTTAAATATGCTGAACTTGTAGGAAGTATATGTGAAACTGCTGCTAAATATCCTTTCACTATAAAGAGAGAGCCTGACTGAGACTACACCTAACACAGAGCAAAGCAGAGCTAAAAAATGTAGAGAAATTGTGTTCTGACAACACTGTGTGAGCTTATTGTAGATGCAAATCAAGGTCTACTTGTAGGCTTTTTTGTTACACAAGCCAGTCAATATATTATTTTTCTCTCACTTCTCTGTCTCTCACCATCTTCAGTTTAAATTTCTGTCACCTGAAACTGAAATGGTTCAGATAAAAGGACTCCTTTCTAGTTGCTTAACTTAATAACATGTAGTGACTTATGCTTCAGGGATATTTTAGCCCTCAATATTGTTTCAGACACCAGAAAAAAACACACTTTCATCAGCACATCAAAGCCATGTATTATTCAACAATTCATAATGAGAACTTAAGTCTCCCAAAAATATTCCACGAGATATGGAAATTCAAATAAATCATAACATTTTACATTTCAGGAAACAAAATTAGAAAGAAAGAGAAAGAGACAGAGAGAGACAGAGAAAAAAACCTAGAACAAACAAGTTAAAATCAATTTGATATTGAATGTCAGCACATGAGTTTGTTAAATAAAAGATCAAAAATGACAAAAGAAAAAAAAGTTCAAAACTCTGCCATGCTGTCTCAGTAGTTTGTTGTTCTGGTTCCCCATCAAAGGTATTTTGCTCTAAGAGAAAATCCACTGCATAATATTTTTTTAAAATGACTGTAAATTATAAAAATATGCATCTAGATTTATATCACCTGTTAATTGAACAGAGGCATAAAAGCATGTTTATCAGCTTAAATATAATCATTTTGCTTGCTCAGGTCTCCTCTATTGTTATTTGTTTATCATCAGATATTTTAAGGGGGGAATTTCTTGAAAGAAAAGGGGACAACAAGATGCTTTGTTTTAAGCTGATGAAAATAAAAGCTGAGGCTAGATCATTGTTCTGTCTGCAGGAGACATTCAATAGCTGTTTACTTCTTGCCTGAGACCAAACCCAGAGTTAAACTTTGCAAAACTGAAAAGTAATAAACCAAGCATCTCTAGTAAAGAAAGCCCTTATTTTCTTTTAGCCACCTTTTTGAGCCACTTCACCATTTCACTCTGCCAATGCACATCTCTCACTCTGCCAGGGCCTTCACACTCTGCCTCATTTGTACCTAAAGTTGCTCTCATGAAACTAGCTAATGGAATCATAAAACCTAAGGAAGAGGTTTGTAAGTGATACTTCTTAGAGCTCGGCTTTCTGCACAATTACCTGAAGGCTACTGCATAAAATGAGGGTGAAAACCAGAAGGAGGCCAGAGTTTCAACCCTGGCTTCAAACAGAGATGTTCAACTTTCATCTAGTTTATATCGAAAGACTTCACTTAAAATCTTATTTGGGGAAAAAAAGGAAGTGGGGAGTAAATTGAAAAATGTGACAAACTAAAAAGCTTCTTGCACAGAAAAAGAAATAGTCAACAGAATAAACAGTCAACTTACAGAATGAGAGAAAATACTTGAAAATTGTGCCTCTGACGAAAGACTAACATACAGAATCTACAAGGAACTCACACAACAAGGAGAAAAACCCAACTGCATTAAAAATTGGGCAAAGGACATGAACAGTCATTTCTCAAAATAAGAAATAAAAACAGTTGTATAGTTTAGATACCGGTCTTCACCCAAATCACATGTTGAATTGTAATCTACAATGCTGGAAGCGGGGCCTGGCGAGAGGTGTATGAATCATGGGGGTAGATCCCTCATGGTTTGGTGCTGTCTTCGTAATAGTGACTTATCATGAGAGCTAGTCATTTAAAAGTGTGTGGCACTCCCCTCTCCCACCACTCTCTGTCTCTTGCTCCTGCCCTGCCATGTGAGACGACTGCTCCCTGTTTACTTTCTGCCATGAGTAAAAGCACTCTGAGGCCTCCCCATAAGCCAAGCAGATTCCGGTGCCATGTTTCCTGTATAGCCTGCAAAACTATGAGGCAATTAAATCTTTTTTCTTTATAAATTAACCAGTCTCAGGTATTTCTTTATAGCAACACAAGACCAGCCTAATCCAAGTGACCAAAAACACAGGGAAAAATGTTCAACATCACTAGTCATGAGAGAAATGCAAATTAAAACTGCCATGGGATATCATGATGTTACACCAGTCAGAATGGTTATTATGATAAAGTCAAAAAACAACAGATATTGGTATGGATGTGGAGAAAAGGGAACACTTATACACTGTAGGTGGGAACATAAATTATTACTTCAACCTCTGTGGAAAACAGTATGGAGATTTATGAGAACTAAAAATGGAACTACCGTTTGGTGCAGCAATTTCAATACTGGGTATCTGACCAAAGGACAAGAAGTAATTACATATTTTTTAAATCTGCTCTTGTATGTTCAGTGTAGCACTATCCACAATAGCAAAGTCATGGAACCAAGCTAAGTGTCCATCAATGGTTGACTGGATAAAGAAAATGTGGGGCATATATATATTTTATATAATCATGTTCTTTACAGCAAAATAGATGGAGCTGGAGGTCATTACCCTAAGTGAACTAAGTCAGAAGCAGATAAATACTGCATGTCCTCACTTATGTGTGGGAGCTAACAATGGGTACACATGGACATAAAGATAAAAATAATAGACACTGGGGACTTGAAATGGGGGAGATGATGGGGATAAGAGCTAAAAAATTACCTATCAGGTATAATGTATACTATTTGGGTAATGAGTACATTAGAAGCCCAGTCCCTACCAGTATGCAATATATCCATGTACTCCTTGAATCCAAAATAAAACAAATGTCTTTAAAAAAAAATGAAATGAGGTGGTTCAACTCTTGCTGCAACAGCTGTTAAAAGAAGTATAAAACCACTGTACCCAAAGATAAGTGCAGAGAACACCATCATATTAGTTCATTTGCAAGCTGCTGATGAAGACATACCCAAAACTGGGCAATTTACAAAAGAAAGAGGTTTAACTGGACTCACAGTTCCATGTGGCTGAGGAGGCCTCACAATCATGGAGGAAGGCAAGGAGGAGCAAATCACATCTTAGATGGATGGCAGCAGGCAAAAAAAAAAAAAAAAAAGAAAAGAAAAAAGAATACCTTATGCCCGGAAACTCCCTTTTTTAAAACCATCAGATCTCATGAGACTCATTGAGTATCATGAGAACAGTGCAGGAAATACCCGCCCCCATAATTCAATCACCTCCCACCAGGTTCCTCCCATGACATGTGGGAATTGTGGGAGTTACAATTCAAGATGAGACTTGGGTGGGGACACGGCCAAACTGTATGAACCATCTTAGATAAAATTGCCGTATTTTAAGAACAGAAACAATATTCATCGAAAAAATAGTCTTTCATGGTGAAATACTGACATTATTAAGCTGGGAATAAAATTTTGGTTTCATCCTTCCAGTATGGTCTTATTTATTTTACTTTCCTTCCCCTTCCTTCTTCCCTTCTTTCTTTCCATCCATCCTTATTTTCTTTCTTTGGGTCTTTTCAACTTCAATCTTTTTCTTCTGACTCTCTTTCTCTCTCTCTCCAGTTCTCTTTTTGTCTCTCATTTTCATTTTCTTTTTTCCTCTCTGATTTTCTTTCTTCTTTTCTTCATGGAAAATTATTACATTGACTTTGATCATTCATCACACAAATATTTGGGACATGCACTTATCCACCTTACTTCCAAAGTTTATAAGATGTCAAAAAGAGAAAAAGAGATGCCAAGTTTCCTATGAATAGAGTTCTTTAAGAAAAATAAATTATAATAGTATAGATCAAATATTTTTAGTGTCTATGTCTTAGACTTTTGCAACTGCTTTTCCCTGTTCCCCTACTCCATTTTGTTTATCAGAAGGGATCTAAAGTTAAAGTTAAATTGTTACTGTCCTCCTTAGAAAACTTTCTTGGCTCCTCCTTTTTATAATTTAAAAAATGTCTAAACTGTTTTCTCAGGTATCAAACACCTTTTAGTTTGGTCTTATTACTTTTTCAACCTCATGTCCTGCCACCACCAACACTACTAACAAAATTGAAATTATTTCTTATTCTTAAATATGTTTTATTGATATCAGTAGTTTATGTTAGAAAATAATTAGCCCATGTGAAGCAAGGCAAGGTGGGTCATGCCTTAATCCCAGTGCTTTAGGAGTTCAAAGCAGGAGGATTGCATGAGGCAAGGCACTCAAGATCAGCCTGGGAAACATAGTGAGACCCCATCTCTACAAAAAAGAAAATTATCAGGGCAACTTGGTGTATGCCTATAGTCATAGCTACTCACAGGGCTGAGGCAGGAAAATAACTTGAGCCCAGGGAGTTCCAGGCTACAGTGAGCTATGATTGTTGCCACTGCACTCCAATCAGGGCAAAAAAGAGAGACACTGTCTCAAAAAAAAAAAAAGAAAAAGAAAAGGAACAATTTCAAGACATTAAATGCAAATAAATACAAACAAATTACAATTACAGAAAAAAACCTGAATTACTACAGAAAGTTCTGGTTTCTTTAAAGAATTTAAGAAATTCTCACAAACTTTAGTATTGCAAATGGGGTAGATTTCTTAAATCATGTGAAAAGTCGAGAACAAAATATAATTTTTAAAAAAGGGCTTATTTATAAAAATGGTAAGGTTCATACACTTTAATCTTAGAGAATCCTGTATATCCCTCATCTTCAAAAAAATACAATTTAAAATGAATTTAATGAAAATGAATAAGTTATTTTTATAATCACAGAAATTTTTAAATCTATACAAATATGATGATTTTCATACTCTACTTGTATTGTCCTCACATTTTCTGTCTATTATTATTGAAGGCAAAGCTGGAGTTCCAGATATAACTTTATCTTAGATTGCTTTTTGATAGTTGTTTGAAGACAAAAATCATGCCAAAGCAGCAAAATACTTTTTTAATTAAGCAAATAAAATATTGAAAATGGGAGATTTTTATGAAACTAAAAAATGATGAAAAATAACATGCACACCTAGATTCACTAGTGAATCCCTTGCTCAGTCATTCTTTGTCTCTGGAAAAAAAATAGTGATTGAGATTCCTCCCTGACCCTACATATCTGTGATACATGTTTCCACCTAGGGTATTGAACACTTTCAGGGAAATCCCTTTTCTCTACCTGCAGAAGTGGGAAAATTCTGATCACAAATTGAAAACTGTTGGGTAGTTGCTATTTTAGTGATACAAATGAACAAGGCAAACCTTTGACATTTTGGTAGTGCTCAAAGTGATTCCCCATCCTTCACTTCGGTATGTAACATGGCCATTTCCAAAGGTGAACCAGTGCACACTCTCAGGAAAGGAACCAAACAATTCAAGAAGAGGAAAGCACATGCCTATTCAAATAAATTATAGAATAATTAAGAATAATCATTCTATTTAACTATTAAACTATCCAGATAATGTTCTAATACTGCAAGGGTGGCAACAAGGAGATGTGAGGGCAGCCATTTTCCTCCTGCATAAAGGACAAAAATGTCTTCTACTGCCGTTGTCTTTCATAAGTGCCAAGAAGACATCTTACTATGGAGTGTATGGGTTTGAGCCTCTAAACAGATCAAAGAAAATGGTCTGTTTTGATACAAAATATCATTTGATTTTAATTTACACTGCCATTTGTAATAACGGTTTTCATTTTAAATCTTTAGTCACAAACTACTAGATGATTTAGATGAAAATAGGAATTTTGAAAGTCCACAAAATCCTATTCAACACTTATTTCTAACATCTCTATTATTCAGCTTGCCAATAAAATCCAGTTGCTTTATCTCTCTCTTCAAGAATGAGAACTTTTTGTTTTCTTTCTCAGAGAGGAACTTAAAAAGTGATGAAGCAGTCTCACTTCATGAGATGGTGCCTTTTACACACCAGCTGTATCTGTGAGCTATTTGATTCCTAGAACCAATGGCCTGTGCTCTGCAGTGTGTAGTTATCTAAACATGGGGTAGATCCATTTTGCTTGCCCAAGGAGACAGACTACTGGGTCTTTATAATTTATTAAGTGTTAAAACCTACACGAAGTTATAATATGTAATCCTATTTTATTGCACAAGCAAAGAAGAGAGAAGAAAATTTTAGTTTAACTACCTGACCTCTCGCAGAATTTGTCTGCTGTGATAAGATAAATTAAGTGTTCTCTCCGTTTCTCTTCAGTTTCATTTGCTCTGCTCCCAATAGTGTTTCAACTTAACTTCTATCATTCAATGAAGTTTCAGAAAAGAAAACATTTGGCAGCCAATGGTGGGTGAATATTAGGAAAGGCAGACTCAGTTCTGATCTCCATACAGTTCAAGGTAATTAAAGAGGCAAACACAAATAATTGTGCTCAAAGATCTTAAAATCAAGGTAACAACTAGAGAGTTCAATACTACTCAAGACTATGGTGGGCAAGAGAGTCTTCAAAATTATCATCTAATCTGCTGATGTTGACTCTGTCTTAGTAAGTTATAAGAATAGTTTGGATTTGCTATGGTAGCAAGCTTCCTGGGCATTAGGTTTTTATTTTTTATTTTATTATATTTTCATTGTTGTCGTTGTTTCATTTTTCCATAAGTTATTGGGGTACAGGTGGTATTTGGTTACATGAATAAGTTTGTTAGTGGTGATTTGTGAGATTTTGGTGCACCCATCACCGAAGCAGTATATACAGCACCCTATTTGTAGTCTTTTATCCCTCGTCCCACCTCACTCTTCCTCGCAAGTCCCCAAAGTCCATTGTATCATTCTTATGCCTTTGTGTCCTCATAGCTTAGCTCCCACATGTCAGTGAGAACATACAATGTTTGATTTTCCATTCCTGAGTTATTTCACTTAGAATAATAGTCTCCAATCTCATCCAGGTCACTACTAATGCTGTTAATTCATTCCTTTTTATGGCTGAGTAGTATTCCATCATATATATATATAAACAGTTTCTTTATCCACTCGTTGATTGATGGGCATTTTGGTTGGTTCAACGATTTTGCAATTGTGAATTGTGCTGCTATAAACATGCATGTGCAAGTACATTTTTTGAACAACAACTTCTTTTCCTCTGCGTAGATACCCAGTAGTGAGACTACTGGATCAAATGGCAGTTCTACTTTTAACGCTTTTTTTTTTTTCCATACTTTAAGTTCTAGGGTACATGTGCACAACGGGCAGGTTTGTTAAATGGATATACATGTGCCATATTGGTTTGCTGCACCCATCAACTCATTCTTTACATTAGGTATTTCTCCTAATGCTCTCTCTCCCCCAGAGCCTCATGCCCGACAGGACCTAGGTGTGATGTTCCCTGCCCTGTGTCCAAGTGTTCTCATTGTTCAATTCCTATCTATGAGTGAGAACATGCGGTGTTTGGTTTTCTGTCCCTGTGATAGTTTGCTGAGAATGATGGTTTTCAGCTTCGTCCATGCCCCTGTAAAGTACATGAACTCATCCTTTTTATGGCTGCATAGTATTCCATGGTATACATGTGCTACATTTTCTTAATCTAGTCTATCATTGATGGACATTTGGGTTGGTTCTAAGTCTTTGCTATTGTGAACAGTGCAACAGTAAACATACGCATCCATGTGTCTTTACAGCAGCATGATTTATAATCCTTTGGGTGTATACCCAGTAATGGGATTGCTGGGTCAAATGGCATTTCTAGTTCTAGATCTTTGAGGAATTGCCACACTGTCTTCCACAATGGTTGAACTAATTTACACTCCCACCAACACTGTAAAAGCGTTCCTCTTTCTCCGCATCCTCTCCAGCATCTGTTGTTTCCTGCCTTTTTAATGGTTGCCATTCTGACTGGAGTGAGATGGTATCTCATTGTGGTTTTGATTTGCATTTCTCTAATGACCAGTGATGATGAGAATGTTTTCATGTGTCTGTTGGCTGCATAAATGTCTTCTTTTGAGAAGTGTCTGTTCATGTCCTTTGCCCACTTTTTGATGGGGTTGTTTGTTTTTTTCTTGTAAATTTTTTTAAGTTCCTTGTAGATTCTGGATATTAGCCCTTTGTCAGATGAGTAGATTGCGAAAATTTTCTCCCATTCTGTAGGTTGCCTGTTCATTCTGATGGTAGTTTCTTTTGCTGTGCAGAAGCTCTTTAGTTTAGTTAGATCCCATTTGTCAATTTTGGCTTTTGTTACCATTGTTTTTGGTGTTTCAGTCATGAAGTATTTGCCCATGCCTATGACCTGAATGGTACTGCCTAGGTTTTCGTCTAGGATTTTTATGGCTTTAGGTCTTACATTTAAGTCTTTCATAAATCTTGAATTAATTTTTGTATAAGGTGTAAGGAAGGGACCCAGTTTCATCTTTCTGCATATGGATAGCCAGTTTTCCCAGCACAATTTATTAAATTGGTAATCCTTTCCCCATTTTTTGTTTTCATCTGGTTTGTCAAGGATCAGATGGTTGTAGATGTGTGGTGTTATTTCTGAGGCCTCTGTTTGGTTCCATTGGTCTATGTATCTGTTTTGGTACTAATACCATGTTGTTTTGGTTACTGTAGCCTTGTAGTATCATTTGAAGTCAGGTAGCGTGATACCTCCAGCTTTGTTCTTTTTGCTTAGAATTGTCTTGGCACTGTGGGCTCTTTTGTGGTTCCATATGAACTTTAAAGTAGTTTTTTCCAATTCTGTGAAGAAAGTCAGTGGTAGCTTGTTGGGGATAGCATTGAATCTATAAATTACCTTGGGCAGTATGGCCATTATCACGATATTGATTCTTCCTATCCATGAGCATGGAATGTTCTTCCATTTGTTTACGTCCTCTTTTATTTCATTGGGCAGTGGTTTGTAGTTCTCCTTGAAGAGGTCCTTCACATTGCTTGTAAGTTGGATTCCTAGGTATTTTATTCCCTATGAGGCAATTGTGAATGGGAGTTCACTCATGATTTGGCTCTCTGTTTGTCTGTTATTGGTGTGTAGGAATGCTTGTGATTTTTGCACATTGATTTTGTATCCTGAGACTTTGCTGAAGTTGCTTATCAGCTTAAGGAGATTTTAGGCTGAGACAATGGGGTTTTCTAGATATACAACCATGTCATCTGCAAACAGGGACAATTTGACTTCCTCTTTTCCTAATTGAATACCATTTATTTCTTTCTCCTGCCTGATTGCCCTGGCCAGAATTTCCAACACTATGTTGAATAGGAGTGGTGAGAGAGGGCATCCTTGTCTTGTGCCGGTTTTCAAAGGGAATGCTTCCAGTTTTTGCCCATTCAGTATGATATTGGCTGTGGGTTTGTCATAAATAGCTCTTATTATTTTGAGATACATTCCATCAATATCTAGTTTATTGAGAGTTTTTAGCATGAAGTGCTGTTAAATTTTGTCAAAGGCCTTTTCTGCATCTATTGAGATAATCATGTGGTTTTCATCATTGCTTCTGTTTATGTGATGGATTACATTTATTGATTTGCATATGTTGAACCAGACTTGCATCCCAGGGATGAAGCCGACTTGATAGTGTTGGATAAGCTTTTTGATGTGCTACTGGATTCAGTTTGTCAGTATTTCATTGAATATTTTCACATTGATGTTCATCAGGTATATGGGTCTAAAATTCTCTTTTTTTGTTGTGTCTCTGCCAGGCTTTGGTATCAGGATGATAATGGCCTCATAAAATGAGTTAGGGAGGATTCCCTCTTTTTCTATTGATTGCAATAGTTTCAGAAGGAATGGTACCAACTCCTCTTTGTATCTTTGGTAGAATTCACCTGTGAATCCATCTAGTTCTGGACTTTTTTTGGTTGGTAGGCTACTAATTATTGTCTCAATTTCAGAGCCTGTTATTGGTCTATTCAGAGATTCAAATTCTTCCTGGTTTAGTCTTGGGAGAGTGTATGTATCCAGGAATGTATCCATTTCTTCTAAGTTTTCTAGTTTTTTTCTTTTTGCGTAAAGTTGTTTATAGTATTCTCTGATGGTAGTTTGGATTTATGTGGGATTGGTGGTGATATCCCCTTTATCATTTTTTATTGTGTCTATTTGATTCTTCTCTTTTCTTCTTTATTTGTATCGCTAGCAGTCTATCAATTTTGTTGATCTTTTAACAAAATCATCTCCTGAATTGATTGATTTTTTGATGGCTCTTTTGTGTCCCTATCTCCTTCAGTTCTGCTCCGATCTTAGTTATTTCTTGTCTTCTGATAGCTTTTGAATTTGTTTGCTCTTGCTTCTCTAGTTTCTTTTAGTTGTGATGTTAGGGTGTCAATTTTAGATCTTTCCTGCTTTCTCTTGTGGGCATTTAGTGCTATAAATTTCTCTCTACATACTGCTTTAAATGCATCCCAGAGATTCTGGTACATTGTATCTTTGTTCTCATTGTCTTTAAAGAATATCTTTATTTCTGCTTTCATTTCATTACGTACCCAGTAGTCATTCAGGAGCAGGTTGTTCAGTTTCCATGTATTTGTGTGATTTTGAGTGAGTTTCTTAATCCTGAGTCTAATTTGATTGCACTGTGGACTGAGAGACAGTTTGTTGTGATTTCTGTTCTTTTACATTTGCTGAGGAGCACTTTACTTCCAATTATGTGGTCAAATTTAGAATAAGTGTGATGTGGTTCTGACAAGAATGTATATTCTTTTGATTTTGGGTGGAGAGTTCTGTAGATGTCTATTAGGTCTGCTTGGTGCAGAGCTGAGTTCAAGTCCTGGATATCCTTGTTAACTTTCTGTCTCGCTGATGTGTCTAATATTGACAGTGGGGTGTTCGAGTCTCCCATTACTATTGTGTGGGAATCTAATTCTCTTTGTAAGTCTCTAAGGACTTGCTTTATGAATCTCGGTGCTCCTGTATTGGGTGCTTATATATTTAGAGTAGTTAGCTCTTCTTGTTGAATTGATTCCTTTACCATTATATAATGGCCTTCTTTGTCTCTTTTGATCTTTGTTTGTATAAAGTCTGTTTTATCAGAGACTAGGATTAGAACCCCTGCTTTTTTTTGCTTTCCATTTGCTTGGTAGATCTTCCTCCATCCCTGTATTTTGAGCCTATGTGTGTCTCTGCACATGATACCGGTCTCCTGAATACAGCACACCGATGAGTCCTGACTCTTTATCCAATTTGCCAGTCTGTGTCTTTTAGTTGGGGCATGTAGCCCATTTACATTTAAGGTTAATATAGTTATGTGTGAATTTCATCCTGTAATTAAGATGTTAGCTGGTTATTTTGCCCATTAATTGATGCAGTTTTTCATAGCATCAATATATAATTTGGCATGTTTTTGCAGTGGCTGTTACTGGTTGTTCCTTTCCATGTTTAGTGCTTCCTTCAGGAGCTCTTGTAAGGCAGGCCTGGTGGTGACAAAATCTCTCAGCATTTGCTTGACTGTAAAGGATTTTATTTCTTCTTAACTTATGAAGCTTAGTTTGGCTGGATATGAAATTATGGTTTGAAAATTCTTTTCTGTATGAATGTTGAATTTTGGGCCCCACTCTCATCTGGCTTGTAGGGTTTCTGCCGAGAGATCAGCTGTCAGTCTGATGGGCTTCCCTTTGTGGGTAACCCGACCTTTCTCTCTGGCTGCCCTTAACATTTTTTCCTTCATTTTCACTTTCGTGAATCTAACAATTATGTGTCTTGGGGTTGCTCTTCTCGAGGAGTATCTTTGTGGTGTTCTCTATATTTTCTGAATTTAAATGTTGGTCTGCCTTGCTAGTTTGGGGAAGTTCTCCTAGACAATATCCTACAGAGTGTTTTCCAACTTGGTTCCATTCTCCCTATCACTTCCTGTTACACAAATTAAACGCAGATTTGGTCTTTTCACATAGTCCCATATGTTTTGGAGGCTTTGTTAATTTCTTTTTACTCTTTTTTCTCTAATCTTGTCTTCTCACTTCATTTCATTAATTTGATCTTCAGTCAGTGATATCCTTTCTTCCAGATGACTAGGGTACATCTGTTCCTTAGGCCCTCCTGCCAGACAGCTCTTCCCAGGGCCCCTGCCTGCAAACAGGAAGGAGGGTGTGCATAGCAGCAGCCTCCACTGTCCAGCCTGGGTGCTTTACTAACAGATGCACTTAAGTACTTTGCTGGGGGCCTGGATCATTTTGGACCTCCAAATGTAACCAGTACCTTATCCCAAGGGGCCAGAAAAAAATAACTATGAGCTGGTTCCTGTGCCTCAGGGTTGCAGTGCACAGCTCCAGAGTACTGAGCTAAGATCTGTGCCTGACACTTGAGCAGGAAAGGAGCCCTCACTCTCAGAATACTGACAGGGTTGAGAAACATGGGCTTATGGGCCAACAAGGGAGCAGGGAAGCCATCCCTTTGTAGGGCTAGTCCAGAAGAAGTGTGGCCTATTTTCCAGGCCTGGCCTCTGTCCAAGGGAGTCCCATATCCCAGAACATCTTAAAAAGGAAATGTAGGCTCAGCACCAGTGATCAGAGGGGACTTGCCCAAAGATCGGGAGCAAACCTGGAGAAGGGGTCATGTCTCTCCCCTCCCTCACCACAAAGTATGACTGAGAATGTGAAGAAAAACAAAAGATTCATGTGGCTGAGTAAAAGCCTATCTGGTGGCCACTACTCTTAAGGGCCATCTACTGGATCACAGCCAGAATTATAACACCAAAAAACATTCTGCCAATATACATTTCTGTGAAACCCAGGACAGAAATTCAGCCAAAATTAAAGGTCCTTTACAGAGTCATGGCCCTCTGAAAGCACCTAGAAATTAAGCCAATTAAGTATAATCACCATACACCACAGTTAAAGGAACCCCGGCCTTCTCAGATGAGAAAGAATAAGTGCAAGAACTCTTGATATTCAAAAACCTAAACATCCACTTAAGCCCATTAGCTTCCCAGCAATGGTTCTTATCTAAATTGAAAAGGCTGAAATGACAGACATACAATTCAGAATCTGGATGGCAAGGGAGCTCATCAAGATTCAGGAGAAAGTTGAAACCCAACCCAAGGAATCCAAAAAGTCCAATAAAATTATCCAGGAGCTGAAAAATAAAATATCAATTTTAAGAAATATCCATTCTAAGAATGAAAAAAATATCCATTTTAATTCTGGAAATGAAAAATTAACTATAAGAATTTCATAATACAAACAGAAGTATTAACAGCAGAAAAGACCAAGCTGAGCATAGAATCCCAGAGCCCAAAGACCAGTTTATTGAATCAACTCAGTTAGACAAAAATAAAGAAAAAAAACTTAAAACGTGAACAAAACCTCTAACAAATATGGGATTATGTAAAAAGACCAAACATATGACTCACTGACATTCCTGAGAGAGGAAAGAGTAAGCAACTTGGGAAGCCTATTTGAGGATATAGTTCACAAAAGAATTTTTCAATATAGCTAAAGAGGTTGACATGCAAGTTCAAGAAATACAGAGAATCCTGGAAAGATACTATACAAGATGATCATCTCAACATATATAGTCATCAGATTCACCAAGGTCAACATAAAAGAAAAAGTTTCAAGCCAGCTAGAGAGAAGGGTAAGATCACATACATAGTGAACCACGTCAGGCTAACAGTGGAACTCTCAACAGATATCTTGCAAGCCAAAAGGGATTGGGGCTTATTTTCTGTGTTCTTAAAGTAAAGAAACCCTGGCAAAGAATTTCATATACACAAAACTAAGCTTTATCTACAAAAGAGAAATAAAATCCCTCTCAGAGAAGTGAATGCTGAGAGAATTTGTTGCAACTAAACCAGCTTTACAAGAGGTCCTTAAGGAACCTAAACATGGAAACAAAAGAACAATACATGTTACCAAAAAAACACACTTCAACAAATAGACTACAGACACTATAAAACAACTACACAATCAACTCTACAAAACAAGCAAAACCACATAATGACAGAATCATAATTTCACCTATCAATACTAACCCAGAATGTAAATGACCCAAATGCCCCACTTAAAAGGCATGTAGTGGCAAGCTGGATGAAAACACAAGAGCCAATCATCTGCTGTTCTTAAGAGACCCATCTCACATGTAACAACACCCAGACATTCTAAGTAAAGTAAGAGAGAAAGAGCTACCATGCAAACAGAAAACAAAAAAGAGAAAGAGTTGCTACAGATATATATATATATATATATATATATATATATATATATATATATATATACATACATACATATAAAATCAGACATTAAACCAACAACAATTTGAAGGACATTATATAATAGTAAAGGATTCAATTCAACAAGAAAATGTATTTATCCTAAATATATATGCACCCAACATTGGAGCACTCACAATTATAAAACAAGTCCTTTTGGACCTATGAAAAGACTTAGACAGTCATAGAACAATAGTAGGAGACTTCAACACCTTACTGGCAGTGTTAAGCAGATTATTGAAGCAGAAATCTAACAAAGAAATTCTGGACTTAAACTTGACACTTGACCAAGTGGACCTAATAGACATCTACAGAATACTCCATCCAGCAGCCGTAGAACATACATTTCTCTTATTTTCACATGGAACATACTCTAAGATCAACCACATGCTCATTAATAAAGCAAGTCTCAAATTTTTAAAAAAATTGAAATCATACTAGGTGCACTCTCAGACCACAGTGAAATAAAAATAGAAATCAATATCAAGATCCCTCAAAACTATACAAATATATGAAAATTAAACAACTTGCTCGTGAATAATTCCTACCCAAAGAGCAAAATTATGGCAGAAATAAGAAATAATTAATGAAAATAGGAACACAATTTACCAAAATCTTTGAGATAAAGCTAACGCAGTGTTAAGAGGAATGCCTATAGCACTAAATACCTTCATCAAGAAGTTAGAAAAAACTCAAATTAATGATCTAACACTGTACCTATAGAAACTAAAAAACAAGAACAATCCAATCCAAAAGCTAGCAGAATAAAAGAAATAACTAAGATTAGAGATGAGCTGAATTAAATTGAGAAAAACAAACCTAGAGAGGAGCAATGAAACCAAGAGTTAGTACTTTGAAATAACAAACAAGATGGAAAGACTGTTAGCTAGATTGACAGAGAATGGCAACAAAAGTCAAAATTGACAAATGGGATCTAATTAAACTAAAGAGCTTCTGCACAGCGAAAGAAACTACCATCAGAGTGAACAGGCAACTTACAAAATGGGAGAAAATTTTCGCAACCTACTCATCTGACAAAGGGCTAATATCCAGAATCTACAATGAACTCAAACAAATTTACAAGAAAAAAACAAACAACCCCATCAAAAAGTGGGCAAAGGACATGAACAGACACTTCTCAAAAGAAGACATTTATGCAGCCAAAAAACTCATGAAAAAATGCTCACCATCACTGGCCATCAGAGAAATGCAAATCAAAACCACAATGAGATACCAACTCACACCAGTTAGAATGGCAATCATTAAAAAGTCAGGAAACAACAGGTGCTGGAGAGGATGTGGAGAAATAGGAACACTTTTACACTGTTGGTGGGACTGTAAACTAGTTCAACCATTGTGGAAGTCAGTGTGGCGATTCCTCAGGGATCTAGAACTAGAAATACCATTTGACCCAGTCATCCCATTACTGGGATTATACCCAAAGGACTATAAATCATGCTGCTTTAAAGACACATGCACATGTATGTTTATTGTGGCACTATTCACAATAGCAAAGACTTGGAACCAACCCAAATGTCCAACAATGATAGACTGGATTAAGAAAATGTGGCACATATACACCATGGAATAGTATGCAGCCATAAAAAATGATGAGTTCATGTCCTTTGTAGGGACATGGATGAAACTGGAAATCATCATTCTCAGTAAACTATTGCAAGAACAAAAAACCAAACACCGCATATTCTCACTCATAGGTGCGAACTGAACAATGAGAACACATGGACACAGGAAGGGGAACATCACACTCTGGGGACTGTTGTGGGGTGGGGGGATGGGGGAGGGATAGCTTGAGGAGATATACCTAATGCTAAATGACGAGTTAATGGGTGCAGCACACCAGCATGATATATGTATACATATGTAACTAACGTGCACATTGTGCACATGTACCCTAAAACTTAAAGTATAATAATTTACAAAACAATAATAAAAAAATAAAAAGAGAAGATCCAAATAAGTACTATCAGAAATGACAAAGATGTCATTAAAACTGATTCTACAGATATACAAACGATCATCAGAGAGCGTTATAAAAAATTCTATGGACATAAATTAGAAAATCTAGAAGAAATGGATACATTTCTGGAAAAACACAACCTCCCAAGATTGAAACAGGAAGAAATAAAAACCTGAACAGACCAATATTGAATTCTGAAGTTGAGTCAGTAATAGAAACCTACCAACCAGCAAAATCCCTGGATGGATACATAAACAAATTCTACCATATGTCCAGGAACAACTGGTACCAGTTCTATTAAATTATTCCAAAAATTGAGCAGGAGGAGCTCCTCCAGTCTATGAACCCAGTATCAACCTGACAGGTACCCAAGGAAACAAGAATCTGACACATACCCAAGGAAACAAGAAAACATCAGACCAATATCCCTGATAGACATATATTCAAAAATCCTTAACAAAATACTATCAAACCAAATACAGCAACACATCAAAAAGTTAGTTCATCATGATCAAGGAGGCTTTATTCCTTGGAAGCAAGGCTTCTTCAGCATACACAAATCAATAAATATGATTTACCACATAAACGTAATTAAAAGCAAAAATCATATGAACATCTCTATAGATGCAAAAGAAGCTTTTGATAAAATCCAACATTCTTTCATTCAATAAACTGGACATTTAAAGAATATACCTCAAAATAGTAAGAACCATGTATGAGAAAGCCAAAGCTAACATCCTACTGAAAAGGCAAAAGCTTGAACAATTCCCTTTAAGAACTGAAACAATGATACCCACTCTCACCACTCCTATTCAACATAGTATTACAAGCCCTTAGCCAGAGCAATCAGGCAAGAGAAAGAAATAAAAGGCATCCATATGGGAAAACAAGAAGTCAAACTATCTCTCTTTGCTGACACTAAAACTTTATACCTAGAAAACTCTTTAAAGACTACACCAAAGGGCTCCTGGAACTGATAAATGTCTTCAGTAAAGTTGCAAGGTACAAAATCAATGTACAGAAATCAGTACTATTTCTATACACCAATAACATTCAAGCTGTGCGTCAAATCAATAATGCAATCAGATTTACAATGGCCAAAAAAGGAGGAAATATCCAGGAATACAGCTAACCAAGAAGGTGAATGATCTCTGCAGGAGAACTACAAAATACTGCTGAAAGAAATATGAGATGACAAAAATAAATGGAAAAATATTCCATGCTCATGGATTGGAAGATTCAATTTCATTAAAATCACCAAACTTCTGAAAGCAATTTACAGATTCATGCTATTCCTGTCAAACTACCAATGTCATTTTTTCACAGAATTAGGATAAACTAGTCTAAAATTAATATGGAAACAAAAAACAGCCCAAACAGACACAGCAATCATAAATAAAAGGAAGAAGCCAGAAACATAATACTCCCTTACTTCAGACTATACTACAAGAATAAAGTAACCAAAACTGCATGGTACTGATACAAAAACAGACACATAGGCCAATGGAACAGAATAGATAGCCCAGTAATAAAGCTTCACACTTACCCTATCTGATCTTACACAGAGCCAATAACAAACAGGCAATGGAGAGTGATTCTCTATTTAATAAATGGTGCAGAGATGACTGACTAGCCATATGCAGAAGAATAAAACTGGATCTGTACCAATATAGTTTTAAGTTTGTTCCTTCCAAATCTCATGTTGAAATGTGATTTTCAATTTGGAGGAGAGGCCAAGTGGGAGGTATTTGGGACATTGGAGCAGATTCCTTATAAATGACTTGGTGCCATCCTTGTGGTAATGAGTGAATTCTCACTATGGTAGTTCATGTGAGATCCAGTCGTTTAAAAGAGTGTGGCAGCTCTTTTCATTAAATATTACCCAGCCTCAAGTTTTCCTTCATAGGAATACATATGGACGAACACACCTACCTTCCACAATATACAAAAGTTAACTCAAGTTGGATTAATGATTTAAATGTAGGACCTCAAATGATAAAAATTTTAGAAGAAAATCTAGGAAATACCCTACTTGACACAGCCTTGGCAAAGAATTTTTGGCTAAGTTCCCCAAAGCAATTGCAACAACAACAAAAATTAAGAAGTGGGACCTAATTAATTAAAGCGCTTCTCTACAGCAAAAGAAACTATCAACAGAGTAAATAGAGAACCCACAAAGAAACTACAAACTATGCATGCAACAAATATCTAATGTCCAGAATCTGTAAGAAACTTCAGATTCAATAACAAGCAAAAAACAAGTAACTCCATTTAAAAATGAGCAAAGGACATAAACAGAGTGCTCAGAAGAAGACACATAAGCAGCCAACAAACATAGAAAAGTATTCAATATCATTAATCATCAGAGAAATGCAAATCAAAACCACAGTGACATACTATCTCACATCAGTCAAAATGTTAAATCATTATTAAAAAGTCAAATTACAGATGCTGGCAAGCCTTCAGAGAAAAGGGAACACTTATACACTATTAGTGGGAATGTGAATTAGTCCAGCCACTGTGTAAAGGAGTTTAAAGATTTCTCAAAGTTCTTACCAGAGTTGCTGTTCAACCCAGCAATCTCATGACTGGCTATATAACCAAAGAAAAAATAAATTATTCTAATGAAAAAGACATAAGGACTCATGCTGATTACTGTACTATTGACAATAACAAAGACATAGAATAAACCTAGGTGCCCATCAATGGTGGATTGGATAAAGAAAGCATGGTACACACACACCATGGAATACTATGCAGCCATAAAAAGAAATCATATCCTTTGCAGCAACTGGGATGCAGCTGGAGGCCGTAATCCTAAGCAAATTAACACAGTAATGGAAAACCAAATAGCATGTGTTCTCACTTATTAATGGGAGCTAATCATTGAGTACACATGTGCATAAAGACAGGGCCAATACACACTGGGGATTACTGGAGGGGAGGAAGGAGGAGGAGGGCATGGATTTAAAAACTACCTATTGGGTACTTTGCTGGGTGATGGGATCCATACCTCAAACCTCTGCAACATGCAATATAGCCATGTAACAAACCAGCACATGTACCCCCTGAATCTAAAATAAAAGTTGATATTATTTAAAAAAGAAAGAAAGAAATAATACAGGGGATCATCAATTCTAAAACACTGCCAGATAACCCAAATTTTTCCTGGGAGATAGAAAATTCAATATATATTGTGTGTTATTACATACGAGGCCTAAATTAGTGCATATGTGTATATCTAAGAATATATATTCCTACTCACTTGATCCCTGTAATGATTCTGGAAATAATATATTATCTCACACTACAGAGGACAGAAACAACCTAGAATCAGCTTTACCAAGAGCAAGGAAAAAGGCACTTGATATTGTCTGGAAAAATCACTAGCCTCAAATGGAAAGACTTCAGAGACTTCCCAAACATGAGTTTGAACCCTGTCTCTCCCATTTCCCACCTGAGAGGCCCTGGCTAGGGGAAAAAAGTGATTTTAGGGAAGGATGCCCAGAGTTACTGTGACATTTGAGAAGAGCAGGCCACAGAACATCTGTTCAAAATAAATGTGCGTAACACCTGGCAGTAAAACTCACTGGGGAGTAAAATCCTGTTAGTAAAAGTTCAGCAATATGTCATTTATGAACTGTTTTCTTTAATCCTCAACTCCATGGCAATAGAGATTCTTGCAGTTTATGAATAAGCACAGCTTTCAGCTACAATTAAAATTTAAGTTTCTGTCTATTACATAGGTTTGGAAACTAATATTTTTATGTGGCTTTTGACTACAGCAGCAGCTCCTTTACTGGTGGATGGAAGTTCTTAAGCAGCAATTTTCTTAAAATGTTTGCCTTTTCTTGGTCTAATCTGCCTCCCATTATGATTTTTTCAAAAATGCAGAAGGCAGCATGCACTTGATCTTAATTGTTTACCATTTTAGTTGGGAACTGACTGTATGAATTCTAGCTGCTCAGTACATTAAATAATATGCATTAAAAATTGTTAGAGCTTATCTGCTATTCTATAAACATTTGTTCATTTTTGCTTCCTGGGTTGATTTTTTGGAATATTTCTATTGTGCCATTAACACCATGACTGACAAAAAGCATATAGTGTTTCCTGAAGGGAAAATAGAGGATAAAATATAGAAACAAATAACCAATCTGGAGTGATCTACGGCATACCCCATGGTTTGGACAACTCATGACAGATATATATTGATGTGGTTAAACACAGGACACAAAGTCAAATGTCATGGGTCAGAATGCCAGGTCTAGCTGCCCATGTATGTGCTAGCGGACAAGTTACCCTCTAAATTACCCTATAAATCTCAGTTTATAATATTGAATGAGAGTGATAAAACCCAACACAGGACTTCTCCAAGGAATGACTAGAATAATGTATACAAATAATTTGGTATGTGGTAATTGCAAAACAAAGAATAGATTTTAATAATTATAAATGTATGTCTGTGTTATTTACTATAATTTCTTGGTCATAATATTTGTGTGAATTTATCTATATACACATATCCAGTGTAAAATAGTCATCTATCTATCTATCTACAGTGGGAGACCCAGAGAGATAATAATAAATATATACAGAATGAAAGATATATCATTATAAGTGATAAAATAAAAAATATAATGCAATGGATTTATAATATCAGCTTTATGGTATAATGTGACTTTCTCAGAATCAAATATTTCACAAGTTACAACTGACTGTTCCTGCCGAAACCAATCAGTTCACTGAAACAGGAGAGAGAGATTTCTTCTGAGAGCAGTAATTTATCAATTTTTCTCTAGGGTACTTGTCATTTCCAGTCCTAATTTAAATATTCCTTTCTACCTCCTTTATTATAACTTCTCAGAAGCTTTGGCTTTACTCTGATTTGCCTTTTTATCTGCCATAGTTCTTAGCATATTGAACACACATATAAATATTCAAATAAGGGCAGAAATCAGAGTACTACAGACATGTAGATTTATTGTGGAGCTTCTCAAAGAGACCTTACCTCTTGATAAACTACCTTAAAAATATTTAAAACACAAACGAGTTAAAGATCAAGGAAACCTTCTGAAGCAAAACAGAAAACTTAGAAGCTGTAAAAATAAGGAAAATAAGGAAAAGATACATTTGATTGCATGGAAGTGTAAAAAATGTCGTATGACAAAAAACATTAGAAGAGAGGTCACATTAGAAGTGAAAACATTTAGTTCTATAAAACATGAATTTGTCTCTATAATATAGAAATAAATCTTTAAATGGGTAGGGATAAAAGATAGTCAAACATAGGCAACAATGCAGAAAGGTAATTTACAGATTAGGACGGGGCTCAGCCTCAATAATTAGTAAAATGTATATTAAAGCAATTATAAGGTGTCACTTTACCACTGAAATTGATTAAAAATAGTAACACTCATTGCTGACAGTATATGGGGAAAAATGTGCTCTTCTATATGGCTGAGGAAAATAAGATTAGTAGAAGCCTTCAGAAGAAGAAATATAGCTATGTGTACTAAATTAAAAATACACATAATGTTCAACCCCACAATGGCATTCTTCTTAAGCTACCACATGAAATGGAAAGGCTACAACATCTAGGAACAAGGAAGTTTATCACAACAAGATATTCAGCAAAACAAAACAAAAATCTAGAAATAAATTGAAAGCTACCAAAGGGTAATAGTTTAATAAATTAATAAATTAGGATATTTTCATACCATAGATGGTTTATAATTATACTAGTTAGCTGGAGCTATTTCCTCAATATATTTTAAGTGACTAAAGCAAGATGCAGAGAAATGTATGTAATATGGATGAATTTACATAAAGCCATGCAAACAAGAAACTGTATATTTTTATGTGCTTATCTGAGCATGGAAAAAAACAGAGTGGAAACAAATGTACTGCACTATTTGCATTGGTTGCCTGTAGTCAGAGAAGTGAAAGAGTAATATTAAAAAAAAAAAACACAATCAAGTAGTTGCTGTTGTGGACCATGTGCCTCCTTCATGTTGTCAGGGAAACAAAAATAGAAGGTGTTGATCATTTTGAAATAAAAGTTGGAAATTAAAAATATTCAAAGTTTGAATACACGGAATCAAGATAAAGATTTCTAAAGAGAGTATTCAATATTCACATTACTCTAGAAGCACCCAAATCACAAAGGTTGTACAAAAAGGATTCCCAAATAAAGATCTAAACCATGCCAAATAAGGAGATTGATATAGACAATAAGCAACTCTAAGGTAACACCACACACCTACATAAATACACACACGCAACATACACAGAGACACTCAGACACACATATGCTTCATAAGCCACTAGGCGTTTCTGTAAACCCTATCACAATTTGAGTCAGTTATCAGCTAATTCTCTCTATAGGGAATTAGCTTGTCCTCTGGAATGAAAGTGATCAATTGAATTTGATTTATCTTCCTCCACCTCCAGTCCATGTTGTCACACTCATCTCTCCTGTCGGAAGACCAGGCTCTATAACGCAACCTGACAAGAGAAAACCAGAGTTTAATTCTGGACAGCTTTCTATAGTAGTAAGTTAGACAGGGAGACTAAAGAATTTCTTATTTTCTCCTTTGTCGTAGCTTTGTTGTAGCTACGACAAAATCCTAAATGCAAGACATCCTTTTTCAGAGAGTACAAAATGTATGTCAGACTATCTTACTACAGGACCAGAAGGGAGGGGCAATGAATTATGGGCAAACGAGTCATTTTCCAGGTGATCTCTTTTCCATTAAATTCACTGAGACAGCTTCTTGCCTAAAACATTCACAAATGTCATAGTAAAAAATGTGTTGGCAGCTTGGACAGAGTAGCATGTACTCCATTGTCACACAATAAGCCTTATCAAGTATTTTTCAGGCAAGATGATTGCTTCTTTTCTGTAGGTAATTATAAAGTGTGGATAGAAAGATCAACAAACTTGGCCAAAGTCAAACTACTACTACCATCATTCTACCACTCCCAATATTTAAACCTCAGTATGGCAAATCTTTCATAAAGCTATTGAAATAACAACACAAACATATAGAAAATGGTCAGAAAGATACCCTGGTGCTCATGCTACACTGCATGAAACTAGAATAAACCAATTGCTTAGGCAACAGGCAACTATTTGAATACTGAAATCTTAAAGGAATAAAAACTCTAGGAAATTTCAATTCATCATAATACAGACCAGTAGAGGAAAATGATGCATGGGAAGTCAAAACCACAGATAAGCGCACACCATTTGAATGTTGGATGTTTTTCCAAGAGAGAGTCAATATTGACATGTGGAATTACATATGCATGTACTAGTGTGTGTACACACATACCCATATGTTCTGTGACAGGATATTGGGATGCCAGTGGAAATCAGTTCGGAAAGTAAATCTGCTGTAAATAATACATAAAAATGGAATAAATAAGCTTTTATTACCACTTACATGAAATATATTCCTATAAAAAGAAGGAATTCATGTTTAAACGATGTAAAGTAATGAAATTTTTGAAAAGTAGCTTTTAGTGAATATTTGAAAGAAGGATATGGGTACATAGCCATTCACCACATAATTTTTTAGTCAACAATGGACCATATATACAATGGTGGTCCTCTATGATTATAATACTATATTTTTACTGTAACTTTCCTGTTTAGCTCTGTTTAGATACACAAGTACTTACCATTATGTTACAATTACCTACACCATTATTCGGTACAGTAACATGTTGTTCAAGCTTGTAGCCTAAGAGCAATAGGCTAGACCATGTATACTAAGTGTGTAGTAGGCCATACCATCTAGGTTTTTCTAAGTACACTCTATGATGCTTGCACAATGACACCGTCTAATGATGCATTTCTCAGAATGTATCTCCATAATTAAGTGACACATGACAGTATTCTAGTTGTCTACATTTCAAACTCATGGGTAAAATGTTCCTAATTGTGGTCACTTCATTTCTTGTCATTATATCTCCAGAAAAGAGACAAAATTGCAAGCAGACACTCTTTAAAAATAAAATAAAATAAAAAGCACTGACTATCACAAAACCTGGGACACACAGAATATACCAACACTATTTTATATATCCATACAACATATATACAATGAATTGTATCATTAATAAAGTTGAAAAATTAATTGTTAAAGAATAATATACATACTCAGAGTCTACAGTTGGGATCAGTGACTTCCTTACTACCATTTTCAAAGGAGGGCTTAGTTCTCTTGTAAACAATTCCATTGAGCCATAACCCATCCTTGCCAATTCTCAAGGTCCCTACATATAACTCACAGTCATCCTCTCCACCCCAAACTTCATCACCCTGGATGACTTTAATGGCCAAGTTAAGTTAATGATCAATCTAGTACATATTCTTTTTTTTTGTTTCTTCAAGATTTTTGTATCTATATTACTTCAACCAAATTTCTTTCATCCTTATCCTTAACTTTCAGAAATGTTTGACATTGTTGACAACTCCTTCTCATTCCATGGCCTCCATGACTGACCTAATTTATTTAGGCTTCTCTGATCAGCTCTTTATTTATCTTGTTTTTCTTAGCTTTTCCTTAAACGATTCTGTTTCTCAAGGCTCAACTCAAGGTCTTCTGTTTCCTCTAAGATATGTCACCTACTAAATATTATTATCTATCTAACTCCAGGCGTAACTGAGCTCTTGTGAGCTTTGTACTCATACATTATATTTCTTTGAAGCCAAAATCCTATCTAGTTTAAGACACATCGTTATTTTGTCTATTTAAAAAATGCTGTCGAATTACTCCAGTAAGTTTTTCTTAATATTTATTATGCTTATTAAAATATATTTTAGGCATATTTATACAAATGTCTTACTATATATCAATGTCGAGCATATATAAAAATTTTCTAGTGAAATTAGTGGGTTAAGAATTTCTAAAATAATTTTACATTCAGACACTTCTGAATAATTTTTTTACTCAGACTTACTAATGTCTGAGTTTTCCCTTATAACATTATCTTCCATACCATCATAAGTATTAGTAATACAGCATTTTTAAGTGCTTTAGTGGTATCTCAGAAATATTATTCCAAACTCTGGATACAATTCTGCAAAATTTGATGCATATACCTTCTTGAACTTACAAGATGTCATTAAACAGTTCCTAAGACAACAATCAGGATTCACGTAAGAGCCTTCACAAATATCTCTTACATGGTTTTTATCTGAAACATTAAAAAATTGCAGATGTCCAGTCATGACAACAGGAATAACAACTAAGGAAACACTAAGAATGACAACCACATCAAAATTGCCACTTGAGCAATTGTGATTCAAAGATGTCATTGATTAAGATGCATTCCAATGACAAAAATGCAAAAATTAAAAAGATGTGTCAAAGTCAGTGAGGTATTTATCTCTGTTTCTGCAGAGTCTGTGCTTGTTAGAGGTAAGGGTGGTGGTTACACAATGGAGACGACGAGATAGGTACATAAAGGCAATTTCTTAATTACTGCTAATGTTTGGCTTCTCAACATACTTGCTGGTTTCACTTTTGTGTTAAATTAATCCAAATTCTCCAGATTGGACATTCATAACATATGTGCTCTCCTGTATGTATGTTATGCTTCAATAAAAAGTTTTTAAAATCTATAAGAGCCAAAATTCTTCGGAATGTTCTCTTTATATATCAGATGGTTTTCATGGAGTATGTGATTAAAACTATCAACCACATTAAAGTACATTCCCTTAATTCATGACTGTTGATGCAGCTCTGTGAGGAGACAGATGCAGAGCACATAAGTCCTCTCTTATACACAGAAGTGAGAGAAGTTTCTAAAGGTAGATCACTGACCAGAGTTTTTGAGTTATTAGAGGTGCTCCAGAGATTTCTTTTAGACAGACAGTCACCACTGGCAGTACATTCCAGTGACACAGAATGAGTCACAAAACTTGCTTGCTTGTGTGCCATATTCAACCTGCTCAACAAACTCAATCTATCACTTTAGGGGAGAACAACTACTGTGTTTAAGTTGGCAGATAAAATGGTTGCATTCAAAGCCAAACTGGAGTTATGGGGGTGACGAGTAAACATTTTTGACCTGTTTCAAACACTAGCAGAAATTCTGAAAGAGATTGAACCAGGGCCTTCTTGCTCCCATCTGGTGAATGATCACCTGTCTCAGCTTTCAAAAGAGTGTGAGCATTACTTCCAAACCAGAAACTTCCCCAAACTGGGAAGGAATGGATTTACAACCCATTTGTGAATAAGCCCAGTAAATCACCTTTGTCCGTGGTAAGAGGATTAACTGTTTGAGATCATAAATGATGGTGGCCTTAAAAGTATGTTTGAGACAACTTCAAATCTCCATATGTTCAGATTAAAGTCAAGGCAGAATATCCTGAGATTGCTACAAAAACACTAAAGAGCTTGTTTCCATTTCGAACATCCCATTTTTGAAAGAGGGGTTTTCTGTAGTGACAGTAACCAAAATGAAATTACAAAGTAGAGTGAACATAAGCAACACACTTCGGGTGTCACTGTCTCTGATCATCCCCAGATGGGACCATCTAGTTGCAGGAAAACAAGCTCAGGGCTCCCACTGATTCTACATTATGGTGAATTGTATAATTATTTAATTATATATCACAATGTAAATGGAATAATAATAGAAATAAAGTGCACAGCAAATGTAATACCCTTAAATCATCCTGAAACTATCCACTCACCAACACCCTGGTCTGTAGAAAAATTGTCTTCCATGAAACTGGTCCCTGGTGCCAAAAAACGTTACATTTAAAAGAAAATACTGATTTAACCAACCACTGTTTTAACCACTGATTTAACAAATAGAAAAATTTAAGATATTTTGAGGATTAGTTGTGTTGCAGGAACTATTATTCACTGAAATCTATATTCTCTTTAACTTTGTGGACACACAGCTTGACTGCACACTCGGTCTCCCTTGCAGTAGCCATTTAATTGAGCAATAGATAATACGCTGGGATGAAAGTAAAGCATTTCGCTTACAAGCTCGCTTCATAAGAATCTCCTAAGCATATTTCTTTTTGCTTTAGTCAACTTCTGATTGGCTGGAATGTAAATGAGTGGAGTGATTTTATAAGCCACCTATTGTAACTGTGATGTAAGCAAGAAATAAACTTTTTTTGCAAGCTTGTCCAACCAACCTTATTTTTTTGTTGTTCTATTTTGTTTTGTTTTAGGCTTTTAGCAGCCTGAAGCCTTGGTTTTTAGTTTCTGTCTCTAGTGGTAAGCAGAAAAGAGGCATGAGGAAGAGGCTTTACTGGCCCAAACAGAAACAGAAACTAAGAACCAATGACTGTATTCCCACCTCTGGACACCCTTAGAAGGCATTGTAGATATCTGGGATTATTTGTTAGAGAAGCTAATTTTACATTAATATAGTGAGGCTGTAAAGTCTGTGGAGGACAAAATTTTACATATTAACTAGTCAAAAGGAGAATAAAGATTTGCTTTAAAAATTAAAAAATCTACTGAGGTAAAGGTCTAAATACATGCCTTAACTATGTTATTTATTTTATTCAATATTCATTGCATGTGGACTCTGAGAAACAGTGATGAGTGATGAGTCAGACAGTAAGATATAGCTCATTTCCTCAAAAGTCTTACTTCAGATGTGGTTAATTTCCTCAGAAGACATTTGTGAATGTTCTTCAAAATAAGAAAATTGAGTAATCAGGGTCCAAAATTCTGCACCATAAACTGTTGCGGGAAGTCAGGGACCCCAAACGGAGGGACCGATGGAAGCCATGGCAGAAGAACATAAATTGTGAAGATTTCATAGACAATTATTAGTTCCCCAAATTAATACTTTTATAATTTCTTACACCTGTCTTTCCTGCAATCTCTGAACATAAATTGTGAAGATTTCATGGACATTTATCACTTCCCCAATCAATACTCATAATTTCCTATGCCTGTCTTTACTTTAATCTCTTAATCCCGTCATCTTCGAAAGCTGAGGATTTATGTCGCCTCAGGATCCTGTGATGATTGTGTTATCTGCACAAATTGTTTGTAGGGCATGTGGGTTTGAACAATATGAAATCTGGGCACCTTGAAAAAAGAACAGGATAACAGCGATGTTCAGGGAACAAGGGAGATAACCATTAGGTCTGACTGCCTGAGTGCCAGGCAGGACAGAGCCGTATTTCTCTTGTTACCAAAAACGGGTAAGAGAAATATCGCTGAATTCTTTCCCCAGTAAGGAATATTAATAATTAACAGCCCTGGGAAAATAATGCATTCCCGGAGGGGGGCCTGTAAAATGGCCGCTCTGGGAGTGTTGCCTTATGCAGTTGAAGATAAGGGATGAAACATGCCCTAGTCTCCTACAGCACCCCCAGGCTTGCTAGAATTAGGAAACTCCAGCCTGGTGAATTCTTGTCAGACCAGTTCTCTGCTCTTGAACCCTGTTTCCTGCTAAGATGTTTATCAATGGCAATGTGTGCCTAGTGGGACATGGACCTTCATTAGCAATTCTAGTTTCACCCTGACCTTGTGATCTTGCCTTGACCTTCTGCCTTGTGATCTTTTATTACCCTTGAAGCATGTGATCTCTGTGACCCACACCCTATTTGTACACTCCCTCCCCTTTGAAAATCGCTAATAAAAACTTGCTGGTTTTGTGGCTCAGGGGGCATCAGGGAACCTGCCAACATGTGATGTCTCCCCCGGACACCCAGCTTTAAAATTTCTCTCTTTTGTACTCTTTCCCTTTATTTCTCAGACCGGCCGACACTTAGGGAAAATAGAAAAGAACCTACGTTGACATACTGAGGGCTGATTCCCCTGATAATAAACCATGGTCAAAATAATTTTAGCATAGGACATTCAAAGCATATTAAATCAAATGTTCAGCATAATGATAAATAAATTCCAAAAAGTATCCTTGCAATCTTAAATTTCAGAAATATTTGTGGGACTTTGTGAAACCCCCTCCAAGCTCGGTTATTTGCAAAATATATGATAACAAACTGCATTACCTGATTTGCTAAACAAAGGTTTTGGCTATAAGTCAACCTAACTGTGAAGAACATTTTTCAAAAATGATGATTTGGGTTGAAAAATAATTGTCTTTGAATGCTTCTTTCTGACAATAAAGAATGAGGCAATGATCTGTTAGGGTCAAATCCAGTTGGTGACAGTGAAATGTTATAATCAGCATAGTGCAAGCTTTTCTACTCTCAGTGGCAGTCGGCAGGTATTTATCTCGATCAGAAGTGTGTTCATTAGGTGATAATTAATGTTTGAGTTAAAAAAATAAGATATTTCAAAGTGATGAAAACCATCTGATATATAAAGAGAACAGTTTTATTAATGCTGGCCCTTATAGATCTTAAAACCTTTTTATTGAAGGATAACATACATACAGGAGAGCACATATGTTGTAAATGTCCAATTTGGAGAATTTGGATTAATTTAACACAAAAGTGAAACCAGCAAGTATGTTGAGAAACAGAACATTAGCACTTATTCAGAAATTGCCTTTATGTACCTTTCTAGTCATCTCCATTTCCATTGCTTAACCACCACCCTTACCTCTAACAAGCACAGACTAGTGGTACCTTTTTTTTTCCTACTCTTTGTACCTGAAAAAATATAGAATGCATTGGTTTGTATTTGGCATTTTTTTTTCGCTTTTGTTGTCCACACAAGCTGTGTGAGATTTTTCTGTAATGTTAATGTTTTACATATGTTTAATTCTAGTAGGAATAGTTAAAAATTTTCCAAGGTGGTTTAACCAATGTACATTTCCATCAGCAGTGTATGAAATTCTAATTACTCTATGCCCTTGCCAACACTTGTAAGACTTATTATAGTTATTAACCATTTTGATGTTGCCCTTTATGCAGTACCTGTTCAACATTTTTGCCCATTTTTGAGTGAGGGAGGTTGTCTCTCTTTTGCTTATTGATTCATAGGAACTGTATGTAGAGACACACATAAATATATGTGCATGCCTATTTAGATACAAGTTCTTTGTTAGATAGATGTATTGTGAATATCTTCTCTAACTTTGGTTTGCCTTTTTACTTTTTTAATTGTATGTTTCAATGAACACAAGTTCTTAGTTTTATCTAATTTTCATTTTTTCATTTTTATGGACTTGTGTTTTTTCTCTTGTTTTACTAATTTTTGCCTACTCTAGAGTTGCAAAGTTTTTCCTATGCTTTTCACAAAAATTGTATTATCTTTCATTATAAAATCCATTTAAAGTTATTTTTTCACATAATATTGATATAAGGTATTCAGTTGCCTCAAGGCCATTTATTGAAAAGTATATACTTTTCCCATAACATGTGAGTCATGTTTTTCACAAATCAGGTAAGAATAAATATGTGGCTCTCTTTCTGGACTTTCTATTATGTTCCATTGGTTAGTTTATTTATCCTTGCACAAATTCCATGTTTTCTTAATTATTACAGGTTTATAATAGGTCCTAATATCTAGTAATGTAGACTTTCATTAGCTTTGTTTACTTTCTTCTAAATTGTTTTGGCAATTCCAGGCTTTTGTATTTCCATATAATTTTTACACTTTGGGTGTCAACTTCTGCAAAAAAAAAATTAAATTCTGGCATTTTGACTGGCATTGTATTGACTTAATTGATAAATTTGGGTAAGAGTAACGTTGTAAAATATTGACTCTTTCAACCTACGAATATGATATATATCTCATTTATTTATGCTTTTAACTTATTTCAATAATATTTTGTGATTGTCAGTGTAGTAGTCTTACTGTGATTTCATTAGATATATTCTTGGGTATTTGATGCCCTTTGGTCCTTGCAGTCATTTAAAAATGTAATTTAATTACCAAAAAAGAAAAAGTCATTAACCACAGGATTATGCTGAGACTATAACTAGCTCTTTCAAATGGTGTCAAGATCCAAGAGGAAATCAAGTACAATACAAACAGTCACATACTATTCTATACACATCTTTCCTGAAGGGAGAATATAACACTTTTGAAATTGTAGTAATAGCAACTGCATTCTGTTTACAGAACAAAGAAATCAGACCAGTGTTAAACAATCCTAGGTAATAATCTGATATTTTGGGTGAATCAAGAAACTGGCTTTTTAAAAATAAAATGATTTAACTCACTTCCTAAAACATAAAAAACTGTCAAAATTTTCGATAAAAAATTCAAAACTATCAACACCTTCAAAGTGGAACTTAATTTTTTTGGAAGTAAAAAATAACAATCCTTTTTTGCTTTATTAGTATTCCTTTGACTCTTAAGGAGTTTAAGCTTTCTCATTATTTTCTATGGCACATTTAAATTTCTTCTTTTATCTGTTTGTTTCTTTAACTTATCTAGTAGGTTCAGGGGTATACGTGCAGGACAGTTAGAGAGGTAAATTGCATGTCATGGGAGTTTGGTTTACAGATTATTTCATTACCCAGGTAATAAGCATAGTACCCAAAAGGTAGCTTTTTGATCCTCTTCCTCCTCCTGCCCTCCACCCTCAAGTAGGCCCCAGTGTCTGTTTTTTCCTTCTTGGTGTTTACATGGTCTCAATATTTAGCTCCCACTTAAAAGTGAGAACGTGCTATATTTGGTATTCTGGTCCAGCATTAGTTTGCTTAGGCCTCTGGTTGCATCCATGTTGCTGCAAAGGACAAGATCTCATTCTCTTTTATGCCTGTGCAGTATTCCATGGTGTATATGTACCACGTTTTCCTTATCTAATCTACTGTTGACAGGACATTTAGGTTGATTTCATGTCTTTACCATTGTGAATAGTACTGTGATGAACATATGAGTGCATGTGTCCTTATGGTAGAATGATTTATATTCCTTTGGTTATATACCCAATAATTAGATTGCTTGGTCGAATGGTAATTTAAGTTCTTTCAGAAACTGTCATACTACTTTCCACAATGGCTGAACTAATTTATATTCCCATCAGCAGTGTATAAGTGTTCCCTTTTCTCCACAACCTTTTGACTTTTAGATAATACCCTTTCTGACTGGTGTGAGATAGTATCTCATTTTGGTTTTGATTTGCATTTCTCTAATAATTAGTGATGTTGAGCATTTTTTTGTACGCTTGTTGGCCATACGTATGTCTTCTTTTGAAAAGTATCTTTTCATGTCATTTGCCCACTTTTTAATGGAGTTGTTTGTTTTTTGCTTGTTAATTTGTTTATGTTCCTTATAGATTCTGGATATTAGACCTTTATCAGATGCATAGTTTGCAATTATTTTCTCTCTTTCTGTACATTGTCTTTTTACTCTCTTGATAGTTTATTTTGCTCTGTAGAAGCTCATTGTTTTAATTATATCCAATTTGTTAATTTTTGGTTTTCTTGCAATTGCTTTCAATGTCTGTCATGAAATTTTTGCCAGGGTCTATGGCCAGAATGTTATTTGCTAGGTTAACTTCCAGGATTTTTACAGCTTTAGGTTTTACATTTGAGTCCTTATCCATCCTGAATTCATTTTTGTGTACGGTGTAAGAAGGGGTTCAATCTGCTGCATATGTTTAGCCTGTTGTCCCAGCATCATTAATTGAATAGGGAGCCATTTCCCCTTTGCTTGTTTCTGTCAACTTTATCAAAGATTAGATAGGTGTGCAGCATTATTTCTTGGCTGTCTGTTCTATTCCATTCATCTATGTGTCTATTTTTGTACCAGTACCATGCTGTTTTAGTTACTATAGTCTTGCAGTATAGTTTGAAGTCAGATAACGAGATGCCTCCAGATTTGTTCTTTTTTCTTAGGATTGCCTTGGCTATCTGGGTTCTTTCTTGGTTCCATATGAATTTAAAATAGTATTTTCTAGTTCTGCCTGTTAAAAATGTTGGTAGTTTCATAGGATTAGTATTAAATCTGTAAATTGCTTTGGGCAGTATATCCATTTTAATGATAGTGATTCTTTCTATTCATGAGCATGGCGTGTTTTTCCATTTACTTCTTTCTTCTCTGATTTCTTTGAGCAGTATTTTGCAATTGTCATTGTAGGTATCTTTAACCTGTCTGGTTAGCTGTATTCCTAAGTATTGTATTCTTTTTGTGAGTATTTTAAATGAAATTGCATTCTTGATTTGGCTCTCAGTTTGACAGTGTTGGTGTACAGGAATTCTACTGAGTTTTGTACATTGATGTTTGTATTGTGAAACTTTCCTGAAGTTGCTTATCAGATCAAGAAGATTTTGGGCAGAGACTATGAGGTTTTCTAGTTACAAAAGCATATTGTCTGCAGACAGCAATAGTTTGACTTGCTCTCTTCCTGTTTGTATGTCTTTTATTTCTTTTTTCTTTTCTTTCTTTCTTTTTTTGAGATGGAGTCTCACTCTGTTGCCCAAGCTAGAATGCAGTGGCATGATCTCAGCTTACTGCAAGCTCTGCCTCACAGGTTCAAGCGATTCTCCTGCCTCAGCCTCCCAAGCAGCTGGGATGACAGGTGTGTACTACCACGCCTGGCTAATTTTTTGTATTTTTAGTAGAGACAGGGTTTCACCATGTTAGCCAGGATGGTCTCGATCTCCTGACCTCGTGATCCACCCACCTCAGCCTCTCAAAGTGCTGGGATTACAGGCGTGAGCCACCGTGCTTGGCCTCCTTTTATTTCTTTCTATTGCCTGATTGCCCTGGCTAGGATGTCCATTATTATGTTGAATAGGAATTATGAGAGAGAGAGTGCATCCTTGTCTTGTTCTGGTTTTTGAGGGTAATGTTTCCAGCTTTTGCCTGTTTAGAATGATGCTGGCTATTGAGTTTCCATAGATGGCTCTTATTATTTTAAAGTGTGGTCCTCAATGCCTCGTTTGCTGAGAGTTTTTAACATTAAGAGATGTTGAATTTTATCAAAAGCTTTTTCTGCATCTATTGAGGTGATCATGTAATTTTTGTTTCTAGTTCTGATCATGTGATAAATCACATTTATTGATTTGCATATGTTAAGCCAGCCTTGCATCTCAGGGATAGAGCTTACCTGATTATGGTAGATTGGTGTTTTTTCGTGTGCTGCTGGATTCAGTTTGCTAGTATTTTGTGAAGATTTTTTTTCGTTGAAGTTCATCAAGGATATTGGCCTGAAGTGTTATTTTTTTCTTCTTGTGTCTCTGCCAGGTTTTGGTATCAAGATGATGCTAGCCTGAGAATAAGCTAGGGAGCAATTTTTCCTCCTCAATTTTTTGGAACTGATTCTGAAAGAATAGTTTCAGCTTTTTTTTATATATCTGGTAAAATTTGGCAGTCATTCTGACTGGTGCTGGGCTTGTTCTGTTTGGTAGTTGTATCACTCTGCTTATACACAGATATAAAGAACTACCTGAGACTGGGTAATTTATAAATAAACAAGGTTTAGTTGACCCACAGTTCTGCATGGCTGAGGAGGCCTCAGGAAATTTACAATTATGGAAGATGTTGAAGGGTAAGCAAGGTATATTTTCCATGGTGGCAGGAGGTGGCAGGGGACCACCATACACTTTTAAACCATCAGCTCTCATGAGAACTTACTCATTGTCATGAAAAAGCATGGTAGAAACTGCCCCCATATTCCAATCACCTCCCTTGACATGACAAGATCTTATTCTTTTCTCGTGCCTGTGTAGCATTCCATGGTGTGTATATTCATAGGATTTGCTGAGCAGCAAAAATAGCAGCCTGCTGGCTCCCTCTGGGAGCTCCCTCCCAGGGAAGCACAGAGCTGCTACCGACCCAAAGCCCTGGTGGAAGGGTCCTTGGGGTACCAAGTCAGGGGGCCCTGTCCAGTGAGGCATAGTAGAGGAGGCCCTACATGGAAAACAATCTGACTGCTTTTCCGTAAGGCAGCTGCAAGGTGCTGGGTGTCCCTGTTAGTCTGTGATCACTATGCTCCCCCCTGAGCCTGAGGACAATAGGAGCTAGGGCTGCAAAGCAGGAGAAATGGTGACCTGCCTACTCCCACTTCCCTGGGAGCTCCATACCAGGGAAGTGCAAAGCTGCTCCTGGCCAGAGAGCTCAGGTGGACCTGGGGTGGTTGTGCTAGGGTGCCAGTGCAGTGGGCACCATTTGATGAGGTTCAGTGAAGACTAGGCCCACAGTCCATCTATTGTCTAGCCCTGTGGATATGGCCCCTATTCTGGGGGCATGTGAAGGAGCCTGGCCTCACCCCTTGCTAGAGCTGTAGCCACTGGTGCCATGGTGCTCAGGGATCCATGGCTCCTGGAACTCCTTGTGTGCCTGAATGGCAGCTCTGCCGAGACCACACAGCTCTCCATGTCAGTCTGAAGGCCCCACTGAGGAGCTCATGAGGGATCTCTTTAGCTCAAGGTTGCAAAGGTTCAAGGCAGAAGTGTGGGTCCTTGGGGACTCTCACTTCCTCACCTTTTCTCTGTGGTGGGGGGCCTCCCCTGGCTCCATGCCACTCTCAGGCCATTGTCCTATCTCACTCCTCTCTGTTCTCAGTAGGTCACCTTAATTTCTTGGTGAAGCCTAGTGTGCACCCCTGGATGATCCCGTTGAAGACTTTGTGTTTACTCACCATTCTTTCTTCTCTCCCTGAGAGTGGCACACTCTAGTTGCTTTCTAGTCAGCCATCTTGGCTGGAGAATCGAGTTTAATTCTTAACTAAATTTTTACTTTGCAATTTTTCAGTAAATCTAGTGGCAAAACAATCTTAACTGTTAATTATTAATCTTAATTATTTTTCCTGGAATCTGGAACTGGATATTTGTAGAAACCCAGCCAGAAGAGAACAACCATGTGCAAGTAAATCTTAGCAAATTAATAATAAAAAGCCAACTTCCTTAACTTGTACAATAATATTTATACCAAATATTGCTCTTACTAGTATAATATTACCTAGATTCATTTTCAAATTATGACCACAATATGATACTCATTATGATTACTGTTTTTGATCATTTGCCTAGTCTGTACAATAATTTAAGAAAAATGTAAGGAAAATATCACAATGAGAAAAGAATGAATTAAGCTATTGTTACTTACAAATAGTTGCATGCACTGAAGTTCCCTCCAAGAGAATCAACAATTAATTTTTTAGAATTAAGAGATTTTTTCAAGGTTGCTCTATGTAAGATCAATTTAAATGAATAAATTCTGCACCCAAGCAACAAACAGAAAAAGTATGCAACTAAATAGAGAACATTCATAATAGCAACAAAATAAGATGCCTAAGAATAAACCTACCAGAATATGTAAAATACTTATGCAGAAATATATAAAACATTATTGAAAAGTAATTAAAAATATAAATTGAAAATAGCAGTGTTATAATGATCAAATCTCTCCAAATGGATTTATAAATCAGATTTATTTATAAATAACAGTAGGGATTTTCCGGAAATTTGACAAGTTAATTCTAAAGTAATAAAACAAATGGCCCAGAAGAACTAAGACACTCCTAAGGAATGAGAACAAGATGGGAGGATTTCTCTTCCAAATATTGCGTTATGGTAAAATTTCAGTGATTAAGATAACATACTATTGATTCAGGGAGGATCAAAGAAATCAGTGGCAGATAGTTGAAAACTCAAACCACACTGATGCACAAATGTAAACCCAAGTAGGACTATTTCACGAACAGTAATGAAACAACTTGTTATTTATGTGGAATAGTGGAATTTAAGTGGAAAGAATGATTCTGAATAAGTTAAAGTGGTGAGTATGGAAGTCACTATCTAACTCTTTTAACATCAAATACAAGAAAAAAAATCTTGAAGTAGTAGAGGATTTAGAAAGTCCTCAAATGCAACAACTATAAGAATAAATGGTAAATTTTACTTCTTTAAATACTAAAACTTATTTTTTTCTTCAAAAAACTCCAAATAAAAATGAAAACCCAAGCCAAACACTGAGATAAGGCATTTCTATTCTAATATCAACACAAATTATTATACAGACTATATCAATAACTCTTCTAAATTAATAAGAGAAAATACAAACAACCTATAAAAATGATCAAAACTACAAATAGTAATTTTATAGAAGAAAAATGAATGCTTGATAAAGATATGAAAAGATATTCTATGTCATTAATTATCAGGGACTGTTTCACACCCACCAGCTTGACACAAATGAAAATGTCTGAAGCTATCAAGTGTAGCTACGAATATCAAATGTACTTGCTTCTCAATGCTACTGGGCTCTGTGTCTGGAAGGCTAACGTATGTGGACAGATTGATGTACTACCATGTCTTTCAATGCCTTATTGGTATCAGCCATTAAAAGCTTCTGCAGAGCAAAATAAGCAAATCAACAGAGTAAACAGACAACCCACAGACTGGGAGAAAATCTTCACCATCTACATATCTGACAAAGGACTAATATCCAGAATCTACAAGGAACTCAAACAAATTAGCAAGAAAAAAAGCAAACAAGTGGGCTAAGGACATGAATAGAAAATTCTCAAAAGAAAATATACAAATGGCCAATAAACATATGAAAAAAGGCTCAACATCACTAATGATCAGGGAAATGTAAATTAAGACTACAATGTGATACCACTTTACTCCTGCAAGAATGGCCATAATCAAAAAATAATAAAAAATAATAGATATTTGTGGGGATGTGGTGAAAGGGAACATTTTTACACTGTTGGTGGGAATGTAAACTAGTACAATCACTGTGGAAAACAGTGTGGAGTGTCCTTAAAGAACTAAAAGTAGAACTACCATTTACCATTTGATCCAGCAATCCCACTGCTGGGTATCTATCCAGAGGAAAAGAAATCATTATACAAAAAGATACTTGCACACACATGTTTATAGCAGCACAATTTGCAATTGCAGAACTATAAAGCCAGCCTAAATGCTCATCAATCAATGAGACTGATTGATGGCACAATCAATTTATTGTGCCATCACAATGGCACATGTAGTATTTCATGGTATAGTATTCCATGGTATTCCATGGATAGTATTTCATGAAATACTACTCAGCCATAAAAAGGAATGAAATAATGGCATTCGCAGCAACCTGGGTGGATTTGGAGACCATTATTCTAAGTGAAATAACTCAAGAATATAAAACCAAACACCATATGTGCTCACTCATAAGTGGGAGCTAAGCTATGAGGATGCAAAGGCATAGGAAGGATACAATGCACTTTGGGGACTCAAAGGAAAGTTTGAGAGACAGGTGAGGGATAAAAAAACGACAAATAGGGTACAGTGTACCCTGCCCAGATGATGGGTGCACCAAAAATCTCAGGAATCACTCACTAAAGAACTTATCCATTTAACCAAACACCACCTCTTCCCCCAAAACCCATGGAAATAAAAAAAGTATAAAAATGAATAAATAAATAAAATTAGAAGGCAAATGACAAAAAAAGAGAATTTCAAATGTAAGGTTGGAGAGCAAGAAGAGTGAGCTCAGAGTACTTCTTCCCCGAGCTGCTTCCTTACCAGGTCATTGCAGGTCTTGGTGTCCCTCTACTGTATCTCAAAGCTTAGGTACGACTCACATTAGGGGACCCTTTCCATATAGCAACTCACTTCAAGTTCCAGAAATCTCTCCTTCTTTGACCTTTAGGGATAGGGATGGAAACAATTCCTTGATGTTGCTAACCTTAGAGTATTTCACTATGCCTCACTGGCTTCTTTTTGACCATATCCAGTATAAATAATCCCTCAGTTAAACTCTTCTCAAATTACCGAGTTGAGTGCTCAATTTATTTCTTGATAGGACCCTGAAATATAAATATTATGATAGGAACTATTATATACTAATGTGAATTTAAATTGCTAAAATTCCTTTGGGACATAAAGTGGAAAATGAGCATACTTTACAACTCAGTCATTTGACTTCTAGATTTATCTCTAGAAAAAAACTATAAAAATACTCTATGTAGCAACTTTTATAGCAGAAAAAAATGGAAAATCCAAATGTCAACCAAAATGGAATGGATAAATTACTTATTCTTAGAGTGGGATGGACTAATGTTACATTCAGCAACAAAAATGTGGTGTTGAACGTACAAAAAGTACAGGAGATAGCAAACGATAAGTCCAAACCAATACATTTATGAAACATTTAAAAATAAGCAAACTTAAAAATACAATATTTAGTTAACTTAAAAATGCAGTACACCTATGAGAAAAGTATGATTTGATTAATACAGAAAGGTATTTGTTTTTTGGAGAAAGAAGAAGCTTAAGGTTTGTGATAATTTTCTGTTTATTAAATTTGGTGTTAAGTACATAGGTGTTTACTTTACTTTTATTATTTAAACTGTACATATCTGCTATATATAGTCATATTTTGATGATTTTTGCAACAAATACAAGAAAGAAATATAAAGATAGAAAGCAAACAAGTAAAGTTGTTTGTCTGGGGGAAAGACCTTGTCTTATTTGTTTTGTGATTCCCTATGACTAATACAATACCTGATATATAACAGGTAATCAATTAATATGGGCTTTAAAAGAGAATGAATAAAAGAAAGAATGAATGAATAGTTAAATGAAATATGTCCAGGGAGCAGTCTCTGTCTAACAAACACTAAGAATTTAGTCTTTGAAGTAAATGGCTGAAAGAAACCTGCAATATGAATTAAGAGCACAGATTTGATTACTAAAGGTCTGACCACCAAATAGCTTAAATATTCCTCAGTCTCCTATCTGAAAAACTGTGATAAAAATTATTCCTCCCTTATAGTTTATGAAAAATGAGTGAGCAAATACTTATAAATAGCTTGGAACTCTATCCAGAATATAATAACTGATATGTATGTTTATTACAGGTGTAACTGTGGATTCACTTATATTTTTGATTCTATTTCCCAACACCAGGCATAAGGGTTTATCATTCTTGAGATTCTTAAAAGCAACAATATACTTACAGAACAACTTAAACTTAGTAAGATCCCAGGTAGTCTGAATGTTCAATTATGTATCTCTATTTTATTTTCCTATTATTTTACACGTAACCATCCTTACTAAAGTAGTGTCTAGAAGGTTGTGCCTATGTTTTCTCAAATATGAAGCAAATAAAACAGAATGCCATTATTTGTTAGTAAGAAATGGAGTGAATGCTTTTCTCTAAAAATACCCGTGAAAATTTTAATAAATACTCAGTCATTAAATGTTAATCAGTCAAACATACTGCCATTTACTCCATTTCATGTTTCTCAGTCCTTGAAAATCACAGTCCAATAATAGAAAAAAAAAAAAAAACAGATGCTGAAAGAGCTCTGGCAAGGTTAGAGAGACAAAAGTATTTTCATTCCCCAAATCCAAAATATCCATTCTAAGGATGAATATGTAGGGCGTAAATACAATGGTGTCTATGACACTAGTCACCATCATAGAGATATAAAAAATTTCCAGATTTCACATCCTGTGTGCCAAAATGTCAGCAATTCTTAGCGCGGCTTGTAAGTGGGAAATTATGTCCTCTCACTTCCCTATCTGTTCCCCCAGTACAGATATCTTTGAGAGGGCAATTCTCTAATCTTTAATAATTCCAAGAAGAGTCCCTTCAGATTCACTGAATGACCCTCTTGATGTTCAATACTCCGGAAATTTTTACTTCTGCTGAGAAACATATAAAATAAATAATGATAACTAACATTTTATTAGGCATCTACTATATACCAAACACTGAACTAAGCTGTTTACATGCACAATTCCATTTAACATTTAAAATAACTCTATTATTCCCTCCATTTAATGGATGAAAACACTGAGATGACAAACCTAGAAGGTGGTGGAACCACAATTGAAACAATCTGCATCACTACAATGCCCATGCTTATACCAATCAACTAAAAGAGATGGAAGGGAGCAAATACTTCACCGATTCATGCCCACCTTACTAGGAAACTGTGCAAGTTACCGAAGACAAGAGTACTGTCCTATACATAGGGCTCTCAAGGATTATTCACTGGAGTTTGGAGAGACCAGGTTGGAAACCTGCCCTTACCTCTGATATGTATACACATATGTACAAATTATTTTCTTTTCTTATCTAACAAATGTTATTTTTACCCTCAAACATGTAACTTTGTATTTTAACAATAATGTTTGTACATATTTATAGAATATGTAACATTTTGTTACATGAATAAAATGTGTAATAATCTAGGCAGGGTATTTAGTATATTCATTACCTCAAGCATGTATAATTTTATGTGTTGGGAACATTTAAAATTCTCTTTTCTAGCTATTTTGAAATATACAATATATTGTTGCTAATTATAGTTACCTTGCTGTGCTATGGAGCATTAGAAAGTATCCCCTCTACCTAACTGTATGTTCTTACCAATTAGTCAACCTTTCTTCATTCTCTGTCCCACCCTAGCCCCCTTGACACATCCTTCCCAGCCTTTGGTATCTATCATTCTACCTGCTACCTCCAGAAGATTAACTGGAGGTTAATTATTTTTAAACAGCAACCAGGATCTTTATTGTAAGAGCTGAATTTTTAAAAAGGTATCATTTTTACAACAAGACATGCCACGTAAAATCTGGATTTAGATAAATATTTCAGTATGTAGCATAATTTCCATCAACTGACGATCTGTCTATTCTCCTAGTACCTGAGCTGGAATTTAGCAGACCAACTTCTCTAGACCAAGTCATCATAGACATACTTACCTGGTTATTGGAGGATTCTCCAGGATGTCTGAACAATTTTCTCTTTCACAGGATAGAATTCACTGATTATTTTAACAAAAGAGGAGTATTTTAAAAGAAATGAAAAATTTATACAGGTATGAGTACTCATTCAAGAAGATAATACAGAATTTGCCACTTCATAAGACTACTTGGGAAGTGGATCAATCATATGTAATAATTTTCATGTTCTGAGGGGCAGTGGAAGAAAATTGCAGGAAGTTACGAAAGTCAGTAAATAAAATGGTGTAGCTACTGTCCCCTTGCTGGATACACAGAATAGAATCATGTCACCTGGGCTGTGTGGGAAGATTAGAATAAAGTAACTATAGAAAAGATTGGGAGTCAGAAGAAGAGAATGGCTATAGGAATAACACATGAGGAGAAGCAGAGTCCCACAGAAATCAGCTCAATTTCAGAGGCCCACATTGTTGTAACAAATCAGTCTAGCACTGAGAAACATGTGGTGAACAAACCGAAGCCAGAATACTATGTACAGTAATTTACTTGCTGGAGAGCCACTGCAGCTCTGGCTTTTCCTGTTGTCTGACTCCTGTGATTGCTACCTATTGATTATTCAGTGAAGTAGAAGAGATCTTCACACTTCCTCTAAAACTTTGATGAGTCTTACCAGAACCGCCCTATGTGGACACCCTATCCCCTTTCAAAAACATCTAAAACAGATGTTGGAATCTTGGCATCCAGAGAGGCAGTGGTAGAGAACAAATATCCAACACCAATATATTGGTGAGAAGGAACAGAGATAGCAGCACATGGCCCTCTGCAGTGCCCTTTTCCCAGGGCTAACGCATGTTTGAAGGCTGGCATTACCTGTTTCCTACACAGGGTCAGGGCAGGAATACATATGAGAATAATCCTGTCCCGATACAACTTTCATGTACTTTCTCCCTCTGTACTGTGACATTTTATTTGCATGGCCTATCGTATAGCTTAAAATTTAGGACACTGTTTTCCTCATAAATTTAGAAACAGCACCTTCAAAGTAATTCAATATATTGTCTATATGGAGAGAGTCATTTTGTACTGAGGATTATTAATTAGGTGTCTGTGAATTACAATGGGCTTTGCGCTTTAGTAGTCCTATGTTTAGAAAAAAATGACATTTCCCTGGAGGAGTCAGAACAATGGTTGCAGCAGCTGAAAGGAGGTCTTACAATCAAGTCTTATTTTTAATGTAAATTTCTATCAAATACTCAACAATACCACCTACTTGCACTAGCCTCTTGCTGGTCATTAAGATAAGAAAGCATAAAAAAATTTTAATAGAAATATTAAAGTTAATTAATATAATGATTAAAATTTAAAATGGAATAAACCAAAAGCTTTTTTAAAATAAAATTAAAGAAGTATAAATAAACAAATGGAAACCATTACACTATCAATAAGATAAAATAAATAACACTGGTAGTAGAGGTTAAAAATGAAAATAAATAAATAAGAAATGAAATATAATCAATAAAATGTTTTTATATTTTCAAAGGAATAAAATTTGTTAAAAATGGAAAAAACATGCATAGTAAAATTTAATACATAGAAACTAAGTCAAAATCATTAATTATAAAGCAATACATTTTGAAAAGTATAAAATAAACAAAATATTAATATGGAAATATGTGGATAACCAGAAGATTATAAAGATATATTGTAAAATATAGTAAAAGAAGCAGAAGAAAACCAGTTAAAGTAGCATATTTATCTCACCATAAAAAAATTACGGGTAAGGAAGCTGATGGGTATGTTAATAAGTTTGATTTAATCAGTACACATTGTATACATACATCATTGTATCATATTTTATCCCAAAAGCATATACAATTAAACTTTTTCAATCAAAATTAAAATATAAACATAAAATTTGAAAGTAAATATTGAAAAAATATAAGGCTTGATATGGTCAGTGGCTTTAGAGACAAAAATAATAAATTAATAGCTTTCTTTTTTTATAGACTTAACATAAATATAACAACAGTTCATTCAACAGCCAGTACAAGTACCTACTCTGTGCTTCTCATGCTTTCTTGAAAAACAAAGCAAAATGAAAAAAGGATGTCACCAAAAGCATAGAAATAGTTAGTTAATTTTGTGGTTTATAATGTATTGTTACTTTTATGGTGTATTATATAGTCAAAGTAGTCTATTTGTTTTTACTCTAATATGTGATCAAATTTTCAGAAATAGAGGTAATTCAAGATGGTGAATTATCTTTTAAAAAGAAAAGAAAAAGGATAAGTATAACAAAATGTAATGAAACAATTCTTAGACACAAAACTATATAATGAAATATACCCTTCATAAGATGGGGGTGGAGGAGGGAAGAAAAGCAGTGAGTCGGTTAAGTGCATAGAGTTTTCTAGGGTGGAAACATCATTGAGCTCTGAGTCCCCAGTGGTTAAAGATGCTCTGGTTAGAGAACAATAGAAGACCTTTAACTTCTTTGCCTTTCACCTTTACTAAGCTGCTGATGCAAGGCTGTCTTTTGCAGCACTTGTCAAGTAAGGGCTAAGTCCCTTCAGCTGGCCCGATCATGTGTACACGTCAGCTCAGTAGCATTGTCCTGTAATACACATGAACATACGCGTGACAGAGCACACTTAGGGAAAGAAAACGTATGTTTCAAAAAGACGAGCGTGAGCCAGTGAATTAGGACGTGTTAATCAAGTTTCCTAATCTCTCTTTTTCTAGTTAGAGAGGATAGTGGAGAAAAGGAGGAGAGGGGTGGGAAGAAGAGAAGAGAAGGAGCAGTTATTAATTTAATTTTTCTTCTATTAATAAAAACATTAAATAAAGAAGGAAACTCATACACCACAGCATCCTATTCTCTGGACTCGAGCCATTATTCTTAACATTGATTTCTCTGTCTGTGTCCTGTAGCCTGGTTGTAGCTGTCTTTTAGAGAGCTTTTTCATTGAAGGAGAAATAAATGACCCTACAACAAAATATTATTGCTGTGGCCCATCAAAAACATTGTTAATTGGAATTAGCTTTAGAGTCAAAGGACCACTGCCATTATGTATTTTGTAGAGATAATTACTTAAGTAAGAGAAAAAGAGATATTTCCAAAACTTTCTTTTCATCCAGTTTTGCATACCCTTGCCCCTTTTCTGTTGTTAGGGTAGATTATATGCCAACATCATATTATTAAGAAAATCACTCCTGTAATTCCAACACTTTGGGAGGTTGAGGTGGGTGGATCGCCTGAGGTCAGGAGTTTGAGACCAGATTGACCAAGATGGTGAAACCCCCTCTCTACTAAAAATACAAAAATTAGCCAGGTGTGGTGGTATGTGCCTGTATTCCCAGCTATGCGGGAGGCTGAGACAGAATTATTTGAACCCGGGAAGCAGAGGTCGCAATGAGCCGAGATAGCGCCACTGCACTGCAGCATGGCTCACAGAGCAAGACAGTCTCAAAAAAAAAAAAAAAAAAAAAAAAAAAAAAGAAAAGAAAAGAAAGAAAGAAAGAGAGAAGGAGAAAATCAGAGATGCTAAAACACTTTCCCAAAAACTTCTGAGATTTTGTCAGCCCCCTCTTGCTGCTGCCATAGATGACCCTGCGTTTTATGCCCAAAGGTTGTTATGAAGGAAACGTCAGCACTGAGACATAGCATATTTTTCAGTCTCCCTCTTCCCCAATAAACTAAACTATAAAGTTAAATATGCAGAGTAAGTCAAAATATTGTTAGCCTAGCAGTTCTGCAAATTCAGGCAAAAACAGGACAATTAACATGACATTTGATTTAAAGAACAGTAACTCTGGGCCATGAGTTATCTCTATTTTTTCTAACGCTATACATTTGACAACTTTTCCTTTCCCTGTATGCAGTCTTGACAATAATCAAGATAGAACCACATAAAAGCTTACCATGCTTTTGTTTTAGTATATGTTGCTCTTATGATATAAAATTCACTTTCAGGTTGCTACTAGAAGCAATACCAGTTTTATTTTTACAATAATACTACTTTTTAGAAAATACATTGATGCACATAATTGTAATAGAAAAAAAACTAATATAGTTTCAGCTCTCTTTCTGAACATGGCAATCTGGGTTATCTGCTAATTGAATAATTTCAACTCTGCATCTTGACCTTAATCAATTAATTAATATTCATTCAATACCATGATATATCCATCCACTAGTTAGCAGATTCAGAAGTTTAAGACTAAGTTCCTGCCTCCGAAGAGAATATAATTGTAATAATGAAGCAAAACAAACCTAAAAAATAACTGTAATACATGGTTAATTACTTAAAAGTTTCAGGTTCAAAACTTGATACCAAGCAATTCCACAGGGCAGGGAAAGATAGCACAATTGCTCTCATCTCCATTCTTCAGTCCAGAGTTTTGATGAAAGATAAACATGCATAAAAATACTTTCTTGATGTGGTCTACTTCTCCCTTATTCATAAGAAGCTACATCTCAATACTCTTTTCTCCCTCACTTACATCTTCCTTTGGTTCTTGACTAGGTAAATATCTTAGGCTATTTTCAGGCTCTCTGATCTTTTATATAAATTAGTAAGCTTTCGAATAGCCACACATTTCTTTTGTCATATTATCAGTTTGGGAGGGAGACTGACGTAAGAAAATGATCAGAAAGAGGAAGAGAAACTGGCTAAGGAAGAACCAATGCTGACTCAGTCTTCCTTCCTCCCAGTCCCATCCCGAGTAAACAATAGGTAATCGTGTGCTATTAGCTTTAATAGTGTGCTTTAATTTACCCTTTCTTAATAGATAAAGATTATTGAGGTCCACTTTTAATATGTCAATTATAAAATTATTTAATGCAATTAAGAATGTATCTGGAAGTAAGAGGTATTATTTCAAAGCAAAAAAAAAAAAAAGGAAAAAATCTGTGAGTATGTGAAATATGAGAATACACAAACAAATGTGGCAAATACCATTGCATATATAGTGTTTTAACTCCAAGTATCATATTCCAGTCTTGCTTAGGCACTTACACTGCTTTTATATTTAGAACTTGGGTTTATACTCTGTGATGCTGTCCACCAGATGGATCCAGAACCCTAGTTCAAATACAGTTCACCCTTTAACAATGCAGGAGTTAGGGACACTGACTCCCCTGTGCAGTCAAAATCTATGTATAATTTTTGACTCTCCAAAAATTTAATTACTAATAGCTTACTGTTTACTGGAAGCCTTACCAATAACATAAATAGTTGATTAACACAGATTTTGTATATTATATGTACTATATACAATATTCATGAAATAAAGTAAGCAAAATAGAAAATGTCTAAGAAAATCATAAGGAAAAAGAAATATACAGTATTTACTATTTATTAAGTAGAAGTGGATCATCCTAAATTTCTTCATCTTCATTGTCTTCACATTGAGATAGGGTAAGGAGGAAGAGAAAAGGAGGAGTTGGTCTTTCTGCCTCAGGAGTGACGCAGGCAGAAGAGTTGAAGGACATGAAAGGGGAGGCAGGAGAAACAGGCATACTCTGTGTGTCTTTATAGAAATACATTGTAATTTCTGTCTGACTTTTTTTTCATTTCTCTAAAAATGTTTCTATATATTACCAATTCTTCCACTGTTTGCTTTAGTTTCGGTGCACATATCATAGAAGAGTCCCTGTTGTAAAAGAAATCAAATACAGTCTTAAATAATTGAAATCCTTCTGCTAGATGTCTAATGTCAGTTTGTTTTCTTGTACTACTTCTTTTATGTCTTCTTCCTCATCATCTGGCATTGGTTCAAAAGCACTCATCTCCATCAAGTTGTCTTCTGCAAATTCCTCTGGTGTAGTTTCTATTAGGTCTTGAATTTCTTCAAGATCTGTATCTTGAAACTCTTCATTCCATTCCACCTTTTTTGGCAAACCCACAATATCGTCTGAATTCCTTGATTGATTCTGTTGTAAATCCTGTGAAAGCACACACATCTGGACACAGTTTTCTCCAGCAGGAATTTATTATTGGCTTGATGACTTTTATGTTTTTTCTTAAATAGTGTATCTTCCAGACTTTCATGATGTTCTAAGTTCTTTTCCATAGCATTGAAAATCTTTTTTTATAGAGTATTGTGTGTAATGAGCCTTAAAAGTCCTTATGACCCCTGATTTAGAGGCTAAATTAGAGAGGTTGTGTTTACGGGCAAGTAGACAACTTCCATGTCTTTGGTGTTGATCTCCTGGATCTCTGGGTGGTCAGAGGCATTGTCAGTATCAAAAGAAATTTAAAAGGATGTCCCTTGCTGTCAAGGTATTTCCTGACTTCAGGGACAAAGCATCAATCCAGAAAATGGGTTCTCATCTTCCAGGCCTTCTTTTTGTATGACCAAAAGACTGACAGCTGGTGCTATATTGTTTCCCTTCAAGGATGGGGGGTTGGGGGTGGGTAGCAGCTTTACAGATTTGAGAAGTTCTGATTATAAACTCAACTGCATTTGCACAAAACAGTAGAGTTAGCCTATCCGTTCCTTTTTCCTGTCCAAAAATACAATTTTTGTCCTTACTAATAAATGTTATATGTTGCAATTTGTTTCCACAATAGGGAAATTTATTTTTTAATTTTTAATTTTGTGGGTACATAGTAGGTATATATACTTATGGGTTACATGAGACTTTTTAATACAGACATGCAAGGCATAATAATCACATCATAGTAAATGGAGAATCCATCCCCTCACACATTTATTCTTTGTGTTACAAACAACCAATTATACTGTGTTATTTTAAAATGTACAATTAAATTATTATTGACTATAGTTACCCTATTGTGCTATCAAATAGTGGATCCTATTCATCCTGTCTAACCATGTTTTTGAGCCCATTAACCATCTCAATTTCCCACACCACCTGACAACACTTTCCAGGCTCTGGCAACCATCTTTCTACACTCTCTTTCCATGAGTCCAATTGTTTTAATAATTTTAGTTCCCACAAATAAGTGAGAACATGTGAAGTTTGTCTTTCTGTGTCTGGCTTATTTCACTTCACAAAATGACCTCCAGTTCCATCCATATTGTGGCAAATTGCTGAAACTCATTCATTCTTGTTTATGGCTGAATAGTACTCCATTGTATTTATGTATCACATTTTCTTTATCCATTCATCTGTTGATGGATACTTAGGTTGCTTCCAATTCTTAGCTAATGTGAATAGTCCTGCAATAAACATGGGAATGCAGGTATCTCTTTGATATACTGATTTTCTTTCCTTTGGGTGTATTAGCTCTCATTTTAGTTTTTTGAGGAATCTCCACACTGTTCTCTATAGCAGTTATATTAATCCGCATTCCCATGAACAGTGTATGGGGATTTCCTTTTCTCCACATCCTCACCAGCATTTGTTATTGCCTGTATTTTGGATATAAGCCATTTTAGCTAGGGTGAGACAATATCTCATTGTAGTTTTGATTTGCATTTCTCTTATTATCAACAATGTTGAGCACCTTTTTATATGCCTGTTTGCCACTCATATGTATTCTTTTGAGGAATAACTATTAATATAGTTTGCCCATTTTAAAATTGGATTATTAGATTTTTTCCTATAGAGTTGTTTGAGCTCCTTATATATTCTGGTTATTAATCCCTTGTCAGATGGGTAGTTTGCAAATATTTTCTCCCATTCTGTGGACTGTCTCTTTACTTTGTTGATTGTTTCCTTTGCTGTGCAGAATTTTCTAACTTGATGTGATCCCATTTGTCCATTTTTGCTTTGGTTTCCTGTGCTTGTGGGGTATTACTCAAGAAATCTTTGCCAGAACTATGTCCTGGAGATTTTTCTGAATGTTTTCTTCTAGTAGTTTCATAGTTTCAGGTTTTAGATTTAAGTCTTTAATCATTTTGATTTGATTTTTGTATATGGCAAGAGATAGGATTCTAGTTTCATTATTCTGCAAATAGATATCCAGTTTTCCCAGAACCATTTATTGAAAAGACTGTCTTTTACCCAATGTATGTCTTTGGCAACTTTGTCAAAAATGAGTTCACTGTAGATGTATGGATTTGTTTCTGGGTTCTGCATTCTGTTCCATTGATCTATTTCTCTGTTTTTATGTCAGTATCATGCTGTTTTTGTTACCATCGTTCTATAGTATGATTTGAAATCAGGTAATATGATTCCTCCAGTTTTGGTTTTTTTTCTCAGGATGTTTTTGGCTATTCTGGGTATTTTGTGGTTCCATATAAATTTTTGGATTTTTTTCTATTCCTGTGAAGAATGTCATTTGCATTTCGATAGAGATTTCATTGAATGTGCAGATTGCTTTGGGTAGAATGACATTTAAAAATGTTGATTCTTCTAATCCATTATCTTGGCATATCTTTCCTTTTTTTGTGTCATTTTAAATTTCTTTGATCTGTGATTTATAGTTTTCACTTCAGAGTCTTTCAGTTCTTTGGTTAATTCCTATGTATTTAATTTTATTTGTGGCTACTATAAATGGAATTACTTCTTAATTTTTTCCCAGATTGTTCAGTGTTGGTACATAGAAATGCTTCTGATTTTTGTATGTTGGTTTTGTATCCTGCAGCTCTACTAAATTTGTTTATAAGTTCTAATAGTTTTTTTGGTGAGGTCTTTAGGTTTTTCCAAATATAAGATCATATCATCTGCAAAAAAGAAGGATAAGTTGATTTCTCATAATAGGGCATTTTTTTTCTGCATTAAAAACCTGTTCAGGCAGGTATCCATATTCTCCAGTGGTTTTCATAATGACATTTGGGAAGTTATCTGCTGCCTTTTGGTCAGTAGAAGCTTCTTCTGTTATGTTGATATTTTTAAGCGAATACTCTTTCTAAAATTATTAAACCATCCTTTGCTGGTTTTACATTATCCAGCTTTAGCTCTTTCCACTTCCTTTTGCATTATGCTTTTATATAATGACTGCTTCTCTCAAATCATATTAGGGACTGTAAGTATGACTCTTACAGCAATCCTGCACCCACATTAAAGCTGCATTTTCAGTACAACATAAAAACATATTTTATAAACCATGAAAGGTTTTTGCACCTGCTGGCATGGCTGCAGTGGTGGTTCACAAATTTCCCTTTCTCGTTTTCAATGGATCTTATGCTGGATTACTTTATCTTGAAATGGGCAACACCAAATACAGACCATAGTCTATGACGCACCTCAAGTGATTAAACATTTTCTTGTAATATTGTGACTTGTCTCTGTTTCTCAGGAGCACTTTCAGCATTATTAGTAGCATTTCATGTGCATCCCACTGTGCTGCTCAAGGTTTACAGGATTGTACTATATAAAAAACGATGAGAAATATGTGAGAACTGCAAAAGATCCCTTTTCACTGAGATACAAAATTTACTACAGAGATGAACTATTCCTATAGAAATGATTAGCATGACATGGCATTTTAAACAGATACTCACAACATGAGCTCACCATAATAACAACAGGGGCTGGCTACAAAATTATTACAGTAGTACAGTGTTACTACAGTTAGTCTTATGTAGTTGTGATTTACTACTGTGCTTTTACATTTGCTTACATTTCTCTCAACTGCAAATGATAATGTGCCTGGTACTATGTATAGTTTTTGTGTCCATAAGTTTTGAGAAATTTTAACTTTCTAATAGATTTGTATCTATTTTATTGTAGTAAATGATAAATAGACTAGTCTCCACATATATTCTATGCATTCATGACATATCTAATTTTATTTTTTTTCTATTACTAGGCTATGTGGTTCACCTTGCAAGTTTTCAAAAATTGTTGGAACTCTAAAAAATTTTTTCCAATATATTTATCGAAAATCCATGTATAAATGGACCATAAAGTACAAGCCTGTGTTGTTCAAGGGTCAACTGTACTTCCATTAATGACATTCTCATGCAGATTCCAAACCAGAGAATTAGCTTTTATTCTACCTCCTGCTCTGACCCTTTCCCACACTTTTATAAGAGATTTAGCTGGATTCTCACCTCAGAATGAGAGCTTTGTGAAGCCAGGCCAAGATGAAGTCTGATCCTTTGGTTATAAGTAGTCTAAGAAAAAGGTAATAACCTGCTCTATATTTCTCTTAGTCATGCTTTACACAGCTTACTGTAACACCATTCTATCAGTGTTAACATCAATCATGTCAACATATTCACACATAAAAATTGTTGAAAAGATGCCATTTTTGGAAAAAATGTTCAATAAATACTTTTGATGAAAATCAATTTGCAAGATCCCAGTCTCTTTGGATTGGAAGTTATTATTGTTATTTATTATTATTTTAGTATCTCATAATCATTTTATTTCTCTCTCTGAGGACTTAATCCTCTATGTCTGGTCTCTTGTTCTTTTTTTTTCTAATTTTTCTTTTAGGTTTGGGGGTACACACGAAGGTTTGTTACACAGGTAAGCTCATGTCATGGGGGTTTGTTGTACAGATCACTTCATCACCAGGTATTAAGCCCACTACCCAATAGTTATCTCCTGCTCCTTTCCTTCCTTCCACCTGCCACCCTCAAGTAGACTCCAGTGTTTGTTGTTCCCTTCTTTGTGTTCATGAGTTCTCATCACTTAGCTCCCACTTATAAATGAGAATGTGGTATTTGGTTTTCTCTTCCTGCATTAGTTTGCTAAGGATAATAGCCTAGGATAGGAAATTAAAATGATGCCATATCAACTAGCTGCTGAGTCATTTTCCCGATATAGAACTACTACAGATATCTTAAACAAATAATTACAAAATATTTCATTATTTCCAACTAATTATAAAATATTCCAATCTTCTTATGAAGAATTTGAGTTCACACAGGCATTTTATAAATCAGTTGTGTTTTATAATTATTTGCAGGTTGCTGTTTATTATTATTCTTACATTTATTGCTTTACATTGAATAACATTGTTTATTTTAATTATGTTAATTTTTATTATATTTCATTCCTGGGACTTTAAAGTTATGATATATCCTCTTTTATATAAGTTCAACTTATATTTCAGATTTGGGAGGTGCATGTGCAATTCTGATACATGGGTATATTGTGTGATGCTGAGTTTGGGGATGCAGATGGTCCCATCACCATCACCCAGATAGTGAGGATAGTACTCAATAGCTCTTCAGCCTTTTCCACTCTGTCTCCTTCTACTTCTAGTAGTCCCTAGTGTCTATTGTTGCCTTTTTTATGTCCATGCATACCCAGTGTTTTGCTCCCACTTATAAGTGAGAACATGTGCTATTTAGTTTTTTGTTTCTATTTTAATTTCCTTAGAATTATGGCTTCCAGCTGTATCTATGTTGCTGCCAAGAACATGATTTTATTATTTTTTATGGCTGTGTAGTATTCTGTGGTGTACATTTTCTTCCAATCCTAGAGCATGTTCCAATCCATGTTTTTACATTTGTTTGTGTCATCTATGATTTCTTTCAGCAGTGTTCATAGTTCTCCTTGCAGAGACCTTTCACCTCCTTGGTTAGATGTATTCTTAGGTATTTTATAGCTATTGTATATTCTTAATTTCGCTCTCAACTTGAACGTTATTGATGTTTAGAAATGCTACTAATTTTTGTATGTTGATTTTCCATCTGAAACTTCACTGAAGTCATTTATCAGTTCTAGGAGCCTTTTGGCAGAGTTTTTAATGTTTTCTAGGTATAAAATTATAGTGTCAATGAAGAGAGATAGTTTGACTTCTTGTTTACTTATTTGGATGTCTTTTATTTCTTTATCTTGCCTGATTGTTCTGGCAATGACTTCCAGTAGTACGTTGAATAGGAGTGGTGAGAGTAGGCATCCTTGTCTTGCTTCATTTCTCAAGGGGGATGCTTCCAGCTTTTGCCAATTCAGTATGATATTGGCTATGGATTTGTCAAAAGTCTCTTATTATTTTGAAGTATGTTCCTTTGATGCCAAGTTTGTTGAGGGTTTTTATCATGAAGGGATGTTGGATTTTACTGAAGACTTTTTTTCCATGTCTATTGAGATGATCATATGGTTTTAGTTTTTAATTATTTATGTGATGAATCACATTTATTGATTTGCATATGTTGAACCAAATTTGCATCCCAGGAATGAAGCCTACTTGATCATGATGAATTAAATTTTTGATGTGTTGCTCTATTCAACTGGCTAGTATTTTGTTGAAGAATTTTGTGTTTTTATTCATCAGGGATATTGGCCTGTAGTTTTCTTTCTCCACATGTCATTGCCTGGTTTTGGTATCAAGATGATGCTGGCTTCATAGAATATGTTAGGAAAGAGTCTCTTCACCTCAATTTTTTGGAATAGTTTTAATTGAATTGGTACTGGATTTCCTTTGTCTGGTAAAATGTGGCTGTGGATTTATCTGTTCCAGGGACTTTTTTGGTTCGGTTTTTTATTACTTAATCAATTTTGGAAGTCAATGTTGGTCTGTCAGAAATTTCAATTTCTTCCAGATTCAATCTTGGGAGGTTGTGTATTTTCAGGAATTTATTTATTTCCTCTAGAGTTTCTAGTTCATGTTCATAGAAGTGTTTATGATAGTCTCTGAGAATCTGTTGTATTTCTGTGGAATCAGTTGTAATGTCATCTTTGTCATTTCTGATTGCACTTATTTTGATCTTCTCTATTTTTTTCTTTATTAATCTAGTGAGCAGTCTATGGATCTTGTTTATACTTTTAAATAACTAACTTTTGGTTTTGTTGACACTTTTTATGAATTTTGGGCCTCAATTTTGTTCAGTTATGCACTGATTTTAGTTATTTCTTTTCTGCTGGCTTCATGGTTAGTTTGTTCTTTTCTCAATACTTGAGGTATGATGTTACATAATTAATTTGAATTTTCTAACTTTCTGAGGTAGGCATTTAGCAGTATAAATTTTCCTCTTATTACTCCTTTTGATGTATCCCAGAGATTTGGGTATGTTGTATCTCTTTTTTCCATTATTTCAAAAAATGTTTTGATTTATGCCTTAATTTTGTTTTTTACCCAAAAGTTATTCAGGAGCAAGTTGTTTAGTTTCCATATAATTGTGTGGATTTGGAAGATCTTCTTAGTATTGATTTCTGTTTTTATTCCACTCTGGTCTGAGAATATGGTTGGGATGATTGCAGGTTTTTTTTTTTTTCAGTTTATTGAGATTTGCATTCTGGCTGAGCATGTGGTTGATCTTTGAGTGTGTTCCATGTTCAGATGAGAAGAATGTATATTCCAAAGTGGTTGTGAAGTGTTCTGTAGATGTCTATTAGATCCCATTGGTCAAGTGTCAAATTTAAGTTCAGAATTTCTTTGTTAGTTTTCTGCCTCAATAATCTGTATAACACTGTCAGTGGGGTGTTCAAGTCTTCCCCTATTATTGTGTGGCTAAGTCTTTTCATAGACATAGAAGCACTTCTTTTATGAATCTAACTGCTCCAATATTAGATGCATAAATGTTTAAAATAGTTAAATCTTCTTGTTGAATTGAAACTTTTATCATTATGTAATGCCCTTCTTTGTCCTTTTTTACCATTGTTGTTTTAAAGTCTGTTTCATCTAATACAAAAATAGTGATCCCTGCTCATTTTTGTCTCCCCACTTGCATGACAGATCTTTCTCAAGCCCTTTACTTTGAGCTTATGGTGAATACCTGTGTGATAAGGGTCTATTGAAGACAGCTGATGGTTGGGTCTTGTTTCTTAATCCAATTCGCAACTCTGTGCCTTTTAAGTGGGGACATTTAGACCACTTACATTAAAGGATAATGTTGATATGTGTGGTTCTGAATCTATCATGAATTTGTTAGCTGGTTGCATTGCAGTTTCTATTGTATGGTTGCCTTACATGGTCTGTGGGCTATGTAATTAAGTCTCTTTTTGTGATAGAAGGTATCATTTTTTCCTCTCCTTACTTAGAACTATCTTAAAGATCTCTTGTAAGTCTGGCCTGGTGGTAATTCTTTCCCTTAATGCTTGCTTGTCTGCAAAAGATTTTATTTCTCCTTTGCTTATGAAGCTTAGTTTGGTGGGATATCAATTTTGTGTTTGGGATTTCTTTCCCAAATAGCCTTCAATCTGTCCTGGCTTGTGAGGCTTCAGTTGAGAACTCCACGTTAACCCAATGGCATTCCCTTTTTATGTGATCTAACCTTCATCTCTAGCTGCCTTTAAAATTTTTTTCTTTAGCATTGACCTTGGACAGTCTCATGACTATATGCTTTGGCGAAGTTCATTTTGTATAATATCTTGCAGGTGTTCCATGGATTTCTTGAGTCTAGCAAGATTAGGGAAATTTTTTTAAATAATTTTCTCAAACATATTTTGCAGGTTTTTCCTTTTCTCTATTAGGAATGCCAGTAGTTCATAGGTTTGGTCACTTTATATAATCCCTTATTTCATGAAGACTTGTTAGTGTTTTTATATTATTTTTTCTTTATTTTTTTGACAGGTTTAGTTCAAAAGACTGATCTGCAAGTTCTGAGATTCTTTATTGTGCTTTGTCCAGTCTATTAAAAAAGCTTTCAATTGTATTTTGATATTTCTTAAGTGAGTTTTTCATTTCCAAAAGTTCTGATTGTTTTCTTTTGAATATGTTTATCCCTTCCTTTATTTTCTGGATTGATTTAAATGTTCCTTTATGTTGATTTTCAACCCTGTCTTGGATCTTGTTGAGCTTCCTTGAAATTCATGTTTCAAATTCTTTATCATATATTTCTGAGTTTTCATTTTGATTAGGGGCTTTTGCTGTGGAGATATTATGATCCTTTGGTGATATCTATGATCCTTGGTCATATCACTATTTTCAGATTTTTCACAGCACCAGAATTATTTTGCTGTTTCCTTCTCCTCTGAAAATTCTGGCACTTCTAATATTTGTAATTATTTTTGTGTAGGTCAGATTTATTCTTTTTCTTTCTTTCTCTATAGTATTGTTTTTGTTCTTCCTTCCCTTTTCCTTCTTCTCCTCCCTATGAGGTGTGGCTGTAGAGAATGCTGTGCAGGGGCTTTGAGGTTTGCTTCTAAAGCCTTATGTAATTCTGTCAGCATATTTTTATGTTGGGTTGTGCATTTTACCTATAAGCCAGTAGATGGCACTTATGGGTAACAGCTGGCTGCGGCCAAGGTGGCTGGGTATATAGTTGATACTTGTTTAATGGGAAAAGCTCTCTGTTGCTTAAGACAATGGGCTAACCTATGGAGTGCACAGTTTTCTGAGCTCCCTGCTCAGCCTTTAAGGGTTGGGGGTAAGATGAGTGTGGCTAGACTGGGAAGGCCTACCTACAGGTCCCTCAATGGCAGTCACAAGAACCATTAATGAGGGAGATTTCAGTGGGTGATCACCAAGTGCTCAGAGGTATGCCTAGATGTGGAGCTGAGAAACCTCCCTGGCCCCAAGTTCTCTATATGGTTGGAGGTGGGGTGGCCTAAACTCGTAATACAGGAGGGTGGGTACCCCTGGTGCCTGGAGATCTGCATGGGCATTGAGTGGAGAAGGCCCTGCTGCACCATGATCTCTGCACTGGAAGGGGTAGGCAGCTCAGCTTGCTAAAAAAAAAACAAAAAACAAACAAACAAACAAACAAAAAAACCCTAACCTACTCTTTAAAAGTAAATATTATTTCAGCAAAGAAAGAATAGAGGGGATGCACTTGTAGCTTTCCTGCTAAGATCAGAAAAAAGGCAGGAATTCCATCTCCTCCACCACTGCTTTTCAACATCTTACTGAAAGTCTTAGATAATTCAACCAGACAAGAAAAAGAAATAAAAGGTGTGCAAATTGGAAAGGAGGAAATACAATGGTCTTAGTTCACAGATGACAAGATTGTCTGTGTAGAAAATTCAAAAGTATCAATAAAAAAACTCCTGGAACTAATAAGTGACTATTGTAAGCTTTTGGGATACAGAATTAATATACAGTTACCCACTTTCCTATATAGTAGCAATGAACATGTAGAATATGAAATTAAAAAATTAGCATTTACATTTAGAAAATAATTACGTATAAATGTAACAAAATATGTATAATATCTCAATGAGGAAAATTACAAAATTGAAATATATCACAGAACTAAATAAATGGAAAGCTCTTCCATGTTCGTGGATTTAAGAAACCTCAATAGTGTTAAGACGTCAGTTTTTTTCCCAACTTTTTCTACAGATTCAATGCAATTTCATTTAAGATCTCAGATTCCATTTGAAATATTTGCATTGAAATTTCAGATGCAAAACTGTAAAACCTTCTAGATTGTAGCATTAAAGAAAACCTACATGACCTTGGGCATGACAATGACTTTTTTAGACATAACAATAAAGATACAATCCATGAAAAATGTATCATAAGTTGAACTTTACTAAAATTCAAAAATTTTGCTCTGTGAAAGAAAATGTCAAGGAAATAAGAAAACAAGAACATAGACTGAAAAAAATATCTGCAAAAGGCACACCTTATATAAGACAGTTATCTAAAATATATAAAAAAACTTTAAAAACTCTTCAATAAATAAGAACAATCTAATTAAAAATGAGCAAAAAAACTGCATACACACTTCATCAAAGAAGATACATAGATGGCAAGCATATGCAAAAATGTTTAACATAATATGTCATCAGAGAAAAAAGTGAGAATTGCAAACTAAAACTGTAATGAGATAACACTACACAACTTTTAGAATAATCAAAATTGAAAACACTGACAACATGAAATACTAGCAAGGATGTGGAGCAACAGGAACTCTCATTCACTGCCAGTGAGAATGCAAACTAGTACAGCCACTTTGGAAGACAGTTCCATGGTTTCATACACAACTAAACATACCATATAATGCAGCAATTGCACCCCTCAATATTTACCCAAATAAGTTGAAAATTTACATACACACAAAACCTACATACTGATATTTATAGCAGCTTTATTGATAATTGCTAAAACTTGAAATTAACTAAAATATCCTTCAGTAAGTTAATAAGCTATGGTACATATAGACAGTAGAATTTTATTCATTGTTAAAAAGAAATGATCTATCCAGCAATGAAAAAACAAAAAGAAAATAAATGCATATTACTAAGTGAAAGAAGCCAAGCTGAAAAGACTATTTGCTGTATGATTCAAACTATATGACATCCTTGGAAAGGTGAAACTAGGGAGACAGTAAAAATATTTGTGGTTGCCAGTTGTTGGTGGAGGGAGGGAGAAATAGACTGATCACAGAAAATTTTTAGGACATTGAGGCTACTTTGTGTGGTACTACTATGGTGGATACATGTTCTTATTTGTGCAAATCCACAGAATTTATAATATCGAGAGTGGGCTTTAATATAATTTATGGACCTTGGGTGATAATGATATGTCAATGTAGGCTAATTGACTGTAATAAATGTATGACTTTGGTAAAGAATGTCAACAGTAGGAGAGGTTGTATGTAGGTGAAAATGGGGGTATATAGAAATTCTCTGTAGTTTCTGTTCAATTTTGCTGTGAATCTAAAATTCCCTTTAAAAAATAAAGTTTACTGATGAAAATTTTTCAGTGTCTTATGCAGTACAAAAGTAGGGTATGAAGACTTTAAGTTCCCTAATAATCACATCAAAGTGTCGTGTGATTATTTAAAAGAGATATTATGTATACTGTCATAAAAACAGACATAAAGGCCAATGGAACAAAATAGATAACCCACAAATAAATCCACATATTTTCAGGCAACTGATTTTTGATCAAGGCATCCTTGCAAGAATGTGCAAGGGAAAAGCACAGTCTCTTCAATGAACTATTTCGGGAAAACTAGATCTCCACATGCAGAAGAATAAATTTAAACCCTCATCAAATACCATATAAAAATCAATACAAAATATATTAAATACTTAAATGTAAGACCTGAAATTATGAAATTACTAGAAGAAAACATAGGTAAAATGCTCTATGACATAGTTTGGGCAATGACTTTTTGATATTACCCCCAAACCATAGGCAACAAAAGCAAAAGTAGACTAATGGAATTACATCAAATTACAAAGCTTCTAAACAGCAGAGGAAGTAGTCAGCAGGGTAAAGTGACAATCTATAGAATGGGATAAAATACTCACAAACTATACATGTTGTAAGGGGATACTTTCCAATATATATAAGAAGCTCAAACAACTCAATGGCAAGAAAACAAATAACCAGATTAAAAAATTAGCAAAGGACCTGAATAGACATTTCTCAAAAGAAGATATACAACAGATATATAAAAAAGTTCAACATCACTAATCATCAGGGAAATGCAAATTAAAACCACAATCAGATGTCACCTCACATCTGTTAGAATGGCTATCATCTAAAAGACAAAAGATAAGTGTTGACAAGAAAGTAGGGAAAAGAGAACCCTTGTACACTGTTGGTGAGATTTCAAGTTAGTACAGCTAGTATGGAAAAGAGTATAGAGGTTCTTCAAAAAAATTAAAATAGAACTACCATATGATCCAGCATTCCCACTACTGGGTATATATCCAAATGAAATGAAATCAGAATATTGAAGAGATACCTGCACTCCCATATTTACTGCAGCATTACTCACCATAGCCAAGCTATGAAATTAATCTAAGTGTCAATCAGTGGATGGATGGATATAGGAAATGTGATATATATACAAAGTAGAATACTATACAGCAGGTGTCCCCAACCCCTGGACCATGGACCAGTATCAGCCTGTGGCCTGTTAGGAACCAGGCCACACAGTAGAAGGTGAGTGGTAGGTGAGCAAGCAAAGCTTCAACTGTATTTATAGCTGCTCCCTATTGCTTGCATTGCCGCTTAGGCTCCACCTATCAGATCAACAGCGGCATTAGATTCTCATAGGAGGGCAAACCCTATTGTAAACTGACCATGTGAAGGATCCAGGTTGCGTGCTCCTTATAAGAATCTAATGCCTGATGATCTGTCACTGTCTCTCATCATCTCCAGATGGGACCATCTAGTTGCAGGAAAACAAGCTTAGGGACCAATTCTACATTATGATGAGTTGCATAATTATTTTATTATATATTGCAATGTAATAATAATAGAAATAAGGTGCACAATAAATGTAATGTGCTTGAATCGTCTCAAAACCATCCCCCAACCCCAGTCCATGGAAAAATTGTCTTCCATGAAACCAGTTTCTGGTCCCAAAAAGGTTGTGGACCACTGCTACAGAACCATGAAGAGGAAGAAAATCATGTCATTTGTGACAATATAGATGAATCTGGAGGACATTATATTAAGTGAAATAAGCCAGTCACAAAAAGACAAATACTGTATCATATTTGTCTTTTTTGTGCATGACTTATTTCTAAAACAGTTGACCTCATACAAGTAGACAGTAGAATGGTGGGTACCAGAGGCTGGGGCAGTAGGAAGCAATGGTGGTTAGGGAGATATTGGTCAAAGAACACAAAATCTTAGTTAGAAGATATAAGTTTAAGAGATCAATTGTACAACATGGTGACTATATAATTACAGTGAATAATATATTCTCAAAAAGTTCTAAAAAAGTATTCTAACCACAAGAATTATAACTATGTGACATAATGCATTTTTTAATTAGTGATATTTAGTCATTCCACAATGTACATATACTTTAAAACAAACATCACATTATACATAGTAAATACAATTTTATCTATCACAGTGGCTCACACCTATAATCTCAGTACTTTGGGAGGCCAAGGCAGGAAGATTGTTTAAGCCCAGGAGTTTCAGAGTGGCCTGGTCAACATAGTGAGACCCTTTCTCTACAAAAAATAAAAAATCCATATCTATATATCTGTCAGTTCTGTCAATTTACAAAAATAAATTTAAAAAAAGGACTAACATGTCTAAAAGGAAAACAAGACACAGCAAAATAAACAAAAATATCAATTGTTCAGGAAAACATGCATGCACTTTCAAAATGTACATAGACTAACTTATTTGTTGTAAGAACTTGTGTCTTACAAACTTTATAGATCTGATACACTTTTATGTATGAATACAAGCATGTCCTGACTTGAAGATTATAACTTAAATACAAAATATTCATTCATGCAGTCAATTATTCATTCAACAAATATTTAATCAGTGTCTGTATTATGGACTGAATGTTTGTGTCCACATAAAATTCATATGCTGAAATCTTAGTATGCAATATAATGGTATTCGGAGGCAGAGCCTTTTGGAGGTAATTAGGCTTAGATGAGGTCATAAGAGCAGAGCCTCAATGATGGGATTAGTGTCCTTATAACAAAAGGAAAAAACACCGGCTCTTCCTCTCTTTGCCACGTGAGGATGCAGAAAGTAGCTGTCTTCAAGCCAGGAAGAAGGCCTTCACTAAGAAGTGAACCTCCCAGTACCTTCATCTTTAACTTTTCAGCCTCCAGAACTGTGAGAGGCAAGTGTATGTTGCTTGAGCCAAAATTGTCTAAAAGTAAATATATTTAAGGAATAAAACTGTATGATGTGATAGGAAATATTTAAAATAGTTTTTAAAAAACATGCAAATATTATAAATATGTATGTGCAAATATGGAAAATACGACAAAATTATTAAGGTAGAACAAGTATGACTGACATTTGAAAAATATTGCAACAGTCTTCGGAATTACTTTCTATGCCTTCTATACATCTTTTGTTTCTCATCACTGTATTTTCTCACTGTGTTTTCTGTCACTGTAATAGCCTCTCTCCTGTGCTAAATCTCCCCTCAAAATTATATTACTAGCCACCAGACGTCACCCCTTAATGAAATTTGTTATTATGTGCTGAATGAGTATCTCTCTCTTTTCAGTCTATATTTTAGGGCTACATATTTCTTAAGATGTTGTTTTGTCTCCTGCACTTCCTATTATATTTATGTGGTTATCAGATTTGTTCTACTTGATGATAAGATTGTAAAGTTACCTAGAACAAGACTTAAATCTTATTCTTCCCTGAATCTCTACCATAGGACTTACAGCTGTATGTATTACTTAATATTATTACTTAGTAAATCCATACTGAATTTCATTATCTTAGAATTTTCAGCACTGTTACTGAGCAGTTCAAATATAAAAAAGAACTGCTAGAATTATATTTATAACTACAGACTCCAGATTGCAAAAGTTAGATAACCTATTGATTCTATACACTTGGAAAGTGTGAAAATTTTGACAGTATAGTTAATTTTTTTTTAAAGACAGGCACAAAAATAAAGTCATCATAGAGAAAAATTGAAGTAGAGTATATTTGACTTTAGGATTCCAAGTTTAAGCAAAGATTAAGAGAATTCTGTACTTATTAAGCAAAAATACACTTAACTATATTTTTTATGGAATTGATACTAAGAATTACTTTCTATTGAGAATTTATTATCAGAGTACCTTCTCTAATAGCAATATCTTTCCTAATTTTTAATGTAGTATTTAACTCAATCATGTAAAGAAAATATTGAGAATGTATTCAAGTAAGTGAGTATACAGAACTCTGACAAGGCTATAATTTGCATGAAGATAAGGATCATATCAGTTTTGTTCATGCCATTCTTCTGAAAACATAGCATAGTACTCAGGTCAGGGTACCTGTTTATATTTGTTGAATGAAGGAATAAATGAGGTAAAATGTAATACAAAGTTTTTCCTCATTTACCAAAGGCTAGCATCCCTTCCTGCTCTCACCTTGTAAAGCACTCTCAACTTTGGGCTCTACAATTCTTATTTTTTTAATTGAGGAAAAAATTTACATAATATTAGTCACTAACCATTTTAAAATGTAAAATTCAGTGGCACTTAGTACATTCTCAATGTGCAACTGTCACACACTATCTAGTTTTGAGAAATTTATATCACTCCAAAAGGAAAAACTTTATCCATTATTCAGTCAGTCCCCGTCTCTTCCCCTACTGCCAGCCCCTGGAATCCACTAATCTGCTTTCTGTCTCTACAGATTTACCTATTCAGGAAGTTTTATATAGATAGAATCATAAAATATGTGTCTGGATTCTAGGTTTTTGAAATAAAAGTCTAAAAGTGAAAGACTTTCTTTTATCTTCTTTTGTCTATAAAATCCTATGCATTATACTTGGCTTGGTCTGCTTCTCTGTTATTCATTAACTGCCTAATTTGAGATACCAGCTACATCCTGCATGTAAAAAAGAACGGAATCCTGTGATTCAAGGCAACAAAAACGAGCTTTAGAAAGGATGGAGAATATGGAGAATATTATGTTAAGTGAAAGAAGTCAGGCACAGAAAGACAAATACGTCATGTTAATATTCATATATGAGAATTAAAAAATATTGAGCTCCTAGAAGTGGAGAGTAGAATTGTAGTCATTAGAGACTGGGAATGGCTGAGTGGGGGGGAGACAGGGAGAAGGTGGTGTACACAAAGTAACTGCTGATAGCAGTCATACATTTCTATTGTTCCATAGCACTTTAGAATGAAAGTGGTTAACAATAATTTAGTGTATATTTTCAAAAAGCTAGAAGAGAGGGTTTTGAATATTCACAGTGCAAAGAAATGATAAATGCTTGAGGTGATGGATATGTTAATTACCCTGATTTGATTATTACATATTAGATACGTGTTAAATATCACTTGTATCTCATAAATATGACAATTATGTGTAAACTAAAAATAAAAGATAAAGTTTTACAAAGTGATGAGAAAGTTGGTGGTGGATTGATGAGAGGAATACCAGGAGAAGTAATGTAAACATTGATTTGTTAGTTTTACATATTATCTTCATAAATATTTTTTAAAATGATCTGCTGATAATCCTTTTGTAAAGCACATTTATCTATTTACCTGTTCAACAAAACCATATTTATTGCTTATTGTTTGCCAAATGTTGTGCATAGCACTGGGAGTTCCAAGACAAAACAGGTTCACTGCTTAATCTCTAAGAGTTTACAGTTTGTAAGGAGACTGGTAGACTTGCACACAGGACAATTTTAACATGTAATTTTATAAGTAGTGAGTTATGCCTTTCACAAGAAGTACATGTTGAGAAAGAACTGTCCAGGCAGAGAAAAAATTGTGTTCAAAGACAGAAAATGAGCTAGAACTTTCCTGTTTGAAGGAAGGCCAGTTTTAACTTATTTATTTTGTTTTCACATTTGACTGTGATTTTTACAACAAAGTCCATGCCAATTTTTTTCACCACTTTTTACCTAGCACTTTTTTCAACTCCAAGTACATTTTTTCATTTATTCTTTCATCCATGCATTCAGTAAATGTAACCATTTACTATGTGCATTGTGTTGGATTCTCAGTAAAATGGACTGAGCAAAATAAACATGATTCTTACCCACAAGGAGCTTATAGTTTAATCACTGATATATGAATGAATCAAATAGTAATCACTCGAATAAATGTACAATGAGTTTTATTTTATCAAAATCAGTTTCTATTCCCAAGAAATATCTGACACTCAGTGACTTTGCCCTACCCTCTTCCAGTAGATAGGTGTCTGGGCTGCAACAAATTCTCCTGGATTGTTATTTGCTTCAAGTAGAAAGATACATTTGGAGACTCTATCATTAACAGTTCTAATTATCTGATATCATCATCTCTCAAGTGTAGATTTTGGCAACTGTCAATCTATAGACTTATCCTCAAACAGTTTCTTGATAAAACATGAGCTAGATGGAAAGTATAGCAGAAACCCCATTTTCACCAAGGCAGGGCCTGCCCTAAGGCTAACAGCAGCTGTCCATGGGCATGAACCACTTGGCACACACATGCCCAATGACCTGAAGCTGTCTAAACCCCAGCAGGATTTTGTAGTCCATGTATATTAAACAAATAGTTCTCAAAGTATAGCCCAGGGACCTCAAGGAGTCCTGAGATCCTTTCAGATTCATGAAAACATTAATACATTGTTCTTCACTCCATCTCACAATTGTATAGTGGAGCTTTCAAGAGGTTACAGAAAGTATTAGGTCATTATCATCTTGACATTTTCATTCTGATGGACAGTGGAATGTGTGCTTGTGCATTCTTTTGTTGTGAAAATTTGTCTGCATGGCAAATATCAGCATGGCAAATATCAATAGATATAACCAAATATGCAGTGCAAAGTTGCCCTAAGCACAAAAAAATTTGGGAATTGCTGAATTAGGCTGTGGTCTTGATTCCTTTTTGAGCTCCTACTTAGAGTATTTTCAACTACAATTCACTTGGCCAGGCCTATAATCAATCTCCTATCTAGCCATTTGTGGCCATTCTTCATTACAAGGACTTATACTTGTAAACAACTGTAAGTTTCTCATATACTTAAAGGCAGCAACTGCAGTATAAGTTTTTCATACACCTAAAGGCAGCAATTGAATTCTTTCAAATAGTAGACAAAGTCAGGAACTCTTAGTTTATTAACTGTCTGTACCATCATTGCTTAGACAACCTTCCCTATGTTATCCTTAGCTTGAATCCCTACTTTATCAAAGCATGTAGCATAGAATCTGTCAGAGAGGTGGTTCCCAGTCAAAGCTGTCAAGAATGGAAAGAAGGAAGAAAGAGAGAAAGTGAGTCTCAACCAAGCCTATGTCTTCACTCCCCTTGGAAATAGATTACTTTTATCCCTTAACTTGTGAGGTAAATTTTCAGATGCAGGGGACAGTATTTTGGCTATGAAAACATGTCTTTTAGTTTGCCAACTGCAAGGAGAGTAACTGGCCAATGGCTCCAGCTAGTGGTCTTTAAAATACAAGTCTACTATGAGGCCAGATTTCCCATAGCTTCTCCCTGACAATAGCTGAGCATGGCAGGGACTAACACAGGCCCATATCTTGGAGGCGCAGGACTCTTGTGATGGCCAACTTTGACTCAACAACTATACTCCTACTTCTACTACTAAAGACCTTGCCAAATTTCCCTTAGAACTATACTGTGCATGCTTCACTTAACCTACCTTTCTTATTGCCCCTCTTTTTTCCCTTCCTCTTTCTTTCCTTACTTCTCTCAGGGTAAAAACTATACAATAATCTGAAAGGCTTTCCTAGTTTCTCCTGACTTCCTCCCCATTTCCTTTGATAGGTTTTGCCACTAATAAACTTGCATTTCTATAATCCCATCTTGGTGTTTACTTTATGGAGGACTTGAACTAATGCCTCAGTTTCCCCCGCTGGGTTATTTCCTCTGGGGTTTGTTTCACCTCATTCAGATTCCCAACCTTTACCCAAGAGACCTTGCAGAGAAATTGGCATGCTTCTCAGCATCTTCCACATCTTCTTAAACTGAGACCTACCAATGTTGTATACGCACAAGTGTTTACACTCACTGTGACCCCTTACTAAATCTCTTTTGAAACAAATTTAATTTTTAAACATGAAAGGAGGACAGAAAAATAGAAACTGGAGCTCACTATTCTTCTTTACATCATCGACAGAATAATTTCCCTGAATCACATTCCCAGGCCACTAAATATTGAAATGCTTTTAGAAAACTGTCTTCCAAACTCACTCCTTAAACAGCCTTTTACCTCTGGATGTTTCTTTTTTCTTTTTTACCAGGTTAATCCTTCAATAGTGGTATTATTGTTATCAACTTTACCATAGACAGGCAGCCCAAGCTATCCCCTTGGCCAGGTTTAACAATGATGCAAGCATATGCCCACCTGCTTATGCCAAAAAAAGTGTAAAAGAAAGAGAGGGGAGACATGGGCTTTATACTTCTATTCCTTTCAAAGTGAAGTCATTTGCATGTTGGATATTTTTCCTATTTTAATGGGGTTTCTCTTTCTCTTTCTCAGGCGCATTGTAAGGCAGGCAGAAACTGCATGGCTAAGAGAAAAAGCAACAAAAGTTCCTATTCTGGATCTTTGTGTTGCTCCAAATTACTTATTGTCATTTAATTATAAAATAAACACCTATGAGACTTCAAATAGCTAAAAATAGTTGAGAAGATCAGTGTTACCTCAATATTTATGGTACATTTTAGGTAAGTTAAAAATGTAAAAGAAAAATATCTGAGTCAGGTCAACTGTTCCAATTACACCCACTCATCTACACACAGACACACACACACACAAGCTCACTCAGAATGGAAGGAAAATCCTGATACTAGATTTTCTGATGACAACTTCAGTAAGTCTGCAAGGGTCCTCCCCTTCCTCCCTGGAATCTTAGGCATTTATTCTTACTCTCATTTATTCATTTTATTTGCAAAGTCCATTGGGGCAAAAAGACCTGGCGTTGCAGCCCATCATTTCTGAACAGACTTGATTTAGATGTTTTCAAGGTCACATGTGTTCCTTCAGGTTTCCACTGCAGTCTGATATTAACCATCTGGGTTGTATGGAAAAGGCATCAGCAAATACATTTTTTTTTCTAATGAAAAGTATCCCAAAGTAGGTCACTCGTTAAAATATCTTCAATGAAAAAGAATCCAAAAATGGGGCTGGGGCTAAGAAACTGCTGAAGAGAATTGCAGTAATTCACATGTATGAGAAATATACGTTTAATTATTCCATTGAGCTATCCACATTTTTAATTTAGTTCACTAACACAACATAGCTATCATTTGCCCTGGTTCCTTCTTCTTATTCCTGTCTTTATAATTTAAAACCCTGAATCTGATTCTCTCCATTATACATGTAAATGGAAATGTATTAAGAATGTAATAGTGTTGCTGATCTTAGCCAACATGAAAAATCCTATGATAGAAAATGACCTTTTTCTATCATGTTTCGCCCCTTATTGAGATAACTACTATAGGTACTTGGATCTGTCTGAAACAACTAGACACGTTAGAGGCAGTAAATTTCTAATGTATCTATCCTCCATGAAGATAAGACTGAGCACCATCTAATGGTCTGTCTGTTCCTACTCAGCCTTCAAGATGCATCTCAGCCCCATCCTCTTGGAAACATTCCTCAACAACCTTTGGCCACATTAGTTGCTTTTTGGTCTTCCACAAGACTTCATACAAACTTCTGTTATAACATTTTCTTATTAAATGGCAATTTCTCTGTTTCTACATCTGTCTTCTTGATTAGATTGTAAAATATTACACCGTTAGGTGATATCTTAACCATCTCTGCATTTTTCCCAGCACCTATCCTATATTGAGTTAATCAAATGAACAACTGCCCCCAACCACTCAACACTAAGTGGTAATTGAAATCAGGACCTTGAGATATTAGCACTCCTACATTCACTGCAGCATTATTCACAATAGCCAAAATGTGGAAACAACCTAAATATCCATGGTGAAATAAAATATGTGATATTTATATATATATAATTTATACATATATAATTTATATATGATATATATAATTTGTATGTAAATTATATATAAATATGTAAATTTTATATAATTTTTATATAAATTTATAAAAATTATATAAATTTTATATAAATATATATTTATATAATATATAAATCATAAATATGATATATTTATATAATATATAAATCATAAATATGATATATTTATATAATATATAAATCATAAATATGATATATTTATATTTAATAAAGATGATATATTTATATAAAGATGATATATTTATATTTATATAAAGATATATTTATATTTATATAAAGATGACATATTTATATTTATATAAAGATGACATATTTATATTTATATAAAGATGACATATTCATATTTATATAAAGATGACATATTTATATTTATATAAAGATATATTTATATTTATATAAAGATGATATATTTATATTTATATAAAGATGATATTTTTGTATAACACATATTTTATTTCACCATGGATATTTAGGTTGTTTCCACATTTTGGCTATTGTGAATAATGCTGCAGTGAATGTAGGAGTGCTAATATCTCAAGGTCCTGATTTCAATTATTTTGGAAATACATATAAAAGTGGAATTGCTGGATGATACATTAGTTATATTTTTAATTTTTTGAGAAACCTCTTACTCTTTTTGACTGTGGCTGTACAATTTTGCGTTTCCACCAATAGTATACCAAGTTCCAATTTCTCCTCCTCCTCACGAACACTTCCTGTCTTCTGTTTTTCTTTTATAATGCCATCTAAACAGGTATAAGATCATATCTCATTGTGATTTGATTTGCATTTCTCTGATAATTAGTGATGTTGAGCACCCTTTCACGTAACTGGTGGTTATTTGTATTTCTTCTTTGGAGAAAAGTATACCTATGTCTTTAGCCATTTTTTATTTTTATTTTTATTTTTATTTTTTGACAGAGTCTCCCTCTGTCACCCAGGCTTCCAGGCTGGAGTGCAGTGGCGCAATCTTGGCTCTCAGCTCTCGGCTCACGGCTCACTACAACCTACGCCTCCCGGGTTCAAGTGATTCTCCTGCCTCAGCCTCCTGAATAGCTGGGATTACAGGCATGTGCAACCATATCTGGCTAATTTTTGTATTTTTAGTAGAGACGGGGTTTCACCATGTTGGTCAGGCTGGTCTCAAACTTCTGACCTCATGATCTGCCTGCCTCGGCCTCCCAAAGTGCTGGGATTACAGGCGTGAGCCACCGCGCCTGGCAGTGTTTAGCTCATTTTTTAAAAATCAGGTTATTAGGTTTTTTGCTGTTGAGTTGTAGTAATCCATTATATATTTTACAAATTAAACTTTTATCACATGCATGGTTTGCAAATATTTTCTCCCATTCCATAGATTGTCTTTTTACTCTACTGACTTGTCTATTTGTTGTACAGAAGCCTTTTAGTTTGATGTAGTCTCACTTGTTTATTTTTGCTTTTGTTGCCTGTGCTTTGGTTGACATATTGCTGAAATACTTGCCAAACCAATATCTTGAAGCTTGGATATCATATGCAAATTAATGATACCGGATTCTTATCACATACTATATACAAAATTCAACTCAAAAAATGTTTAAAGATATAAATATGAAACACGAAACTGTAAAACTCCTAGAAGATAACCTGCTTCCTTGAACAGTAGAAACATATTTCTTGAACTTGCCCTAGAAGAATTACCTAAAGCATTTATGCATTGCTGTGAACAAAATTAGGTATTACTTTTGGTGATATCTGAACAAAAACAAACATGGCTCTTTGATAACAAAGATTTCAAGCACCAAGTTCACTAGGATCTGACTTAATATATAAAGGAAATAGTCTACAGGTGATGACTTTGTGAATCTGATACAGTAATCAGTGGATAAAGCATCACCCTTACCCTAGATTAAATATCGGCCTACTTTATCTGATTCTCAGTGTAAATAAAGTAATATCAAGTCCAAAGATGAGAAAATGAAAATTATGCCTTCTAATTAGGTATAATATATCTTTGCATTTGGATAACTGCTTATTACAAGTTTTGTGAATGATGATAAACAATAGAAAATGGAAAAAGCAAAAATGGATGTAAGCCTATTTTAAGCAAACCTGATCTAAAATTCTTTCAAATGCACCCCATACTCCCCCTCAAAATATGTAAGGTGATTGTTGACTTTACAAGCAGATTCATGTATGAATAGCAGGGCATCAGGCTTATTTAAATGTTTTGATTTGTAACACTAATAATACATAATTTGCTCAAAAGCACTTTCATTAGGGAAAAGGAAAATCGTGGGCATGCACATCATAAAGTGCTATAAAACTAGTCCTTAATGTACATTTTGTCAACATTTTAAATTTATTCTGAACTGGAAATTTCTTTAGAACAATAAACTGGATAAGTACAGTGACTTTTATTCTTTCTTTTCTTTCTCTTTTACATTTCAATATTTAAATTTTTTATTTCTATTTTAATATTATATAACATTTTACAATAGACCTTAGCTTAAGTTCTGAAATAAGCACAGGAATGTACAAAATTAAATTATGAATATCAAAAGAAAGAGGCCAGACCTGAAGAAAGTCACACCTAACACTGAAGAGGCAAAGCAAAGTTTGTCCCAACTATCTAAGTGTACAAATAACTATACTCTCTGGCTTCATGGAAGAGGGTCCTTTCTTGCATTGCTAGATTACAGAAGTAATACTACCAAGTGACTGCCTCTCCCCATCGCACAACTGAAGACTATGTCAAGTTCGTGAAAAGGAAGAGGTCTGGAGTTGAGTTTAAAGGAAGGTAGCACACATGTCCAGTATCTTTTTCCCGTGTATAACTAGTTCAGTAAATTGGGTTATGTATCTTTATAGCCATACATAATTATTGCATTTCATTGATTTCAAGATGCACAGGTTTTTAGAAACCACCTCTGAAATCAAGAGTTCATTCCACAATCTATGGTATCTTACAACTCTGTCTGCATGGTAGCACTGCTGGTGCAATTGTAAATTGCTTGTCCATGTATGAATCTTGTGTTTTTTCTTGGAGCCATTCTTAAAGCTCCTCAACATTTCAGCCTTTCAAACATTTGAAGGCATTTGGTGCGGGAATGTGCATGTATATATATCCAGGCAATTGCCTGGAAACTTACTATTAACACCTTCTGGTAAGCACTAACATCAAAACTTATAAAATAGGTGTCAGCTGTTTGGAAAAATATTCCCTGGGACAATAATTAACATTCCTGGGACAATAGTGAACATAACACATTAATTTAGAGCACAGAGTGTGAAAACGTACAGGAAAATAGACAGGAATGACTCTGATTAAAAAGGACAATGACTATGAACAAGTTTTAGGAATTCTTTATCCAAATTAGGTCTCTTACATCGTCCTTCAGGGTTTCCAAACAATGCTATATAATTTTTAAGATGATTTTTAAACTGGCTATTGTATTTTCAGTAAAAGGAATAACAGTGTTAAGTAACAGGAAAATAATATACTGGTTAACTGACAGCATTTTTTGTTTCTTAGTTGCTTATTAAATAGTGTATTGGATAATTTTTTATCATCCAGATAATATCCAGACAAAGATTCTCTACAAACACTATGCTACACAAAAAGAAGGGCCATAGAATTGTATACACCATTTAAAGATTGATAGACTGAGGGAAAAGACAACACCGTGGGGCTCATTAAAAGATTCTGTAGCACAAGAAAAACGGAATAATGTTCTGAAGATGCATAGGAATGGCATAATAGTGACAATAATTTAGTACAGAAAGCAGATAAAATTCTCAGAAATCATCTTTTTTTGTGGTTTCAGTACAATTAAAACAGAAACCACAGAAATAAGAACTGAGACGTGTGATGGGAATCTTAAATGGCAGTATAACTTAAAATGGAAAGAGACCAAGCTGACTAAGGAAAGTTTGTGAGGAAACTATGATAATAGAATTAAAATCTGCCTGCAAGCACTGCAGAAAATCTAACCAGTGATGTAAAAATATGAATAAAAACCTAGAGAAATGACTCCAGGATTCAAAAAACTGGAAGTTATTTTCTCTCATTCTCTCCAGTGCCATATTTCTGGCCACATTCCATTTCAGAGTTTAATGCTGCCTGTGCTTTAAGTAGTAATGAATTTAACAACTTCTCCCTGTGGACGAATAACAATTCAGAAAGGCAATGTCTTGGGAAGTCTACACTGATGAACAGAAACTACACATAAACCATAACTAATTGTTATGGAAACTTTGGTCAAGGGGAAGTGGGACTTAGGAATGGAAATGTAGAATGAGTCTGCTAGGCAGAATCTAGGTCCTGGCATCAATGCATAAAATAAACCACTTCTACATCCACACTTTTGGTTACCTGAGCCAATTATTTGCTCCTTCTCTTCAGTCAGTTAGGTATATATATTTTTTTCTGTCTTAGAGGTACCATTTCTAAATAAACTAAATAAATGCACCAAAACAAGTCCATTAAATTTAATCAGGTGTTGAAAGATGGTTACAGATTATCATTTGAAGAATGGTTAAACCCAAGTCGAAAAGAATGTCAGTTCCCATTATATGTATTTAATACTGAGTTTAAAAAATGAACACAATTTCATTTAAAATGCATAAATCTGAAAGGTGAATAACTTGAGAAAATGAAACCTTACTAATTATCTGATTATTTAGCAGACAAGCAAAGGGATTCTTTCATTAATGCCTATCCCTTCCTTACACCTTATACAAAAATCAATTCAAGATGGATTAAAGACTTAAACGTTAGACCTAAAACCATAAAAACCCTAGAAGAAAACCTAGGCATTACCATTCAGGACATAGGCATGGGCAAGGACTTCATGTCTAAAACACCGAAAGCAATGGCAACCAAAGCCAAAATTGACAAATGGGATCTAATTAAACTAAAGAGCTTCTGCACAGCAAAAGAAACTACCATCAGAGTGAACAGGCAACCTACAAAATAGGAGAAAATTTTCACAATCTACTCATCTGACAAAGGGCTAATATCCAGAATCTACAATGAACTCCAACAAATTTACAAGAAAAAAACAAACAACCCCATCAAAAAGTGGGCGAAGGACATGAACAGACACTTCTCAAAAGAAGACATTTATGCAGCCAAAAAACACATGAAAAAATGTTCATCATCACTGGCCATCAGAGAAATGCAAATCAAAACCACAATGAGATACCATCTCACACCAGTTAGAATGGCAATCATTAAAAAGTCAGGAAACAACAGGTGCTGGAGAGGATGTGGAGAAATAGGAACACCTTTACACTGTTGGTGGGACTGTAAACTAGTTCAACCATTGTTGAAGTCAGTGTGGCAATTCCTCAGGGATCTAGAACTAGAAATACCATTCGACCCAGCCATCCCATTACTGGGTATATACCCAAAGGACTATAAATCATGCTGCTATAAAGACACATGCACACATATGTTTATTGCGGCATTATTCACAATAGCAAAGACTTGGAACCAACCCAAATGTCCAACAATGATAGACTGGATTAAGAAAATGTGGCACATATACACCATGGAATAGTATGCAGCCATAAAAAATGATGAGTTCATGTCCTTTGTAGGGACATGGATGAAATTGGAAATCATCATTCTCAGTAAACTATCGCAAGAACAAAAAACCAAACCCCGCATATTCTCACTCATAGGTGGGAATTGAACAATGAGATCACATGGACACAGGAAGGGGAACATCACACTCTGGGGAGTGTTGTGGGGTGGGGGGAAGGGGGAGGGATAGCATGGAGAGATATACCTAATGCTAAATGAGGAGTTAATGGGTGCAGCACACCAGCATGGCACATGTATACATACGTAACTAACCTGCACAATGTGCACATGTACCCTAAAACTTAAAGTATAATAATAATAAAAAAATAAAAAATAAAAAATAAAATAAAAAAATAATTAACAAAACAAACTTTTTATGAAAGGCAGTGCAGGGTATAATAGGAAGAATGGAGCTGTGTAAGTGGGAAGCCCAATTCTGAGTTCTGAATCTGTTTCTGTCACTTAGACTTTGCTCAAAGAAATGATCAGATAGACTTTCTGAGAGAGTATCCTTTTTTTGCCTTTATCACGGGATTATAATTTCAAATTTACTATGTTAACATAACATTAAATGAGTGGTTTAAATATCATCAGAAGCTATCCAGGATTCTTTAGAACATAATTTTCAGAAGCTTCAATACAAAAATAAACAGAGTAAGTTAACATTATTGACTAAAATGGACTAATGAAAAAGGAAGCAGAGGAGAGGGAATAAGAGAAATATGTACGTTACAGAATTCCTTGGAATAGAAAATAGACAATATCCAAGAAATTAAAGACTAAATGGATTATTCAAAATCATAAAGAAAATGATGTAAGACTACCTAAATAACAGAAAAACTGAAAATCTATATAACAAATTATAAAGCAGCAAGTTCCTTAAAGAAAAAAAAAACCTACAGGAAATGCAATAAAATTGAGATGGAAATCACGAAGAGTGAAGGATATTACTTAATCTTTTCAGTCAGTCCATAATAGAGCTAGTAAAGAAAAAGCATGCGAGGAATACAGAACCCTTGAGTAACGTAATTAGAAGTTTCAGGATGAAAATATAGATATGGATATACATACAGAAATACATAGATATATACATACATTTTATAAATATAAAGTACATAAAATGTATATATAAACCTTTATTTTAGTAAGCGTATATGTAGTTGTGTATGTATACTTATAAGTTCCCAAGGAAAATTATGAATTAAGCAATAAAAAAAACCTTAATATATTTTAAAATGTAAAATCAATTTTTAGAAATATTTTCAAATACAAGAAAAGCAGAAATTAATAACAAATTAGAAAACTGAACAGTTCCAGAGGCCCTTACATCTGGCAGAGAAGGATGTATTTGTTTTGGCATAGTCTTTCAACATCTTTTGTGTCAATAGGAGAAACACAATTCAAATATCAAACTTACTGGAAAAAAATCATTATGAAACAATTACCTAAATGGACCAATTGGATATAATAAAAACAAGGATCAGAGGAAAGTTCATAGCTTTAAATATTTACATTGGTAAATAAGAATATATTTACATTGGTAAATAACAAAGAATTAAAAAATTGTAACTAGCATACAATTCAAAATAAACCTAGTTATGTTAAGTGAAACAAGCTAGACCCAAAAGACAAATACAATATGATCTCATTTATATATGTAATCTAAAATATTCAAATTAATAGAAGCAGAGTAGAATCATGATTGCCAGGGGCTCAGGGGAGAGGGCAGTGGGGAGGTGATGGGTACAAACTTTTGATTATGCAAGATAAATAAGTCCTGGAGATCTCCTATGCAGCATTGCTCCTATAACTAATGGTATTATATTCTATATTTAACATTTACTAAGAGGGTAGATCTTACCTTAAATATTCTGACCAAAATGATAACAATGACAGTAAAGGAGGCAGGAATCAACTTGCAGTAGCAAAGAATACATTCATGACTTTGATGGTGGTAACAGTTTCACAGGTGTGTGCTCATCACTGAACTCACTGAGCTGTATGTATTAACTATGTACAGCTTTTTGTATGTCACTAATACCTCAATAAAGTGATTTTTAAAAAAGGTAGCAGAATCCTCTAGTGGGAAACATAATCACTGGTGCATTTTATTATCTTAAGGAAACATTTTTTTCTAGATGTGACAGTGCCATTGTGGTTATGTTTTTAAAGGGGTTCTTGTTTATACAAGCAGAAATGTTTAGAGAGGAAATGATATACTTCCTAGAATTTGCTTCAAACAATTAAAGCATAGGAAGTGGAAGGATATGAAAAGGAAACAGGACCTAATGATGATAATCAATGGAACTGCTGGGTGATATATGGTATTTGTTATATTTTTCTATTTTTACCTATGTTTGATATTTTCCATAATAAAAAGTTTTTTAATGTAAAAAAGGAAAGCAGGAAGAAGAAATTAATTAATATAAAAGTATAAATGAGATCAAAACAGAAAAGCAATAAATCTAGTAAGTAATCTCAAAATAATAATAAATCTAGTGGATACAAAGGAATCAAGGATTGTACCAGACCTCCAATGCCACTTTCCTCTCATAGGTTCTAAATTTGGTGGTCAAATCTGCCCTTGTGGAGTCAGCAATCTGCCAAGTCAAAAGTGTAAAGAAATAATGAAATCTTTGCTTTCCATGACATTAGCCAAAAATGACCCAAAGTATCCTTGCAATGCTACTGGTAAATACATATTTGCTGTATTTTTATTGAGTAGGCTACCTTAATAAAGGCTTCACTATATTCTACAGCAGGAGCTAAGTTAAACAGCATTACATAAAAAATAATGGCATCATTTTCTCCTACTGTTCAAGCATACAGTGTCTGGATTTTACAAGTATCTGCTATTTCCTAATTGTCTTTTGCATATCAGTCTCCAAAACTAGGGGCTTTACATAGTTTAATTCTCATTGCAAAACTCAGTGTAAAACTACTTTAGAAAAGTAGAAATTTCAGAAAGGTTAAGTCACTTGTCCAAAGTCACACTACTAGTAATTCCAAAATGAGGCTTCTCAGTTCTAAAGGGGTGTGTGTGTGTGTGTGTGTGTATGTGTGTGTGTGTGTGTTTTCTTTTTACTCCAAGGGATTTCTTCACTTGAAGAAGCTAATTTTTGATGTAACCATTTTTGAAATCATTTATGATAGTGTTCTATATGGGCATTTGTCACATGAGATTTTCAGATAAATGGAATGTTTAACAATCACAAGTCTCTTTACCACCCACATACATTAATATGGATTTGGATTTATCAATTAAATATTATCTTCAAATGCCTATAGAAGGATCTTTCTCTTTATAATTTGAAAAGACCAAATTGCAGTTCTTACTACCCTCTGAAACTAATACCAGAATAAAATTTCTGATCTTCCTGTATATAAAATTGTTCTTGTAGCATCTCTATGAAAACAAAACAAAACAAAATACAAGAGTTACATATAACTGTACATGCGAACATATACCCTATATGTACTTGATTTCTGCTAATGGAACAACTTAACTATGATTACTATCACTATCGTTAATCTTAGAATACCTCAAAAGTTAAAAAGTTATCTTCATATTATAAAATATCACAGAAGAGCACGTAAATTAAAACATAATAGAAACATTTAGAATACTGATAAAAATATTACTAAGAACTTAATTTTAAAAATGAGAACGTTGTTTTGACAAAATGTTATAACCCAGAGTAAACTATGCACTAATTACTGACATGTTATATAGTAAAATCTTTTGTTTAGTTCACATGTTATAAAGAAATAAACATATTTAATGCTCATATAAGTATTTTAAATTAGTAGCCATCATATTAATTATCAACTAAATGTTGGCGCTTTTTTTTTTTTTTTTTTACAAGTGGTAGAGATTGGAAGTCTTAGATACCACACCAATATCCTGAACAACACCATGGCTATATTGCATTGTACAAAAGAAAGCTGATAATCTACATCTTAATGACATAGCCAATATGACTTTACAATACTTTTTTTTTTGAGACAGAGTCTCACTCTGTTGCCCAGGCCGGAGTGCAGTGGCGTGATCTCGGGTCACTGCAACCTCCGCCTCCCGAGTTCACGCCATTCTCCTGCCTCAGCCTCCCGAGTAGCTGGGACTACAGACGCCCGCCACCAGGCCCGGCCAATTTTTTTTTTATTTTTTAGTAGAGACAGGGTTTCACCGTGTTAGCCAGAATGGTCTCGATCTCCTGACCTTGTGATCTGCCCGCCTCGGCCTCCCAAAGTGCTGGGATTACAGGCGTGAGCCACTGCGCCTGGCCTTTACAATACATTTTTAAAGCTTCCATTTATTGTGTATTCAGTAGCTATGCAAGATTGGACATATTACTTTACTCCTCTGCGCTTCAAATACATTGATAAAATGAGTATAAAATGTATATCTCTTAGTACTGTTGCAAGAAATATATCTTATTATATATTGTCATAGTCCATTCAGGCTACTTATAAAAATACCAAAACTTGGATAGCTTATAAACTACATTAATGTATTTCCTATTGTTACCGCTGTTCTTGAGGCTCCAAGATTAAGGCATCAGCATGTTTGGTGTCTAGTGAAAACCAGCTTTCTAGATCACTGATGCCACCTTCTCACTACGTCCTCACTTAGTGGAAGGGGCAAGGCAACTCTTTGTGGCCTCGTTTATAAGGGCACTATTCCTACTCGTGAGGGCTCTGTTCTCATGACCTAGTTACCTCCCACCAGGCTCACCTCTTAATAGCATCACACTGGTGATTAGGTTTCAACTTGTGAATCTGGGGAGTATATAAGCATTCAGACCATGGCGTATGGCATAAAGGTAAGAGATTAGTGTGACATTCATACATATTAAGTAGCTAAGCTGAAATCTAAGCCCAGATTATCTCACTTCAAACGCCATTACTGAACCCCTCATTTGATTAAGTGTGTCAACCAAATTGCTCTGTTTCATCTGTGTTGAGTTTTTCTCCTGAACTTGTTATATAATAGAGAGAATACAAAAAGAGAACATATTATTTAAAAGTTCTGATGTGTCCCAAGCCATAAATAGCAGGAATTATAAAACAAGTTTCTTAAACCAAGGAGGCTGACTGTGGAAAACTGTATGAACCCAAAGTACGGCTGATATGATTGATCCCTTGTACTATGGCCTCTGCTGGGGAAAGGGAGGAAGTCTAGAATCCAGAATAAAAGTGTCATGCCTTTTCAACCTCAGGCCTATAGGAAATGTTCTAGAACCTAGATAAAGGTAAGGCAGTTCAGATACTTTTGGTAGAAAGGCTAGAGTTCCCTACTAAATTGAAGGTACCTACAACTGAATTTTTTCTATATCAGATTGAAGAGAATTCTGTCACATTTAACCAAACACTGTATAATTTCTGTTTGAGAACAAATAGGTATTCTGACAGAATAACATTGAACTACATGAAAATTGCATAGTATATGTGTAAAATAATTGAAAGAATAAGACATTCAAGTCTAACTTAATCTTTCAACGAAGTTGGTATATTTACTTCCTCTCTTGAATTCCTTCACTCATATTATTTTGTTTACATATCTTCCAACACTGGTTTTGCTCTTAATTTTTCTGTAGTTATTTTCTTGTCTTGTTTTCTTCAAGAAATACAAAGCTTTTTGAGAGTCAAAAATATTTCACTTATTTATAAATTTTATTTATGCACTGAATGAATACTCATTAAGAAATTGCTACATGCAAGGAACAAAAATAAATGAACATTGTAAAGACTATCAGACCTATCTGATCATATTGATCTATGAGTGAGTTAATTTTCCCAAAGACAGAAGGTTAACTATAAGATAAAGTTTCTTAATCTGAAGAACTAATGAGATATATATCATAAATTGAAACATCTTAACAATGTTTATGAGGGACTAGAACTCAATTAGTTTTAACAGATGAAAACAGGTTAGAGAAGTAACTCATCTTCAGATTTCACCTCTTCATGAAATTGGCCCTGTGAATCTATTTTCTCAAGTAGCTCAAAGTGGCAATTTCTCATCTAATGTGTCATATCTGCATATTAAAATATTAATGTTCACATTTTTATCTTATTCACTTTTTATGGCATTTTTCCTCAAGAATCTACTGATGAGGGGAGGGGAAGTCTTACAGCCTCTATTCTAGCTATTGGCTTTACTCAGCCTTATTACAATATGGCCAGAACCATTGATGAGTTTAAGCAGCTTTTCTAGACTTGTAGGAAGACTTGCCAATAGTTGGTTGTCCTTCATAGAATCCCATGGGATGTGAGCTATGAAGCTATGGCTCCTCAAATGTTTTTATTCCCTCAGTTGTGTGTATGATTTATGAGGTCATAGCCACAAGCCTGAACTATCAGCTCTGGTTGTTGGGTCTACCTTGCAGAAAGTAGATGATATGTGTCAGCCTTTCATTCGTGTGTGCAGAGACTATTTCATCTGTCTACACAGCACTCTGGGGCCTCTTTCTAGACAGTTGTTTTTAAGTGTCAGATAACTTTTCTCTGGGCACGGTCTCAAAACCCAACTTATGATGAATATTTCTAGCTAACACATCTCTGCCACTACTTCAGGCAGTTTACTGAGGTGTATCAATAAATCAATGAATCAATCAATCTATTTATCTGTCTATCTGCTTTCACTACTACAAATATATTAACGGTTATAATTTTCATATAAGACTATGTAGACTTAAAATATTTTAATATCATTTAGAAACCTGAAGTGGAATCAGAAATAGGAAAACTGTGAGTAGCGGTTCTGATGAGTTGAAGACTGTCTGCTTAACCCTTTTCTATCTCTGTCTAAAGTTTAGTTCAATGAATGCAGAGTCCAGTGAATACTATTCTCTAAAGAAAACTCCTCCAAACGAGAAATGTTCATACTTCCTGTGGATTCAGTTGCCATTTTTAAAAACAGGCTTTAATTAAAAGTACCACATTAAATCAGTCTTATAATGAGTGAGAACTGGTGTTCAATATGAATTACTCAGAATGATATCAATCAAGAAAAATCAGATTAACATTTCATTATACATGAGACATGATAAAATCTCTACGACTTCAGGAGATATGATTGAAAGGCCATTTCTTCCATAAGGTCTTGATACGATATCTGTAGAAGAGAGTTCCAAAAAGTTCTCTGTTGGAATCAAAATCTTATTTCATTCTATTTTGTCCCGAGGGCTTTCATTCCTTTTAACCCATACATTTAAAATTAAAAATTGTATGATTCAGCTTATTATAATGTCTTTCTCTGGGAGAATTAATATAATTTATTTCTACCTCCTTCTTGCATTATGTTTTAATGTTAAGAAATCTTAAATCATTTCCTATTGTATATACATAAAACTCTTTAATATAGTGAATTATACACTCATTTTAAATATCAGTTGTAGAATTAATCCCAAACCTATTTTACGTGGTAATAGGCCACATGTTTTTAATCATTCCACCTCTTTTAATCAGTGCATAGGCTCCCTGTATAATTATGTATTGTAATGACACAGGAGAAATATACAGTACTTGCCATGTATTGGTTGTCTAGGATACCTGTATGAGTTAATTATTAATAATGTATTGTAATGGAAAAAAGAATCTACTCATGGAAGGCAGCCCACAGTTATATGTAAATGTACTTCAACTATATAAAATATGAAAATAAATTCTAAAGAGAAATGTAAATAATATAAAAAGGAGAATGTGTGGCATGCCATCCTTCTACTTTTTTATTTGATTAAAATATTTGTGAGTTTAATTATACTTATGTTTTTACTTTTGTTAAATTATAACATCATCTATTACATTATGCCATTTGTTGCTAAATGAAGCTGGTTGTGGGGATATGCACACAATTACTTTATTTGTTAAATCTATTATAGTGAAACTGAATAAAAGATATTATTATCAATCTCTTTAATTTCAATATAGAATTTAGTGAAAATCAATATTAGAGAATACATAATTGCTAATCCTTCTTAAAATAATAGACTCATTCATTAACACAGCCTCCCCTCAATGGCTAGCTCTTTAATCATTGACATTGTCTAATTATTTAGCAAGAAGCAAATCATATCCAGCTCTGCTGCTTTGGCCAACTATATGATGGGATCCTAACATAGTCCTGTACTGGATTAATTTAAGTTTGCATATAAAGTGCCTTAGTAATATATTGATTAGAGGAAAGATGGCTAGCTACACAAAGAGAAAACTGAAAGCATGCTGATGCTTGACAAAAATTCTGATAACTAGCAAGCTGTTGAGACAGGATCAGAATGGGAAATGTACCAAAAGAGTACTTATTGAAAGATGACAGGCAATTTAAAATCTCTTGAATTAAAAATTATTGCAATGTGGCTAAAAATATATGCAATACTGTATATACATTTTCTGTGAAACATGAGACTTTTCATTAGTTCTTAGTAAGCAGTATCTCTGAGCATAAAAATTATCTTCAAAAAGTACAGGGGCCAGGTGCAGTTCTTCACACCTGTAATCTCAGCACTTTGGGAGTCCAAGGTGGGTGGATCACTTGAGGCCAGGAGTTCAAGACCAGCCTGCCCAATATGGAGAAACCCCATCTCTACAAAAAAAAAAAAAAAAAAAAAAAAATTGTCGGGCGTGGTGGTGGGCACCTGTAGTCCCAGCTACTGGGGAGGCTATGGCAGGAGGATTGCTTGAACCCCAGGGGTAGAAGTTGCAGTGATCTGAGATCATGCCACTGCACTCCAGCTTGGATGACAGAGTAAGACTGTCTCAAAGAAAAAAAAAGTACAAAAGGCAAAAGGTAGTAGGCTGAGTCGTTCTGAAGAGTCTTATGTAACTCATAGTTTTTTTGGTTTTGAATTTTTGTGGTCTCAGATGTTGAAATTTTGGAGAAAAATATGTAAAAAGACTGAAGTGTCGACTAAAGGACAACCTCTTTTTTCCTTTAATTATTGGCTTCAATGATCAGTGATGACAAACAAATGAAATAGGAAGCTACTTCTAGATCGAGAGTTTTGATGAATTTTAAACAATAATCTATGCAGAAGTCTTTCTCATTATGCCTGTTCCTCCCAAGAGAATAAGCCTAAAACTCACCGCTCACTTTAGCATTTGTCTGGAGTAGCTTTCTGCTATTGTTGTTTGGCTAGATGGTAACTGCATATTGTAATATTGTGTATGTGTGTATGCACACACCACACACATATACACAAACATAAATATGTGTTTATTCATACATATATATATAAGGATGTTTTTATAAGGGAAAGCAATCAATAATTTTATTAGAATGTTTATTAAACCTAAGTTTAATATCTGTAGTATTCCAATGGAGGAAAATAAACAATATCATCACCAAAGAATCTTACACATCTTAAGATAAGACCTATCTAGCTTCACCACAGATAACATTCAAAGTGCCCTGTAACTCCCACTTTTACTTATCTCTCTAGCAACACTAATCCCCATATCTAAATGATGTTTTATTTTTTCATAGCCCAGTAGTTACTAAGAATATAAATGCTACTATATTAGAGACTTGTTTAACAATAAGAAGTAAAATATAGAGTATCACTCACTACAGACATTCTAAACAACTATAACTTTTCTTATGATTTTGTTATGTAAAATTTATAGCCTTTAATTTTTCTGCTACATCTTAAGAAATGCCTTGCCTTTCACAGGGCTTTGCACAAAATTACACATATGTAAAGACCATAAATTAAAAAGTGAACTTAATGAGAAGTAGCAATGCACATTGAGCAAATGGTCTCTGAGGCATATGTGAAAATCATAATGCAAAAACAGATTGGTGACTCCTGAATTGTTCTCTTCATGGATCTGTTCTTAAAATAATCCTCACTAATTAGTATTAATAATTAAAAGAGATTTTAAAACAACTCTGATAATTCTGAAAAGTAGTAAAATTGAAAATCCTACAAAAATCATAATAATAATAACAACAAAAGTCTTTTACAATTACTTAAAGCAATGTATTTCACTCTGCTTAGGTATATAAGAGAAACAGAAACTGGACTCTTATATATGCCTCATTGATTTATACAACAAGCATTTAGAGTGTCAATACTATGTAGCATGCTTGCAGAATGCCTACTCCAGCAACATGCACAATGGTTAAAACTATAGGCCCGGAGTCAATACACCCAGGTTCAACTTTCATTTTATTACTAACTACCTGTGCAACCCCAGGAACATTGCTATCCCTGACATTCTATGTCTTAATTTAAATCCTGGAAAGCGGGTAATGATAATATCTGCTCATTCATATAGGAGGAGCTCAACAAATATTTTCTGTTATTCTAAATATTAAATAAGATAAGGCATGTATATTTATTTTTCAATACAGAGAAAACATTCATAAATAACAGCTATAGGGACAGGCCTATTCTTTTTGGGTTTGATTTTGTAAGAGTGGAAAATACAGAGTAAGATTGGCACAAAATTATCATAAGAACAGATTGGATGTCTAAGAAGATCAGGGAAATTAAGAAGAGGGAAGCAGTGAGGTGACCAAGAGCATGTAGAATGACTTTCACTTATTTTAAGGAATTTGCAGGGTGGAAATAAAGACTGGATGTCTTATTAGTCTTTTCAGAAGGGATATAAAAAGGTTAGACATAGGATAATTTTAAGTTCCTTGTAGAAATGTAAATATGCATAAATACAATGATAAATGCTGACAGTATATTTGAACAGGACAATTTTTGTGTATAACAGAAGTCATTCCAAGAGTACTTTCCCTTTTTACTACCATCATATCAATCTAATTTTATAATCTCATCTCTTGAATCTGACCCGTTCTCTTCATTCTTTCCCCAATATCATATTCCGGTTCTCATCAGTTCTTGTCTGAACTGCATAATTATTCTCTTTAACAATCTCTGGCCTATAGTCCTATCCAACTCTAAGACATCCTCCACAAATAAACTTTTATCATCTATAAAATAACCTCCACACCCAACTAGACATAAGAGATTTATCTTTTTGATATTTATGGTACCTGATCCATAATTTCGTTACGGCAACCTGGCACCACAGAGAAAATACCAAAGAAACCATTATGTTAATCAAGCTTGCCGTTTACCAACTGGGTGACTTTGGAAAAAGGACTCTGCCACTGTGAGCCTCTGTTTTATACTCAACAAAGTCTGAATGATTCCACTGACTTTGAAAAATTATCGTAATTATTTAAAAAGCATATAAATAGTGCCCAGAAAAATCCATATTGTTTTTTTTTTAAAATCTTAATCAACTATGAGTTTAAGGATTATCCTCTGCAACTTCTGACTCATCCATTCCCAAGCCAATCTTGGCAAAAACTGGAAGCATAATAAAAATTCTTTTGTAACTAGAGAATTGATTCTGGACTGAGTTTACATTCCAAAGACTTGGGTAATTTAAGCAATGCCTACTAAACACCTACAAGCTTAGTAAACTTCAGCCTCATCCATAACTCTTAAGGTAATTATCAAGTCCATAATCCTTGCTTTATAAATCCCTTGTTTGGCTAAGGCTTTTGCAAGATAGCCATTGCCATCCCCTATCTCTTACAACTTTACCCCACTCCTTAGCTAAGAACATGCACCTTGACCTCAGTTGCTGCTATATTGGCTGTGACCAGCTTCACACAGAGTAAAGACCTTGAACTGAGAGATATGAGAACGATGTACTGGCAAATGTTTAAGAACCGGCTGGGCGCTGTGGCTCACGCCTGTAATCCCAGCACTTTGAGAGGCTGAGGTGGGCTGATCATGAGGTCAGGAGTTCGAGACCAGCCTGTCCAATATGGTGAAACCCTGTCTCTACTAAAAAATACAAAAAAATTAGCCAGGCATTGTGGCACAGGCCTGTAGTCCCAGCTACATGGGACGCTGAGGCAGGAGAATCACTTGAACTTAGGAGGTGGAGGTTGCAATGAACCGAGATCGCACCACTGCACTCCAGCCTGGGCGATAGAATGAGACTCCGTCAAAAAAAAAAAAAAAAAAAAAAGCTTTTTGGTGAGGAAAGTGGCAGGTGTGGAGCTAGAGACTGATTTGTAACTGCTGCTGATATTCATACTGTAGATATTTGCACCATAGCTGATTTCAAGCCACAAACTTCACAAACTTGACCTCATTGAACACGGAGTTGAGAAGAGACAGACATAATAAGCTTTTACAAACTAGTTCTATAATCGAGCCTACTTCTCACATAGGAAGCATGGAAAATCCTATCTGGAAATGCCACTTAAGCCAGAGATGACACTCTGATATCAATTGCAGATTATATCTGGATTTTCTATATGCCTTTAAATAATTTCTTGAATCTGTGGCCTCCAATTTAAATATTAACCCTGCTACTGTGGGCCTTTTCTGTCACTGCAGCTCTTCTCGGTTTGCCTAAATCAGAAATCTAGCATGCATTCTGGCCCCATTAATACTGACAGTGTCAGTCAGAAAATGTGGGATTTGCACCGACTTCTTATTCCAGCAGAGTTTTATATGATTATGACATCATTAAAACTGGAGAGATCCATTTTGAATAATTAATTGGTCTTGATGATAGAAGAGTAAACCAAAGTAATATGAGTAATTCTTCTTCTCACATTGCAGACATTATCCAGAACTATAATTTTTAGGCTGTCTTTACTCACTTTATAATTTGTCAAGAAATGTGCTAGTGGTTTATTTTTGAATTCTGTATTTTGTTCCGTTGGTCTAGTGTCTGTCTTTATGACAGTACTGTATTTTTTAAATTATTGTAGTCTTGTAATATATGTAAAAATTAGGATGTCTCTGGCTTTGCTTTTCTTTCTCAACATCAGCGTCACTTTGGCTATTCAGGGTCCTTGTGGTTTCATATGAATTTTAGGATTGTTTTTTCCTACTTCTTTAAAAAATGCTATAATCAGTAGATCACTGTGTAATGTGGATATTTCAATAATATTAATTTAATTAATAATTAATTAATATTAATTTTTCCAATTTATGAACATAGTATGTCTTTCCATTTCTTTGTGTCTTATTTGATTTTGTTAATCAGTATTTTATAATTTTTCTACATAAGTCTTTTACCTCCTTTGTTAGGTTTATTTCTATGCATTTTATTCTTTTTGATGCTGCTATAAATGAGATTGTTTTTCTAATTTCCTTCAGAGATATACATTCAAGTCATCTTCAATAACAGTGTCAAGGACATCTGATGGGAAAATGATAGTCTCTTCAACAAATGGTGTTGGGAAAACTGAACATCCACATGGAAAAAAAATGAAACTTAATCACTACCTTACACCATAACATATAATTCAACTCAAGATGGATCAGAGATTTAAATGTAAGACCTGAAGTTGTAAAATTCGCCAAAAAGAAAAACATAAGAAAAATCTTCTTGACATTGCTCTTGGCAAAAATTTCCTAGATTTGACATCAAAAACATAGACCAAAAAAAAAAAAAAAAAGACATGAGTAGTACTGCATCAACATAAAAAGCTTTATATAACAAAAGAAATAATCAACAGAGTAAATGGCAAACTACAAAATGAAAAAATTTGAAACCATCTGTTTGATAAAGAGTCAATGTCCTAAATATACAAGTATTTCCTAACATACTATAAAAACCACAATATTTTTAAAGGATTATTTGACTTAAATACAAAAAGAACTTAAACATTTTTGGAAAGAAGACATACAAATGGGTCCAGGTATATGAAAGAGTGCTCAACATCACTAATCATCAGGGAACATCACAATAAGATAACAACTCACACCATTTAGAATGTCTATTATTAAAAAAAGAGAGAGAGATAACAAATGTTAACAAGGATATGGGAAAATTGGAGCCGTTGTACACTATTGAAAGAAACATAGAATGTTGCAACCACTATAGAAAACAGTAGAAGGTACCACAAAAATTTAAAAATAGAGCAATTATATGATCCAGAAATCCCACCTTTGTATACATATCCAAACAAACTGTAATCAGGATCTCAAAGATATCTGCATCCAAATATTCATTGCAGCATTATTCACAGGATATGTAAACAATCCAAATATCCACCCAAAAATGAATGAAGAAAATGTAGTGCATACATACAATAGAGTATTTTTCAGCCTTAAATAAAGAATGAAATTCTACAATATGTGATAATATGGATGAACCTATAGGACATTATGCTAAGTGAAATAATCCAGTCACAGAAGGATAAATACTGCATGATTCCACTTACCATGACATATCTAAAACAGTCAAACTCAGGAGCAGAGAGTGAAATGGTAGCTACCAGGCACAGGGAGAAAAAGAAAAATATAAATTATTGCTCAATAGGTGTAAAGTTTCAGTTATGAAAGATGGATATGTTCTAGCAATCTGCTCTACAACATAGTACCTATAGTTAACAATATGATATTGTGTACTTTAAAATATGTTAAGAAGATAGATTCCACATTAAGTATTCCTACTGTGATGTGAATGCAAAAGAAATTGCAGTTTCTGCATTGCTGGAATTTTCTGTTTTATATTATATATATTTTAAATAAATGTGGTTATTTTATGCATCATTTTCGTGGGTATTTCTCACTTTATTTTTATCTTTGCTGATGACTTATTACTTGCTGTTTATTTTATGTTTATTTTAGAGTATGAAAATGATGTTAGACAAAAAGCAAATTCAAGCAATTTTCTTATTCAAGTTCAAAATGGGTCGTAAAGCAGCCAAGACAACTCGGAGCATCAATAACGCATTTGACACAGGAACTGCTAATGAACGTACAGTGCAGTGGCGATTTAAGAACTTTTGCAAAGGACAGAAGAGCCTTGAAGATGAGGAGCGTAGTGGCTGGTCATCGGAAGTTGACAACAACAAATTGAGAACAATCATCGAAACTGATCCTCTTACAACTACATGAGAAGTTGCCAAAGAACTCAGTGTCAACCATTCTGCGGTTGTTCGGCATTTGGAGCAAATTGGAAAGGTGAGAAAGCTCAATAAGTGGGTGTCTCATGAGCTGAACAAAAATTTTAAAAATCGTCGTTTTTGAAGCGTTTTCTTCTTTTATTCTACGCAACAAGAAGGAACTATTTCTCAATTGGATTGCAATATGTGATGAAAAGTGGATTTTATACAACGGGTGATGTCCAGCTCAGTGGTTGGACCAAGAAGAAGCTCCAAAGCACTTCCTAAAGCCAAACTTGCACCTAAAAAATAGGTCATGGTGACTATTTAGTGGTCTGCTGCCAGTCTGATCCACTACTGCTTTCTGAATCCCAGAGAAACCATTACATCTGAGAAATATGCTCAGCAAGTTGAAGAGATGCACTGAAAATTGCAACCCCTGTAGCTGGCAGTGGTCAACAGAAAGAGCCCAAATCTTCTCCACAACAATGCCTGAGCACAGGTTGCACAACTAATGCTTCAAAAATTGAACAGATTTTTGGGCTACAAAGTTTTGCCTCATCTGCCATATTCACCTGACTTCTCGCCAACCGACTACCACTTCTTCAAGCATCTCCACAACTTTTTGCAGGGAAAACGCTTCCACAACGAGCAGGATGCAGAAAATGCTTTCCAAGGTTCGTGGAAACCCAAAGCATGGATTTTTATGCTACAGGAATAAACAAACTTATTTCTCATTGGCAAAAGTGTATTGATTGAAATGCTTCCTATTTTGATTATTAAAGATGGGATTGAGCCTAGTTATAGTGATTTAAAATTCATGTTCCAAAATGGCAATTACTTTTGCACAGATGTGCAAGAATACAGAAAAGTTTTGTAGGTGATGGAGATGTTTAGTACCTTGATTGTGAGATGTTATCATGGGTGTGTTTATATATGTTTATATATACAAACTCACTGGTATGTTTACATTAAATGTGTATAAGTTTTTGTATGTCAGTTATACTTCAACAAAGAATAAAAAAACTAAAATTAAAAAAGAAAATAAAATATATGCCCTATTATAATGGATACCATGTCACAGAAGGACATTACCTACAAAACAATTCTGTCCAGGATAATTGCTTTATTGTAGTGCTATTAATTTATTTCAACAATTGTGGTACCTACCATATTCCAAGTGAAATCTTATAAAGATTCCACATATGTAGTTAAAATTCTTTAGAATTCATAATACATAGGTATATTGAGTGATGCTGGTATTGTACCAAAGTTATATGAAGTGAGAAAAATGAAATATAGATTGATTACCATGTATAAATTTTAATTTCCTCAACTATGAAGCATAAGTAGCTATTTTTTTATAAAATTGTTTTGAAGCCTAAAGGAGATGCTACCTGTGGGAATTCTCATATGATTTTAAAGAACTAAATAATTATATTATGCCATTTTATATCATACATTTCATATAGTAAGTGCTCAGTTAATGTTTCTGGAATCTATCAGTAAAAGGAAAAAGTTTTTAAAAAGACAAAAATCAAAAGTGTAGTTTTAAATTCTTCTGGAAAAATCTGGGTGAGAAAATATAGATAGATTATTTTACTTGATAATGAGTTTCCTCCTGAGGAAATTATAGCACCTGCAGAGAAAGAAGCTTATGCTAGTGGGGGAGGTAGACATTATGGCAGGTAATTGCAGGTGGCCTGACAGTTCCTGCTGATCTGACATCTTCTCAACAGCTAGATTTACATAATGAAAAGACAAGAACCAGTGTTGCTTCTAATATGATAGTGACTTTTGCAATTCTATTCCAATTCAATTGTGGCAGAAGACATATTTAATTATAATAGTGCTGAGATGACTAGCGCCAGTAACAGTAGATTTATGACAAACTACCTCATTACTTATTAGTAGGGAAGACAACAAAAATGTTACTTTCTCACACGTTTGGATTATACACTTAATGAAGAACTATGCATATATCTTAGTGTTAAAAATATAACAGAAATAATACCTCTGTAAATTGAGTGAAATCCTCAATGTACAATGAAAATCTCAGGTAACCAATTTTAGAATTGAAATATGAAGTTAAAGGTACAAAAGACCATTTACAATTTTTTGATGCATACTTTACCAGAAAGAGATATTTGTGAGTTCTCCATTTTACAAGTCTCTATGGAGATATAACATTGGCCTACATACTTCAGCATCATTATTTAAGTCCTGAGTCCAAAACCTTCCCACATATGGGTCTGCCTTTTAATTTAAAAAGCCATAAAGCATCCAAATGGTGTCCTTTTTGTTCTCTGTGTGGCAGTAGATCACTGCTTCTATGTTAATCTTCTCATAATCCTTTGGCTCTTCTCTTACCTTCTACATATAATTCCTGTCCTGCTGATCTGAATCTTGTTCTTGCCCACATTCTCCAGATCCTCATTTCCACCACTCTTCTCTGGCTTTTCTATTTCTCTTCTTTCATTGCTCCTCCCCTTGCAACATTCAACCACTCATAGTTCTTTAATATATATATTTTTAAATACCAGGGATTTTTTTTCTTTTTTTTCACATTTTTAGATGATTTGGTCCCATTGTTCCTTTGTATTTGTTCTGCCTAATTCTGCTCCTACTGTGAGTCTGCCCAAGCATCTCACCCTTATATGAATATTCAATGTTGTTGCTTCAGGCTTTCTATTTAGGTGGATACCTACCAAATTTAGGCCTCCAGTCTTGAGTTTTTATTTTTATTTCCATTCCTTATTGGCAGAATCCACTTATGACTAAAATATCTGATTAAAGCAGCCTGCATTAAATCTGTTGTATTACTGCTGACTTCACCTGGGTGCTCTCATATTCATGCATCTGGATACTCCTTTTAAATCACACTTTTGATTTAGTTTCAGCTTTTAAAAAAACACATTTTAAGAAACCTCCATTAGAATGAGGGGATAAATTTGAACAGGTACCAGAAAAGACTGTGAAAATGCACAGCATGGCAACATAGATAGCCACTTCCCCCCATTTTATTTCCCCAACCCAGAAAAAGGTAGGCTGTCCAGGGTGCTGAATTTAAGGGGCTATGGCAAAGTCAGACTTACGCTGAGTTTGTCACAATATCCAAGAAGTCTAATCTAAAGGAAGAATATGACACCCTAGAAGAAGGTCTCAACCTGAGGTAAAGGGCTAGAAGATGCTAGGCAAGTGCTCCCCAACACTTCTTTTCCCCTTCTAATCAGCGTAGCATTGTGCTTATAGCATTCGGGCTTCACTCAAGTGACTAAACTGAAGAATTGACAGGGTCCTGGAACCTAAACAAGTAGGTCAGTTAAATACTTGAGATTAGAATAGTAGGAAACAGTCCAGTGTTCACATAGGCTCACAGATAGAGGAAGGGGTTAAGTATTTCATCATGCAAACCCAGAATAGATGGAAAAAAAATATGAAGTAGGGAAGGAGCTCATCTTTACCTTGTCTCTTCTGGCTAGCTTTTCATGAGTATGAGTAGTCACAAACTAAGTCTGTAAATAGCCAGAGGAAAAAAAACCTGGTCAGCTTATTTGATCTCCTATATGATGTGTAGATTTCTCTGTAAAGAAAAAAATCCTTTACTCTATAAACCACTCACCCAGCACATTTAATCCCTTCTAGTGAGAAAGCACTCTATTTCCCAAGGCAAATCCATTTCCTCCTCGATTCTTGATATATTGCTTATTTAAGTTTAGCATAAACAACTAGCTCTATCTCACAGGCTTGCTTTAACACATCGGTTCTCAACCCTGACAGTATATTCAATGTTGTTAGAATCAGTATGGACACTTTATAAAAATACCAATGCCTGAGCCCCATTGCCAGAAATTCTGTTTCAATTTTTCGAGGGCACAATGGTCATTTTTCAAACCTCTCTAAGTGTTTTGAATAAACAGCCATAGTTTTCAGATCCCCCTGCTTTAAGCTTTGCTGCCTATATAACCCCAAACCACACAGTGACATCACAAAGCCAAAGCACAGTCCTATATTATTCCCTATGTTGTCCTAGCTCTTTGAAGTCTGGAGAAGTACTTTTTGGAACATAATTTATTCATTAAAACAATTTTTGAGTACTTTCCATATGTCATGTGTTGAGCTATGTACTTGATATGGTATAAATATTTGTGTACCCCAAAAATTTATATGTTGAAACCCCAAGGTAATTGTATTAAGAAATGGGGCCTTCAGAAAGTTATTAGGTCATACAGGAAGAGCTCTTATAAAATGGGATAATTGCCCTTATTAAATATTTCTTAGAGAGGCCCCTCACTTCTCCTGTCATGTGAGGACACAGTGAGAAGGTGCTATCTATGAACCAACCAGAAAACAGGACTTCGCCAGACATCAAATCCACCAACACCTTTATGTTAGTTACACTTTTTAGCATCCCAAACTGTAAGAAATAAATTTATGTTGTTTATAAACTACTCAGTTTATGATATTTTGTCAGAAGCCCAAAAATGAACATTCAATTGACAGAAATCTCCCTAATAATCTCCTCCACTGCAGTTTCCCTATTCAAAACTTGTATGTGCTTTGTAAAACAAGTTCAGTTTTTTTCTACTAGGTTTGTTCCTTTTTAATCTATTCCTTCCCATTTTACTTAACTTTATTTCAGCAATACTCCCCAAAATGCCCCTTAAACTCTTATCAGGAGAGTGGCTTTTAATCTTCCTGGAAAACGTTATGTTATTATCTATTACAAGATTAAAAATTTTACAAATGTCATCAAAAATCATGTTAATCATTCCAAAATTTGTGCTCTCTTGATAATTCCTCAGTAGCGTCCGAGACTTTAAACAGGTTACTCTTAATCAATTAAGTGGGGAAGAAATATATAAATGTTCATATAATGTCAATGTTTGTAATCTTGGATCAATCCATGGCATAAAATTGAAGAAGAAATTTTAGGCAGTTATAGAAGAAATATGGGCCAAAATAATTTTTATTTCTCCTGAACTGGCTATAATTTATAAAGAGAAATAGACAGTGATCATCTCCTTGTGAAGCTCCATACTGTTTGATAACCAGTCAAAAGTATAAGCCTCGTCAGCAAAGGCAATCCTCATACAAAGAGCCAGAGTATTGTGCTTTCATTCAAATTTAAAATCTTAAGCCATTCATCAAGATAGCAGTGTAGGACATTTCTACCATTATTTTTCCACAGAAGCATCAATTATGACAACTACCCATGGGCAAGTGTACTTTTGTGGGAGTCTAGGAGACTAGAAGATAAGTTTTAACACACCAATGGGAAAAATCTGAGAATAAATGCATTGAAAAGGGTAGAAAAAAATAATTTTGTTTTACTCATATCATCCCTTCCCAAAGGCAGCATAACTTAGTGCCAAAAGTAACCCCCAACAACAGAGGATGATTACTCCCACAGAGGAAAGCAATAGCACAAGAAATGAGTGCCAGGCTTCCACAGCCATGCAACACACTGCCCAAGAGACACACTTCTTTCTCATGCCATTCAGAAAGTTAAGGTGAGTTGCAGGGGCTGGGAGCAGGGAGGGATGGCTGCATACTCTAATAACTGCTTCACAAACTCCATCAAGAATGCTGATATAAGTCAGGGATGTCTTGCCTATGGACCCCACCCAAAATGACAATGGGCACCCCAAATAACCTCATGGGAATTAAATTCCCACATAGAAGACAGCCTCTCAAGTGAGCCACTGCAGACAGCAAGTGCAAGTATCTCACACAGACAGCCAGCTTGACTATATGAGATTTCAAAAAGGCAAACAGCTGACCAATTTAGGGCACCACTCCATAAAAAAACAAACAAACAGGAGCTCCCTGCATCTAATCAAGCTTTGCAAGATTGAGAGAAGCACAAAATTTAATCCCTCATTTCAAGATAAAACAAGATGTATAGAGTGAGAACATCCACAGATAAAGTCTAAGAGAGCCCCAGAATCCCTAGATGGGCTGTTTGGTGAAGGTGTTTCTCTTCTGAAGCCATTCATTAGACACAAGAGGAGGTGACTGCTCTTCAACGTGAAGATAGCAATGTAAAATTTCAAGGAACATGAAAAAATAAAGGAAATATAAAATCACAAAGAAAACAATAATATTTCAGTAACTGACTCTAAATAAATGAAAATTGATAGATTGTCTGACAAACAATTCAAAATAATTGTATTAGGGAATCTTGGCAAGCTACAAGAGAACACAGAAAAACAACTCAGTGAGATCTGAAAAAAAATGCACGAAGCAAAGGAGAAGTTCAATAAAAAGACAGAAATTATAAAACAGAACCAAACAAATTCTAGAGCTAAAGAATACAACAAATGAAATAAAAAATACAATAGAGAGGATCAACAGCAGACTCGATCATTCAGAAGAAACTCTGTGTACTCAAATATGAGTCATTGTAAAATAGTCAGTCAGAAGATTAAAAAAAAAAAGAAGTGAGAAGGAATGAAGGAAGCCTACAGGGTTTATTGGATACCATCAAGGGAGCTAACATTCACATTAAGTGACTCTAAGAAGGAAAACATATGGAAAAATAGGGCAGAAAACATATTTAAAGAAACAATCACTAAAAACTTCACAAATTTGCATACAAAGACAGTCAAGTACATAAAATTCAAAATCCTCTAAACAGTTTAAATCCAGAGAAGACTTTAACAGGATACATTATAGTCAACTGTCAAAAATCAAAGACAAATAAAGAATTTTGAAGGTCTTTATTAGCAAAAGGATAGAAGCTCATCACACACAAGGGAATATCCATAAGGCAATCAGTGGATTTCCTGGCAAAACTCTGCAGGCCAGAACAGATTGGGATGATATATCAAAGTGATGAAAAGAAAAAACTTGTCAACCAAAATTACTGTATCCAGAAAATCTATCTTTCAGAAATGAAACAGAAATAAAGACTTTCCCAGACAAACAAAAGATAAAAGAGTTCATCATCCCTCAACTTCTTTTACAAGAAATGGTAAAGGGAGTTCTCCAAGTTGAAATAAAAGGAAGCTAATTAGTAATATGAAAACATATGGAAGTATAAAACTCGTTGCTAAAGGCAAGTGTATTGTAAAATTCAACATACTTTAATACTGTAATAGTGGTGTATAGGTCACCTATAGCTCTAGCATAAAGGTTAATAAAATTAAAAATAACTGTATCCACAATAATCTCTTAATGAATACACAATATAAAAATAAATAAATCAGAACATCAAAAACACAAAATGAAAGAGGGAAGTAAAAGTACACAGTATAATTTTGGTCTGTGTCCCCACACAAATCTCATGCTTAATTGCAATCCTTAGTGTTGGAAGTGGGGCCTGGTGGGTGGTGATTGGTTCATGGGGGTGTTTTCTCATGAATGTTGTACACCATTCCTTTGGTGGTGTTCTCATGATACTGAGTGAGTTCTCATGAGATCTGGTCATTTAAAAGTGTGCGGTATCTCCCCTTGCTTATCTCTCTCCTGTGCTTACTCCAGCCATGCAATGTGTGTGCTTCCCCTTTGCCTTCCACCATTATTTTAAGTTTCTTGAGTCCTCCTTAGAAGCTGAGCCAACATCATGCTTTCTGTACAGCCTGCAGAATTGTGAGCCAATTACACCTTTTTTCTTTATAAATAACCCAGTCTTGGGTATTTCTTTATATCAGTGTGAGAATGGACTAATACAGTATAGTTTTGTATGCAAAGTTAGGTTACTATAAACTTAAAACAGATGGTTTTAAACTATAAAAAATTATGTAAACCTCATGGTAGCCACAAAGAAAAAAAAACCTCTAAGTAGATACACAAAATATAAAGGGAAAGAAATCAAAGCATAATACTACACAAAAGTAGCAAACCACAAAAGAAAACAGCAAGAGAGGAAGAATGAAACAAAGGAACTGCAAGACAGAAAACAATTTAACAACATGGCAATAGTAAGTTCTTACCTATCAATAACAACTCCAAATGCAAAGACTGTATTCTTCAATCAAAGACATAGCGTGGCTAAAAGGATGAAAAATTAAGACCCAACTATACAACTATATACTGCCTATGAGAGACTAACTTCAGCTTTAATGATACACATACAATGAAAGTGGAGGGATGGAAAAAGATATTTCATGCAAATGAAAGCCAAAAGAAAATGGGGTATCTATTACTTCAGAAACAATAGACTTCAAGTTAAAAACTTTCCAGAAAGACAAAGGATATCATTATTCAGTAATACAGGGGTCAATTTATCAAGAGGCTATAACAATTTTAAGTAAATATGCAGCAAAGGATAAGAACACCTAAACATATTCAACAAATATTAACAGAAATGAAAGGAGAAATAGAAATCAATACAATAAAAGTAGGAAACGTCAATATCCAACTTTTAACAATGGATAGATTATCCAGACAGAAAATCAATACAGAAATATTGCACTTGAACTACACTTTAGACAAAATGGACCTAACAGATGTATACAGAACATTTCATCCAACAGCAACAGAATACACATTCTTCTCAAATACCCAGGGAGCACTCTCTGGAGTAGATAACACATTATGCCACAAAACAAGTTTCAATGAAATTATTGAAATCATACTAAGTATCTTTTCTAACAAATTTCTGGGATTCAGCTAAAGTAGTTCTAGAGAGAAGTTCAAAGCAATAAATGTCAACAGGACAGAAAAAGAAAGATCTCAAATAATTTATACTCAATGAACTAAAAATAAGAATGAAGTGGCTGGGCAGTGGGTTTATTTCTATAATTCCAGCAATTTTTCAGGCTGAGGCAGACAATTGCTTGAGGCCAGGATTTTGAGACTAGTCTGAGCAACAGAGAAAGGCACTGTCTCAAAAAAAAAAAAAAAGAAGAAAGAAAGAAGGAAGAAAAGAAGAGAACAAACTAAGCCCACTAAGCCCATGAATATAGATGGAAGGAAGTATAAAAAATTAAGGCAGACCTAAGTGTAACAAAAACTACTAAGACAATAGAATAGACAACAAAACCATGGGTTGGGTTTTTTAAAAGATAAAATTAACAAATCTTCGGCTACACTAAATCAAAAAGAGAGAAGGAAGCCTCAAATAAATAGAATCAGAAATGAAAAAAAGAAACATTGCATCCAAAACAATACAAAGCATAAAAAGAAACTGCTATGAACAAATATATGCTAACAATTTGAATAACCTAGATAAAAGGATAAATTTCTAGACACAACTTACAAAGACAAAATCAGGAAGAAAGAGTAAATATGAACAGGCCAATAACAAGTAAGGTGATTGAAACAATAATCAAAACAATTATAAAATTCGTATGGGACCAAAAAAGAGCCTAAATAGCCAAAGCAATCCTAACCAAAAAGAACAAAGCTGGAGGCATCACACTACCCAACCTCAAACTATACTATAAGGGTATATATATGGTATATATGGTAACCAAAACAACATGGTACTGGCACAAAAACAGACACATAGACTCATGGAATCGAATAGAAAACTTAGAAATAAATCTGCATACTTACAACTATCTGATCTTCAACAAGGCTAACAAAAACAAGCAATAGAGAAAGGATTCCTTATTCAATAAATGGTGCTGGGACAACTAGCTACCCATAGCAGAAGAAGGAAACTGGACCTTACAGTTCACCATATACAGAAATTTTTTCAATATGGTTTAATGATTTAAGTGTAATACATCAAACTGTAGAAATTCTAGAAGAAAACTTACGGCTTGGCAACAAATTTTTGGCTAAGTTCCCCAAAGCAATTGCAACAACAGAAAATTGACAAGTGGGACCTGCTGCTGCACGCAAAAAAAAATTATCAATAGAGTAAATAGACAATCTACAGGATGGCAGAAATCAAACTATGCACCTGAAAAAGATCTAATATCCAGAATATATGAGAAACTTAAATCAATAAGCAAAGAACATTAAAATATGGGCAAAGGATATGAACAGATACTTTTCAAAGGAAGACATACAAGTGGCCAACAAACATATGAGAAAATGCTTACCATTATTAATTATTAGAGAAAGGCAAATCTAAACCACAATGTGATACCATTTCACACCAGTCAGAATGGCTACTATTAAAAGGAAAAAAAAAATACAGATGCTAGCGAGACTGTGGAGTAAGGGGTAATGCTTATCCACTCTTGGCAGAAATTTAAATTAGTTCAGTCACTGTGGAAAACAATTTGGAGATTTCTCAAAGAACTTAAAACAGAGGTTTCATTTGACCCAGCAATCCCATTACTAGGTATATTGTCAAAGAAAAATAGATCATTATACCAAAAAGATACCTGCACTAATATGTTCATTGCTGCACTATTCACAATAGCAAATACATGGAATCTACTTGGGTACATATCCATCATGGAATACTACACAACCATACAAAAAATAGTAACATCGCATCCCTTGAAGCAACATGGATGGAGCTGGGGGCCATAATCCTAAATGAATTAACACAGGAACAGAAGACCAAATACTGCATTTTCTCACCTATAAGTGGGAGCTAAATATTGAGCACCCAAGGACATAAACATAAGAATAATAGATGCGACAGACTACTAGGGGTGGGCAGGGAGGTTGGTGTGGGTTCAAAAACTACTTATTGGGTACTAGGCTCACTACTTGGGTGCAACATACCCATGTAACAACCTGTGCATGTACCTTCCTGTATCTAAAATGAAAGTTGAAAAAAAAATTAGCAAAGAAAAGTCCAGAACCAGATGGCTTTCTGATGCATTCTACCAAATGTATAAAAAATAATTTTTATCAAACTTTCTCAAGCTCTCTCAAAAAATTGAAGGAGAGGGAATACTTCCAAACTCATTTATGAAGACAGTATTATCCTGATACCAAAGCCAAATGAGGACTTACGCAAAAAGGAAATTACAAGGCATTGTTCTTAATGAACACAGTTGAAAAAATGTTCAATAAAACATTTTCAAATTTAATTCAACATCACATTAAAATATTCATATACCTTTATATAGTGGGATTTATTCCTGGAATGCAGGGAATAAACACCACAAAACAATAAAAGGGATACACCACATTAATGAAATGAAGGATAAAAGTCACATAATCATCTTAATAAAAGCAGAAAAAAATTGACAAATTCAATATCCTTTCATAGAAGGAACATACTCAAACTTAACAAAGGCCAGATATGGTAACCCCACAGCTAATATAGTCAATGGTGAAATGCTGAAAGCTTTTCATCTGAGATAGGGAGAAGACAAAGATGCCCACTCTTCCCCCTTTCATTCAACATAATACTGGAAGTTCCAGACAGAGCAATTAGGCAAGAAGTATAAATAAAAGACATCCAAAAGGAAGAAGCAAAATTGCCTGTGTTTGCAGATGACATGATCTTAAATAGAGAGATGCCTAAACATTCCACCAAAAACTATTAGAACCAATGAATGACTTCAGTAAACCAATGAATTCAGTAAAGTTGAGGGAATCAAATCAACATACAAAAATCAGTTGCATTTTGATACACTAACAAAAACCTATCTGAAAAAGGAATTAGAAAACAATCCCATTTACAATCGCATCAAAAATAATAAATTACTTAAGAATAAATTTAACAAAGGAAGTAAAAGATCTGTATGCTGAAAACTATGAAACATTGATGAGAGAAACTGAAGAAAATACAAATAAATGAAAAGATATCCCAAGTTCATGGATTAGAAGAATGAATATTGCCAAAATATCCAAACTACCCAGTGTGATCTATAGATTCCATGCAACCCCTACAAAGAGTCCCATGGCATTTTTCACGTAAATAGAAAAAGAAATCCTAAAATATGTATGAAACCACAAAAGTCCCCAAAGCAATCTTGAGTAACAACAAAACTGAGGGCATAATATTTCCTGATTTCAAATTGTATAAAAAAGTATATTTATTAAAACAGCATGGTACACAGACCAATGGAACAGAATAGGAGACGTAGAAATAAATCTATGCATTTATTGTCAATTTCTTTTCAACATAGGCATCAAAAATGTACAATGGAGAAAGGATTGTCTCATAAATAAATGGTGTTGAGAAAACTAGATATCTACATGTTAAAAAAATGAAATTTGATCCCTATCTTACACTGTATACAAATAACCAACTCAAAGTGCAATAAAAACTTAAGATCCAAAACTGTAAAACTCTTAGAATAAAACATGGGAAACGTTCCATGACATTGGTCTCAGTTGTTATGATTTTTTAAAAATATATTTCACCAGATGCACAAGCAATAGAGGAAAAAAATAAACAAGTAGTACTACATCAAACCAAAAATTTTCTGGCGAAAAAAGGAAACAATCAACAAAATTAAAATGTAATCTACCGAAAAGGAGAAATATTTGCAAAACATATATTTGATACAGGATTAGTTTCAAAAACATCTAAAGAACTCATAAAACTCAATTGTAAAAGAACAAAAACAAAAACAACACTCACAAAAATCCCAAATAACCCAATTTAAAAATGGACCAAGGACCTGAACAGACATTTCTCCAAAGATGATATACAAATGGCAAACAGGTTATTGAAAAGGTGCTCAACAACACTAATTTGGGGAAATGCAAATTAAAGCCACAATGAGTCTTAGATACACCTCAGCCACAATGATCCTTAGAATCACCATAGAATCATCCTAAAATCACAATTTTTAGGATGGTTTCTGTCAAACATTTAAAAGGTGTTGTAGACAACGTGGAGAAAAGACAACACTTGTATACTGTTGATGGTAATGTAAATTGGTATAGCATTATGAAAAATAGCATGGAGTTTCCTCAAAACATTGAATAGAGAACCACCTTACTATTGAGCAATCTCACTTCTTAGTATATATCCAAAGGAAATAAAATCATTATCACAAAGACATATCTACATTCCCATGTTCATTACAGCCTTATTCACAGTAGCCAAGATATAGAAACAACTTAAGTGTCTGTCACTGGATAAATGAATAAAGGAAATGTGGTTTATATATTTGTATATGGAATATAATATAATAAATACAGCATAATATAATTGAATGTTATTCATCCTTAGAAAAGAAGCAAATCCTGCCATTTATAACAACATGGATAAACCTGGAGAACATTACACTAAATGAAATAAGCCAGATACAGAAAGACAAATACTGCATGAACTCACTCATATGTGGAATCTAAAAAAGTAGAAACAGAAAGTAGAAAGGTAGCTACCTTGGGTCAGGGACAGGGGAAAATGGGGAGATGTCGGTAAATGGTTAAAATTTTCAGTCATTATGAAATAAGTTCCTTATATTTAATGTAAAACATGGTAATTACAGTTAATAACAATGTATTGCATATTTGAAATTTGCTGAACCTGTATCTTCAGCATTTTCACAACACACACAAAAAGATAACTATGTTAGCTGATGTTTATGTACATCAGCCTGGTTGTGCTTATCATTTCACTATATACATTAATATAGATATAGCAAAACATTGCAATATATACCACATATATAAAATTTTTGTTTGTCATTTATACCTCAGTAAAGCTTAAAAACTTAAAGTATTCACCCATTATTGATTATGAAGTTATCTCAACATTTTTAATAAAAAGACATAAAACATAATATATGAATTCATCTCACAATAAAGATAAGTATTATTTTATGGTTGTTATATTTATGTATTTGTATACATACACATAAGATATATTTGTGTACATTCCAAGTGATGACATGAAAGCTTTATTTTTTTAATGTGGGTTTCAGTTTTAAACATTTGGAAGCCAGTGTTTTACCTCATTGAATCATGACAAGAACACTGTAATAGAGATATTATTCCAATTTTGCAGATGAGAAAACTCAGATGTTTAAAAAATCAACTCAGCTTCTTCTGGGTTCTTCTTTGAGAAGTAGAGAAATTGGCATTTGAATTTAGGTAAAATGACTCCAAAGTCCATATTACATTCACTGTCCCATAGTCTTCTATATTCTACAATTATACTCTGAACACAAATTTTAAATTGTATGATATATGTGAAGTTAAGTAAATTTTTCTTGTCAGAAATTGTTGCTTGTAAATTTGTCTTCGTACACCATTTGACAACATATCAATAAAGCAGTCCTACATTTTAAGAACATTCAGTATAAGACAATCAGGTATTATGGAACAAGTATATTAAATGGCTATTTCTCTTTTGAAATTTATATGCTATTTGATGGAGTATATAAATGGGCATCCCAAAATAATTCAAATTAGAAAAGCTGAGTCATCGTGGACTCTAAGTATACATATTTTACCGCCAATATCTTATGAATTACTATGAGGCATTTAAATCTATATTCAATTTTGCTCAAGCTATATTTATGTGAAACTCAGGGTTAATATTAAGTCACATTATTATCAAAAATTCAAAAGGTAACAAGTGTTGGAGAGGATATGGGGAAAATTAATTTTAATTTAATTTAATTTAAATCTAATTTAATTTTATTTAAATCTTTAATTTAATTAAAATTTAATTTTTAAAAAATCTTTAATATAATTAATTACAATTTAATTTAATTAAAATTTTAATTGAATGTTAGCCAGGTTTAATATTAAGGACAGAAAAGTCATTGGGCTGAAATAGCTTTAGCACATTGAAAATAATTATCACACCTAGGCACATATACCTATTTAAAAAAGAAATTGATCCTTGGAGATGCTACTGCCTTCAAGTATTTTTGAGGTAAGGTCTTTGATATAGATTGGATATTTGTCCCCTCCATATTTCATGTTGAAATTTGATCCCCAATGTTTTAATGGGCCCTGGTGGGAGGTGTTTGGGCTCTGAGGGCAGATCTCTCATGAATGGCTTGGTGCCAGTAAAGAGTGAGTTCTCACTCTTAATTCTCACGAGATCTGGTTGTTAAAGAGTCTGGTACCTCCCTCCCCACTCTGTTTCCTCCTGTTTAGCCATGTAATAGCTGGTCCCATTCACCCTCTTCCATGAGTGGAAGCTTCCTGCAGTCCTTACCAGAAGTAGATGCTGGTGCCATCTTCCTATACAGCCTGCAGAACCACTAGCCAAATAAATATCTTGTCTTTCTGAATTACCCAGCCTCAAGCATTCCTTTATAGCAACAAAGAATGAACTAAGACAGTCTGGAAAATAAGATTATTACTTAAACAGTGAAAAGTGGACTATCTGTAATGAAGTCACAGTCCTCAACAACTTCTGTTTTCAGTGCAGTAATTATGTGAAAACCATGTTCAGAGTATAGTATGATGATACAGAATTCTGTCACACTATCAAAAAAGTCTTGGTACTTCTGGTAAACATGAGTGCACAATTCTACAAAGGGAAATCCATCACACTAGTTAAAAAGAGACTCTCTCTCTCATATGTATATATTATATATATGAGATATATATGATATATATGATAGATATTAATATATATATGAAATTTGTATATATATATGAAATGTATAAAATATCACAGATAGCTAAATGCTGAGACTTCTGTGATAACCCAAACCCAGTACATGATCATCAAACAGCTTATATTTTATAGCCTAACACTGCCTAAATAGCTATGGCAGAAAATGGCAGGTAAGTATTGATTCTTCTTTTTTCTGAGCATACACTTTTTATGACATTTCTCAGTCTATCTGGAGTTAGGTGGAGCTATGTGATTGAGTTCTGGCAAATACAATTTGGGCAGAAGTGCTAGTTGCCAGATCTGGCCTCTAAACCTTCTTGTGAGATCCTTCGTGGTCTTCCTGTCTTCCGCTCTCCTTAAAGCCAAATAAATTGTATAGCCACAGCATGAAGAAACCTGGATGCCTGAAGCACAGCTTTCCTGCTGAACTGTGATAACAGTACCTATGTGAGAATAGACCTTGATTGTTCTGAGTCATGGGGACCTGGAATATGCTGCAGTTAGCCTACCCTAATGCAAATGTCAAAGTAATCAGCTTCAGTTATAAATGATCTAGATCTGCTAGCTACATCTAATATTAAATACTAACATCAAGCTATGAATATTCTACATAAGCAGCATTTACCTTATTTCCATTTGCCTCAAAGTATGTGTAGTGAAAACAAATAGCAAGAGTTATTTTTAGTGCTCTACATCACACCAAAAACACAGAGAGAGTTGATCTAGTGGAGTGAAGAGCTTCTGCCTGTTTGCATGCTAATTCCTCCTTCAGGCCTCCCCTCACACTGGCGTCAGTCTTTCCTTTAGGATATTTTACTCTTGTACGTATCCCTTATATATCCCCGATTTCAGAGCAAGTGTCCCTGGGTAACCTCTAAAATGTGGTGGCTGGGATAGCAAGGATGAACACTCGCTGCCAACTTACACTCTATTTTCACGAGGAAAGCATGCGTTTCATTAGGCAGAATATTACACATCATGAATAACTCTTCTATTCTGATTATTGAAGCTAAGAGTGCTGCTGTGTGTCTTGTGGCTGATCCCAAATTAGAATATGAAAGCTGAAATTTAAAAAAAAATGTGAACTAGCTTAGCATTTTTTTCCAAAGCTACATCAATAGAAGATGCCCTTTTGTAGCAGTTGAAAATGAGTATTTATTTTTGCAAGGAATTTCAGGTGAGAAAAAAATATTTTTTTCTTCCCTAAGAAGTAACAAATATGATTCCTCTTTGGCAAGAATTTTAGAGAGAACATTTTTTTAGTTTAATTGTCCTGGTCTGCATATTGGTTACACAGAGCACAAAATAATAGCAGCTGTAGAATCATCTGTTCCTTCACGGATTGTATGTAAGATTCTTTTCTCCTATATTAGTGCATGTAGAGGGTTGTGGGGTATGGAGTCTGAGTCATACCAAGGGGGGAAAATAAAAATTGCTATGAGGAAAAAAGGAAGAATATACATAAGATGGCTTTCATAAGTTCCATTTTGCCCCATTCAGGCAACCACAAGTAACTGACAAAAGAGAAAAAGGAGATTTTCAATGCCCAGGCTTTGTCATATTATACACAGGAGCAACACTATTTTTCTCTTTGCCTTCCAGTTTTTCCATGGGGAACAATCAGTTTTCTGCAAGATTACTTTGACATTATTTTTTGAAAAATCTCTCTAGAGCATTATTAAAACAGGTCACATAGATCAAGAAGAAAACACCTGGAAACTGCAGTAAGTCATTCATGATATTTTCCTTGTATTTTTAATGGAACAGGAAACCATGACAGCACAGACTCTGGAGAAACGGCCCAGGCATTAAAGAGGTTAGAAGATTTAAGAACCCTTGAAATCCTCTTAAATAATCAGTGTCACTGGACTGTTTTCTAGTTTCATAGAAATTGTTAAAATTTCTCTCAGAATGTGCCTCATTAGAAGTCAAAATTTAACTTCTGTTATCTATAAAGACAACATTATAAATATTTTTGACCTAAAGTAGCTCATGCTAAGATTAATATCTTTATAATAAAGATTAAATATTAGGGTAAAATATGCACATCTCTTCTCTTCACTTCTCATGAGTGATGCCCCACAGGGAGAGTAGAGAGGACAATGGGCTAATGCATAAATGGCTAACAGTTTCTTCTTGCAGCCCACTAGTGGGTGGATAGTGAGTGCCTGGAATGCCATGTATAGAGGGATTTCGAAAATTTTGCCAGGTTTGGAGGGCAGTGATGAATAATTATTGATGTCCCCATGACCAAGAAATGTAAGTGGCAGCAGGCGAGTAATATTCAGTGCCTGGCATGTGTGGGCTCATAAAGTTAACACACTGAAGATGCACAGTTATATGGGTTGTGATGGGGTGATATGTAGAGTTGGGTGAAACCGCACTACTAGGTCTGGTTTTCCTTGTCATTCAAAGCTTGAAAGCCACCTTAGAGACAAAGCTTCTTATGAATACCTCATAGCTAGGAACAGGTCTGTCATAGCTCTTTGAGCATGAAAGGGCTATGTTGATCATTCCTCATCTCATCTCTAGGTCCTCATGGCATCCTATATCAATATTTAGTATCACAAAATAATGAGCTATTTTTATTTGTATATACACAGATTTATATCATGCATTTACTTATCTCTTTTAATTCAGCATTTTTGTTAATATTGTATCGAAATAATCAGATAGTATGTCACACAAAGAGGAACATCTTGAAAATAAAATAATTTAATATTAGTAATTAGATGGGACAACAGGTATAAACCAGAACTTTCCTGGAAGATTGAACCATTAGTCACCCTAAATGCAGTTCCAACTTGTAAACTAAATCAATAGCTCCAATTTAGTAAAATGTTCTGACAAAAAAAAAACAAATTTAAAAAATCTGTCAATATTATGACTCAAAACAGCACAATATTAGATAACAAGATGGACACCAGTACAAAAGTAAAATTAGAATCTCTAAGTGTTTTTGAAAAGTGTATTCTTAACGTTTGCATTTTTAAAGCAGTGAAAAAAGTGTGAATAGAAAAAACAAGCTACTAATATTCCTAATTGATTTACTTTATAATATCCTAACTGGAATCTTTTCTTTTTCTCTTGCTCTGTATAATCAATTTTTTACCGAGCAAACAGAGTAATCTTTTCTTTTTGTTAATCAGATCGTGTTACTCCTATGCCCATAAACCTTTAATTTACTTTCTCATTGCAGCTGGAATAAAATTTAACATCTTACCATGGTCTGTACGTATCTAGCAGACTCTACACACTTCTCCAATTTCATTCCTCACTGCTGCCTTCCCCACTCTCTGCTATTCGGCCACCTTGGACCACTGAGTATTCTCAGTGTCAAACAAATAATTTTCAAAATCAGGGCCTTGGCATTTGCTGTGTGCCTTGCCTGGAATATTCTTCCCTGGTTCTTTCTCATCTTTCGAGTCTTAGCTGAAATTTGAACTCAACTACCAAATCTCCTAAAAGCTTAGACTAACTACCTTAATTAAAGTAATTTCCTTCTTCCAGTTTTTCTATTTGTTTCTTTCTTATCATAATTCAACATTATTTTTGTTACTTCATTTATTATTTATATTTCATTATTGAGTATCTAGTATGTGCCAAGCACTGTCAAATAGACCATGTTCCCATCTAAAAGAATTGTCAGGGCTGTAATCTCCTAAAAGCTTGGGCTAACTACCTTAACTAAAGTGATTTCCTTCTTCCAGGTTTTCTGTTTGTTTCTTTCTTACCATAATTCAACATTATTTTTGTTACTTCATTTATTATTTATATTTACTTATTGAGCATCTAATATGTGTCAAGCACTATTAAATAGACCATGCTCCCATCTAAAAGAATTGCCAGGGGCTGGACAGGGTCACGCCTGTAATCCCAGCACTTTGGGAGGCCAAGGCAGGAGAATCACTTGAGCCCATGTGTTCAAGACCAGCCTAAGCAGCAAAGTGAGACCCCTGTATCTGTTTTTAAAAAAAGAAAATAAACAAGAATTGTCAGGGAGGCACTCAATGCAGAAATTGCAGTTGAATTGACATCTGGAGAACGACAAAAAAGAGAGCAATGTGGAAATAGGCAGAGAAGAACATTCCAGACAGAAGAAAAGGCAAGAGCAAAGGCCTTGACATGGAATGAGAAAGTGGGTGTATCTATTTCACTGTAAATAAAGATGTATAGGAAATGAGGTCAGATAGATAGGAAACTGAGTACAGTAAGTCCTTTCTTAACATCATTGATGGGTTCTTGGAAACTGTAACTTTAAGTGAAACAATGTATAACAAAATGATTTTTTTCCCTCACAGCAAAAGGACATTTAACAAAATGTTATTTGAGGACTTGCTGTATGTCATTTCATGTAAAGCAGCAGTTTCAAAGAACCTATCAATGGCATTAAGTGAGGACTTATCGATACATATTGCCTCGAATTCCACTGAAAAGTTTTTAAATTTAAGTTGAATCAAAATGGGAAGCTATTACAGAGTTACAAATAGGGAGGAAACAGTCTAATTTATACTTCTAAAAGATTATTTAGTCTGTTCTGTTAGAGTAGAATATTAGAGTAAAAGTAAAAGCAAGGAGAGTAATTTGGAGGTTTTACCACAGTCCAAATGACCTATGGTGGTAATGATACAAATGGAGAAAAATCAACAAATCTGTTTATTTCAGAGAGAGTACCAACCTGAAATGCTGACAAATTGGCTGATGAATTGGCTGCACAGGGAACATTTTTACCTCGTTTACTAACATATCCTCAGCATTCAACAGCATGCCTGGATAACAGTACTCTATGGCATTAAAAGTAGAGAAGAGAAGGAAAATACCCAGACATCATTCAAAGTCATACTCCTTGTGGCAAAGACAAGGATGATTCACACTATTGTGAAGAAACATGTAAAATAAATCTGAAAGTATTTATCAAATATTATCCATGGAAAGAAGGCAGGATGAGCCACTGGCAACTTTCCTTCATCATATAACAGAGTTGGATAGTCATACAATATCAATGTCATATAACATGAGAAAGCAGTGTCTCTTCAAAAGTAAGGAATGACTAATGTGCATCACGTGAATAGATGTGGGCATGTGTATCCTTCATGTATCCTTCATGTATCCTTGTTGACTTAATTTTATGAGATACAACTGAGGCTGAAAAAAATGGAATTAGTTTGGTTCTGAGGGAGTATCCATTATATAGGAGCAAGGAATCATGTTCATACACAAATAAGGGAAGCTACTTGTGTAGCCCAACACCCATTTGATTTGTTCATTGTCAACAATGTCCCACATAAGCCGATTCAGTATTGAAGGAAATAATAAAAATGACCTGACCATGCTCACTGAGTACATGACCTTTTTTTTGTAACACGACATGCCGGCTGCCAACGGGAAAGGTGCTCATATGACTTTATGAAATGTGAAATGAGATTTAAAAAACATTGTTTTAAACACACATCTATAATTTCAAGTGCTTGTTCAAGTGGAATATCTAAGTGATATACTCAGAATCTTAAGTGCTCTAAATATGCTTCCTCAGCACTAAAATACCACAAGGTTTAATGCTTTGAATGAAGTACCAGGATTTTTGAAACACCACCAAACCATGAGACAAAATTCCCATAAATAATTTCCTCTACTTGTTAAGAAAAAAAAATCAATGAAGTACAACTCTAGGGCATATTTATAAAACACATCCCACTGCTATTACAAAACATGTAGAAATACTTACGACCTTACTGCCATCAAAGATTGGATTAGGAGCAATTCACACCTAGCTCCTCAGTTGTAAATTCAACTCTTTAGCTTTGGAGCGTGATATACTTGTTTGACTTTCATTTGATGAATTGATGAAAGAAGTCCCATGAGACAACTCTCCATAATTTCTGGCTAATTCTCTTATTTGAATACTAGAGCTATTTAAAGAGTTTTCAGATAATTGCTACATGATAATGAATAATGTGAGTGGGGGTTTTCTAATTTAGTAGAAACAAAATGTAGTAATAGAAGTCAATTAGTTGTAAAACTGACCTACAGTTCAAGTTAACCATTACTGAGACTGAAACATTCTTTGGAGATACACTACAAATAATCTCTCACCAGTCACTTACAAAACTAATGGTAATAACAATAATTTTATTAATAATGTATTTCATTTCTAATTTTAAAACTGTAATATAGCTATATAATTTTCCTAGGAATGTATTACAAATATTCATTAGGTACCAAACTATGCAAAATTTGAGAATCTTATAAATGAAAAATACAAAAACTGAAACCAGGAAAACTTGAGTTCAAATTTCAGCTCTGTAACTTACTTTTGTAATTTCTGACATATCTCTTTCTGTTCCTCGGTTTCTTCATCCATAGTATAGAAATAATATCAATTATGCTTAAAGGCAGTTAAAATATGAGAAATTATATATTTATTATACTTAATGTAGCTTCAATGCATACAGCAAACCTTCAGGAATAGGTAATTATGAGATTAGTATTAGGTATTATTAAATTTATAATTTCACTTATACCTGGAGGACGGGAGTTCCTTCTTGGTCTAGTTTCTTCGTACAACTCCCTGCCCTGCAGTTTTAGTTCTTAATATATATGATACGAATAGAGGAATAAATATGTGTCAAGGTTTTATCTACAAGTAGCAATGACAGTCTCTTTCTATTTCCCAAATTCTTTTTCTATTATAATTTTACCATGAGGGGCATTGACCCTCTACCCTAAGTCCACATGAAAGCAAAAAATAAAAGGTTAAGGAAAAAGTCAGTTTGTTCACTAGAGGAAGCTTCTTTTATGGGAGACATACTTCCAGTGCCTATTACCCGACAATCTTGTATTCCACCTACAAGACCCTAGATAAGGCAGGGCCCAGAAGAATGGAAGAAAAGATAACTCATTTATTAATTCAACTATAGTTTTTTGCATCTACTATATACCTGGAACTTTTTTAAAACCTAAAGGATAAAGCCATAAAGAAAGCAAATAAAAATCACTGCCCTCTTAAGTTTGTACTGAAATGCAGGGAGGAAATTTCAACAGGCCATTGCAGAATGTGGAAGCACAAGGAAAAATCCAAGTGGGAAGAAAAACCTCTTAATTCAAAGAAACAGAAACCAGAGTGGTAGGGACTCTGAGGATGGTGTGGACTCCATGATGAATTCACCTGTAGACCACCTGCTCTGGAACAGTCCTGAGTATTTGCAAGCCTGCTGAACCAAAGACAGGGAATTGAAACTCTCTATGTGAGCATTAATGAATAGAAATGAGAAAAACTAGTGGGAAAATTTATTTAGGGGTGAGACAGTGGGGGACCGACCACAACTACTGCAGTCTCACTGATAAGATGAGAACATATTGCTCCTTGCCACTCTTCTTCCACTCTATTCTTTCTCAAAAAATAAAATATGAAGAAATATGGTTGTTTAATGATTAGAGACTTCCCTTCAATATCAATATACATAGTTGGTTTTATTCATTATTAAAGTAATGAAATGGAATATTGGCTTTTTATCATGGTAGTTAATGGTGCAATTTGTGACATTTTTCAGGAAAAAGCTGAAATCCTGGATCTACCGCTTACTAACATGTTTTTAGCAAATTAAAAAATATTTCTGAGTCTCAGTGTCCTCATTGATAAAATGGGGTAATAATATCTATTTCAAAGGATAGTAAAAGGAAAGTATTTTAAAATAGTTATAATCATTACTCATATAGATATATAAAGTAAAAATATGTTAAATATTTTATTTAACTCCTTGTTAATGAAAGAACAGTTTAGATGTTATAACTATGTCAAAGAAAAATTCAAAAACCAGATATACAGACACATCAGACACATTTGTAAATAGATGAAAATGTGTCTATGCAATTGCTAATTACATTCTACTAGATATGGCTACTTTGCATATCTATGGGCAAGAGTGATTTTCATTATTATTTATTTTTTAAAACTTATAAAATTGTCAAAAAATGAAAGGTAGAGACAAACCTAATGAATGACCTTGCTTAGTCAGTCAACCATCTTCTTTTGCTCGTATCAAAATTTCTCACAATTCTTTCCTGACAAAGTCATTTTGAGTATTAACTAGGTTATATGTATATAAATCACTAAGCACAGTGACTAGAAAATAGAAAGTACTTCCAAAATGTTGAACCTTGAAGTTGCTGTGAGTCTTAAAAATTGCTAACTTGAAACATATAAAATTGCAAATATTAGAGTATTTTCAACCTATTAAAATAGCAATATCATATGTTTCAAATTAATATAACAATTATGGTTACCTAGCATCAAGAAAAATTGTTCTAAAGTCATTAAAAGTGTTCAAGAATGTAAAACTGTATTTGTTTGAAGAGAATGTTTCTAGAACTAACAGGCTTAAATATTTCTATTTTTGATGAACTGATCGCTATTCTTGTAGGTTCTGAAGAAGTCAGATTTTGCAGACTTTACCAAGTAAAGGCATACTATTTAAAACTTTAGGGAACCATTTACCAACGTGCTAAGCCACAATATATTTCCCAAGTTAAATCATGTTAGAAGATACTAAATAAAAAAGAGCTTATTTTGTGTTACAGTATCTCAGAGATTTAACAATCACAAAGGGGATTTTCTGCATTTTAAACATTTTTTTGAACATGACCTTTATTCATGAAGTATTTTCTCTATTGTTCCAAGGAATGCTGCATGGGAAAGCAACTACAAGCCTTTGGCTACACACCTCTGAATGGTCTCTCACTCTAGGTAACACAACTAATTCAAATGCAATGTTAGGAGAGTTGTTTTTGCCTAGATGAAATAAGATCTTTACAACCATGCTTTTCTATGGCCTTGAAAATGATGAGCCCTACTGTCAAAGTACATCTAGAGTTGGATCACATGTCCAAAACTCCTACTCTATCTAAACCACTAGGAAATCTTCTTGCATCCTATCAGGGTCTCAGTCTTTCCTCTGTGATTCCATTTGTGCCTTCAAACCATCTACAATCTTTATACAACAGCAGGACTGATACTCTTTAAAATTTGGGTCAGATTATGTCACTTTTCCATTCAAAACTCTCTGGTGTCTCCCAGTGCACTTCAAATAGAACCCAACTCTTCCCATTAAATAAAAGATCCTGCCTGATCTGACTCCAGCTATGTCTCTGACCTCCACGCCTGCTCTTTCCAGTCACACTGGCCTCCCTGCATGCTTCTGCCCCAGAGTTTTTGTTCTACTCTTTCCTCAGCTTGATAATCACAGGATTATTCTCATCTTAGAAAGGTCTTCCTGTAGCTAATATTTTACCTACTACCCTACCTAAAATATTTCCTGTACTTTCTATCTATTGACCTTCATTTATCTTTATTTATGGTTGACATCTGACATTTTTTTTTGTTTAGTATCCACTTGTGTATTTTATCCCCCTGTGAAATGTATGTGTTTGAATTTAATTTGTTATGATTTCTCCTAATTTGGTCTTGAGAACTTTCTGTTGTGAGTAGCCATAAGCCAGTATAGCCACTCTCTAGGGGACCCCTGTCTGGGAGAAAGTAATGATCAAGTGTGTTTGTCAGTTGGAACACAATGAAGTGAAACCTGAAATCATGAAACAGAAGAAACGTATTACTCACAGATCCAGAGAGGTTAGGGATACTTACACAAGGATGACAGAAAGTCCAAAGGTGGAATAATGCTCACCCAGAGGGTGACAAGAAAGAAAGAGGGTACTATGCCTTTATCCTGGGCCATGGGCATTAATCCTGAAGCTTAAGATGGGCTAGTTTAAAGAAAGCACTTAATTTGCATTTCCCTGATGATTAGTGATGTTAAACATGTTTTCATGTATTTATTGTACGTCTTACTTTGAGAAATGTTTGTTAAGATCATTTGCCCATTTTTTCAGATTGTTTAATTATTATTTTTTTCTGTTGCGATAGTTGCATTCATTGTATATTTTGGATATTAATCCCTTGTCAGATCAATAGTTTGCAAATGTTTTCTCCAATTCCGTAGGTTGTTTCTCCACTCTGTTGACTATTTCCTGTGCTGTGCTGAAGCTGTTTATCTTGACATAATCCCATTGGTTCATTTTTGCTTTTGTTGCCTGTGTTTTCAGGTCTTATTCATAAATCTTTTTCAAGACAAATATCTCAAAGTATTTCTCCTGTTTTCTCCTAGTAGTTTAAAAGTTTCATGTCCTATATTTAGGTCTTTAATATACTTTTAGTTGATTTTTGTATCAGGGAAATATAAATTAAAACCACAAAGAGGTATCAGCTCATTCCAGTAAAGATGGTTATTATGAAAAGAACAAAAAAGAAATAACAAGTGCTATCATGGATGTGGAGAAAAAAGAGCTCTTATATACTGGTAGTGGGAATGTAAACTAGTAAAGCCACTTTAAGCTATGGAAGTTCATCAAAAAAACTACAAATAGAAGTATACTATGATCCAGCAATCTCATCACTGGGTATTTATCCAAGGGAAAGGAATCAGTATATTGAAGAAACATCTGCATCACCATGTTTATTGCAGCACCATTCACAGTAGGCAAGATACGGCATCAACTCAAGTGCTCAATAACAGATGAAGGGATTTGAAAAAAAATGTGGTACATAAATACAATGGAATACTATTCAGCCATATAAAAGAATAAAATTCTGTCATTCATGGCAGCATGGATGAAACTGAATGACATTAATTTAAGTGAAATAAGCCAGGAACAGCAAGTTAAACACTGCATTTTGTCACTCATACCTAGAAGCTAAAAAAAACAGTTCATCTCATAGAAGAAAAAGCAGACGAAAGGATACTATACTAGAGGCCGCGATGGGTAGGGGAAAGAGGGGAGAGGGAGAGATTTGTTAAAGAATACAAAATTATAGCTAAATAGGAAGAATAAGTTCTAGTGTTGTATAGAAATATAGGATGCCTATAGTAAACAATAATATATAGCTTCAAATAGCTCAAAGGAGGATATTGAATGTTTCAAACACAAATAAATCATAAATTATGAATATGATAATTATGAATATAAAAATCTTGAGATAAAGAATATGGAAATTACACTGATTTAATTACTATACATACATAAATAAAATAAAATAAACACTTGAGAAGGGAAAAGTTACTTACATGACTCTCATGTTGACCGTTAGATTTTATTGTGGTCAACATCTGTGTGTTTGGATTTGGGTCAGTGGGATGAGAAACAAGTGAGCTGTATCATATAGGGAGGGGAAATTTTAACTAAGCCAAAGGTGATGGGGTACAACTGGGTTTAAAATAACTTATGCCAAGCCTTAGGATGAATGCTGAGTCAGCAGATATATTAAACAAACTTAAGACAGTATGGTTCATGGCTAAAAATACTACTTATATTGTCTTATTCTGTATCTTCATTTGGTGTGAAACATGTACTTAAAAAACATTATGAATAAGTAAATGAGTGAATAAACAGAGAAAGTAAAATAGGGAAAAAAGATGAAAATGAAAAAAAAAACCAAAAGAATAAAATTATAAGTATCTAGATGGCTGACAAAGAATGACACTTCCCATTTATAAACAATGTATCTTTTTGTCATTGAATAATACACTGAAGAATTGGCCTCCTTGCACTTTGGTCAATAGAGACTTTGATTGATTATGTCTGTTGGAATGTGTAAAGAAGACAAGAACTCCGAGATTCCTAAAAGCAGAGTAGCCAATACTATCTTATGCTTACCAATTTTTAAACATGATATGTGAATATGGATATGGATTACAAGAAAACAGGGAAAATTATAATTTTTGTGATTAAAAGTGGCAGTCAGTGTAATACTTATTTTTTCTATGTAATATAAAATAGGGTTATAAGACAAAATGTAATAAACTTCCAAATCTTCTGACAGGTATGAGTGATTTCAGTGTTAAATGTTCACAGATAATACCAAAGGTTAAAAAGTGATCATTGAATTTTTTTTAAAAAAAATCTCAGTTTGTAAAACATTTATTTAAAAAATACCTCCTTCTTCACTGTACCAGCAGAGTTTTGAATTGACTTTTCTTTTCTGACATTCTTATATTTAGCACCCATATGGTGATTGCATGTTTGACTGCTTCATCCGTCAATTTGAAGTCAAGGGTACTGAAGTAAGAAATCATGTGTAATGCTCACTGTGTACTCCCAGGCACCAAAATAGTACTACATTTATAGTATTATTCATGGTATATATTACATATATATTCATGGTTGTTCTGTGGACATATTAGAAACACTATGGGTCAAAGTAATTTGGTGCATTTTTTTCCAAAGCAATCTCTTAAAATTATTAACATTCAACATGACCAAAATGATTCCTAGAGTTCCAAGGCAGTTGAGATGGGTATTAGTAAAAACATAAAGAATGCACATGAACAGCAGGGTCAGGGTGAGCTTCAGTGGCTTTTCTATTGATGACATCTGGATCCTTAACTGCTTAAATTGATAAGGGTAACAAGAATAATAAACCACTACAAGTGCTAATGATTCTACTCAGATAAGTTTGGGACACTGATTATTCTGATCCATTTCACAGATAATAGACTAAAATAGAAATTTCAGAGCAGAACTTATTTAAGTCAAAGGAGATGTAATATTACTACTATCAGTGAATGAGAGAGGTATTGAGCATCTACTCTGAGCTCAGCATGTCTCTAGATGATAAGAAATATAACATTATTTGGCATGATGCCTGCTTCAAAAAATAGTTTGGAGGCTGAGAAAAAAGATATTAATAATAGAAAGAGTAATTAGCATTTACTGAATACCTAAATGGGAATTCTGCATTCATATGTCTTTTAATCCCTGAAGGGACCCTACCAGGTAAATATTAATATTATTCTCTTTTGAAAGATAGATAAAAAAGAGTTTCATAGAATTTAAATGCTTCCCATAGTAACATAACTTATAACCAATAAAAGCAAGACTCAGTTCCTTCTAGTTCCAAAGTTCTTACTTTGAACCCCTATGTCATATTGCTTCTCTAGAGAGTAATAGACTTACTGCATCTTGCAATGCACTTATAGTTTTTTATCCTGGAGACACTCATAAGTTTCCATTCATTTTTAAACCACCTCCCATAGTTGTAATGATACGACTGAATAAAGTAATTTACAGAAGTGTCCTAACACAGAGATATTCATTAAAAATGTTAGTCCCATTTCACTGTTCCTTTGAGAAGCTTAAAATCTTGTTAATTATGATGGATTCATAATATTGTGGCAGAAAAATGAAACAAAGCAGCAGTCACTAGTGTGAGACAAGGTCAATATTCACTAGGCAATCCAGGAAAAGGTGAGACTCACTGCAGATTACAAAGGATGAGAAGGGGCTACATAAATGAAAGAAGGACAGAGGAGCCAGGTAAAAGAATAGTCCACAGAAGAGAAGTCTGGAAATCATGACCCTATTTAACAATGACTGAAATTGTACTGGATTTTCATTTTTCTTCTGGTATATCCATATTTGAAATATTTACCTTCAAATCATTTACATATGCAGTCATTTGCACCTACTATTGTGTCACATACACAAAATAAATTATCCTGACATTGAACTAAAAATGGTAAGGATAAATAAGGTTACAGATGCCAATTCTTTTCTTATTCATTTACTTTTACTATGTAGTAGGAAATTGTCTTATTTTTAAGCTCCTTACAGTGTATACGTTATCCAGTAAAGTGTCAAAGCCCATTTCAAACCATGGATTCATCAAATGATCACTATTAATTATTAGCAATGCTATTTATAGTTTTACTAATGACAATCTTTGGAATCACAATTACTTTCCTATCTATGACCCTAGAATTTATATTGATATGTAAAGATGTGGTAACAGAATACTAAAATGGCATTCATTTTTTTAATCTTTTAATTTTCTTCTACAACTAGATACCATACTTTCATTTGCTCTTTGAATATTGTCTTTTGGCAACACTTGCACCATGAGAGGCATAGATCTTTGTACAACTCTATTTTTAATGTGTTGGTGTCCATATGTACAGATACAGACAGAAAAAAAAGAGTAGATATGATAATGGAGTAAAGGAAGAGAATGACTGGGTCAGGAAACATGCTACGAAAAAGATTCCCAGAGGGAAGCCAGGTGAAGGAGAAGAACCTTAGTGAAAGGTTCTTAAAGATATTTCATGCCTCAGCAAGGAACTGAATAGAAACATTATTGAAAAATACAATGTCCTCAACTGAACAATTTTCTTGAATTCTAACTGGCTATTGTATCTATGAGTAATATATACTGATATGACACAAAAAATGCATTTACACTACTGTCAGCCCAGTCATTTCTTAGAATACTTAGTTTTATTCTAATAAGACCACTGAATTTACTTGCTAAGAGTTTAATCAGAACATTAGCCCATATATTTTAATAGAAAAACAATAATAAAATTAATAAATATACACTTATATTGATCAAGAAAAATAGAAAATACTAATATCAATAATCAAAGCAGTACAAACCCTACAGATAGTAACCATTTTGTTTAGGCATATTAAGAAAAAATTACAACAGTAAATTCAACAACTTAGATGAAGTTGAAAAAATTATTGACAAAAAAAAAAACCAAAACCTGGTGCAAGATTAAATACAGAATATGAAAAGTCAATGTATATCGATTGATAAAATTTTAATATTATAAATCCTTCTGCAGATACATTTCTAAAAACAGATACTTTCACTAGTAAATTCAGAAGTCTTATAAAGAAATTATACCAATCACTCAAAATATGCCTGTCTTTTGGAAAACAGATAAAGAAAACTGCCTGTTTATTTGAGACCAACATTACTATAATATCAAAATATGAAAAAGACATTTTAAAAAATAAATGTTAGAGCTCATGTATATATGCTGTAAAAATCTTATATAAAAACATTAGTAAACTAGATTCAGCAAAATATTAAAAAGGATATGTTTGAGTTAACAGTGGAAAATATGAATGAATCTAATTTTGTCATATTAACAAAATAAAGGGAAATTAGCAAATGATTCAATTAATAGATGGAGTAATAGCATTTGGCAACACCTATTTATGATAAAACCACTCAGAAAACCATGTATAAAATGGAGCCACTTCATTCTGATATGAAAAAAATACAGCTAATAGTATATTTACTGATTTAACACTATGAATAAAAGACAGTGTCTACTCCTTACACTACCTTATGCTACTGCTCAACATTATATCATTTTAATAAAGAATGAAAAGCTAATAAAAGCATAAAGACTGTAGGAAAATGGAAAATGTTTTTATCTGTAGATGACATCATATTTATATAGAAACAATAAAAATAACAAAATATTATAACTAATAAGTGAATTTAGCTTAGTGAGAACGTGGACTTGCATCCCCAGTAGTAATGAGGAGCTTCTTTACCTTCCTGCTGAAATAGTGTCAACAGAGGCCTAGGAGAGAGTCAGGACTTTAAGCTCAGCAATAAAGAAACCAGACCCCTGTGTGCCACTGGAAAACCAGTGGGGAGCAATAATGAGGCACTAAAACCAATTCAGGCAGAGAGGTATGACTGGCGATCTAGTTGAGAACCCCGATTTCTATACCTACCCAACAATAATAAGGAGCACACACCCTTGGGTGTTAACAGGTCAAATTGAGAATCTGGACATCAAACCCCAGGAAATAAATTGCAATACCCTTCCCCTGCTTGGGTGGTGCCAGTGAAACAGAAGTTTTAAATTACTTTCAGAGTCTCATAATGTAAGATCCAAAATATCCAGGTTTCAACATGGATACTTAAGTACAGTACATGTGCTTAGTATCTGGGTGACAAAGTTATCTGTACAACAAACTCCCGTGAACCTGTTTACCTATACAAATCTCAGAACAATAAGTGAGTTTAACAAAGTTGCAGAATACAAAATCATGCAAAAATCAATTGTATTTTTGTATAGTAGCATGTAAAAACTGAAATTAAAAAATAATAGCAATTACAGTTGCCCAAAAATGACTTTAGGTGCAAATCTAACAAAATGTGTAGGACTTGTATGCTGAAAATGACTCACTTAAAATGTATGCAAATCAAATATTTAAATAAATAAAGACAGACTATGTTCATGGATTAGAAGATTCTGCACAGTAAAATGTCAATTCTCCCTAAATTGATACACAAGCTTAACACAATTTCTATCAAAATCTCAGAAGGATAATTTTTATAGATACAGTCAAGATTACTCTAAAATTTCTTAAGGATGTCTGAGAAACTGTAATAGCTATAATGATTTTGACATAGAAGAATAAGCTGGGAGGCATCAGCTAAAGTTATTCTATCTATACTAATTAAGATTGTATGGTATTAGTATCGGATTAAACACACAGATCAATGGAACAGAATAAAAATATGAAAATAGACCATATAAATATTCTCAACTGATTTTTGACAAAATTCAAAAGTATTCCAATACAAAAAGAAGGTATTATAGCAATTGGACATAGATAGATAAAAAGAAACAAATAAAGAAAGAGAGAGAGAAAAAAAGAAAAGAGAAAAGAAAAGAAAAAAGAAAAGAAAAGAGGGTGGGAGCAGTGGCTCACGCCTGTAATCCCAGCACTTTGGGAGGCCAAGGTGGGTGGATCATGAGGTCAGGAGATTGAGACCATCCTGGCTAACACGGTGAAACCCTGTCTCTACTAAAAATACAAAAAATTAGCCGGGCATGGTGGCAGGTGCTTGTAGTCCCAGCTACTCAGGAGGCTGAGGCAGGAGAATGGAGTGAACCTGGGAGGTGAAGCTTGCAGTGAGCCGAGATTGCGCCACTGCACTCCAGCCTGGGCAACAGAGTGAGACTCTGTCTCAAAAAAAAAAAAAAAAAAAAAAAGAAAAGAAAAAAATAGAAAAGAAAAAAATAAAAGGAAGGGAGGAAAGAAGGAAGGAAGGAAGGAAAGAAGGAAGGAAGGAAATAAGGAAGGAAAAAAAAACCTCAACCTAGATCTCAAACCTTATACAAAAATTAACTAAAAATTAAATAAATCACAGATTTGAATGTAAATGCAAAACTAAAACTTTTAGAAAAACTAGGAATAAATCTTCAGAATATAGGGCTAAGCAAAAAGTTCTCAGCCTGACACCAAAAACATGATCCATAATAGGAAATCATTGATAAACTGTATTCTATCATATTTTTTAAAAAATTTGATCTGTTCAAAATTATTCAGAGAATAAAAGAGTAAATTGCAGACTGGGATAAGTAAATTGTAGACTGGGATTTAACTGTCCTTCAGAAAAGAAAAAATGTAATGGCTAATTTTGTGTCAACTTAACTGGGCCACAGGGTGCCCAGATATTTGATTAAATATTTTTCTGAGTATGTTTGTGAGAGTGTTTAGTAATGAGGTTAACATTAAAATTGGTAGACTGAGTAAAGCAGATTTTCCTCCCTGATGACCTAATTCAATGAGTTGAAAGCCTAAATAGAATAAAAAGCTTTTTCTTCCCCTGAGTAAGAGATAATTCCTTTTGTCTGACGGCTTTCCTATAGGGACATCCATTTTTTCTGTTTGTTTTCTTCTTCCCACATTCAGACTTGAACTAAAACATCAGCTCTTTCTTGGTCCTGCACCCAACAGCCTTCAGACTGGAATTGTATCATTGGCTCTCCTGGATCTCCGCTTACCAATTTACTTTGCAGATCTTAGTACATGTAAACTTCCATAATTATGTGACCCCCTTCCTTATAATAAACCTCTGTATAAAGATAGATAGATATGTAGGTAGGTAGGTAGGTAGATAGATAGATAGATAGATAGATAGATAGACAGACAGAGTAGATAGAGTAGATAGATAACATAAATATCTCTCAAAACTCAACATGAGAAAATCAAAATAAAAAACATAAATGGGCACATCACAAAAGATATTCATACAGCAAGGAAGCACATGAAAAGACGTTTGACATTATTCTTGATTAAGGAAATGCAAATTAAAACACAAAGAAATATCACTATACACACATCAAAATGGCTGAAATTTAAAAATAATGATGCTAAATGCTGGTTACAATGCTGAGAAACAAGATCAGCCAAATATTGCATGAGATGATATCTCCTTGTGGTTTTGATTTGCATTTCCCTAATGGCCAGTGACGATGAGTATTTTTTCATATGTTTGTTGGCTGCTTACATATCTTCTTTCAAGAAGTGTCTGTTCATATCCTTTGCCCATTTTTTGATAGGTTTGTTTGTTTTTTCTTGTAAATTTGTTTAAGTTCTTTGTAGATTCTGGATATTAGCCATTTGTCCGATGGATAGATTACAAAAACTTTCTCCCATTCTGTAGGTTGCCTGTTCACTCTGATGATAGTTTCTTTTGCTGTGCAGAAGCTCTTTAGTTTAATTAGATCCCATTTGTCAATTTTGGCTTTTGTTGTATTGCTTTTGGTGTTTTAGACATGAAGTCTTTGCCCATGCCAATGTCCTGAATGGTATTGCCCAGGTTTTCTTCTAGGATTTTTATGGTTTTAGGTCTTATGTTTAAGTCTTTAATCCATCTTGAGTTGATTTTTGTATAAGGTGTAAGGAAGATGTCTGGTTTCAGTTTTCTGCACATGGGCTAGCCAGTTTTCCCAACACCATTTATTAAATAGGGAATCTTTTCCCCATTGCTTGTTTTTGTCAGGTTTGTCAAAGATCAAATGTTGTAGATGTGTGGTGTTACTTCTGAGGGCTCTGTTCTGTTCCATTGGCCTGTATATCTGTTTTGGTACCAGTACCATGCTTCTTTGGTTACTGTAGCCTTGTAGTGTAGTTTGAAGCCAGGTAGTGTGATGCCTCCAGCTTTGTTCTTTTTGCTTAGGATTGTCTTGGCTATGCGGACTCTTTTTTGGTTCCATATGAAGTTTAAAGTAGTTTTTTTTCCAATTCTTTGAAAAAAGTCTGTGGTAGCTTGATAGGGATAGCACTGAGTCTATAAATTACTTTGGGCAGTATGGCCATTTTCATGATATTGATTCTTCCTATCCACGAGCATGGAAAGTTTTTCCATTTGTTTGTGTCCTCTCTTATTTCCTTGAGGAGTGGTTTATAGTTCTCCTTGAAGAGGTCCTTCACATCTCTTGTAAGTTGTATTCCTAGGTATTTTATAGTTTTAGTAGCAATTGTGAATGGGAATTCACTCATCGTTTGGCTGTTTGTCTGTTACTGGTATATAGGAATGCTTGTAATCTGTTTGCAGATTACATGATTGTATATTTAGAAAACCCCATCAACTCAGCCCAAAATCTCCTTAAGTGGATAAGCAACTTCAGTGAAGTCTCAGGATACTAAAATTTTTTTATGTTCTTAGGGAAGACAATAGTTGTTTTACACAGCACAAAAAAGCAATAATCACAAAGGAAAAGAATGAAACATTGGACTTCATTAAAAACAAAGATCATTATTGATTAAAAAAATGAGATAATAAAAATGAAGCCAACGCCGTTGGAGAAAATGTCTATGGAATATGTACCTGACATAGAATTTTTGTCAATAACAGCACTGACCTATAGAAATATGAGTCACATCTCCATATTGACCTGCCACATTTAAATTGCTTAACAGTCACATATCATTAGTTTCTACCATACTGAACAGCACGGATTCAGAACATAAAAATAACTACTACATATCACTCAATCTAATCTTAAAAAATGTACAAACACTCTGAAAAAGGGATATAAAAATTAAAAACATGAAAGTTAAACCACAATATAGTATAATGGCACATTCACACAAATGGCAATAATAAAAAATATGAAAATAACAACTCAGTAAAGCTGTGAGATGACTGGAACTTTCATATTGGAATATTGTATTGGAGAATCTTATAAAGCTGAATGTACAAATTACCTATTCTGAAATATTTCTACTCCCAAAGAAATGACTAATATGAGCTGCGAAAAAAAATCAGTATGAAAAAATTGGTACCAATATTTATAATTTTCCCAAACTGGAAACAACCTATATGCCCATTAACTGTGGAATGGTTAAATAAGCCATGATATATGCATCTAAATACTACACGGCAATGAAAAATAAATAAACTGCTACTAAGCACAATAGCACAATGTTGACTGAAAGAAACCAGCAAAAGGGCACTTATTTTTTGTTTCCTTTTACAGAAATCTCCAAAGTAGGCAAAGCAAATGTATTTTGATATAAATCAGAACAGCAGCTCCATTTAAATGGGGGTAATGACTTGAAAAGGTCATGAAGGAGGTTTCTCGACAGTAGCAGTTTTCTATTTCTTGAACCACTTGATTACATAGGTTTATTTACTTGGTAAAACATCATAAAATTATGCATGCATGATTTGTGTACACACTTTTGTATTTATGCTTTCAATAAAATTTGCTTAATACACTTAGAGTTTCCTTTTATACGACTTTAATCAGTTTCTACAAAGGCTTCTCTTCTGATTTCCAGTGGGACAATTTTTCAAGTCATTCAGTCCGATGCTGCTGGGACTTACTGCACTGACCTGCAATCAAGACTGTCAATGCTCAATCAAAACCAACAAAGAGCATAATGGCTAAGCAAAAGCAAAATTGTCAATACCTTATTATTGCAATAAAATATGCTAAGAATTACGCATTGAATTTCCCAGACTGCATTATTGAAATGTTTGCTAATTTTCAAGACAATTTACCAGAAACTGCTGAAGAGGAACTTAATGAAACTGTGGCTGAAGTTAAATTTAAAATAATCCAATGCACTTCTCAAAGGAAGATTACTCCCCAGCTGTCAAACAGCTTTGATGGTACCTGATACTAAGAGAACTCTCAAAACCTAACTTCGATTTATTCTAACATTGACTTGCTGGAAAAGCATCTCACAGACCTCAACAACTTTAAAGGAACTTAAAACGTTAGATTGTGGGCAGGGAAAAGAGCAGGCACACGTTTTGTCAGAGAATTGGAAGTGAATTTTCTTAAGGAAAAAACAGTAATTAGTTTTAAAACTCATATTGTAAATTATAATCATTATATTATACTCTTGTATTCCAGTTTAACCATAATGCTCTCACACTCTAATTATGATACATTGCTATTTCAATGGTGTATTGGTTAACATTGAGCAATTACAATCATGCATTCCTTTATCCATCCAGTCATCATTTATTGATGCTTCCTGAGATACAAATGCATGCTACATTCTAGGATGTATATCACTATATATGTGTGTACAAATGCACAGTTATTAGGTTGGTGCAAAGTAACTGCTGTTTTTGCCATTAAAAGTAATGACAAAAAAGTAATTTCTAACCTACTGTTTGGCACTTTATGTCAACAATAAACACATTAAAATTAATTTTAAACATCGGGCATTCCTTACATTCACAATGAAATGGAAATATGTTTACTGTCAACATCAAATTTACCTATTTAAAAGTGCTTCTTTTTCATAAACATGGTTAGTACGATAACAGTTTGACCAACCTACTTACTTGACCTTATAATTTGTCATAAACTAGTGCTAAACGCACGAGTTATAGTAGGATTTTCTACATGAGTAATGATGTTGCTGCAAATAGTTTTATTTCTTTCTTTTCAATCTGTACGCCATTTTCTTCTTTTTGCCTTCTTATACTAGCTAAATTTCCAGTATGATATTGAATTAAAGTGGTGATAATGGATACCTTTACTTGTTGTCTATGTTAGGAAGAACGTATTTAGACTTTCAACCATTAAGTCTGATGTTAAATACAGTTTTCATAACGCCCTTTCTTCAGGTTGATTATATCTCCTATTTCTAGTTTCTGGAGAGTTTGTATTCTTAACCGATGTTAACTTTTTTCAAATGCTTCTCCTGTATATTGAGATGATCATGTGTTTGACTTTTTTTGTTTGTTTGTTGATTTGTGGAAGTAGATTGATTTGTAAATGTTGAACCACTTTATATTCCAGTCATGCAATCAACAGGGTCATGATATATTGCCATTTTTACATACTATCAAGATCAATTTCATTATGCTGTGTTAAGGCTGTTTGTGTCTACTTTATGAGGGATATTGGCTTGCAGTTTTCTTGCAATGTTTTGGTCTAGTTTTGGTTTACAGAATCTGCAAAAAAAAAACCTATAACTGGTGGGTTTAGCACTGGTTTATCATAAAATATAAAGTTGGATAAGCAGATTGGCCAAACTGTTAATATCGTTACCATGTAAATCACCTCACTGGCTTTATTGAAACATGTACTTTCATTCACTGTAAAGTTTGTATAGAATGGAAATTACTATTTCCTTAAAAGTGTCATAAAATTCAACAATGAGTCCATGTAGGCTGGAAGTGGTTTTTTGTTTCTTTCTTTAGTGAGAAGGCATCTTTAAATGCAATCCATTTAGTAGACAGGACTTATTAAATTATCTACACCTCTTAAGTTTGGTAGATGTGTGTTTCAAGGAATTTGTCCAATTCATCCAAATTCTCGAATTTATTGGCATATTTTATAATCTGACCTTAACATCTTATAATGTATGTAGGATATATTACGGCTTCCCCTGTATCATTGCTGATATTAATAATTTGTGTCTTCTCTTCTTTTCCTTGATCAAACTAGAGGTTTATAATTTTATTTTTTATTACATTTTTAAATTTTGTGGGTACATAGTAGGTGTATATATTTATGGGGTACATGAAATATTTTGGTAAAGGCATGTAATGCATAATAATCATATCATGGAAAATTGGGTATGCTTCCCCTCAAGCATTTATCATTTGTGTTAAAACAATCCAATTATACTTTTTTAATTATTTGAAAATGTACAATTATATTATTATCGACTATAGTCCCCCTGTTGTGCTATCAAATACTAGGTCTTATTCATTCTTTCTATTTTTTTCTTTTTTTCTTTGGTGTCCATTAACCATCCCTACCTCTCCCCATGCCCTCTGCTCCCACTACACTTAGCACCCTTTGGTAACCATCCTTCTGTACTCAAGCTCCATGAAGTCAATTGTTTTGATGTTTAGTTCCCACAAATAACTGTTTGTTTGTGCCTAGCTTATTTTACTTAAAATGATGACCTCCAGTTTCATCCATGTTGTTGCAAATGACAGAATCTCATTTTTTTTTTGTATGGCTAAATAGTACTCCATTGTGCATATGTAACATATTTTCTTTATCTATTCATCTGCTGATGGACACTTAGATTGCTTCCAAATCTTGACTATTGGGAAGAGTGTTGCAAGTATAATTTTATTTTCTATCTTTTCAGACAACTTGCTTTTGGTGTCAGTTCTTTTCTCTATTTCTTTTTCCAGTCTCAATTTCTTTGATATCTGCTCTTATATTTGCTTTTATTCTTTCTGTTTACTTTGGGTGTAATTTGTTCTTCCCTTTCTAGTTTCTTGAGGAAACTTAGATAATTGTTTTGAAATTATGTTTTTCCCCTAATATAAGCATTACTGCAATAAATTTCCTTCTAAGCACTACTTTAGCTGCATCTCAGAAGTTTTAATATGGTATATTTTAATTTTTTTTATTTAAATTAGTTTCTAATTTCCTTTGTGGTTTATTTTTATATCCACTAGTGTGTGCTATTGTTTAATTTGCAAATATTTGGAGATTTACTAGTAACTTTTTAAAATTAATTTTTAGCTTCTGTTTTTTTCAGTGAAAATAGTTCTTGTGTGTGTGTATATATATATATATATATATATATATATATAGTATGTACTATATATACACATGCAGAAGTCTTATAAGTAATTCATACCATATATTTACTGTATCATTACATTATACTATATATTATATATATACTCTTTACAGTAGATATTTTGTATATATTATATATATAAAATCTTTAAGTATGTTGAGACGCATAGCTCAGAATATGGTCTATCTTGACAAGCACTCCATTTACCCTTGAAAAGAATGTGCAATTTACAGTTGCTCGAATGTTCTGAGTATGGTTGATAGGTCCTCTGTATTCTTATTTTCTTCATTAATTATAGAGCAATCAGTGTTGAAGTCTGTAACTATAAAAGTAGATTTGTCCATTTGCCTAGTTTTCTTTCAGTTCCATCAATTTTTTGCAATGTATTTTGAAGTGTTGTTAGCTGCATACACATTTAGGATTGTTATTTTTCTTGAATCACTATCTTTGTTATCATTATGAATCATCTGTCTTTATCTCTGGTAATATTCCTTACTATAAATTTTACTTTGATAATATAACTACTCCAACCTTCTTTGACTAGTGTTGCCTGGTATACCTTTTTAAATCCTGTTGTCTTTAACTTCTCTATATCTTAATATAATATGGGTTTTTAGTAGACAGCACATAGTTCAGTGTTACTTTCGAATGCAGTCTGAATCTGACATTGACTTTTAACTGGATGTTTTGAATCATGTACATTTAATGCTATATAATTACTGATACAGTTGGATATAAACCTTCTATCTTGCTGTAGTTTTTCTAATTAGCTCATTTGTTCTGTGTTTCTTTCTTTCTCTCTTACTTTCTCTCTTTCCTTTCCCTCTTGCTTTCTCTCTCTCTCGCTTTCTCTCTTTCTTTCTTTCTTCTTTATTTATTTATTTTTCTTTTTGAGGCAGAGTCTCGCTGTGTCACCCAGGCTGGAGGGCAGTGGCATGATCTCGGCTCACTGCAACCTCTGTCTCCTGGGTTCAAGTGATTCTCCTGCCTCAGGCTCCCTAGTAGCTGGGATTACAGGCTCCTGCCACCATGCCTGACTAATTTTTTTGTATTTTTATTAGAGACGAGTTTGGCCAGGCTGGTCTCGAACTCCCGACTTCAGGTTATCCACCAGCCTCAGCCTCCCAGATGCTGGGATTACAGGCGCGAGCCACCACGCCCGGCCTGTGTTACCTTTTCTTTCTTTTTGTTTTTCTTTTCTTGTTTTGCACTGGGTGTTTGTTAATGGGTTTATTTAATATCCATCATGGGCTTATTTAGATATATATTTTTAAATTGTTTTAGTGGTCAATTTAAGGCTTACAATATATATGTTGAATTTATCATAGCCTACTTTCCAACAGACTTATAGTATAAAACTTTACAATATTATACTTTCAATTTTCTCCTGCTCATTTTTGTGCTATTACTATTATACATAAAAATATACAATATGTTAAAACATCAAAATACATCATTGCTTTTTTGTTTTAGAAAGTGACATATTTTTTAAAGCTATTAAAAATAGAAAAAAGTTTACTTTCCCATTTACCTAGTTTTTACTATTTCTGCCTTCTTCATTTCTTTGTATATATTTATATTTCCATCTAATGTCATTCTTTCTGTCTAAAATGGTTATGTCTTTTCTTATGTTCTCCCTGGCAGATATTTTTTGCCTTTATCTCTTCAGTTGAACAGTGTTGAGCACATAACAGATTTAAATTTTAAAAGAGACATATTTTAAAATATACTACTTTAAAAAAATCTATAAAACTGGTAAGTTTTTCTAATTCAGACCTGAGTCAAGTCCAGCCCTCAATATTATAAATAAATTTTAAACAGTATTATAAAAACTGCAACAAATGATATGCTAAAAAGAAGTCTAGTTTATAACAGTATAGAAAATGATGACAAAATATGAATCTTTGACCACATAAATATTTTCTTGTGACATGACTAGTAATGTTTAGTGACTTAATTAGGATCAGCCCTATTACACAACATGGAAAAACATCTCAGTCTCTCAAGACAATTAAACTAGGGATGATACTGCAATTTTGATATTAAACCACAGTTGTCAGCATTGTATCAGCTTGACCTGGCTGTGTGTACACGCCTCTTAGGAGAGCATTTTTGTACATGTTTTTCTGTAGCTATTCTTCATATCAAAGTGAGATCAAATGGAGAGTTTGGATGCATACCACACAGTGGTTTGTGAAGTCCATTTGGCCTACATTCTAACAACCCAAGCACTTCAGGGAAAATTCCAAGTCAGCTTATGATCACCACCTGCCAGGAATCTAGCCCAGCTGTGACAGAGCTGCAGAGTCTGGCTGTCAGCCACGAAAATACAGAAAAAGGGTAAAAAAGGATTTTCAGACTTGTTTTATTGCCCTTCAGGACAATATAGATGGAAAGAATATAAAGAAAATTTGAAGATTAGGGAAAAATGAGAGTTCAGGAATATATATATATATATATATATAACTAATTTTGATAACTTTCTATTTAAGAATGGTATGAATCCCAGCACTTTGGTAGGCCAAGGCGGGTGAATCACCTGAGGTCAGGAGTTCAAGACCAGCCTGGCCAACATGATAAAACCCTGTCTCTACTAAAAATACAAAAAATTAGCCAGGAGTGGTGGCAGGTGCCTGTAATCCCAGCTACTAGAGAGGCTGAGGCAGGAGAATCATTTGAACCCGGGAGACAGAGGTTGCAGTGAGCTGAGATGGCGCCACTGCACTCCAGCCTGGGTGACAGAGTGAGACTCCATCTCAAAAAAAAAAAAAGAAGAAGAAGAAGAATGGTATGAAACCACATGTGTAGCTCATGATTATTTGGGATAACTTAAGAAGCTGTGCTTCCAGAAAATACATAATTTACCTGATTATGCTGGCGAATAAAATGGAGAATGTATGTGGTAATTTGGTTAAAATCTTCAGAAAAATTCACAATGGATATAACAAGGGAAAGAAACTGGGGCATTTTCTTTCCTGCCACAAGGTTCTCAGCATTACATCAAAAGACAGAAAAGTCGTTCCCCAAAAAAGACCTTGCAAAACCCTAGGTAAGATGGTACATTAAATATTCTAAGTAATTCAGATCATATCTTCTTTCCTATGGGCTACACATGTATTTCATAGCACATTTTGCTTTTTTTCAGTGTACTATAAATTTCTCATTTCACATCACAGATTTCTTGAGGACTGAAATAATGTTTGGTCCACATCAGTATCCTCGCACATCCTACCTACCTGCCAAGCACAATTCTTGATCTTTTGTAATATGCTCTCCAAATTATTTATTGCATTGTATTGTTCAATTCTGCTGTACTACAGTCCATCTACAATGCCACTAGCAACATTTACAAACTAGTATGGTCAAAATCACCTATGAGGTTTAGAGAAAAATGCTAAGTATTGGTTGGCTAAACATATTAACTAAGTCCACTGTATATAAGACATAGTCTTTGATTCCTAATTTTAGATTTATACATCATATCATTACAATTAGTAGATGGTTTCTTAAAAGTCTCCTGATACGTACTTTCTGTTAAGCCTGAAAAATGTTGAGACTTAAATAAATAGCACTCAAAAAAAATTCACATTACTTCAACTCTCAGAATAATTTTCTCAATTTCTCTTCTGTATTCAATGACCTCACTATCCAAGAGCTGAAGCTGGAATTTCACTATCTTTTAAAAATAGTCCCAGTTTATAGGAAATAATGCATAATTTAAATGCATGAAGGTGTATTATACTCGTTGAAAGCTTCTGAAGTTGAATATACAAATATTGAAGCATCCTTAAACAATTTGCTTTTACTATGTCAACACTTGTAAATTAAAGTAGAAAAATTTTAAGTGGCCAGCTATCTATATAATTTAATGATGTTTAAGTGTACTTTTACATGTGGAAAGGTATTCTCTGTCCCATAAAGTCTTTCTCTCATATCAAAGCCTGCTTTTTAAAAAGAATATTTTTTTTCTCTAAAATTCTCTTTATAAGTCACCATAACTTCAGTTCAGGATCTAGCTTTACGGTTTTGAAAAAGATTGTGACTGGAATTTGCAAGTTCTATTCATCTTGAGTGACTTTAATATTTATAGCAAACTACACTTATCTTACAGCGACATAATCTTTTACTGCTGAGACAACTTTACTGTGCACGTCACCCTCACCATCCCTCAGGAGCAACTAATTAGCAGCTCAGAGGGAAGAGACAATCTACCAAATATAAAAGACTGTTTCAAAGAGGTAATCAGTTCCCAATAGATTCTACATCGGATAGTAATAAACAAAGATGTGTTTTCCTTTGGACTTAAATAAACTTACCCGGAATTATCCATTTACTTCTGTATTATGCAACTTTTACAGTGGACTAACCCACATAATCTAAATGCATTTTTTTTAGTGTATCCACCTTATCATTCATTTTGGATTTTCATTGTTTTTCCTCTCTAAGCAAACTGATGCAAAGTCAAACTGATAATCATGAAGTGCATTGTGCATAAGAGTTTGCATTCTATTTGGCATAATTTTGTTTGAAGGCTCATCAAAATGGACAATGTCACCAAAACAGCAAATTTGCTAGGTGCAGCTGTGCTACATAGCAACACATGACTTGAAATCCTAATGTCTTCTAAACATTCTGAGTGAGATGACATAATCCCAAAAAATACTTTTTCCCAACAATAATGTGATCTAAAGGCTTAGGTGTTTTTTAAAATATTGAGTTTATTTGGGATATTGTTAATAGCAAAATGCCAATAGGTGCTTTTTAGAGTTTCTTAAGACACTTTATTAACCTTGTTAGGCTCTAGTAAGCAAAAGACTATGAATAATGCGCTATGTATTTGGGAAACTCTGAAGTAGGAAATAGAATTATTCTTTTTACTTTATAGTAAAGGCAAGGATACAATATCGATACATATGTGTCAAAAATTAGATATGTAATGTTACTAAGTAAAATGATATCATTAAGTTCTTAGTGCATCAGGAGCTCACAGAAGAGAGATTAGCTTCATCATTAACTTTACCAAGTCCTATGATTTGCCTTAGGACTAGCTGACTTTAAAAAAGATGATTGCCTGTACCCAACCACTGCTTGATCTTCTTTATATACCGGTGCAGAGTCAGGCAAGCAGCATGGGAAATTCTCTAAATTGCAGTGCTGATCAACACCTTCAGTATACAAACAGTCCTCTAAGGATATTTCCTCCTGTTCCTTGATGTAACTGAATATCATTAGGTATACCATCACTTTTTAAAATATCATAAATTTTTACAAATATTTTAGAGGTGCCATGGTATAGCCATCAGCCATAACTTTCTAAGCCCCATGCTGAAGGTTTTCTAAAGACCTAATTGGTTTTAATTGTGATTCTAGAATCAAGCAACACCCCATTCTTTTTTCTAGTCTAATAAATTTTTATTTTTAATATATACCCCTTGATTTTATTTTATCCTACAAGGAAAACACATACAATAATTTACAGAAATTTGGTAACAGTCAATCAGCAGGGTAGGCTAATTTGGAACACTATAAACACACACGAAAAAAAATTTAAATTGGCTATCATTTCACACATCTGTAGTTCTAGCTATTCAGGAGGCTGATGTGGAAGGATTGCTGAAGCCCAAAATTTCAACACCAGTCTGGGCAACATAGCCATACCTAACTGAAAAAATTTGAAGACATTGTTATGTATGTGTATATATTATGTAATTGTGATTCTTTTTAAAAGTTACTTTAATTATATATTTTTTATTAATTGATATGTAATAATTCTACATATTTGTGGGGTACAGTGTGATACATTTTGATGCATATATATACTGTGCCATGATCAATTAAAAGTAATTAGCATATCAATCACCTCAAACCTTTGTCATTTCTTTCTGTGAGTAACGTTCAAAATACACTAGATGCTCCAGTGTTGGGTGCATATATATATATATTTACAATTGTTATTCCTCATGATGAATTGATCCCTTTGTCATTACATAGTGACCTTTTTTGTCTGTCTTTAGGTTTTTGAATTAAAGTTTATTTTATCTAAGTAGAGCTACTCTTGTTCACTTACAATTTCCATTTGCATAGAATCCATTTTTCCATTTCATTTTCAGTCTGTGTGTGTCTTTACAGGTAAAGTGGTTTTCTTTCAGACAGCATATATTTCAGTCCTTTTTTTCCATTCAGTACCATGCTGTTTTGGTTACTGTAGCCCTGCAGTATAGTTTGAAATTGTGCAGTTGTTAGTGTGATGCCTCCAGATTTTTTTCTTTTTGCTTAGGATTGCTTTGGCTATTCAGACTCTTTCTTGGTTGCACGTGTGTTTTAAAATAGGTTTTTCTAATTCTCTAAAAACTGGCATTGGTAGTTTGATGAGAACAGGATTGAATTTGTAAATTGCTTTTGGCAGTATGCATTTTAACAATATTGATTCTTCTTATAGAATGTTTTTCAATTTGCTTGTGTCATCTCTGATTTCTTTCAGGAGTGTTTCATAATTCTTATTGTAGAAATAGTTCATCTCCCTTGTTAGCTCTATTACTATGTATTTTATTCTTTTTGTGGATCTTGAGAATGAGATCGCATTCTTGATTTCGCTCTCAGCTTGAACATTACTAGTGTATAAAACTGCTACTGGTTTTCGTACACTGATTTTGTAGTCTGAAAATTTACTAAAGTGGTTTACCAGTTCTAGGAGGCTTTGGGAAGATACTATAGATTTTTCTAGGTGTAGAAATATATCATCAGTGAAGAGAGATAGCTTGACTTCCTTTCTTCCTGTTTGGATGCCTTTTATTTCTTTCTCTTGCCTGATCACTGTGGCTAGGACTTCCAGTATTAGATTCAAGAGGAGTAAGCATCCTTGTCTTGTCTGATTTTCTTGCATGTGAGTTGACTCTTTTCTTCACCTGTTTTTATAATTAACTTCGTCTTTGACTTTTGACAATTTGACTATAATATGTCTTAAAGAGGACTTTTTTGAATTGTAAATATGTAGTGACTTTTGAGTTTCTTTGGTCTTGCTGTCTATATCTGTCCCAGGACTTGGTATGTTAGCAGCTGTTATTTTATTAAATAGTTTTTCTATGCCTTTTTTCCTATCTCTTCTCCTTCTTAAATTCCCATAATACAAATGTTTAGTTGATTAATGATGTCCTATATGTCCTGGAGGCCTTCTTTATTCTTATTCGTGTGTGTGTGTGTGTGTGTGTGTGTGTGTGTGTGTGTGACTGGTTTATTTCAGACCTGTTTTCAGGTTCAGAGATTCTTTCCTGTACTTGATCTAGTCTGATGTTGAACTTCTTGACTGCATTTTTTACTTCATTCATTTAATTCTTCAGTTCCAAGACTTCTGCTTGGTTCTTTGTTATGATTTCTATCTCTTGGTTGAATTAATTTGTATCTGTGCTCCTGATATGGTTTAGTCTATATTATCTTGTGTTTTACTGTGTTTCTTTAAGATTATTATTTTGATTTCATTCGCAGGCAATTTGTACATTTCTATTTTCTAGGAGTTAGTACCTGGATAATTATTGTGTTTCTTTTATAGTGTCATGTTTTCTTACTTTTTGTTTCTTACATGCCTGCACTGACATCTGTACATCTGGTAAAATAGTAATATTTTCCAGTTTTATAGAGTGGCTTTCATCGAGAAAGACTTTTACTTGCAGATATTTCTAGGGTATTCGTTGGGTAGGGTGCCTTAGTTTTTTCTTTTTGGGTGCAGGAGTATAGTTTTTAATACAGTATCTTCAGCTATATGCAGTGCCAGTATTGCCAGTGATTGCCTCAATGGCTTATCCTGAAGAAGTCTGTGTGGCTGGTCTACATACTTGGGCTCTGCTCTTCTGAAGCAAGGCATCAGGCAGGTACCTCCTCTGGTGGTTGTGTTTCAGCACTGCTACCCTGGGGGCTGGGTGTTAGGCAAGATCCCATTTTGACAGCACAGGGCTAGTTAGCTGGTTGCTCAGCTCAGGCATTTTTTTATGTGGCCATTCTTAGTCTTCATAACCCATAGCATCTCCCTAAGTCCCTTGATGAACTCCAACTTTCTCCCTCAAACACTCTTATCAAAATATAGCTGTTATTTATTGTTTTGGTCCTTTTCTGTGGGGAAATAATTGTCAGGACCCCTGGTCAGTCACCTTTCTGATGTCAACCAGTGTTAACATTGCAGGAATGTTTGGCAAACTGGTAGGGCAGGTCTTACAAATTCCCAGCCAGTTGCTGAGAAGATTCCATAACAATGATCCAAGCTGATCTCTTACTTACACCTTATACAAAAATTAACTCGAGATAGATTAAAGACTCAAACATAAGACCTAAAACCACAAAAAACCCTACAAGACAAACTAGGCAATACCATTCAGGACATAGGCATGGGCAAAGACTTTATGACTAAAACACCATAAGCAATGCTAAAAAAGCCAAAATTGACAAATGGGATCTAATTAAACTAAAGAGCTTCTGCACAGCAAAATAAACTATCCTCAGAGTGAACAGGCAACCTACAGAATGGGAGAAAATCTTTGCAATCAATCCATCTGAAAAAGGGCTAATATCCAGAATCTACAAAGAACTTAAACAAATTTACAAGAAAAAAAACAACAAACAATCCCATCAAAAAGTGAGTGAAGAATATGAACAGATGCTTCTCAAAAGAAGATATTTATGCAGCCAACAAACATATGAAAAGAAGTTCATCATCACTGGTCATTAGAGAAATGCAAATCAAAACCACAAGGAGATACCATCTCATGCCAGTTAGAATGGTGACCATTAAGGTCAGGAAACAACAGACGCTGGAAATGATGTGGAGAAACGGGAATGCTTTTATACTGTTGGTGGGAGTGTAAATTAGTTCAATCATTGTGGAAGACAGTGTGGCGATTCCTCAAGGATCTAGAACTAGAAATACCATTTGACCCAGCAATCCCTTTACTGGTATATACCCAAAGGATTATAAATCATTCTACTATAAAGACATATGCACATGTATGTTTATTGCAGCACTGTTCACAATAGCAAAGACTTGGAACCAACCCAAATGCCCATCAATGATAGACTGGATAAAGAAAATGTGGCACATATACATCTTGGAATACTATGCAGCCACAAAAAGGATGAGTTCATGTCCTTTGCAGGGACATGGATGATTCTGGAAACCATCATTCTCAGCAAACTAACACAAAAACAGAAAGAACAAGAACATAAACCAAAGCAAACTAACACAAGAACAGAAAACCAAACACCAAACCAAACCCCGCATGTTCTCACTCATAAGTGGGAGTTGAACAATGAGAACACATGGACGCAGGGATGGGAACATCACACACGGGGCCCTTTTGGTGGTGCCTAGGGGAGGGAAAGTGTTAGAAGAAATACCTAATATAGATGATGGGTTGATGGGTGCAGCATACCACCATGGCATGTGTATACCTATGTAACAAACCTGCACGTTCTGCACATGTATCCCAGAACTTAAATTATAATAATAAAAATAAATAAAAAATATTTTCTCTACTTCTTTGAAAAAAAAAATGATCCAAGCTGAGAATATTACTTGTAATCAGATACAAACTGGGTATGACTGTCAGCACAGCCCAACTAAAATATATATATTTTTCCACTTTGTTAGGGGATGGAGAAGTCGAGACCAGAGATGGAAGGCCTTCTTAGTACACAACTGTTCATCTTAAGTGGCAAAATATCCAGACACAAATATCTTGTCTCAGAAACAAAAGAGAAGAGGTAGCATTTGGTGTCACAAAGATCCCTAATATGGTTTCACTCTGTGTCTGCAGCCAAATTTCATGTTGAATTGTAATTCCCATGTGTTGAAGGAGAGGCCATGTGGGAGGTGATTGAAACATAGTGATGGACTTCACTCTTGCTGTCCTTGTGATAGCGAATGAGTTCTCACAAGATCTGGTTGTTTAAACGTGTGTGGCACTTTCCCTTGCTCTCTCTCTCTCTTTCCTGCTCTGCCATGGTAAGATGTGCTTTCTTCCCCTTTGACTACCACCATGATTATAAGTTTCCTGAAGCCTCTAAGCCATTCTTTTGTACAGCCTGTGGAACCGTGAGTCAATTAAACCTATTTTCTTCATAAATTACCCAGTCTTAGATAGTTCTTTATAGCAGTGTGAGAATGGACTAATACAATACTTTTCACCTGAATAGGTCCCCAGAACTTTTCCCTCCACTCTGTTTCAGGAATTTGTGCAACGCATTAAGGCACCTCAATTCCTCCAAGAGTGGAATTGGAAGGGAGGAGCCATCTCTCCATTACCTCCATACTCACACCACCATGCAGTATGGCATTCAGAGAGCTCAGTCACTAGTCACCAACTAGTCTTCTGAGCAGCAGTTGAGTTCACAGCTCTTGGAGCAGCATGGAGAGAGGAAACACCTCCATGACAAAGGAAGCAGACCAGTCACTCCACCCCACAGAAACTCACAAATGTTGGATCTGTGGATAGGCAATACAACCCCTGAAGAACTCAAAAATACTGAGAGATAAGTTTTAAAATTTTGCAAGGGCAACACTTCCTTCAGAAGCAGACTGTATTCAAAATACAATTAGATTGGTTACACTATCACTGTCACTACGTTGTGTGATCTACTGCTTCATATTTCAAAGGACATCTTTACATGTATTATTTTATTAAAATAATCTAGAAAAATGAACATTCACCCGTTTCTCCAGTTTTACCAGTGAGTTCCAAGTGAAGTACACTAATTCAGTAAAGAAGCAGTAAAAAGTGTGGCATGAACATAATGAAATTGCCTACCTTTCTGGGTGAAGCTAAGAATTATGAGGCTTCAGAGCATTTCCCCAGAATGAGAACTAGATTCTCCTGCTTCATATGTCCCAATCAATGGCACAACTGCCCACCCTCTATCCCTGCAACTAACCAAAATCCAGATATTTTTATACCTTTGAAGGAAGGACAACATTCACAGAGATTCAGTTTCAGTGAGTACGTTATGAGGGGCTAATGGAGAACAGCTGCATTCCAAACTTATTTCTTTATGGTGAGCTAATAAAGGATAGATTGCTCACAGGGTGAAAAGAAGTGTGAAAATACATCTGAATCTTTGAAACACTGCCACAGATGACAGCAAAATAACTATGCCAATAAGATTTGAGGACATATTGCAATCTATGCCACTGTTGCCCACTCTATATGAAAACACAACACAATTACAAAAACTAAATAACATTTATTTAACATTTATTAACCTCTTATTGTGCATCAAGCTCTGTGCTAAACTTCGGGAATTGAAAACAAATAGAACACTATCCGTCTCTTCAGGAGCTCACATTTTGTTGTCTGTTGGAGACAGATAATTGAACAAACAATTATAATAGTGTGGGAAGTGCTATAATAAAACCATATGCAAGGGCTTACAGAAACACAGAGGAGTAAATCTCCAATTCTGCTCATCTTTCAGAAAACAAAAGAAGAGATTCCTCCAAAAAGGCTTGCAAAATAAAAATTAAACCAAAATCATAATTAAAGCCAATTTCAAGTGACTGTTCACTCTGATCTAGGAACATTGCTAAGCACTTGACATAGATTATCTCATTGAATCCTTATAACTCTCCCTTTGTTTGGGGTCTTATTCCTATACCCATTTCACAAGGTACATGGTGTCAGTATTAAAAGTCACCATAGAGGTTTGAAAGTTGTTAGTATTCTCATGGTACTATAGCTGTTTTTCTTTTTTTTTTTTTTAATTATCACAATCCATCTTAAATAAGAGTTCTCAACAGAATATACATTTTTTTCAGCACCACACCACACCTATTCCAAAATTGACCACATACTGGGAAGTAAAGCTCTCCTCAGCAAATGTAAAAGAACAGAAATTATAACAAACTATCTCTCAGACCACAGTGCAATCAAACTAGAACTCAAGATTAAGAATCTCACTCAAAACCGCTCAACTACATGGAAACTGAACAACCTGCTCCTGAATGACTACTGGGTACATAACGAAATGAAGGCAGAAATAAAGATGTTCTTTGAAACCAACGAGAACAAAGACACAACATACCAGAATCTCTGGGACGCATTCAAAGCAGTGTGTAGAGGGAAATTTATAGCACTAAATGCCCACAAGAGAAAGCAGGAAAGATCCAAAATTGACACCCTAACATTGCAACTAAAAGAACTAGAAAAGCAAGAGCAAACACATTCAAAAGCTAGCAGAAGGCAAGAAATAACTAAAATCAGAGCAGAACTGAAGGAAACAGAGACACAAAAAACCGTTCAAAAAATCAATGAATCCAGGAGCTGGTTTTTTGAAAGGATCAACAAAATTGATAGACCGCTAGCAAGACTAATAAAGAATAAAAGAGAGAAGAATCAAATAGACGCAATAAAAAATGATAAAGGGGATATCACCACTGATCCCACAGAAATACAAACTACCATCAGAGAATACTACAAACATCTCTACTCAAATAAACTAGAAAATCTAGAAGAAATGGATAAATTCCTCGACACATACACTTTCCCAAGACTAAACCAGGAAGAAGTTGAATCTCTGAATAGACCAATAACAGGCTCTGAAAGTGTGGCAATAATCAATAGCTTACCAACCAAAAAGAGTCCAGGACCAGATGGATTCACAGCCGAATTCTACCAGAGGTATAAGGAGGAACTGGTACCATTCCTTCTGAAACTATTCCAATCAATAGAAAAAGAGGGAATCCTCCCTAACTCATTTTATGAGGCCAGTATCATCCTGATACCAAAGCCGGGCAGAGACACAACCAAAAAAGAGAATTTTAGACCAATATCCTTGATGAACATTGTTGCAAAAATCCTCAATAAAATACTGGCAAACTGAATCCAGCAGCATATCAAAAACTTATCCACCATGATCAAGTGGGCTTCATCCCTGGGATGCAAGGCTGGCTCAATATACGCAAATCAATAAATGTAATCCAGCATATAAACAGAACCAAAGACAAAAACCACATGATTATCTCAATAGATGCAGAAAAGGTCTTTGACAAAATGCAACAACGCTTCATGCTAAAAACTCTCAATAAATTAGGTATTGATGGGACGTATTTCAAAATAATAAGAGCTATTTATGACGAACCCACAGCCAATATCATGCCGAATGGACAAAAACTGGAGGCATTCCCTTTGAAAACTGGCACAAGACAGGGATGCCCTCTCTCACCACTCCCATTCAACATAGTGTTGGAAGTTCTGGCCAGGGCAATCAGGCAGGAGAAGGAAATAAAGGGTATTCAATTAGGAAAAGAGGAAGTCAAATTGTCCCTGTTTGCAGACGACATGATTGTATATCTAGAAAACCCCATTGTCTCAGCCCAAAATCTCCTTAAGCTGATAAGCAACTTCAGCAAAGTCTCAGGATACAAAATCAATGTACAAAAATCACAAGCATTCTTATACGCCAACAACAGACAAACAGAGAGCCAAATCATGAGTGAACTCCTATTCACAATTGCTTCAAAGGGAATAAAATACCTAGGAATCCAACTTACAAGGGATGTGAAGGACCTTTTCAAGGAGAACTACAAACCACTGCTCAATGAAATAAAAGAGGATACAAACAAATGGAAGAACATTCCATGCTCATGGGTAGGAAGAATCAATATCATGAAAATGGCCATATTGCCCAAGGTAATTTATAGATTTAATGCCATCCCCATCAAGCTACCAATGACTTTCTTCACAGAATTGGAAAAAACTACTTTAAAGTTCATATGGAACCAAAAAAGAGCCTACATTGCCAAGACAATCCTAAGCCAAAAGAACAAAGCTGGAGGCATCACACTACCTGAATTCAAACTATACTACAAGGCTACAGGAACCAAAACAGCATGGTACTGGTACCAAAACAGAGATATAGACCAATGGAACAGAACACAGCCCTCAGAAATAACACAACATATCTACAACTATCTGATCTTTGACAAACCTGAGAAAAAGAAGCAATGGGGAAAGGATTCCCTATTTAATAAATGGTGCTGGGAAAACTGGCTAGCCATATGTAGAAAGCTGAAACTGGATCCCTTCCTTACACCTCATACAAAAATCAATTCAAGATGGATTAAAGACTTAAATGTTAGACCTAAAACCATAAAAACCCTAGAAGAAAACCTAGGCATTACCATTCAGGACATAGGCATGGGCAAGGACTTCATGTCTAAAACACCAAAAGCAATGGCAACAGAAGCCAATTGACAAATGGGATCTAATTAAACTAAAGAGCTTCTGCACAGCAAAAGAAATTACCATCAGAGTGAACAGGCAACCTACAAAATGGGAGAAAATTTTCGCAACTTACTCATCTGACAAAGGGCTAATATCCAGAATCTACAATGAACTCAAACAAATTTACAAGAAAAAAACAAACAACCCCATCAAAAAGTGGGTGAAGGACATGAACAGACACTTCTCAAAAGAAGACATTTATGCAGCCAAAAAACACATGAAAAAATGCTCACCATCACTGGCCATCAGAGAAATGCAAATCAAAACCACAGTGAGATACCATCTCACACCAGTTAGAATGGCAATCATTAAAAAGTCAGGAAACAACAGGTGCTGGAGAGCATGTGGAGAAATAGGAACATTTTTACACTGTTGGTGGGACTGTAAACTAGTTCAACCCTTGTGGAAGTCAGTGTGGCGATTCCTCAGGGATCTAGAACTAGAAATACCATTTGACCCAGCCATCCCATTACTGGGTATATACCCAAAGGACTATAAATCATGCTGCTATAAAGACACATGCACACGTATGTTTATTACAGCATTATTCACAATAGCAAAGACTTGGAACCAACCCAAATGTCCAACAATGATAGACTGGATTAAGAAAATGTGGCACATATACACCATGGAATACTATGCAGTCATAAAAAATGATGAGTTCATGTCCTTTGTAGGGACATGGATGAAATTGGAAATCATCATTCTCAGTAAACTATCGCAAGAACAAAAAACCAAACACCGCATATTCTCAGTCATAGGTTGGAATTGAACATTGAGATCACATGGACACAGGAAGGGGAATATCACACTCTGGGGACTGTTGTGGGGTGGGGGGAGGGGGGAGGGATAGCATTGGGAGATATACCTAATGGTAGGTGACGAGTTAGTGGGTGCAGCGCACCAGCATGGCATGTGTATACATATGTAACTAACCTGCACATTGTGCACATGTACCCTAAAACTTAAAGTATAATAATAATAATAATAATAATAACAAAAAGGAAAAAAGAGAAAAAAAGTTAAAGTTTTTTTGATATAATACTACCACTACAGTTTAAACTTCTAAAAGGAAGTGACTTATGTCTAGTTTCAAACTGATGTAATTCACATAGTAGCATCTCAATACATTTTGTTTTAAATTTAATGAAGTCATGTGAAAATGTTCCAGTGCTGTTAAGAGGCTGTTATATAATTTTAAGTCTGAGATGTTGAAGGAAGGAAGAATAAGAACTGGAATAACAAAACATGAGTATAATGTCATTAAGGTTCACTATAACATGGTCAGCAGGCACTGAAGAGAAACAGTAACGATAAAAAGAGCTTGTCCAATAAAACTTTGTCTGGTTTTCTCAGTGCTCACATTGTGCTCTGGCATCACACTTCCACTTCATGATCAGGACATGTCCTTATATCCATATTGTGCTTCCCACGTTAAAATGTACTTTATCATATCTTATTGTGCAAATAGAGTCAATCTCAGGACCTATGATTATCTCTCTAGAGTACAGAAACTATTTTTGGACTGCCTCTTTTCCTAAATTTTCAGCTCCAGCCTTGTGTTTACCCATGGTGTACTTAGATGGATATAATAATAAGCATCACTGAGTTTCAGAATCTGGAACCTCCTAATACCAGTGCTACCTATTCCTAAAAGGGGCCACTGATGATCTGGAACATCTTCTCCAGCTGCCACCACCCATGAACTATGCAAGGAAGTGAAACATAAAAGGATGGAATTGGTAGCATGACCCTGTTCTATGTTGTGTTCTCTCCAGAAGTAGAAGAAAGCAATGGCATGAAAGTCAAGAGATGGTTACCATATGTCTTACTCTTAAAATTAGTTACAGTCACAAAAGGAAAGCTAAAATAAAAAAATACGTAATTGGTATAAATGGCCACTCTCACTTTTAATAGTGTTCAGGTTTTAACTAGGAGGCCAAAGCTTTTTAGAACCTATAGATTTCTTATTTCCTACAAACTCTGTGTGTCAGTGTACAGCTAAAAATTACAGGGAAATTGCTATCGCAATCACATCAGGGAAATGTAATGGCTAAAAGCTTCACAGACGGCTTCCAGTCACGCAAAGAAGGATGTGTTAAAAATCTAAATTCCTGAGAGAAACTGCTGCCTTATCCTTGAGGGTTCTAAAAAGTACAATGAGGAATGAAAACTGACTATTGGATTTGGCAATGTGAAAACTTTGTTAAGAGTGGCAAAAACAGCCTCTGTTGAAGTAGAGAAAAACGTCTGTCTAGACTTGATTCAAGAGAGAATGAGAGCAGAGACTTGAATAAAGCATAGATGAATTTTTCATATAAAACAAAGAGAGAGAAAAGGATCAGTAGCCATATAATTAGGTTGGGAAGACAGAGGGGCTTTTTTTATCTCTTAAGGAGGGAGAAATAAAAATATGTTATGTTGATGTGAATAATCCAATAGAAAGAGGATAACTGATAATTCAGGAAAGAAAAGGGAGAATTCCTAAAATAGGAAACTAAAATAAGTTTCAGCACACTAGTAGAAAGGTTGTCTTTGTCAGGAAAGTGGAAATAGGACTCACATTAAAGATGTAAATGTAAGAATGACAGGACATAAAATCTTATAATAAAAAAGCCGAGTTTGCCAAACTCATGTGATCATGGTACACTTTTGTTGTAGTACGTTTTTCAGCCTCTCCCAGAATATGCTTGTGCCATATTCCTAATCAATGTACTATCCAGTAATTACAACCATGAAATTGTTATGAGTCATTTCTACTTCTCTCAATATGTCAGTCAAGACAATCCAAAGATCCAGTCACTACATACAACACACATACGTTGAAGACCTACATCCTTCATGAAAGTGTGGGCTAGTAATAATCTGTCAACTGACAAAGAAAATAATAAAAAGCATGCCTCCCTCAGCCTTAGTTTAGGTTGAAGTAAAAAACAGAACTCCTGGATAGCCCCAAGCTTGCTCCAACCACGTATAAGTTTGGAATTTAAATTTATATTACACTACATAACTCATACCACTGTGGCACTTAGGAGAACCCACACAAAATCTGGCTTATTATCATGCTCCTCAGTAGAAGATGTGAAGATGAGGATTTATCTGCAAATGATTTATTAAGGAAATGCTCCCCACAGAAATCAGTTAAACAACTAGGGGAAGTAGGACAAGAAAGAGTAAAAGCTCACTAAGCCTTCAATGTCAGGCAAAGACCCAGCTTCAGCTGCTCCTGTGTTTGCATCCTCCAGAGTGAAAATTATACTTCTGAGTTCATCCTACCTTAAGGCAAGTGAATTGAGCTTTTCTAATGTGAGTCATAGGCTACAATCCACTCAGGTGGGGAAATAAACTTTTAGACAGTTTGACTCTCTGAGCCTGCAAAACAGAATTTTAAAAATGGTCCAAAGAGCATCATCTCAAGGAGAACACAGGTATGTACCACAGAAGCAAAGCACACAGAAGATGGGAGATGAATAGCACACAGAAGATGGGAGATGAATACACACAATCTCTACAAGGGACCTGGAGACATCTAGGTGGAACACCAACATTTTCTAATATCCAAACCCTTCTGGACAGTCTCTCCTCAAACCAGTTTGCACAAAAATGTCTTAAAAGCAAAATATTGAAGATGTGTTCAAGTACAAGTTACAAATACATGAGCAAACAACTCACTATGAGTGAAAGTCAGCAGACACATCCTCAAATTTATTAAAGTAGACCTATGAATTAGAGGTATTTCTAACAATTGTCATAAAAAAGCATTTATTAGATGAAAAGAGAAAAAGACAATAGTATGTCTAGAAATGAAAACTATAAGAATTACACCTAGGTAAAACTCAGTGAGTTAAAGAAGGACTGGACACAAATAAAGAGAAATGGTAGATCAGAAACAGATATGAGGAAATTTTCAAAATTGTAACACATGGAGAGAAAGAGATGGGAAAGAGAATCAGGGGCTTCCTAGTCAGAGTGGCAGACCAATATATATATATATATATATATACATATATTTAGACATTCTCCAAGGATATGGTAGAGAATGGGAAAGAGACATTATTATAATAGTTGAGAATTATTCAGAATTGATTAAAGACATAAATCTTCAGATTCAACATAAATCCCAAGTTAGATTTAAAAAATAAACAACTGGACATCCTGTAAGGAAATAACAGCAGAATGGCAAAGACAATAACATCTTAAACAGAGGAACCACAAGTCAGCTGAGAACAGACTTCTCAAAAATAAAACAGGAGCCAGAATATAATATAATAAAATGGTGGAAGCAATTTGTTTTTGCTAATTAGTGTATATTTTGCTGTCACAAATGTGTACAAGCACAAACATTTGCACACACACACTTGTGTACAGACGTGCACACACAGTCTGACTCTAAACTGTTAATGAGCTTTTCAATATATAAATACTATATTTTGAGAAAACTTTTGGAAATAAAAATTAAAACTAGAAAATAAAAATTAAAAAACGGAAATCATTTAATACTATCTCATAATATATATTTGCCTTTAGAACAAACATGACCAAAGAAAGACCACCGTTTTTATTATCTGAAATATAAGTTACACAAAATCATATTCATATTTTCTAAAGTAGAAGCCTACCAGAGCTGAAAGGTGAAGTCCAAAAAATTGAGTGATTGTACACTTCACTGATTTTTAGAAATAAAGAACACATAGGTTAATTATAACTTGAAATTATAAAAACCTTTCCTTTTCAAAGTTAAAACTTCAAACTACTATGAAAAGTGTTATGTTTAATTATTACAAATAGAAATGTGAAGTACTGAAGTTATTGTGCTGGAGCTGAATTTTTAAATTGTCAAGTCACAATTAGCTCCAAATAAACACATGATTGTTATACACAGAAAAAAAATATTTTGTAGTTTTTTGTGGGAAATGGAGAGAGTATATTTCAGGATTATATATATATAATGTGTACAAGTGTATGCATACAAAATAATGTATGATATATAATATATAAATTATGTATAAGCATATATTATATATAAATACAAAATTATATATTAAAAATATATTCCTTTAAACTAAGACAAGCTTTGGGGAATTAAAAATTAGCAGTAATTGAAATTTGGTGGACCCAAGATGGCCGAATCGGAACAGCTCCAGTCTACCCCTCCCAGTGTGAGCGACGGAGAAGACGAATGATTTCTGCATTCCCAACGGAGGTACTGGGTGCATCTCACTAGGGATTGTCAGGCAGTGGGTGCAGGACAGTGGGTGCAGTGCACTGACCCTGACCCGAAGCAGGGCGAGGCATCACCTCATGCCGGAAGTGCAAGGGGTCAGGGAATTCCCTTTCCTCGCCAAGGAAAGGGGTGACAGACGGCACCTAGAAAATTGGGTCACTCCCACCCTAATACTGTGCTTTTCTGATGGTCTTACAAACGGCACACCAGGAGACTATATCCCACGCCTAGCTCGGAGGGTCCTATGCCCAAGGAGCCTCACTCATTGCTAGCACACCAGTCTGAGATCAAACTGTCAGGCAACAGCGAGGCTGGGGTAGGGGAGCCTGCAATTGCCGAGGCTTGAGTAGGTAAACAAAGTGGCTGGGAAGCTCTAACTGGGTGGAGCCCGCTGCAGCTCAAGGAGGCCTGCCTGCCTCTTTAGACTCCACCCCTAGGGGCAGGACATAGCCAAACAAAATGCAGCAGAAACCTCTGCAGACTTAACTGTCCCTGTCTGACAGCTTTGAAGAGAGTAGTGGTTCTCCCGGCATGCAGTTTGAGATCTGAGAATGGACAGACTGCCTCCTCAAGTGGGTCCTTGACCCCCGAGTAGCCTAACTGGGAGGCACCCCCCAGTAGGGGCAGACTGACACCTCACATGGCCGGGTACTCCTCTGAGACAAAACTTTCACAGGAATGATCAGGCAGCAATATTTACTGTTCACCAATGTCCGCTGTTCTGCAGCCTCCGCTGCTGATACCCAGGCAAACAGGGTCTGGAGTGGACCTCCAGCAAACTCCAACAGACCTGCACCTGAGGGTCCTGACTGTTAGAAGGAAAACTAACAAACAGAAAGGACATTCACACCAAAACCCCATCTGTACGTCACCATCATCAAAGACTAAAGGTAGATAAAACCACAAAGATGGGGAAAAAACACAGCAGAAAAACTGGAAACTCTAAAAATCAGAGTGCCTCTCCTCCTCCAAAGGAATGCAGCTCCTCACTAGCAACAGAACAAAGCTGGACAGAGAATGACTTTGATGAGTTGAGAGAAGAAAGCTTCAGACAATCAAACTACTCCGAGCTAAAGGAGGAAGTTCGAACCCATGGCAAAGAAGTTAAAAACCTTGAAAAAAAATTAGACGAATGGCTAACTAGAATAACAAATGCAAAGAAATCCTTAAAGGACCTGATGGAGATGAAAAGCATGGCATGAGAACTACGTGACAAATGCACAAGCCTCAGTATCTGATTCGATCAACTGGAAGAAAGGATATCAGTGATAGAAGATCAAATGAATGAAATGAAGTGAGAAGAGAAGTTTAGAGAAAAAAGAATAAAAAGAAATGAAAAAAGCCTCCAAGAAATATGGGACTATGTGAAAAGACCAAATCTACGTCTAATTGGTGTACCTGAAAGTGACGGGGAGAATGGAACCAAGTTGGAAAACACTCTGCAGGATTTTATCCAGGAGAACTTCCCCAATCTAGCAAGGCATGCCAACATTAAAATTCAGGAAATACAAAGATTGCCACAAAGATACTCCTCGAGAAGAGCAACTACAAGACATATAATTTGTCAGATTCACCAAAGTTGAAATGAAGGAAAAAATGTTAAGGGCAGCCAGAGAGAAAGGTCAAGTTACCCACAAAGGGAAGCCCATCAGACTAACAGCTGATCTCTCGGCAGAAACTCTACAAGCCAGAAGAAAGTGGGGGCCAATATTCAACATTCTTAAAGAAAAGAATTTTCAACCCAGATTTTCATATCCAGCCAAACTAAGCTTCATAAGTGAAGGAGAAATAAAATACTTTACAGACAAGCAAATGCTGAGAGATTTTGTCACCACCAGGCCTGCCCTAAAAGAGCTCCTGAAGGAAGCACTAAACATGGAAAGGAACAACTAGTACCAGCCACTGCAAAACCATGCCAAATTGTAAAGACCATCGAGGTTAGGAAGAAACTGCATCAACTAACGAGCAAAATAACCAGCTAACATCATAATGACAGGATCAAATTCAAACATAATAATATTAACCATAAATGTAAATGGGCTAAATGCCCCAATTAAAAAACACACACTGGCAAATTGGATAGAGTCAAGACCCATCAGTGTGCTGTATTCAGGAAACCCATCTCACGTGCAGAGACACACATAGGCTCAAAATACAGGGATGGAGGAAGATCTACCAAGCAAATGGAAAGCAAAAAAAGGCAGGGGTTGCAATCCTAGTCTCTGATAAAACAGACTTTAAACCAACAAAGATCAAAAGAGACAAAGAAGGCCATTACATAATGGTAAAGGGATCAATTCAACAAGAAGAGCTAACTATCCTAAATATATATGCACCCAATACAGGAGCACCCAGATTCATAAAGCAAGTCCTGAGTGACATACAAAGAGACTTAGACTCCCACACAACAATAATGGGAGACTTTAACACCCCACTGTCAACATTAGACAAATCAACCAGACAGAAAGTTAACAAGGATGTCCAGGAATTGAACTCAGCTCTGCACCAAGCAGAACTAACAGACATCTACAGAAATCTCCACCCCAAATCAACAGAATATACATTCTTCTGAGCACTACACCACACCTATTCCAAAATTGACCACATGGTTGGAAGTAAAGCACTCCTCAGCAAATGTAAAAGAACAGAAATTATAACAAACTGTCTCTCAGACCACAGTGAAATCAAACAAGAACTCAGGATTAAGAAACTCACTCAAAACCACTCAACTATATGGAAACTGAACAACCTGCTCCTGAATGACTACTGCATACATAATGAAATGAAGGCAGAAATAAAGATGTTCTTTGAAACCAACAAGAACAAAGACACAACATACCAGAATCTCTGGGACACGTTCAAAGCAGTGTGTAGAGGGAAATTTATAGCACTAAATGCCCACAAAAGAAAGCAGGAAAGATCCAAAACTGACACCCTAACATCACAATTAAAAGAACTAGAAGAGCATGAGCAAACACATTCAAAAGCTAGCAGAAGGCAAGAAATAACTAAGATCAGAGCAGAACTGAAGGAAATAGAGACATAAAATACCCTTCAAAAAATCAATGAATCCAGCAGCTGGTTTTTTGAAAAGATCAACAAAATTGATAGGCCACTAGCAAGACTAATAAAGAAGAAAAGAGAGAAGAATCAAATAGACACAATAAAAAATGATAACGGGGATATCACCACCGATCCCACAGGAATACAAATTACCATCAGAGAATACTATAAACACCTCTATGCAAGTAAGCTAGTAAATCTGGAAGAAATGAATAAATTCCTCGACACATACACTCTCCCAAGACTAAACCAGGAAGAAGTTGAATCTCTGAATAGACCAATAACAGGCTCTGAAATTGAGGCAATAATTAATAGTTTACCAACCAAAAAAAGTCCAGGATGAGACAGATTCACAGCCGAATTCTACCAGAGGTACAAAGAGGAACTGGTACCATTCCTTCTGAAACTATTCCAATCAACAGAGAAAGGGGGAATCCTCCCTAACTCATTTTATGAGGCCAGCATCATCCTGATAGCAAAGACTGGCAGAGACACAACAAAAAAAGAGAATTTTAGACCAATATCACTGACGAACATTCCATGCTCATAGGTAGGAAGAATCAATATCATGAAAATGGCCATACTGCCCAAGGTAATTTATAGATTCAATGCCATCCCCATCAAGCTACCAATGACTTTCTTCACGGAATTGGAAAAAACTACTTTAAAGTTCATATGGAACCAAAAAAGAGCCCACATTGACAAGTCAATCCTAAGCCAAAAGAACAAAGCTGGAGGCATCATGCTACCTGACTTCGAACTATACTGCAAGGCTACAGTAACCAAAACAGCATGGTACTTGTACCAAAACAGAGATATAGACCAATGGAACAGAACAGAGCCCTCAGAAATAATGCCACATATCTACAACCATCTGACCTTTGACAAACCTGACAAAAATAAGAAATGGGGGAAGGATTCCCTATTTAATAAATGGTGCTGGGAAAACTGGCTGGCCATATGTAGAAAGCTGAAACTGGATCCCTTCCTTACTCCTTATACAAAAATTAATCCAAGATGGATTAAAGACTTAAATGTTAGACCTAAAACCATAAAAACCCTAGAAGAAAACCTTGGCAATACCATTCAGGACATAGGCATGGGCAAGGACTTCATGTCTAAGACACCAAAAGCCATGGCAACAAAAGCCAAAATTGGCAAATGGGATCTAATTAAACTAAAGAGCTTTTGCACAGCAAAAGAAATTACCATCAGAGTGAACAGGCAACCTACAGAATGGGAGAAAATTTTTGCAATCTACTCATCTGACAAAGGGCTAATATCCAGAATCTACAATGAACTCAAACAAATTTACAAGAAAAAAACAACCCCATCAAAAAGCGGGTGAAGGATATGAACAGACACTTCTGAAAAGAAGACATTTATGCAGCCAAAAGACACATGAAAAAATGCTCATCATCACTGGCCATCAGAGAAATGCAAATCAAAACCACAATGAGATACCATCTCACACCAGTTAGAATGGCAATCATTAAAAAGTCAGGAAACAACAGGTGCTGGAGAGGATGTGGAGAAATAGGAACACTTTTACACTGTTGGTGGGACTGGAAACTAGTTCAACCCTTGTGGAAGTCAGTGTGGCGATTCCTCAGGGATCTAGAACTAGAAATACCATTTGACCCAGTCATCCCATTACTGGGTATATACCCAAAGGACTATAAATCATGCTGCTATAAAGACACATGCACATGTATGTTTATTGCGGCACTGTTCAGAATAGCAAAGACTTGGAACCAACCCAAATGTCCAACAATGATAGACTGGATAAAGCAAATGTGGCACATATACACCATGGAATACTATGCAGCCATAAAAAATGATGAGTTCATGTCCTTTGTAGGGACATGGATGAAGCTGGAAACCATCATTCTCAGCAAACTATCGCAAGGACAAAAAAACCAAACACTGCATGTTCTCACTCATAGGTGGGAATTGAACAATGAGAGCACATGGACACAGGAAGGGGAACATCACACAGCTGGGCCTGTTGTGGGGTAGAGGGATGGGGGAGGGATAGCATGGGAGATATACCTAATGTTAAATGACAAGTTAATGGGTGCAGCATACCAACATGGCACATGTATATATATGTAACAAACCTGCACGTTGTGCACATGTACCCTAAAACTTAAAGTATTAAAAAAAAAAAAACTTAAAAAAATTAGCAGTAATTACTAGGTGTGAGTGGCTATTAATCCCTTTCCCTTCCTCCAGTAGCATTTCAATTTCCTTCGTTATCCATAATAACAGTAAAACTATACAGCAAGTAAATAGCCAGATAATAATTTCTCAATCTGACAGAGAATGTAATAAACTTTTTTTTTAAAGGCAGGTTCTCACAGTCACCCAGCCTGGAGTGCAGTGACAATATCAGCTCACTATAGCCTCCACTTCCCAGGCTCAAGTGATTCTCCTGCCTCAGCCTTCCGAGTAACTGAGATTACAGGTGTGTGCCACCACACCCAACTAATTTTTGTATTTTTAGTATAGAAAGGGTTTCACCATGTTATCCAGACTGGTTTTGAACTGCTGACCCCAAGTGATCTGCCCACCTCAGCCTCCCAAAGTGCAGGGATTACAGGCATGAGCCACTGTGCTTAGCCTGTAACAAACTTTTTAATAGTATTTTGTGAAAAATGACATTACAATAGTGAGGCTAAAACTTCACTGCCTCTTTATTTTCATGAATATTTTCAGGTTGAAAACAAACACAATTCAAGATATTAATACTGAATTCTTCCAGATTCCCTATCTCTGCAGCCCTTACTCTAGAGTAGAAATTATTTAATCCCATCCTCTGGCTTATTTTGTTTTCTGGCCTGCAAACCAATATTAACCTGAGACAGTAAATACTGGACATAATTACAACTTCAGATAAGTGGGCTCAACTTCCATTCCTGGCTCAATCAGAATCTGTTCTCCTTATATGGTTATAGTTGGGCCAGTATCTCACCTCAAACCCCAGCTCTAATATCTGATTTTCACCTGCTTTTCCCACTGCCAGTCCTAAAGATAGACTTTATCAGACTTGTTCCGATCCTAAAGGGAAATCCTGCATTGGTTGATAATGAATATCTCCTTTGCATCAACTATTTTGTATAAAAATCTCACATGGTCTTTGGAACAGTCTGTTACATTTGTTTATTTATATAGACCAATTCTCCCTCTACACTATAAGCCTTTCTAGCAGAGAAATTCTATTTTATCCATTTCTCTATCCCATTTACCTAGGAGAGCTTGACCCATAGTAGGTTCTCCAATAACAATTGTTGAATGAAAGAAAGCATGTATACTAAACTTCTACAGTATGAAAAATAAGTAAGTAGTAATTTCAGACTACTTTGAGTCAAAGTGATTGCTGTTTGACTTACCCTGCCTTCTTACATTTTGACTTTCAGATACTGAGTATTGAATTCAGTTCTACCATGGTGTTACTTCATTGGGCCTCTTCGTTAACTGATATCTAAGGAGGCCACCTACTCTTAATGCACCCCAGGATACTATTTAGTACAGCTGAAAATATCACTTTTCAAGAGGAGCTAGTTCATGATATTCAAACACACCTGAGAAAGTGTTCAGGAAAGAACTAGAGAAGGGCTTATTTCATAATAAGGAATAAGGAATTTGACTTATTAAGTCAAATTATGCCCCTGGCTGAGGAAAACAAACATTTGGAATAATGGGTAATTAATAGGGACCAATTAGACAGAGGAAGGTTTTATACATCGGTTTTATATATCTTTGTAAGAGAAATGTTCAATTTCTAGTTATAAAGATAAAATAAGCATTATTAAGCTTTTGAAAATGAAAGAATAGTATTGATTGTATTAATTAGCATTTATTAAGCACTTAACTGGCACAATGCACAACTCCAAATACTTTATGTGGGTTAACTCAAACATCACAGAAAACCTAAACAGGTAGGTCCTTTACTCACTTAGCAAGTAGGGGAAACGAATTTTCAAATCAGTTAGTGGTTAAATTGTGAATAATTAAGAGTGTCCACCAAATGAGAGTTGAACAACTGACCTATACATAGAATGACTCTTTGAGGGACGACTGCTGCATTGTTAATAATTTGAATATTTAACTCATGAGCTCATCTAAAACATAGCTCTGAGAGGTAAGGACTGAAACCCCGAACAGCTAGCTCATCATTGCATCGCGTGAGGTCCAGTAGGGTACCTGGGGTGACGTGCTTGCTGCTCAGCTAATCTCTATTTGTGAGTGAATGAACAAGTGTATACCTGATATTGGTGCTTTTGTTGCTGGGATATCAGAGGTTAGATATATAGTAATTACAGAAAATCGGAATTGAAGAATCACAGCAATTAATTAGAAAGCTTTCTCATTGATTCAAATCCAAAACATAGCAAAGGATAGTGCATTTAAGGAATGGCCTTTAGTGAAATGTCAGGTGCTAATATGACTTCCTAAGGATAATCATAAAGCATGAACTAAATAATTTTGGAAATGATTCTTCTTTTAATATTCAAAGTTTCAAAGAATCTTTACATACATAGATGTGTAAGTGCCATTTCTACTTGAAATATATCAGCTAACAAAAGGCTGGAGTTGGTTAATATATCTCATATCTGGTTACATCCTTGGAAAGCTGTTTTGGCTAAAATTCAGAATCATAATTTTCTTGTTTACATTGATTAGATTTCTAAATTTACTTAAGTTTACCACTTCTGCTGTTATTATTTTTAAATTTAAATTGGTTATTTATTTAATGATAGCATTTACCATTCTCTCCAAATGTACTTTCTGAGAATATGTATGAACTAAAGCTCAGGATTACTATTGGTTTCATTCAAGGTACTCAGTTTCTCTAATCTTGCTCTGTGTGTGCTCTAAATACTCAGCCCAGGCCTTGTAGCACTAATATTCAAAACCTGACATATCAGAGTGAAGGCCTAACTTGAAACAGAATCTCTAATCATGCTCAAGCTGCCACAGATTAAAACAAACAAATTTCAACATTTGTCAGACTTTAGCTTAGAAATACAAGTAGTTAATAAAAGACCATTATCTGATAAAGAAATTTGACATAAGCAACAGAGAAAGCAGTATTAACACAGAAAACTTAAAACTACTAAGCTCTTTGTTAACAGTTATTAGTACAGTGTGAAGTAGTCTGTCAAAAATAAGGTTTTGTTATCACTAAACCTTTCTGAACAGAATTTAAAGAATAGATATATTTTGAAATTGAAAGAAGTTGCAAATACAATTCAGAAATAGGTAAGAATTTTTACAGATAATATTTCATAAAACAACTGTTTGGGTGAATTAAATTAAATAAACTTTTTTTTTTACTAGTAAACCTATTGTAGAATGCTAGCTTATATAACTAAAGGGTAAGTCTATTCAGTTCTTTTTGTCACTACATTACAAGTTACTATTGCATCAACAAAATATGACTGGTTTCATATTAATGTAATTATATTATTGGACAATTTCTTAGCCATAAATAAAATTTAGTTTTTTTCTTTATCTTCTACCTAATCATATCAGTCTCTTTCTAATGTCCCTCCAAACCCCATTCATGTGACATGAATATGAAGGTAAAATAAATACAGAAAGAAAAGGAAGCCTGAGAAAACCAAGCCAGAAACTTTGGAATAAAAATATCAATAAATAATCTAAAGCTGAGGCATAAGAAGAATAATCTCTCCAAAGAAATCTGTCTGATCAACAAGTTTCACCTCTTGAAGACAGGAATGAAAATAGCAAATGAGTGAGGATATATCAGAATTCAAGCTGAAGAAGAGAAAATGACATCATTAATCAAAGTACAAATAATCATGGTAAAAATGCAAATGCAAATATAGTTACTTACATGCTTGATATAATAGAAAAGAAAGAACAAATCTGATTCTTATATTCCAGAGTGAATTAATTGGCACAGAACAACAATTCATTATCCTCAGCTTTATACTAAAATTATACCTTTTAGCAAATTCTAAGATTAGGACATCAAAGACAAAACACAAAACAATACCAACACTCTGAGTTAAAATCTATGATTGAAAGAATATCTATTTATTGAGTCTCTACTGTGGGTCAAACATAGGGTTTTATAAACTCAATATTATGTAATCTTTTCAAAAACCTTATGAAGTCGAAATTGTTTTTCAGTTTACAAATAGAGGATATTGGAACTCATGCTATTTAATATTAGTAAGGACATGCCAGGAAAACTGATAAAATATGATGGATGGTGTTGCTAGTCAATAAGATAGAGATCACTGAAAGAGACTAATTTTGTGTGGCAAGATCATCCAAAGTGAGTGAACTTAATTTAGACCAACCTAATCATTGATCTAAATGAAAAGTTATGCTTCACACAATGATATGTAAATGAACCTTCAGCAGTTCAATGTATTCATCATCTTTAGGCACAGTCTTGTTAAATTAGGTAACAACTTTTGACATAGATATTGATGATTCATCAGCAGATTTGTATCTCTCATTTTTATGCGGTCTTCAATGCTTCTCTGATGATGCAGATGGTAAATGTCAAAGATTACGTGCAAGTGGCACATTCAACAGGAAATCTCTTGAGAAAGCAAAATTCAGTAGTTATTTTTCATTTAACATGCACTTTATTTTTGAACTGATTAGTGTCAAAAACTTTATGGCAAAATGAAACAAAATAGCTATTAAAAGCAAAATAGTTATGAATTTATACCATGCAGTAAGTAAATAGTAAGGGCACAAACACTATCTTCGATAAATCTGCAGTGAAATATTTCCTGCACAAATTTCACATATGCCTAACCTATAATGTCCTGTTTCCAATGGACCTCATTGACTTGTGTGCCATTTTTCTTTTTGCAACTCAAGCTATGAATCATGACCCAACTAACTGGTCCATCAAGTGGCCTTTCTGGAAAATGTCTTTGACTCTACTTACTCAGCTTTTATTGCCCTTTGTTTTCATTAGAGACAGGTTGTATGCTCTTATTGAAAAATAGGGTTAAACTCTTATGCTTGGAACCAGCTGGGGAAAAGAGAGACAGATGTTGTTGGTCATTATTCAAATATAAACACATATCAATGTGAAAATAGTTTACTCTACGTGTCCCTACACTATTAGGGGAGACTGTGCCAGAAGCTAGAAGGACAAAGTGTAGGTGTACCAACCCAACCTAGCATATTTTATTGCAACTATTAACAACAATACTATTTTATTTTATTTAACTATTGGTAAAATTATCATTGCAACTATTAATAATAGTTTTATTTTTAAGAAAGAAAATATTTGGAATAAATGCTAATCAGATAAATGACAAGGATACTTGGGAATCAACTATGTATACTACACACAGATACACATACAAGTATGTGTACCCACGTGGGCATGCACACTAGACGCACACACATATACTGACATCCTAATATAAACATGAAAAAGTACTTTTAAGAGAGTGGTTCTTAACATGTGACCTGCGGAAGCCCGAGTCACTATAGCTAGGTTTCCATGAATATCCTAAAATTGTATGCAAAACTAGATGTGTTGAAAATGTGTATGCACATAGACATTTTTTCTGAGGAAAAGTGTAAAAGTGTGCATCAGATTTTCAAAGAGGTGTAAGACTTCAAAAACATTAATAACCACTATTCTAAGAGGTCATAAAAAGTTAAAGACTTATTTTTGTCAGTAGTGAAAACAAACAAAAAAAAGTATCAGAAAAGGAAAAAAATTAAACAGAAACCATTGCCCAAGAAATGAAATTTAATTGCCTTAGCCATGATATAAATAAGTTTACTTTTCAAACACTGAGCCAATGTCTACTGAATGCGCCATTCTATCTTGTTTATATTAATCTTGAAAGAAGGAACACCTGACCTCAAAACTGGAGATTCCTTACAAAAGCTAGTATTGAGCCATCATTGCTACACATTTTGTTATATATGTTTGTTATTTAAACATTGTCTCACATATTTCTTGCTAGCCTGACTATAAGCTCCCTTGAATAAGATCCATGCCTTTTGGATCTCCTGTACCAGTTATGATAGATTTGTCTTCGATAAATACCAGTCAGTGTGAAATAACATTTTTATTTGATGGAGAGATTAAAATGGTATCTATTTAATAGGCTTGCATTAAGACAGTCTAATCCTAACAGAGTCACTACATCATATGCAATTAAAATAGAGCTTCAAATATGTGAATAAGTGTATATTACAATAAGTAATAAGTAAGATTATTTAAAAACAAGAAAGCTCAAATTACACAAAGTCCTTTTTGTGAAGGGCGAGTCCTTGACTTATCAAGATTCCTGATGACAGTAACAAAGTATGACACTGTTTCAACAACAAAGAGTAATGTTTGGAGGAAAAAACTTTTCTTGCAGTTCAATGAACTGAAAATCAGAATAAAATCATCCCAGGCAATAGAAAGTTTCTGCAGAATTTTACTTTTTCTAACTTCAACTATCTTAAAGATTTATTTATGGTTATTATTTTAATCTACATGCTGTTACAAATATCTTCTTTACTGGCAACTTATGTTTTTCTATTTAACCTAGTTTCTGGTTTAGTTAGCACTTTGAATGATGCAGAGATTAAGTACCTGGCAATATTAGCTTGAGGAACAAAAATTATGAATGCAAAGGCAGCAAATAAAGAAAGCAAATTTAATTAAATTAAGAGAAATTCAACTGAAAAATTTATCTTCCAAACTCTTCAGAAAAAAATGATAAAAAAGTAAACAATAAAATAGAAGTAAAAATCATAAAATCATCAGCGGTGAAACTGAGTTAAGCTACATAATATAACCACAAATTTCAAATAATGCAAATAACTTAAGATCAAAGGAAGATATCATTAAAAACAAATAACAACACCACCTTTCTTTTCTGAAGAAAGCAGTGTAAGACAAGTGGAGCAAATAAAGGACATTCTAGCAAAGCACCACAAAAATCTCAACTGCAGGAATGAGAAAGGAGGCAACCATAAACCAGGAGGGGTTTATTAATAGAGGTAGAAGAACAAGCATAGGTAACAATAAACCGAAATTCTAAGGTAATGATTCCTTTTTATTCTAATCAAGCATTTCAAAAGCAATGTGGCTTATTCCAGCATAAAGAAACAGTTTCTAAACCGCAGCAAAACTCTATTGATTGAATAGGAAAAGGCTTTCAGGTAAAGTACACAATCATCTTCATTGCAGTGGCTGGGGTAGAAAGACAAAGTGGAAGCCTCCTTCTTAACATTTTCTGAAAGGCTACAAGTGATGACATATGTCCCTGAAATATGAGAAAAGAGAAATCCTGCCCTTTCTCTCCACATCATAGAATATGAAGATTCTACAACATAAATGGGAGAGAAAAATGACATGCAAAAAGATAGTTGAAGAATGCTTATTTTTGATAAAGCGCTAAAATTCCTGCCACAAAAACTGAACACTACATATGAAATAAACTATGTACTACTCTCTCTTATGAACATATGTTTTACTATATAAATTTGGAAGCTTCTGTGAAATGGAAGTTACCATAAACATAGGCATAAGTATCGAAGAAAATATTTATTTCCAATTTAATTGGGAGAAATTTATATGTGTACTATATAGAGTTTCTAAAAGTAAATAAGCAATAAAACGATTTATTAGTAAAGAATGGTAATGCATAAAGAGATTGCAAGCATAAAATATGTGCATAGCCAAAAATATATAAAAATGCTCAACCTCATTAATAATTAGTAAATAGAAAATAAAACAATAAATGATCATGTTTGCTCTAAGTCTAGTGTTAGCAATGGTGCCAAAATACTGTGGGTGAGATTACAAAATAGCAATAACTTTTAGCTATAACTATCAATTTAGTACTATATCTTTTGACCCAATAATTATTTTTCTAAGACTTTACTTTAGAAAAAAATTTGCCAGCTGTGTTCAGTGGCACACACTCTTAATCCCAGCTACTCTGGAGGCTGAGAGAGGAAGATCTCTTGATCCCAATAGTTTGAGGCTTCAGTGAGCTATAATTGGGCCACTGCACTCCAGCCTGAGTGACAGAGTAAGATCCTAGCTCTATTAAAAAACAACAATGACAACAAAAAGAAAGAAAACAGTTGCAGATGAGCACAAATTTACTTGTATTTAGTTGTTTATTTTTGCTGTTGTCTGAAAATTAAAGAAAAAAACCCATATGGCACTAAATATGAGTAGTTTAATAAATTATGATATATCCATATATCAGAAATGTATGCAGTGATTTAAGAAATGCAGTAAAGATGGATAAATTTTTATAAAAATATCTCCAAGGTTTACTCTCAGGTTAACAAAAAAAAAATCAAGAATAAATAAGGTATAATCCCATTTTATTAAAAACAATAACGAAAATTTAAAAAATACCCAAATACACACACATATGTATGTGTGCATGCATAAAGAGAGGTCTGGAAATATGGAAAGAATGTTATCAATAATTATTTGTGTAGGGTAGTTCAAAGAGAGCTCCACTTTCTGTTTCACATGTTTCTATTGTTTAATGATTTATAATGACCGTGAACTCATATATTACTGAATAACTGATGAAAGGTTTAAGACATTAGCATAATTGTGAAATGTCTAGGAATACATTTTACAAGATATTTGGAGAAACTTTACGAGAAAAATGTGACTGAGAGACATAAAACAAAGTGTGAATTAATGAAGAGACATACTATGTTCTTGGACAGGAATGTTCAAGGTTGTAAAGCTATCCGTTTTCTTTTAAATCAATCTATAAATGTATTGTTATTTGAATTAAGATTGCAGTGGAATTTCCAGGACTTGACAAAGTAATTTTAAAGTTTCTTGAAAAGATAAAAATATAAATCAAGCCAGAAAAAAAATTAAAGAATGGAATAATCAGAGAAGACACCATATCAGATATGAAGGTTATTACACATATGACAGAATAAACAAGACTCAGAGAACAGAATAGAAATCTAAAAGAGATCCTATGTACTATGTTATGAAGATAGCATTTCTAAGCCGAGGATTTTCTTTTTATATTTACATATTTGAAAATCAGTCTGCATGCTTTACCGAAAAAAAAAGACCTCCCCTCTTTCATTACACTGAAACAAACATGTGAAGTATAAATGACGTAAATATGAAAATTAATCTATATCGATATGAGTGAAATATACTTAATAATTTACATTATATTAGTATAGACAAAGGCTTCTGAGAACTAAAAGGAAAGACAAATCATAAAGGAAAGCTTCCTGGATGACACGTTCAAATGTAAAAGTGTTGTACAGTGATATTAAATCTGAACGCCAATAGCAATTTTTAAAATGAGATATGATATTACAAGATGAAGGTTAAGAATCTTAATAAATTTAAGAGCACTTACAAATCATCAAGATAAAGAAATATGCCAAATGGTCTTTTACTTTCAGATGAGTGGCTAAAAATCCTGAGGAGGCCTCTCACTTGCCAACTGCTACACCCAGGTTATGCCTTACACTTTGAGGCATCACTTGTCTCACCAAAAGGAGAAGTCTCTGGGGGAGCCTCTAACATAATAACAAACAACTAAACTAAGCCAAAAGCAATGTGAGGCCTGGGCTTCTTTTAGATGGAGGCAGAGCAGCCATGCCCAAGAGTAAGTGCTAGAGATGAAAAAAGGTGAGCCTCAGGGGAGGGAAATGAAAAAATGGGAATCGTGGAAAGAGCAGTGTTGCTTCAAGTCTTCCAGAAGAGCACCAGACACTGGAGCACAGAATTTTAAAACATGGAAAACAAAATACAGCTGAAGATATTTTTATCTGAGAGTAGAAAAGGATTTCTTCAATAAGACACAAATGTGTCAACCATAACCAAAAGATTAATACCTTCAACTATTTTTAATTAAGAACTTATCTTCATCTTTACCTTTAAAGAAAGTGAAGCCCAGAAATAAATTCACACACTTACAGTCACTTGATTGTCAGCAAATATGCCAAGAACACACAATGAGCAAAATATAATCTCTTCAATAAATGGTGTTAGGGAAACCAGATATCTATATGCAGAAACATAAAATTGGAGCCTTATCTCACAATATACACAAAAACTAACTCAAAATAGATAAAAGACTTAAATGTAAAAACAAACTGTAAAACTAATAGAAGAAAACATACAGAAAAAGTTTTTTGACATTGAGCAATTGTAGGGGATCCGTCAGGGTGGTGGGAGAAATTATAAAGATAAAGTTATAGGAAATAGACACAAACCTTGGAAGGCTGGGAGGTTTGCATAGCTTCAGTAAAAGACTTGACTGAAGGCAGCTGAATTCTCTTAAAAGCTTAGTACGTAGATGCATAGGAATGTAGAGGAGTTTATCTAAATAGCTTGTTGACTCATGTGGTCCTAAGACCGAGCTTTGATCATCTTTGGGCGTGCAACTGCTCTCTAATCAGAAGTTTGGCAATGTTAATTACCCTCTAGTGGTGTTTACTTGAGACCTTTGTCATTTAATCTGTACTAAATAAATGTGAACTTCGCCGGCTTATTGAGGCCGATGCTGCAGATGTTGTAACCAAGAGAGTTATAGAGAAATGTCACACTCTGAGACTAATTCAGGAGTCCTTTATTGCCAGTTACCAAAACCAGCTAGAGCTCAAAAATTCTCTTGGCCCCAAAGAAGGGGCTAGATTTTCTTTTATACTTTGGTTTAGGAAGGGGAGGGGGAGCCTAGCGGAAGCAATCTTACAGAAGCAAAACAGGCCAAAAAGTTAAAAAGATAAATGGTTACAGGAAAACAAATAGTTCCAGGTGCAGGGGCTTTAAGTCTATCACAAGGTGATAGATGCAGGGGCATTGGGTGCTATCAACCAGACACAAACGCGGGGGCTTTGGGTGCTATCAACAGGGTGAATTCCTGGGAACTGAGGATATAGCTTGCCACAGTATCTTATCAGTAATTGCATTCTTGGATGTGCCGGGAATCAGCTTGCACAAGTTAAGTCCTTGAGGAAGGGGGGTGGGTAAGGGGCTGCAAGTGAAGGACCCAAAATGGAGTCTGTCTGGCTCTCTCAGCTAAGGGATAGTCAATTCAGGTTAAAACAAGGTAGGATATCACACAGACTCAGGCAGCAGAGCCCCTTAGCCATGCTGACAGGCAAAATATCTGTGTAAGTGTACGTCTTTCATCAGTCGCTGGATCAGGGTCTGCAGATTGGACCTAGCAAACAATGATTTGGGAGCTATGACCCCAAAAATACAGGCAACAAAAGTAAAGACAGACAAGTGGGATTGCATCAAACTAAAAAGCTTCTGCACAGGCAAAGGAAACAGCCAGCCAGCAGGGTAAACAGACAATTTACAGAATGGGAGAAAATTTTTCTAATTATATATTTGATAAGGTGTTAATATCCAAAATAGATAAGGGACTCAAATAATTCGATATTTTAAAAAATCAAATTTTTAAAAAAGCAAAGAACTGGAACGGATATTTTTCAAAAGGAGATATGCAAATGGCTACCAGGTGTATAAAAAGTGTTCAACATCACTAATTATCATGGAAAAGCAAACCAAAAGTATGACGTATCACCTCACAAGTCTTAGAATGATTAGTATCCAAAAGACTAAAGATAAGTGTTAGCAAGGATGTGAAGAAAGAGAATCCTTATGTATTGTTGGTGGGAATGAGAACTGGTACCGATATTATGAAAAACAGTATGAAGTTTCCTCAAAACATTAGTAATAGAACTATCATATACTACAGCAATTCTAATACTGGGTATAAATCTAAGGAAATCAGTATGTCATAGAGATATCTGTATTACTACAGCATTATTCACTATACCTAAGCTATGGAATCAACTTAAGCGTCCATTAATGAATAAGTGAATGAAGAAAATATTTTATATATGTGTATATATATATATATATATATATATATATATATATATATATATACACAAACACACAATGGAATGCTATTCAGCTGTAAAAAAGAAGGAAATTCTGTCATTTGAAAATGGATCAAGCTAGAAGACATCATTATGCAAAGTAAAATAAAACTGGCACAGAAAGACAAATACTGCATGATCTGACTTATATGTGGAATCTAAAAAATTCAGACTCACAGAAGCAGGGTGTAGAGTAGTGGTTACCATGGTCCAGGAGTGGGGATCGGGGAAGTGTTGGACAAAGGATACAAAATTTCAGGCAGAATAAGTTCAAGAGATCTTTGTACAAGATGATGATGATAGTTAATAGGAAGGTATTGTATAATTGAAAATTGCTAGGAGAGTAGATTTTAAGTGTTCCCACCACAAAAATAATAAGTATATGGAGTATTGGATATGTTAATTAACTTGAGTTAGCCAATCCAAAATATATACATATATCAAGGCATTATGTTATACATCATAAGTATATGCCACTTTTGTCAATTAAAAATAGATATTTTTTTAAATTGAAAAGAGAATCCCTAAAATGGGAGAAAATAGTTGCTATACCTGTAAACCACAAATGTGGAATTATTTTTATATTGTCAAGGATAAGATAAACAACTCAAAGGAAACTGGTTAAAAGATATGAACAGGCATTTCATAGAAAAGAAAATATATATGGCCAATAACACAAATAAAAAGCAAATGAAGACCTCAATAGATACTTTTCTACAGCCATTTGATTGGCAAATAACAAAGAATGTGGCAATATGAAATTGGAGATGTGAACCTTTTATACAGCTAGCAGTGGAAATTGCTATACCACTTTTAGAAAACAATTTAGCATTTTCTTAGAGAGTTGGACAGATATATTACTCTTAGATATATACTCCAGAATATCTCTGCACAATTACATACATAAAAATATTCATATAAGAATTCATTATAATAGCCCCAAACTGGAAATCACCTAAATGTGCATAGACAAGAGACATAATAATAGTGTGATATATTTACACAATAAAATGTTATGCAGTATTGAACATTGATTATCTACTACGTTGTTTGAAAAAAAGGAATTCTTGGAAGACCATATGGGGTGATATTCTTTTTCTAAATTCTAATAACAAGTACAAGTCAACACTATGTTGTTTAGGCATATATTTATATGCAATACAAATCTACATCTATTTTTTAAATGGCAATAGGATTATAAATGTAAAATGAAGATAGTGTTTAACTCTTAGGATGGATGAAATATGTATAACAAAATGGAATGGGGGCTCGAACCTATAATCCTAACACTTTGGGAGGCCAAAATGAAAGGGTTGCTTGAGCCCTAGGGCTTGAGACCAGCCTAGGCAACATAGTGAGACCTAGTCTCTAAAAAAAAGTTTAAAAAAATTAGCCAGGCATGGTGGCATATGCCTGTATTCCCAGCTACTTGGGAGGCTGAGGTGGGAGTATTGCTTTAGCCCAGGAGGTTGAGGCTACAGTGAGCCAGGATCACACCACTGCACTCCAGGTTGGGTGACCTGTCTCAAAAGAAAAAACAAATCTTTCTCAAAAGAAAGAAAATAAAGTTCTGGATTCACTACAGTTATTGAGTTGTGTGGTGCGCACCTGGGGGTTGATTATATTATTAAAAATATTACACACATGCATACATACATAAAATAACAGAAACACAAATGAACCAATGAACCAATGATGACAGCATGCATTGTGATTAATGAACTTGATTAATCAAGTTATTTGTTACTAAGAACAATAAATAAGAAGAGAGAAGGATAAACGCTATGAGCAAATAATTTATAAAATTATAAAATACAAACATAAAACATTTTTAAAGATTAATTTTACTATTTATCAAAAGACTGGAAATTAAAACAAAAGTATCATTTGTCTTTGGATAAAAAATTAAATGTTGATTAAGATGCAGAGTTGGTAGGAATGCAAATTGTAGAGATTCTGGAAAGTAATTTGGCAAATAACCTTTGATTTAGCAATTACATTTCTAAGAACTTACTAGAAGAAAATATTTAAGAAATTTATAAGACATATTTATATTCTAGAATATTTATTTCTACTTTTAGAAGTGAACATATTTTTATGTCTAATATGTCTAAATTTCGAACAATTTGGGATTTGTTCATTGAATTTTGGAGTATCTATAAAATAAGTAATATGAAGACTTTATTGAATATAATTTTGGAGCTTTTTATCCACATAAATGAGTACACTCAAAAGTTTTAAATCAGTTTTCTATAGTTATCTCCACAGTAGACTTAGAGTATCACCTATTTTAAAATTTTTATTAACCTATATAAGCTTTAAATTTTTATCTAATAATTTTGTATTACTTGTTCAATTACAAATACCTGAATTTGTTTTTAACATTATTTCTGCTTTTAAAAATGGAATCTTGGACCAAAAACCAATTAGCAAAAAACTGACAATATCACTGCTCTCTTCAGTGATTAAGAAAGCTTTATATGATAAATTTAAGAAAGAAAAATCGAGACATGACTGAGAGTCATCAATTTATCTAAGGGAACTCCTTTCTTGTCAACAAGAAAACATAGAGCAAATTGTGTTCCCCAAGTGTTATTAGAGTGTGAAAAATAAAACAAATGCCCAGGAGCCTCAACTGTTTTTCAGTGACTATGGAAGTATGTGATGGCATATTAGTGGCCTGGCAGCATGGAAAGTCGAAGTTTTTATTGATTATTATATATTAGTAAGGTCTCACCAGGATCTGAAAGAATTTTTAGTTTCTTTGTGATGTTGGGATAGAGACCCATGTTTCTTTTGCTGCACTTTCCCCTTCTGTATAATAGCACTGGTGGAATCTTTCTTTCCTGTCTTTCACAGTACACTGCACACAGTATCTGCAGTATCACTAAACTACTCAATGTATGATCATAAATGAATCTTTCAAAAGAGGCAAATGCTAAAAACTACAGTCTGAGATCAGACTCAAAATGGTAGAATCACCACATCAGCCCCTAAAACATCATTTAAAAGAATAAATATTTCTTAAAGGTTAACTTGCACACCAAATATGATTAAAGTTGATTTTAATGTTATTTTATGGTATCGAATTTTCCCAAATTAGAACTACCAGCTTCCAAGATGGCCTCCAATGATCCCAATCTTCTAATATTTTTACCCTCATGAAGCCTCTCCCACATTATATCAAGACTGGTCTTAGTGATCAATAGAATATGGTACAAGTGATTTTATGTCACTTCTAAGATTATGTCATCAAAGACACTGTACTTTGCCTTTCTTTTTTTTTTTTTTCCTCTCACTCACTGTCTTTCTTGGATCACTCTGGCAGAATATAATCACCAGGTCATGAACAACTCTATGGAGAGAACAAAGTGAAAATGAACAAAGCCTTCAGCCAACAGTCATGTGAGTGGGTTTTCTTGGAAATACACTCTGTAGCCCATGATGAGTCATTAGGTGACTACAGCCTTGCCCAATAGCTTGACTGCAATCTCATAAGAGATGAACCAGAACCACCCAGCAAATCACCGATTTTCAGAAACCATGTGAAATAAAAGATGTTTTTTATCCTTTGTTGTTAAGTTTTGGTATAATTTGTTATGAAACAGCAGATAAATAACACACTTTTTCATTTCAGTTTGAAATTGTTTTGAACTAATTACACAACAAAAATTTTCCCATATTTTGGCATTAGTTTTTAGAAAATAGTTGAATAGAAAAGAGTAGTAGACTATATAAAAGTTATCTGTTTTATAAAGATGACTTACCTCTCTGTAGATTTTCTTTTGGTTTACTAGGGATAGAAAATATAAATGCAACTAGGTTGAATTTTCTTATTCTAAAATTTAAAAACTATTATTTTGTAAATTTACTGGGCTCTTATTTATTACTTGAACAAGTAGAATGTCTCATAGAAATAAAGCAGTAGAGACATATTTCATCTTTAATAAACACAGTAAACAGAAACATCAATCAAATGTTAAAATACTAAATTGTCTTAAGATCTGGAATATATTTAAAATACTTATCTACTGAACCTGATGATTTTCTAAAAATTTATCTTATTCAGTGATAACACTAGGCTTTCCTCTCTTAAACAAGACCCATGATAAGACAACAATGAGGACGTATATGTGCAGAGATAGAGACTCAAAGCAGAAAGTAAACTATAACAAGTGGGAAAAATTGCTAAAGCTAAAATTTTGACCAATTTTGGCATATTCTTTTCCACCAGCCACTTATTTGAGATATTACAGCACATCACCTCTATTGTGAAGTGAGCCATAATGAGATGCACATGTGATATGAATTTATCTCCAAGAATATTTCTGCCTCAAGGCATGAATTATCTGACATGTGGGATGCCTACACAATTGGGTGTTCATTTACCAAGTTTATAATTCTTCATATAAACCACATGTATTATTTTCAATATGTAATATTAATCTGTTGAGCTTTTTCTTCTAATAAAGTTTAAGGAAAAAATCTAAAGATGGGAAGAAATATTAACAGATTAGAGCTTTAGATATATCTGAGTTTCTCTTAGTATGAAATATAAGTTTGATTAATAGCTTATAGCTCTACTGTGCACCACAGTCTTGGCTAAATATCCCAGTAGGCCATTAATGGAGAGGGGCGGGCGTGTGGGGATGAGTGTTTGTGGAATAGACTGTATATTCAGAAAGCACTGCAGGATTTCCATGGGCCATGGAGCAGAAATATAATGATCTTCTCTCATATACATCAGGCAGATTTGGAAAATGCAACTGGCATCACAACACAATCAGTGCTTCAAAGTAATTTACCACCACCACAGAGCTTTTAATATAGTCACAATATTGCTGTGTCTTGTGATGGCTCAAAAAGTCTGTTTTAAAAGAGAAATTGAATTATGTATTTTCTTTGGCATGCCAAACATTTGATAAATCTATTATAATCTAAAAGCTAGGCATGTCAGAACATTAGCATTGATGTTTAATAGCATACGTCAGTTCCAGAAAACTGCTCATATAAAGCTTGTTTAATAAAAAATGTGTTAATTTTCAAGTTTTTATCCACTTTATGTAGAATTTTACAGATTTATTCTTTTAAGTACATGGCATTAAAAAAAAATTCACTTTGAAATAGAGAACACAAAGATAGTTTTTTAAGGATCAACTATTTGAAATTTGTGTATGTGTGTGTAAGACTGACTGTATATTACAAAAAGTAGCAAGAGAAAAATTAGGTAGGACTTAGAAAGTGTAAACTCTAATTGCGAACTAAACTAGCCCAAAGCTTTCCAGTCCTCTGTAGAAGTCATCTCAATTCAACATATAAATATACATGATCCCAATTTAATTTAATTTAAGCATTGTTTGCCTTTAACTGTCATTATTAAGTAAGCATGACATAAATATTTTTTACTGTGATTCAACCATTCAGAAAGATTAAAATGTTTGTATTGTAGACATAAAGGAAAGATAAGATATACCAACAGGATTAAACTCTAGACATACAACCAGGAGTCTTCAATCCCCAGGTCCAAATAAATGAATTGGCATCCAATATCAAATGTTCTTTCTTTTGTTTTAATAGGTTTGGTTTTGCTCCTGTTGCGCTTAGTGTGTGTATGTGTGTGAAAGTGTATATAAATGTGATAGCCCCAATTCTACACACATTGTTGCTGCAAAGATTTAAAGAACTAGAAAAATTCCTAGTGATCTTTGACTTATTTTATAGAGATCACAGTTTATTTGAGATGGAGAAAATGTCTCACTCTGAATTGAAAAGTATGGCTATTTTTTAAATAATAATATTGAACCCTTTGCTGAAACACCAATCAAATTGATTTCTGCTGGAGATAAAACATGAGATAAAATTGAATTTGAAATGTAGTCCATTGATTTTAACTTCGTGTCTCTCGTCCAAGAATTGTAAAATGAGAACAGAATATGTAAAACTCAGCCACAAAGAAGTGATTCAGGTGTTTCAAGGTTAAAAATAGTTACAAGACTCAATATTCTGCAAATACAGGTATAGACACAACCCAAATATCCCAGTTATCCCAAATACAGCTGACCCAGCCTGTAGATATAATTCACAGGGGACTTTAAACAAGCAACAAAAAAACAACAACAGCAAATAATAATAGCAAGACATGGACCTAACCAGATGAGATGGTTGATTTTATGTGTCAGTTTGACTAGGCCACGGGGTGCCCAGATATTTGATTAAACATTATTCTAAGTATGTTTGTAAGGGTGTTTCATATGAGATTCATATGAGAATGAGGGTGATTCATATGAGATTAACATAGGAATCAATGGATTGGGTAAAGCCTATGGCCCTCCCCAGTCTGGATGGTCCTTACCCAGTCCATTGCAGGCTGAAATAGTACAAAGAATGAAGGATGGAGCGAGAATTTGCTCACTCTGCCTGCCTGTTTTCAAACCTGGACATCAGTCTTCTTGCACAATAATACTGGAACATATACAAATAGCTCTGTTAGATCTCAGGCCTTCAGACTTGGAATGAAACTACACCAACTACTCTCGGCTCTCCAGAATTATCTTCATCTTGCAGTCAAGAGATTTTGGGTATTCTCAATTTCCATCCTCATGTGAGCCAGTAAGCCAATTTCATACATATATATTTTCCAGTGGTTCTGTTTCTCTGAGAACCCTGGTATCATCCATAAATTATTAAAATACCTGGGGTTTAACCACTTTCCTGTTGCAACCACTAACTGGCTACAAGATTATGTCTATTTTTTATTTATTCACCACACATTATGGAGCACCTAAGTATGTTGTTAGATTATGGGATTCTATAATTTATGAATATTGAACCATTTCTTTGAGGGAGCGGGAAAGACAAGTAACAGGTAAGATTTCTTAAAAAGCAAATGCTGTAGGTGTTGTGATAGAACTAAAAAAATAAAGACTTGAAATATTAGTACATAATAACTCACAAGTATTTCTGGAAATAAAATTAGTAATTGTGATTAAAGTATATTATAATAAAAGCACTAAAAACAGCAATACAAGCAAATAAATCCCCATTTATTGATAAACTATATAATGTTTGGTATTAACTACTTTCCAAATGCTTTTTTCCTCTTTATGATAATTCTGCGAAGAGAAAACTCTTATCCTTATTTAGCAGAAGAGGAAACTGAGTCATAGGTTGCTTGAATGAAGTTGCTTAGTTATTAAGTGGAAGAGCCAACATCTTAACCAGGGATGGACTGAATCTTAGGTTCAGTTGTTACATCATATTGTTCAAGTTGCTTAAGTTCAATTCTACCATAATCACATGATGTAGTAAATATATTAAGGAAGAATACTAAAAAGTTATATTACTAGACCCTCACACACAGTACCAACGTTCAAACACCAAACATGAAACCTGTCAACTCCAGGGATAGCCAGTCTTTTAAAAAGTTAAGCAACCTGCATACATACATATTGCTGATGACATGGTGTGCACTGAAAACTCCTTGGATGCCTCTGCTCTATAATATTACTAGTTATTACCCTTCCATAATGCAGCTGTCAGAGTTCTAAAATAAGCAGAGCTTTCAGAGTTTTATTTCTTATTTCTTCATCCAGCTGAGCAATAAGTGTTATGAATACATGTGGGAAAACAGAGAAGCTTGATAGATCTAGAAACAGGTGTTTCAAATGAGAGCTAAAGAAACACAGCAAACTCTGAACCCTTAGTAAATAATAAAAGGAACTTGTATATGACTGCTATGGTTTGAAGGTGTCCCTTCCAAAATTCATGTTGAAACTTATTACCCATTGTGGTAGTATTAAGAGGTGGGGCCTTTGGGAAGTGAACACATCATAAAGGCTCTGCCTCATGAATGGATTAGTGTGCCATGAAAAGGGCTTGAGGGAACTAACTAAGGCACTTTTGCTCGTCCACTCTTCCACCAGGTGAAGACACGGTGTTCATCCTTTTCTGTTTTTCTGCCTTCCATCATATGAGGACACAGCAAGAAGTCCCTCACCAGACACCAAAGGCTGGCACCTTGATCTTGGATTTCCCAGTCTCCAGAAATGTACAGTAAATCTCTGTTCTTTATAAATTACCCAGTCAGGTATTTTGTTATAGCAACAAAAAGAGACTAAGATAAATTAATGGATATTTTTAATGAAGTTTTAAGTGTGAGTTCTGGAGAGAGCACTCAATTTGAGAAAAATCCCAGAAATAGAGACAAAAGCAGTCCTAATGCAAACACACCAAATCTAAAGCTTACCGTCAATGCCTGCACAAATCTAGCCCTGAAATAAGACTCAGTTCCAGGGAGGACTTCATTCTGCTTTAAAACAGCCACACTTGTGATAAAAAAAAAAAAAAAAAAGAAGAAGAAGATATTTTTCAAGAGAACAGGGAAGTCATACATGGAGTCTTTGTAATGTATCTCGAAAATTACACCAGAACAATATCACTGGTGTTCTGATTCACTATTTCAGTAATATGACAAAGTTTGAGTAGCAGCTACAAAATACATTCCCAATGCTAGGCTATGTACTGCAGAGGGTCAAAGGTAGATTAGTCAGAGCTTCTTCCCTCAAAGAGTTTCCAAAGTGTAGAAACAGAAGAGACAAGAGTACAAATCATTATAAGAAGAGAAAACAATAAATCCATAAGAAAATGTAATTTCAAAGGATCATTAAAGGATAAGTTGATTTTGTCCTCTAAAGATAAGTTTGGGGAGAGGTTGCCATCGGCAAAAAAAAAGAAGGTGAGCCAAGTAAAGAGTTGGAAGGAGGAATGCAAAGCCTGTTGGGTTGGTGTTACAAGTCATTGAAGGTCCGTTTTCATCAGAGAGATATGATGATAACTATACATTATAAATATTCATTTGACAGCAATGTTGGAACAACAAATTGGAGAGATGAAAACAATAAGTTTTCATGACAGTCTATACAAGCAATTCATAGGGACTAACTGAACTTGGGAAGAGAAACCCTTAATTCTGGCAACGAGATGGACATGACCATTAAATCTGAAGGTATAAGTAAAGATACCTGTAATATTTGAAGCTGGGACAATTAAAATAATGTTGGAGTCCTTAACCAAAAATTATGTAAAAGTCAATTAGATGAGTTAGCTTGGTGAGCAAAGAAAAATTTTTGACAAGTGAGATTGAGAGCTTGGAAAAGTAGATGTGTTCTGTTCAATGATTCAAACAGGTTTGGGGCTGGGAAAGAGTGCAAAGTTCAGTTGAGAATTTGGGGATACATCACCATAGAGACAACTGAAGTTGTGAAAGTGGTCACATTCATAAAGAGGAGGGGTATGAAGTTGAACGAGGTACACAAAAGGAAATTTAGTTATATTTGTATTTATTTAAGGGACAGAAAGAGGAAGTAAAGCTAGTAATTAAGCATACAGAGTGTCAGATAAGTAAGACTAAATTTAGGAACCTACAGTTTAAATGTAGCAACATGAAGGCATAAAATCTAAAATTTTTACCATGGCTTTACATGTTTCAATTTAATGAATACTCTGAACCATATTAGGCTCTGTTTGAGCCTTAAGCTTAAGCTTGCTACACCTTGATTTCCTCATCGATAAAATATAAATAATAATAATAGCAAGCTCATGGGCCTTTCAAATATGTTAAATGAGTTAATGCAAATAAAATTATTTGAACAATGCCTGACACATAATAAGCACCTGCTAACTATTATTACAGTTTTATGTTATGAATTATTAAACAGGAAAAGGATCAAAGAACTGGTTAGTGAAGCCAGAGAGTGACAAGAAGGAGGTGATGTTCAACAGTATCAAAACCAAGAAACATTATAATTAAGAAAATACAAGTAAGTTTGTCATTAAAAATTCACTTACTATTATCCAGAAAGCCACATTATTGTGGGAGCAAAATGTAGAATTCAAATGCTTAAAGAGAAAAGTATGCTTTCTATATAAATGTAAATTTCAGCACGCTTTCAGAAAACTAACCATTCATGTTGATAAAGCTCATCAACTTCCCTGTGTTCTAAACAAAAACGTGTATGCAACTTATGGGTACCCATACCACAGCATCAGTTACATTATATTGCAATTAATAATTAAAACTAAATACAAATTCACTTATATTTCAAAGCTTTAAAAATGAAGCAATACCTTTATATTCCTAGTACATAGCACAGTACAGATCTCATAGGAAACACTGAATAAATGCCAAAATAATACAGTTTAAAAACAGATAATGCATTAAGAAAAAAGCAACGTTGTCACCATGGAGAAATATGCAATATGAAATTGATAAAATATATGTAATCTTTTCTTTGTTCTGAAATTACTTTTTATTAACTTTACTTATCTTATTTATCTACTTGTTTAATCCAGACTTTCAGTGTCATTACTGTGTGGAGAACTTTAGCAGCAGAAATGCATAAAATCCCCTTTGGAAGAAACCTTCACAGTATAGTAGCAATTAGGCATTTTCTTTATTCTGAGATGACATAGTGGCATGTGTAGGTCCATAGGCGTGGATAAAATTACCTACTGGTGTATTCTTAACAATGGGTTGTATGCTGTTAAAATGCCATGACAGAACTGCAAAACATATCTCCTGTCAACCCAGACCAAGGTCCCAACTGCCACAATCGACCAGACTGCAGCTCGGTGATTCTTTTTTAATTGGCTTGTAAGCTTTTCGCTGTTTTTAGATGAAGGGTAATTTGGCTAATTAACAATTTTGTGGGTTCTTGCTCTCTAGCTGGAAATGAAAATAATTCTTTTCTATTTCATTTGAGAGAAGTTAAAGAAACTTTGGTTCACATGGACATACAGATGGGAACAATAGCCACTGGAGAATGCAAGAGGAGGGAGGAGGAGAAGGGGTCTATGGTGGAAAAACTACCTATCGGGTACTATGTTCACTACCTGGGTGACGGGTTCAGTTGTACTCCAAACCTCAGCATCAGGCAGTATACCTTTGTAACAAACCTCCACATGTATCCCTTGAATCCAAAAGTTGGAAAAAATAGCCATACTGCCCAAGGTAATTGATAGATTCAATGCCATCCCCATCAAGCTACCAATGTGTTTCTTCACAGAATTGGAAAAAACTACTTTAAAGTTCATATGGAACCAAAAAAGAGCCTGTATTGCCAAGTCAATCCTAAGCCAAAAGAACAAAGCTGGAGGCATCATGCTACCTGACTTCAAACTATACTACAAGGCTACAGTAACCAAAACAGCATGGTACTGGTACCAAAACAGAGATATAGACCAATGGAACAGAACAGAGCCCTCAGAAATAATGCCGCATATCTACAACTATCTGATCTTTGACAAACCTGAGAAAAACAAGCAAGGGGGAAAGGATTCCCTATTTAATAAATGGTGCTGGGAAAACTGGCTAGCCATATGTAGAAAGCTGAAACTGGATCCCTTCCTTACACCTTATACAAAAATTAATTCAAGATGGATTAAAGTCTTAAACGTTAGACCTAAAACCATAAAAACCCTAGAAGAAAACCTAGGCAATACCATTCAGGACATAGGCATGGGCAAGGGCTTCATGTCTAAATCACAAAAAGCAATGGCAACAAAAGCCAAAATTGACAAATGGGATCTAATTAAACTAAAGAGCTTCTGCACAGCAAAAGAAACTACCATCAGAGTGAACAGGCAACCTACAAAATGGGAGAAAATTTTCGCAATCTACTCATCTGACAAAGGGCTAATATCCAGAATCTACAATGAACTCAAACAAATTTACAAGAAAAAAACAAACAACCCCATCAAAAAGTGGGCGAAGGACATGAACAGACACTTCTCAAAAGAAGACATTTATGCAGCCAAAAAACACATGAAAAAATGCTCACCATCACTGGCTATCAGAGAAATGCAAATCAAAACCACAATGAGATACCATCTCACACCAGTTAGAATGGCAATCGTTAAAAAGTCAGGAAACAATAGGTACTAGAGAGGATGTGGAGAAATAGGAACACTTTTACACTGTTGATGGGACTGTAAACTAGTTCAACCATTGTGGAAGTCAGTGTGGCGATTCCTCAAGGATCTACAACTAGAAATACCATTTGACCCAGTCATCCCATTACTGGGTATATACCCAAAGGACTGTAAATCATGCTGCTATAAAGACACATGCACACGTATGTTTATTGCGGCACTATTCACAATAACAAAGACTTGGAACCAACCCAAATGTCCAACAGTGATAGCCTGGATTAAGAAAATGTGGCACATATACACCATGGAATACTATGCAGCCATAAAAAATGATGAGTTCATGTCCTTTGTAGGGACATGGATGAAATCGGAAATCATCATTCTCAGTAAACTATCACAAGAGCAAAAAACCAAACACCGCATTTTCTCACTCATAGGTGGGAATTGAACAATGAGAGCACATGGACACAGGAAGGGGAACATCACACTCTGGAGACTGTTGTGGGGTGGGGGTAAGGGGGTGGGGAGGGATAGCTTTAGGAGATATACCTAATGCTAAGTGATGAGTTAATGGGTGCAGCACACCAGCATGGCACATGTATACATATGTAACTAACGTGCACATTGTACACATGGACCCTAAAACTTAAAGTATAATAATAATTTTTAAAAAAAACTAAAAAAATAAAAATAAAAAAATAAAACTCATGTCTGGAAATGGCTTTACACATTTTACCAAAGTGAATTCAAAGAGTTGACAAATGTTTTTGTGTAGATAGAGGAGATCGAGTTTTACATAAATAATGATATATGTAAATATAACAAGAACATTTATTGAGCACATAGTGTACTAAGTGCTTTGGTAAATACTGTAAGGTATAAAAAGATATTGCATAGATCTTCTCTTCAAACAGTTTACTGTGAACTTGAGCAGGAATAACTACGTATTTAAAATTTTACAGCAACTTAAATCATATTGTCATATACATTTACATCCTCATCATAAATTCTCTATACTTTGTCAGTGGTCTCCAGATTAGTCTTTCTTCTTTCCATTTATTCCAATTCTTGGTACTGTTTATAGAGGAACATTCCAAAAATACAGATTTTATGCTACTGTTCTAGTTTGAAAACATAATTCCCTGGCACTGTAAGAGAATACAATCCACCTTCTTGGGATGGCATACAAAGCACTCCATAATTTGGCTGCTGGCAACCTTACTATTGCCATTTTCCAATCCCATATTTAATGTCCAACAACACTTGGTCATAAAACTTGAAGTTCCATAAGAAAACACACTGTTTGTCTTAAATGACTTTGTTTATGCTATTTCCTCTACTTAGTATGCCCTTTTGTCCACATGGTAAACTTTTGTTTTTACTTCAAAATGCTATTTAAGTGTCATATCTTTCCCCAAAGAAATATTAGAATCGATTCAGAGTGCTTATTTTCTCAGGGTTTATAATTAATGGCATGCTAGTAAAAGTTTATCAACCACCTCTAAAGACTTTTTTAAAAAGCCCTACTTTGTAGCAGTTGTCAATTTCCATGGTGTAAATATGCCCAAATTGGCCAATTTTAAGCGACTAAACTGGCATTGCTGAACAGGAAATTGAAAAGAGATGCTTCGTTGGCTCTCCTAAACCAGTGTGAGCTGGCTCTAGCACAACGCTGGTTATAATCCAAGAAAGATGCCTGCAATTTATAGATTATAGAATTCTCTAAATTAATTAACACTGACTTGTGTGCTACACATTCAAAAAAGTGCTAAATAAACCCCAGACTATTTATTTTTTTAAATCTTGCTTTAGAGTTTGATAATTTCTAGCCTTTTAATCCCACATAATTTCTGTGAAATAACGCCATCAGAATTAATCAGAATGTATTTGTACCATTTTTCAAATTTCTTCCCATCTTCTCTCCATATGATAGGTATGACAAGTCACTTGACTTAAGGAACTAAAAGTGAGTGTTTTGGGGCTGATATTTTATGAAAGGATGTAAGATAATTCTACTTTAGAGCTTTGCTAAAACTCTTCATCACCTTTTTATAAATTTGCACATGTATTCCTTGAATCTAAAAGTTGAAAGAAAAAAAACCTCATGTCTGGAAATGGCTTTTCACACTTTACCAAAATAAATTCAAAGAGTTGACAAATGTTTTTGTGTAGATAGACGTAATTACCAAAGCTTATTCAGGAAGAAATAGATCATTTGAGTAGCCTCTCATCTCTAAAGAAATTGATCATCTAGTTGAAAACCTTTCTCATGTACAAAACTCCAAGTCCACATGGCTTCGCTTTGAATTCTACTAATCATTTAAGGAGGATATGACACAAATTCTACAAAAATCTTCCAGACAATTGAACAGGAGAGGGTACTTTCCAAGTAGTTCTAAAGTATCACCTTTGATACGATTTGGCTCTGTGTTTCCACCCAAATCTCATGTTAATTCCCAATGCTGGGGGAGGGAGCTAGTGGGAAGTGGTTGGATCATGGGGGTGGATTTTCCCCTTCCTATCCCCATGATAGTGAGTGGGTACTCAGGAGATCTGATGGTTTAAAAGTGTGTGGAACTCCTCCCTTCGCTCGCTCGCTCTCTCCTGCCACCATATGAAGACGCGCTTGCTTCCCCTTCATCCTACCGCCATGACTGTACGTTTCCTGAAGTCTCCCCAGCCATGCCTCCTGTACAGCCTGTGGAACTGTGAATCAATTAAATCTCTTTTCTTTATAACTTACCCAGTCTCAGGTAGCTCTTTACAGCAGTGTGAGAACAGACTAATACAACCCTGATTCCAAAACCAGAGATCTTACAAACAAACTACATATAAATAATTCTCATGAACATAGATGTAAAAGTTATTACCAAAATTAAATTTTAACCAACTCTCTTTCTCTCATATATATATAAAATATATATCTGTGTGTGTATGTATATATATATGTATATATATATACATATTATATATACACATATATATGTATATATATATACACATACATGCACGTACAATGTATCATGATCAAGTTGGTTTTGTCCCAGAAATTTATGTATGGTTTAAAAATTTTAATCAGTCAAATATAATTCATGGTATTAAGAAACAAAAAGAGATAAGCCATATGATTCTCTGGTTAGATGAACAAAAGGGATTTGAAAAATATTTAACATCCATTAATGATAAAAACATGCCAACAATCTAGAAAGAGAAACTTCCTCAATCTGATAGAGACATCTATGAAAAACCTAAACTTAATGTCAAACTTAGTGGTGAAACACTAAATGCTTTCTCCCCTAAGTTCAAAAATAACGTAGGATGCCACTCTCACCACATGTATTCAACATGATACTAAAGTTTCTGACCACTAACTAAGAGAAGAAAAGGAAATAAAGGGTCCAGATTGAAAAGGAAGAAATAAAACTATATTGTCAGACAAGATGATAATCTATGTAAAAACTCAAATGGAATCTACAAAAAAAATCCTAGAAGTAAAAACTGAGTGTAGCAAGTCTGCAGAATGCAAAATAACATTAAAAATTATGTTTCTCAATACTAGCAATGAGCAATTAAAGTTTGAAGCTTAAAAACGTAATACCACTTAGAATAGCAGTAAAACCTGGAAAATGCTAAGAAAGAAATCAGACCAAAAAAAAAGATAACGTGCATGTATATTGAAAACTAAAAATCTTCCTGGGAAAAATTCAAAGAAGACCTAAATAAATAGAAACATATACCTTATATGTGGTTCAGAAGACACAATATTATTAAGACATCAATTCTCCCAATTTGCTGTATAACTTCAAAATAATCCCAATCAAAATTCCAATAGGATTTTTAATACATATTGATAATTTTATTCTAAAATTGATACAGAAAAGCAAAGTAAATCAAATAGAACAACTTTAAAAAAGAAGCATAAGGTTGGAGGACTAATGCTAACCAATATCAAATTTTATTATACAGCTACATTAATGAATGCAATGCGGTATTTGCTTCAAAATAAACCAATATATATTAGTGTCACAAAAGAGTGAGTCCAGAAATAGACCCACCCACATATAGACAATTGATCTTTGACAAAGGAGCAATGGCAAACCAGTGAAGAAAGTATAATCTTTTCAAGAAAACAATTGGATTACTTATGAATACACAGTCTACCCAATACCCAAAAATTAACTAAAAGTGAGTCATAGACTTCAGTGAAAAATCTAAAAGTAAAAAACTCCTGGAAAAAACTCCCGAAAAAAAAAAACTTTCATGACCTTGAACTTATAATACCAAAACATGATGCATAAAATTAAAAAGTTGATAAATTGGACTTCATCAATATTTAAAACATCTGCTCTTTAAAATATATTGTTATGAAAATTAAAAGATAAGCCAGATGGGGGAATATACATGCAAATTATATACCTATATATACATATATATGTGTATACATATACATATATGTGTATATGTATGTATATATTCCCCCTATCTGGCTTATCTTTTCATTTTGTGTGTGGGTGTGTGCGTGTGTGTGTAAAAAACAGTTGCACCCAGACTATATAATGGACTCCTAAAAGTCAACATTAAGAAAATAAATAATTCAGTTAAAAAACGGGTAAAAATTTGAATGGACACTTCACCAAAGAAAACATAGAGATGCCAAATGAACACATGAAAACATGCTGAAATCATTAGTCATCAAGGATATGCAAACAAAAGCCACAATGAGATACCACTATAAATCTTTTAGAATGGCTACATTAGTCTGACTATATCAAGTGTTGTCAAGTATGTAGAGAAATAAACTCTCATTCACTGATGACGAAAATGTAAAATGGTACAACTTTGCAAAAGAAATTGGCAGGTTCATAAAAAGAAATTAAATATGCATCTAACATATGATGCAGCCATTATATGCCTAGTTATTTACCCTCACACACACACAAAAAATATATATAAGGATTTGTATAAGGATATCTGTAGCAGCTCTTGTAATATCCAGAAGATGGAAATAACCAAAATGTGCCTAAACAGGTAAATAGATAATCTAACTGTGGTATGTTCACACAATGAAATAGTATTCAGCAATAAAAAGGAAAGTGCTATTGACACAAGCAAAGATGTAGATAAATCTCAAAGTAACTACACAGTATTTTGAAAACTGGGCATATAAGAGTACATATTGAATGATACCATTTATATAAAATTCTTAAGAATACAAAATAATATATAGTGAGAAAAAGCAGTTCAGTGGTCTCCTAGGGATAAATATGGGGATATCAGAATGCAGGAGGGGTGGGAGAGAGTGATTATTAAAAGGTAAAAGAAAACTTTTTGGGAGTGATAGTTATATTCATCATCTTGATTGTGGTGATGGTTTCATGGTGCATACATAAGTCAAAATTTAGCCTATTGTATATTTTAAATACATGCTGTTTGTCAAATTTATTACACTTCAATAAAGCTATTAAAAAATAGATATGGGTGCCAGTGAGCAACAGTGGTAATTATTTGAACAGAATGATTTAGAAGGATAGATTTAAAAGGATGGGAAGTGAACAACAAATGGAATTTTGATTGTGTAACAGTGTCACCAGTCAGGAAAGAGATAGTCAACTGCCCTCTCTCATGATAAAAAGTATGGATTCCACAGATGACACTCAATGGGAATAAAAAATATTTCATGGGACAAAGGAGGGGCATGATAGACAAATTTTTCAGGCAAAACTACATTAATGGCTTTTTTATAAAGGAAACTTCCCAACAAAGTGGTAGTGGTCTTATAAGCAAATGAAGTGAGCTATCAGGGAAAGAGAAGGGGATTTTACAGCTCTAGAGAACTGAATTTGAATCTTGTGTAAACTAGTCAAGTTACCTAATTTTTTAGAACTGAATTTGAATCTTGTGTAAACTAGTCAAGTTACCTAATCTCTTGAGTCTTGATTTTTTTAATATAAACAACTATAATACCAATAATTATCTCATGAGGCCATTGTGAAAATTTTAAAATTATCAGTTTTTTTCTTAACCAGAGCAGAAGGGAAGATAGCCCTGATAAGCAACAGCTATAGAATATATTCAAAGTGCTGGTGTAGCCCCAACCAATTACAGAGTCAATATGCACTGAATTTGAAAATACATTAAGGACCGATTTCCTCCCATGATTGGGGTTAGCTTTCCTTTCTTGAGTGTGGTATCTGGTATTCATGATATGTGAACCCTTCATACCCTGTGTCCGCTGAGTTAAGTCCCATGTGAGCCTCACCATGGGTCACAAGACCATCCCCATTCTATTTTAATGTGCACTACAATTTACCACTGGGAGGAGAATCTGCCAGCCATCATCACCTCCTTTTCTTTGGACACTGTCTTTGTCTTTGTCTGATGCCATGACTTAAACTAAAGGAATCTCCTTTCCCTTTTTCTAATGCTGTCATCAAGTAAGCATCACTAGTGCTTGTAATTACCAACTATCATACTTCTCCCACCAGTATGAACTTAGATTAGACATAAATTTACAAAGTACCCTTGGAAATTGCGATTTAGGCACCCAGTCCACAATTGAGTTCATTTATGTGTCAATGCATGCTTTCTTTATATACATCTTCCTTCCCACTGACATGCCTGGAAGTTTTAACATTCATAGCAGTTGAGCTGAACCCGTGGGTCTAAGAGAAGTTTTGGTGTGAAGAACCTTCAAGAGTCTTTCTTATGTCATGCTCTAGTTTAGACTCATTTTCAAGTCCAGACACCTGGAACTTTCTTTTGCTCTTCATCTCTGGTTTCAATGGCTAAATCTGCAGCCACATAGTCTATTTCTTGGACACCTTGTTCATCTCTGAGTCAAGTATAGGACATAATCTTCCCTACTGTTTCCTTCCTTTACACTTCTCGGCCTCTCCTTTTTCAGGCCTTAACTCTAATCAATAAAGAAAAGCAGATTTGTGAAATTTAATTTTCATGGGAAAAAAAGATAAAGATCCATAGTCCCAAGCACCTGCCTCCTGTCCAGAATGATAACTAGAGACCCCACTTTTAATTCTGAAACTGGAAGTACCAAACCTTTTACTCTTTGTCCGCTTATTCTTCAGGACAGGTTGATACATCTTCCTTAAGGTTCCTTCCTTCTGCCACAAAGATAACCATGAAGCGAAACAGAAGGCTCCCATTGGCCCCAAGTGGCTGACCTGCATCTCTGAGGACTTCCAGATAAGTAGCCTGATGGACAATTGTATTGGCTTTATATCTATCTGAAAATGATCTATTTTGTTCATCTTCTTACAAATAATAAAGTTTTTTCATAGTAGTCGTTGCAGCCATAATTTTACATTTCTGCATTTATTATTTAATTCAAGATATAATATGCACATTTTCAGAATAGGAAGTTTGCCTCCTTTTTTTATCTATGTGTCACATCATAAGTACAGTTATTGGCCTGTAGGTTTTAAGAAATATTCGTGAAGAAATGACAAATAAATGGAAAAAAATTCATGGTTTGTTCAATTACATATGAACCCAGTAGTGGTTTGATATGTAAGTTTGGGTGAAGTATCATTGAGGACAGAATGTATAAAGCATTGTTTGAACTTGGAAATAGGATGATAAATAAATAGCAGAGGGTAAAAGAAATTTGGCATCTAAAAGAAACAGAGAAAGTAAAGAGAAAAGGAGGGAGAAGGAGGAAGAAAGGGGGAAGAGAGAGAAAACACACATATATTCTCTTTAGCAATTGCAGGGTTTTTTAGGCTCTAGGCTATGAAAACTATTTGTTTTGCTTATTTTTATAATAAATTGCAACTTATTCCAAGTATTACTCAATTATTATTAAAGAATCTATCCCAGTAATCATATAATAGACAAAGTAAGACAAAGTCTTTATTTATTCCCTCATTTTGCTTCATTTTAGTCAAAAAAGGTTAAGACGAGATAAAGGAGAGGGCAGAGAAGAAAAAAATACGTGTATTTTTTATATTGAAAGAGTGAAATCTTGGAAGGAAGTATTTTAGAGAAACAGTCATCAGGAGATATAAGTTCAAATTCAACTTTTGACATTAATTAGTTCAGCAGCCTTGGGGAAAACACTCATCTTCATTGCACTCAGATGCTATAACCATAAAAATCACAGAGCACAATGAAGGTAAATTCTACCTTGCTCTAAAAACTGCACTCTTCTTCTTAGTGTAACCAGTGAAGATGGCAAGAGTGAAATATCAGGGGTGAAAACATCCCAGACTCTCTGGATTCAGCCCAGTATGTTTCTGGCTAATTCATTAGTACTGCATTATAAACTCCTGATAATGCAGTTTATTATTTTTGTGGTTTACTGCACTGGCTCATTTTCCATTTGTAATTTTTATTTTCCTCCATAATAACCCCTTGAAACAATTCTCAATTTAATGGAAAGAGGATTGGTCTAGCTATTGGAAAAATAAAGTTTCTAATCCTTCTACCAAAGAGTTCTCTAATTCAGGAAAATAATTTCACTATTTGGAACTCAGTTTCATCCTTCAATCACATATTTGTCCCTTCCACAAATACTTATTGAGTATCTACTACATACTAGGTAATGTTTCTTCACCAGCAAAATTATATTTTACTACACAGTGCTGTATATCCTAAGGTACTTTCCAGTTCATGAATACAATGTTATTCAATTCTGTTTCTGATTATATTCCAATTCCCAAAGCTACAAATTTAAGGTTCACCCTTAAGAAGTCATCAGAATGATGACTGATCATTTCTCCAAATGCATTCTATTTCTTCCTTAGTATTCAGAGGGCTGGTTTCAACTTCCTTCTCTTTCATTGCTTAGGGTTTGCTTCTGTATTCTCATTCAAATCCCCACCTGGCTAAGTTCAACTGGCCAATTATTGCAAGGCCAAAAGGAAATGGCACATTCAAAAGTAATTTGAAAATATAAAACACAGCTAAAACTGAGTCATTATTACTGCCTCCAAACTCAAGTGGTAAAAGGAAAGCAACTCATAGAAACTCCACAAATCAAATGCTTCTGTTCAAAATTATCTAGTTAAGTTCTTATGTAATTCACTGGGTTCAAATACAGATGCCAAGACAGTGGATGAAGTTCTACACCACAGTTCTTACAAAAATGCCCAGTAGTCTTAGGAACGCAGCCTATTTTGAGAAAATATTGATATGCTACTAAATAACTTTAATTTCAAAAATTTTAATTAAATTTAATTTAAATCAAACTTCCTTAAAACTTTAGTGTTGATTATAAAAAAAATCTATGTTCCAACCTCTCAGAAGAAAGCTGATTATATTTTGTTTTCAATGTAAATCAGTTTGTGCTCTCAGTAGAAATCCTTACCTCTTACCTCACAAGGAAAATAGCAAGCATCAGATAATAACTCTCTCAATTTCCCATTGCACAGCTACAGACAAATCTGCTCCCATTTCTGTCCTTCCTTCTTCTCCTCCCTACCTTCCTTCCTCCATTCTTTTTTTCTTCCTTCCTTTGTCTCGCAGTGCTCTGTGTCCCATGGTTTGTGTGCACTGGACAGACCAGGACTGTGTAACACACACATTCCTAATTGTTTACTCATCTGGCTTTATCAGTCCTCAGCCCTTCATCTTGTATCTTTAATATTTCTTTCCATGATGGCTCCTTCTAGTAAACATATCTGAGAGTCTTTCTCATTTAAACAGTGGCTTCTATTCCCCTAGCCACAGCCCAATTTTTCACCTTCCTATCATAGCCAAGCTTCTTAATAGAATTGTATATCATCACTCATTCACTCTAAAATCAACAGTGTTTAGGTTTTTGTTCCCACCATATCCACAAATCTACCCTCACTTCAAGAATCTACTTTAATTGCCAAATCAAATAGGCAATATTCATTTACCTTGCTCGAATTATTAGAAGCAATTGCTATTTTTGACCACTACCTCCACTGTACCTCCTCTATTCTTGGCTGTAGAAACAGCGTCTTCTCCTGGCTTTCCTTCTTTGGTTTCTGTATCTTCTCCGTAACAGGTTCAATATTTTCTATTCATGCCTTGAACATCATCTGTTCCACAACTACCACTTTCAACTTTTTTCTCAATCTTAACACCCTCCTTGTGCATGGCATCAAATTCATGATGATGACTCATAGTTCTAAATATCTATGCCTCTGCACCCTCCTGACCTTTAAACCTACAAATGCCTATTGGACATGTTAACTTGGATTTCTCATGGTATCCTCAAAATAAATCTATCATTGGCTACTTTAAATAATGGCAGTACCACAGCAGATCTCCTTCCAATCTTTCTTATCAATTCTCTTTTACAGATCTGTGCACCACTCACAAAAAGGTGGGCTTTCAGTGGCCAGCACTTGCAGATTTTTGAGCCACAGTACCCAGAGGTGAAAGGAGACAGATCTTCCTGGACGATTACCACCCCAATCACCTGCACAGCTTTTTACCAATGACTGTGAGCAAGGGTGTAGAGAAGCCTAGTTGCCTTGCCTTCAGATAGGCTATCTCTGAGGCTTCATATTCCAGAAATCTCATTTAGGAACTTTACCTGAGGTTGCATGCTCACTGAGCTTTTTTTCACCTTCCTTATTTACTTCCCCCACTTCCTTGTCAGTGTCCTATGGCAATACGTCCTCAATAAACCACTTTCACTCAAATCTTTTACTCAAAATCTGCTTCCAGAGAACTCAACTCAAGACACCCTATCACAAAGACTTCAATTTTTTTCCCTAGTTTTGGTCAATATTATGGTTATTCTTTTTTTTTTCAAGTTAGAAATTTAGGAGTACCAGCAGGTATCTTAATCTGGATTATTAAAAATATCTCAACTTGTTCATATTGTACTCCTCACTCTTGCTCTTTAGTAATATGGAGCTATTTAAAATTCCCAGAATATATCAAGCTATCTCTAACTGTAATGTCATATAGCAGCCCAACCAAACCCCAAAATATAACTACAAAAGTTAAATTCATTTCCATGCTTCTGTGAAATTCTGCAGCTTTATTAAATAATATTATCTGCCTGAATTCTCAAGTTACAGAGGAAGAGGATATATTTTGGGTACAAGAATAGATCGGCTTAGAGTGACAAGGTGGTGACTTTGACCTGTCAGAGAGAAATATGTACCACATGTCTTAGATGAAAGAGAAGGAGGTGGTGATCATTGTTCAGGAATGAAAGTTACACAGACCAGAATGACAAACTTGCTCAACTTTCCAAGTGTGACTTGGACTATGGTGTATATGCCAGTAAGTCACTGAAAACTATGATCATTGCCTAAATAGCAGCACTAGTTTGAAATGTTAGAAATCAGAGGTATTCCAAGGAATCCCAATCTTTATTTCAACAAATTTGGATAATCTTGTCTAAATACTCTGCATTTCATCTTGATGTTTCTCCATTTCATCTCAAATCTTTCCTCTTCCCACACTATGAGGAGAGAAATGAAATGAGGAATCCAAATAATTGGAAGATAATATATGTAAAACTATACTTACCTGTACTTTACATTCATTTAAAAAATTAAACAAACACCTACTGTATGGCAGACATGGTGCTAGATGCTGCAGACACAGTAGTTGACAAAAGGGACAAGGTACCTGCCTTTGTGATATTTACTCTGCTGTGTAAACAACTAAAGAATAAGGTTCTCCTTTCATCCACCTCCAACTCTCCAGTGTCTCAAGTGTCTGAGACAACACTAAATAAATTTGTTAAATTAATGAATAAATAAACTCTAATGGTCCTTTATCAGCATGATACAGTAATACATCTTGTGCTTTACTATAGAATTCATTTCCTGAGAGTTTTTTTTAATTATACATTACACTGTTGCATTATCCCATCCCATGCATTTAACATGACCAAAGAAAAGAATCATTATGGTAACAGAAATAAGCTATTATGCTATCAACTACTATCCATAATTAGATGCACATACTTCCTTTTTAATTTCTCAGTGCTTATTCAGAAACAACTGTCATTGTAATTATCATTGACCTTGATATAATCCTCTCTTCAAATAAGGTACACCTGATGCATCAATTACCCTAAATTACTAAACTCTCAATGTAATTGAAAAGTAAACAATCAAAGAAAATAATCTATTGAATCGTATGACCAAATACACCCTCATACAAAAATGCAAATATGCTTTTCCTTGACTGCTAAAGATTGCAATTTATTTGAAATACCCAGCCCAAAGTGAATATCCATATTACTGTAATGTAAGCAAATTACTGGTAGCTCCCATCATGTGCTAGACTAGGGTCATATTTATGTGGCTCAAGTATGGTAGATAATTGCTGTCTTGCTAATTTGATCAGTTGGATAATTACATTAACTGGACTAACAAATATTAGTATCATTTATCTACATGACCATATTAAAGGTACTGAAACTAGTCCACTTAGTTTTCTTCAGTTGCATTAGCCCGTAGTTACAGTGTTAGATATCAAAATAGCTCAACCCTAAGAATAAATAGGATATTCAGAAAATATAGCCATGGTCTTCATGTGTCTGTTGACTACCGACAGTACCCTTGGCAAAGAGAGAATTGTACCCATCATTGATATACTTCAGGTCCTAGAATACTCATTTTCATTGTCTTATGGAATTTTGGATGGAATTATATAGATAATTGCCTCCATTTTCTATATCCTTTGAAAGTGAGTGTCTATGCTGCCACAATTCTGAAATGATTCAGAAAATAAGTTAACCAAGCACCTCAAATTTGTGGGAGGAAACAAGATTCTTCAATTATTTCTATGTGTGAACACTTAGAGACTTTTTTGTCCTGAATCCCAATATTTTTTACAAATACATAGAATGAAAGCAAAGTATATCATTTCACCAGTTAAGGCCAACAGGCACTTCTTGCTTGATCATATAGTCCATAATCAAAATAATATCTTTCTTAAGATATTGAAGTTTGAAAGAAAAAGATAGGCTTCTCCTTTAATGTAAATTAAAGTTACAGTTCTGCATCTATGTTTCCAAAAGAAAATCTAGTACTCATGCAAGAAACAAACATATACACTCATATACTTCCTTAATACCAAGGAAAAACACCTCTTAATATTGATAATTTATGTAAATTTAGTATTTAAAAGGTGGTTTTTAATGAGTACGGAACAAAAATTTGATGTCCACTTGTTACCATATTTAGAGCCAACTCTGACATCATAATAAAAATGATGGGATTAAAACGATAAGCATTTCAAGAGAAGGAAATAAAGTGAATAAAAGCACTTTAAGTGTCCAGGAGTTATCATTGTATCAAAACCCACATAACGTTATCAACTTTTGGATGTTTTTACCTTATTCTATTTATTTATCCCTGGACAGAATATCCACAACAAATGATACCTGTTGTATTAGTCTGCTTTCATGCTATGAATAAAGACATAACCGAGACTGGGCAGTTTACAAAAGATAGAGGTTTAATTGGACTTATAGTTCCACGTAGCTGGGGAAGCCTCACAATCATGGCAGAAGGCAAGGAGGAGCAAGTCACATCTTATATAGATGGCAGCAGGCAAAGAGAGAGCTTGTGCAGAGAAACTCCGGTTTTTAAAACCATCAAATCTTGTGAGACCCATTCACTATCACAAGAACAGCACCAGAACTACCCGCCCCCATGATCCAATCATCTCCCACTGAGTCCCTCTCACAACACGTGGGAATTATGAGAGCTACGAGATGAGATTTGGCTGGGGGCACAAAGCCAAACCATATCATCTGTCCAATCATTCTAAACTCACTGGAATTTATTAACATTCTTATTTGTATTTACTTATTATGGCAACTAAAACCTATAACCAACTCAAAACATGCCAAACAGGGAACATTATTCAGAAAAATATATATACTAAATATATTAACTTTGTGATTAGATGCTGCTTTAAAGAGCATGCCATTTTTGGCAAAAAAAAAAAAAAATATATATATATATATATATAAAATGGTAAGGATAAATCTTAAAAGATATGTTTAAAAAATTATAAATTTATGTGAAAATGGCAAAATATAACTGAGATAAATTAGAGAAGACTTAATTAAATAGAGAGATATATGGTGTTATATATGGTGTTCATGCAGTGAAAATTCAATACTGTTAGAAAGCAAATTCTCCCTAAATTCACCTATGAGTTCAATGCATTCCCAATCCAAAGTCCGGAAAGCTTTTCTTTTAATTTGATGAAGTCATTCTAAAATTCACATAGAAATGAAAAGGATTTCGGAGAGCTAAACCAACTTTTTGTTTTGTTTTGTTTTTTGTTTTTTCAGACGGAGTCTCCTTCTGTCGCCCAGGCTGGAGTGCAGTGGCACAATCTCGGCTCACTGCAAGCTCGGCCTTCTGGGTTCATGCCATTCTCCTTGCCCCAGCCTTTCGAGTAGCTGGGACTACAGGCACCCGCCACCACGCCCAGCTAATTTTTTATATTTTTAGTAGAGACGAGGTTTCACCGTGTTAGCCAGGATGGTCTCGATGTCCTCATCTCGTGATCCGCCTGCCTCGGCCTCCCAAAGTGTTGGGATTACAGGCGTGAGCCACGGTGCCCGGCCACTAAACCAACTTTGAAAAAGAACGAGGATAAAGGGCTAACACTAGCTGATTCCAAGAATTACTATAAAGCTACATTAATCAAGATAGTGTGGCATCACCCTCCAGATGGACAAATGGATCAATGGAATATTAAGAAATAACCTGCATATATGTGAACAACTGATTTTGACAATGGTGCAAAAGCTACAAAGTAGATAAAGAATAACCTCTCAACTACGTGCTGGAACAATTGGATATTCACATGCAACAAAAAAATTTAAACCCATACACAGCATGATAGACAAAAATGTATTCAAAATGAGCGATAGACCTAAACAGAAAACCTACACTATAAAATTTCTGGAAGAAAACCTAGGGAAAAAAAATCTTTGTAAACTTGTGTTAGCAAGAATTTATGAGATACAACACTAAAAGTCCAATCAATAAAAGAACAAATAAATTGGACTTCATCAAAATTAAAATGTCCTGTTCTTGAAAAAAACACTGTTGCCGGGCACGGTGTGGCTCACACCTGTAATCCCAGCACTTTGGGAGGCCGAGGCAGGCGGATCACAAGGTCAGGAGATCAAGACCATCCTGGCTAACACGGTGAAATCCCGTCTCTACTTAAAAAAAAAAAAAAAGAAAAAAAAAATTAGCCGGGCATGGTGGCAGGCGCCTGTAGTCCCAGCTACTTGGGAGGCTGAGGCAGCCTGGGCAATAGAGCAAGACTCCGTCTCAAAAAACAAAACAAAACAAACAAACAAAAAAAACACTGTTAAGAGAATGAAAAGATAGACTCAATCTAGGGGAAAGCATTTGCAAAGAATATATCCTACAAAAGACATGTGTTTAGAACACATAAATAACTCTTAAAATATTTTTTTTAAAAACAGACTTTTTAAAATGGGCAAAATATTTGAACAGACACTTCACCAAAAAATAACAGTCAATTCTTATTAATGACTACAGTTATGTTCTGTAAACTGTCAGTGAACACTGACTTAGGGAATACTGAACCATTGCTACTAGGGGAAATAAGTACATAGATAGGTATATAGAGAGATAGATATAGACATATCTCACATAGATTATAATCTTAAATTCTAAAAATGACTCACCCTGGTCAATTCTATTTTTCTTTTCTTTTTTTTTTTTTTTACAGAAGAGAAAATAAGGTTCAACAATGTGAAATGCTTGCCTGAGCCCACCACATTAACAAGTGCCAGAGTTGGAATTCGAACCCCATTGCAACTAACTCTGAGGTTCTTCTGGCACTATACTGCACTTGCCCTTACTCTCTTCATCTTCTGGCCACCTCTGTATAAGAGGCTATTCATATTCTTGTTGTATTATTAAGAATTCTCCAGAAAAACAAAACTGATAGCATATACATAAATATATAAGAGGGAACTAGTTAGAGGAATTGGCTTATGCAATTATGGAGACCAAAATGTACCACAATCTGTTATCTGTAAGCTGGAGAATCAGACATCCCTGTGGTGTAATTCAGTCTGAGTCCAAAGGCCTGTGAACCTAGAGGACTGCTGCTCTAAGGTCCAAAAGTCAAAGACCTGAGAACCTGGATTTCTGTTGTTCAAGGACAGTAGAAGATGGATGTCTCAGTTCCAGAAGAGAGTGAATTTGCCCTTTCTCTGCCTTTTGTTCTATCCAGGCCTTTAGAGGATTAGATGATACTCCTCATCTAATCACACGTTGGTGAAGGTGGATCTTCTTTATTCACTCCACTGAATACTGATGCTCAGTAATAAAAAGAAATGCATTTTGATATGTACAACATTGTAGGACGAATCTCAAAATACATATGCTAAGTGAAAGAAGCCAGACCAAAAAGATTGCATACTGTGTGATTCAACATACATAAAATTTCAGGAAACATAAACTAATGCTTAGTAACAGAATTCAGATCAGGAGTTTGGTGAGTGGAGCAGCAGGCAGGGACAACAAAGAGGCATGATTAATCTTTTGGAAAGAATGGATAGGTACAATATGCTGTTGTAATAATGGTTCCATGGATGTATACCTATGTCAGAACTTAAACTGTGTAGTTGAAATATGTGCAATTTATTGTGTGTAAATGAAACCTAATAAAGCCGTTTAATCTTTCTGTGATGTCTTAGGTAAGATTCCTCAAGAAACACTCTGAAAGGGGATGTGAGTGCAGAAATGTATTCGGTAATTCACTGGAGAAAAACACCTAGGAAGGAGTGACAAAGCAGAGAAGTAGGAAGCTTTGGAGTTGTCCCAAATTGATGAGAGAGATCTGATTATTTGCACCTCTGCTTCAACCAGCCTTTGTATTTCAGCTGTCTCTAGGGAAAGGGCAGAACCTTCATGAAGCAGTTTCCTTCAGCCAATGGCAATCCCCTGAGAGTGACACAGCTGTGAAATATCTATACACAATATTTTCAGCAACTTGGGAATGATTGCCTGAATCTGGATAACACATCGTAACATCCATCAACCTATATTTATCATTTCTCTCCTCATTTTCTACTACTACCTATTAGGATTCCTCTGAGCCTCAAAAATGCTCCAAATGCTTTCTTCTCTCATTGTGTCCCAGAAGCCTACTAACTCCTGATTATAGGATCAATTGCCTGTCCTATGAGAGTGATTCCTTAACTTCTTGCTAGTATGCCATAAGAAGCTCAGAATAACTGAGTGGCATCTATAGCATAAAACTTAATGGGAATCCCCTTGTGACCCCTATTAGAGGGTACCCCTTCTGAGAATCAACTTTAAATCCCAGGGTTGTGAGGCCATAATGCACAAATTTCCCCAAGCGGATCATAAAGAGTATAGCCATTCATAATTCAACCCCTTGGTTCTTGGGCCAGTATAATCTACCTACTAGTGACAGGGTATTATATGATTATTTATGTAGGTGTATACTCTACAGGATGATGTTTCCTTCCTGCAGGGTATCTTCTCCAAACTCACTCATTAGTTCTGCTTTCAAAAAAGCATTCAATAATTCTAGCAGGTCAGCCGTTGTCACTGCAGGACAAATACTCTGAAAGCTCTTAGTGAACGGTGCTTTCTGAGACTCCATGAGCAAGAAGGAAATCAACTTGTTACCAGTTTGCAAGCTGGCCAGTTGATCTCTTTGAAGGATGGTGCTATATGAGGGAACACACTTGGGATTCTGTAGTATATTTGTCAGGTTGTACAATAGCTACAGTGGCTTGATCAGACTTAGCCAGGGAAAGCCCATGCCCCTTGTTCCACACATAGCCTCCATCTCTACCACCATGGTTTCTCTGACTAGAAGCCCATTATTCCAGCACCAGGGTGGCTGAACAAGAGTCTGACTAATATCAGCTAGCCTAGTCATATGCCTTATTAGGCTTCTAGGGCCTGTTTTGTGATGGATGGTTTCTGCTTATACGGACATTTTGTGCCCATTCCCACAGCCCATCTGCATGCCTCCTCCTCAGACTTCTTTCAATCTTTCTTCTTCTAGGTCTCTATTCTACAGCCTTATCAAGGTAAAATTAACAAACAAAAATGTTAAATGTTTGATGTGTACAATGTGATGTTTTAATATATTTATATATTGCAAAATGATACCACAATCAAGCTAATTAACATATCTATCACTTCTCATAATTACCATTGTGTGTGTCTGTGTGTATGTGTGTGTGCCATAATAACAATAAAGATCTATTCTCTTAGTGAAGCTCAAGTAGAAAATATGTTATTATTGGCTATAGTCACCATGATTTATATTAGGTCTCCAGAATTTATTCATCTTATAACTTAGTTTATATCTTTTGATCAACATTTCCCCTGGTAGCCACCCTATTTCTATGAATTAGACTTTTTTAGATTTCACATATATGTGAGCACATGCAGCATTTGTCTTTCTGTGCCTTGCTTCATTTAATATAATGTCCTTCAGTTTCCTCATTACTGTCTTTCAGCACCATGCCTGAGTGAGGTTATAACTTAGCAGCAGTCCATTTACAGTTCACATTCATATATCAAGCCAATTTGTATTTCAGTTAAGTTTGAACTTTTTTTCATACTAAGAACTTTAGTATGAAGTGAGAGTGCTGTAACTAACAGTGGTGAATTACATGAGGGGTTGAGCCACTTGTTCATGTAACTTACATGTGCCCCCATGTTGCAGGAAGTCAGTGACCCCGAATGGAGGGACTGGCTGGAGCCACAGCAGAGGAACATAAATTGTGAAGATTTCATCTTAATATGGACATTTATCAGTTCCCAAACGATACTTTTATAATTTCTTATGCCTGTCTTTAATCTCTTAATCTTGTTTTCTTTGTAAGCTGAGGATGTACGTCGCCTCAGGACCACCGTGATAATTGTGTTAACTGTACAAATTGATTGTAAAACATGTGTGTTTGAACAATATAAAATCAGTGCACCTTCAAAAAGAACAGAATAACAGTGATTTTTATGGAACAAGGGAAGACAACCATAAGGTTTGACTGCCTGTGGATTTGGGCAAAAAGAGCCATATTTTTCTTCTGCAGAGAGCCTATAAATGGACGTGCCAGTAAGAGAGATATCGCTAAATTCTTTTCCTAGCAAGGAATATTAATATTAATACCCTGGGAAAGGAATGCATTCCTGGGGGGAGGTCTATAAATGGCTGCTCTGGGAATGTCTGTCTTGTGCAGTTGAGATAAGGACTGAGATACGCCTTGGTCTCCTGCTTACTAGGGTGGGGAAAAACTCCACCCTGGTAAATTTGTGGTCAGACCAGTTCTCTGCTTTCAAACCCTGTTTTCTGTTGTTTATGATGTTTATCAAGACAATACATGCACCACTGAACATAGACCCTTATCGGTGGTTCTGCTTTTGCCCTTTGCCTTGTGATCTTTGTTGGGCCCTTATCAGTGGTTCTGCTTTTGCCCTTTGTCCTGTTCCCTCAGAAGCATGTGATCTTTGTTAGACCCTTATTAGTGGTTCTGCTTTTGCCCTTTGAAGTGTGTGATCTTTGTACCTACTTCCTGTCCTTACATCCCCTCCCCTTTTGAAACCCTTAATAAACACTTGCTGGTCTGAGACTCAGGTGGGCATCATGGTCCTACCGATATGTGATGTCACCCCTGGCAGCCCAGCTGTAAAATTCCTCTCTTTGTACTGTCTCTCTTTATTTCTCAGCCAGCCAACACTTATGGAAAATAGAAAGAACCTATGTTGAAATATTGGGGGCGGGTTCCCCCAATACCCCGACCGTCCTCATGCCCCATCACAGAAATACCACTTCCATCTTATCAACTGGTGCTGCACACCTGTCCCTCAACTTTTACCTTTGTCAACTGATTCGCCTGAGATAACCCAGCTCACGATGGAAAGTTCTGGCAACTTTGTCATTTGATATCAAAGTGTGCCTCATCTACCCAGGTCCAGTAGGATGCTTAGCACTGTTTGACTAGCGTAGAACATACTGCTATAGATGGCACAGCACTGCTCCAGAAGTCTAAAGGTCTTTGTTGTAATTCTCCAGGCAGGGTTTGACATAAACTTCCTATGGCATCTTTTCCCAACACAGTTACTCCTAATAGCACAAGGTCTACTGGGGAGTATAGCACAGTGTCAAGGCAGTTTGCACCACAACTTAGACCAACTTCAGACTCCTTTATTCTATTAGTCTCACTCAAAGTCTGTGGCTTTTCTTGTCACTCAGTAAATTGGCCAAAGAATTTCCAAATATAATATTATGCTGCCTCCGGAGCCCAAAATGACCTACCAGTCATTGTACTTCCTTCTTCATAGTGGGAGGTGTGAGATGCAATCATTTAGGCTTTACATTGGAAGGGATGTCTCAGCATGCTTCAGATCACTGGATCCCTAAAAATTTCACTGATGTGTCAGGCCCATGAATTTTCATAGGCTTTATCTCACACCTGCTAAAGCACATATGCTCCAATATTCTTGTCACTTCTTTTCATCTGGTCCCAACATGATATTCTGAGGAATGTCCAGACAGCCCATTTTTTTTTTTGGATTGTATTATGACAGAGAGCAAAAAAGTTAACATAGCCCTTAAACAAGACGATAAATGTATAGTGCTGCCTATCCCACAAGAGTATAGATTATTTTCTGAACTAAGGATGAAAATGAATGCATTCTCCAAATCAAAGAGCCAATAACTCTGACAGATACAATTCAATATGTAGATTTTTCCCTGGGTGGAAACTTCACATCTATTATGAGAGTATTAAACACCTCAATGGTTAAGAATCACTATTCTAAGAAGATAACTCATATAACCCATAATAATCATTTTATTAAAGCCTCAAAATCTTTTCAACATTATAAAAAGCATTAGCTAAAGCAAATCTATAATTGTCAACTTTAAATGTCAGCTTGATTAGGCTAAGGGATGTCCAGATAGCTGGTAAAATATTGTTTCTAGATATGTCTATGAGGGTGTTTTTGAAAGAGATTAGCATTTGAATCAGTAGAATAAGTAAAGAAGATCCATTTTCAGTCTTTACCAATGTGGGCAGGCCAATCCATTGAAGATCCAAATAGAATGAAAAGGCAGAAGGGTGAATTCGCTGTCTCTGCTTGAGCTGAGACTATCCATCTTTTCTCCTGTCCCAAGACATAAGTATTCCTGGACTCAGACTAGGACTGATACCACCACCAGGCCCTATTCTCAGGTTTTCAGATTCCCACTGAATTACACTGAGTGTTCATGTTTCTCCAACTTGCAAATGGCAGAAAATGATAGTTTTTGGCCTCTACAACCACTTGAGATAATTCCTATTATATATATGTATAATCTATTAGTCTGTTTCTCTGGATAATTCTGAGTAATATAAAATCACATGCCAAAAAACTTAAACACATTTACATGCATGCACATTTAACTTTCTCTGCATTCTGTCCTGGTGGTACTTTGTCTGACTTCTGCTAATTATCAGTCTTATTTGTGAGTTAATCTTCCTGTAATCATCATTAAATGTTAGGGTCACATGCTTTATCACAGTAAACTTCTTTAAGCCCAGGCCTATACATTCAGTAACTTTCTGATGACGTGCAAATTTACATTTACCCAGCACCTTCATTTTCAATGAGCTCCAGAAATAACTGCTTATTGAATTTCCACTTGAATGTTCCATGGTGCATTTAATTGAACATTTCCACAATTGAGCTTATCATTTTATCATCCCTTTCCCTCTCTCACTCCCTAATCTCTCCACATCTGAAATCCCTTGTCACAGTAGATAGCAGTACTATTCAAAAGTCATCCAAGTCAGAAGCCTAAAAATTATTCTAGATGCCTATTTATCACTAACTTCTCACATCCAACCAGTGTACATCTTGAACATTCCATCTTTCTAAATATGTGTTAATTACCCACCTCAACATTTCAGTAACAATGCCATAGCTTTGATATTCATTAGTACCACCATGAATCATGTATTTTTCCTGACTTTCCTCCAGTATGCCCTCTCTTCTAATCTAGCCTCCAAACTGTTCCTACAAGGATATTTCTAAAATGCAGATACATCACTCTTCTTCATAAATCCTCATTAATTTTAGTATAAATGTAAACACCTATTCGGATTAAAAAAGCCCTTCATGATCCTAGCTGTGATTTTCTTGCTCCCCCTTGCTATATTTATTCTGGGCTCCAGTATGCAATTTCCTGAATGAGCCTTTCAGGTTTATGTGTTGGTAACTTCACACAACCTTGTGTATCTTCCAGAAACTGACCTTGCCCTCCTTTTCACAGAGCTGGCTGACATTTGTCTTCCAACATTCAGTTCTAAGGTCACATCTTCTGGAAAGCCTTTTCCAACATACCAACAGATATGGTATGCTTACCTCTTTAGAAACACTCAATCCTCACCACTATAGCATTTATTATACTGTACTATTACCATTACTTTTTGCAGTCTTCAACAGATGGTAAGACAAGTAATTTCTTACACTGGACTTTATGTCACCAGTACCTAATACAATACCAGTAATTAATTGCCAGTAATTAATTTTTTAAATAATGATAATCTGACTTCATTCAAATACCCAGGAAAACTCTTCTAGAACTCCTTCTTCTATCAAGACTCACTAGTCTAAAATGCAAAGAGAAATATGATAAAAGAGGACAAATTATAGTGATTCTGGTCATTGAATTTTTCTTGTATTTTTCTTTCTAGTTTTCTATCCTCTTACATTCCAGCGTATTGTGAAACTACTATACTTAACACCTGCTATATTTTTGTGAAAGCTGACTGAGCAGCATGCTCCCTTCTTTTAATAAATTTACTACTATATTTCTAACCAGATACTAAGTATTAATTATTGTTGTAGGATCTTCCACATATTTTCCAATATTTCCAGTATATTCCAATGTAATATGTTATATATGTTGTGATATTTTCATTACAAAATAAATATATTCTACTCTCCTTTTCTTTCAAATGAATATTTTTTCTTATTTATAAATTATAAAAATAAAAGGCCAAATTGTAAAACCTGTTTATTAGTCTGTTTTCACATTGCTGATAAAGACATACCTGAGACTGGGAAGAAAAAGATGTTTAACTGGACTTACAGTTCCACATGGCTGGGGAGGCCTCAGAATCATAGCAGGAGGCAAAAGGCACTTCTTTCATGGCAGCGGCAAGAGAAAATGAGGAAGATGCAAAAGTGGAAACCCTCAATAACACCATCAGCTCTCATGGGACTTATTCACTACCACAAGAACAGTAGAGGGAAAACTGCCCACATGATTCAAATTATCTCCCACCAGGTCCCTCCCACAACATGTGGGAATTATGGGAGCACAATTCAAGATAAGATTTGGGTGGGGACACAAAACCAAAACATATCAACCTGTTTTACTAATTAATTTTCTTCTATGGATATCTAAGCTATGAAGATATAGCATAGAAGACATAATTTTATATATGAATTACTTATATATTTTCTTTATATATCTTCCACTCATCCATTCTAATTTCAGGTCAGAATAAATTATCTGGAAAAGCCACAAATGGCAAATACATTATTTACAGTGTTAGAAAATAGTTCCTTTTGTCCTAACATGGTTTTTTTCCTGTTTCAGAATTCATCAATGCCAGGAATTTTTCTAGGTCTAGGGAGGCAGCAATGAAAAAAACGGAAAAGCCTCTCTGTTCTTATAGATAGACATATAGATAGACTTAGACATATAAAGACATAGACATAGGTAGAGGCATAAATATAGATGTACACACAGATATAGGGTTAGCGATATAGACATAGACATAGGCGTATATAAATATATATATATATATATATATATATATATATATATATATATATATATATATAATGTCAAGTGGTGAGAAAAGCAATGAAGAGGGTACCAAGTCAATAAGAGAAAAAATGATAATGCATGGGGTGCAACATTAGTAAGCCTCTCTGATAATATGAAATTGACACAGAGACCTGAAGAGTATAAGTGAACAAGCTGGTTGTACAGTCCACCTGGTGTAAAAGTAATATAAAAAGAATGAACAACAATGTTAAACCCTAAGAACACAGTTGATATATTTAAGGAAACGCTAGGAGGTTAGTGTGGCTGGAGTGGAGTGAGCAAAAAGGATTGTGGTCAAATATGAGGTCAGACTGGAGACTGGGGGTAAAATTATTTAGAACATTATAGGTCATAATTAGAAAATTTGGTATAGTATGCTTTAAATTTAAAATATCACTTTGGTTGGTATATACATAAAAGATTGCAAGGGCAACTGCAAGGATGGAAACAGAAGACCTGTTAGAAGGCAAATGTAATAATCCCTGTGAGAAAGCATGGTGGCAGTGGAAGTGTTGAGAAACAGTCTTGGTGAGCTGACGATCTAGAAGTGCAGTATGAAAGAAAGAAAGAAAGGAGAGTATTAAGGATGAATTCAAAGTTTATAACTGAGCAACTTGAAGAATGAAATTTCAAATGACAGAAATGGGGGAATTTTAAGGGAGAACAAGTTTGGAGAAATAGGAATCAGCTGTTTTGTTTTTAGGGTGCTAGTATAATGTGCCTGTTAGATGTGTAAGATGTTGGACAGATGGTTGAGTTCACTGAAAAGAACCAACCTGAATATACAGCAGTTGTGGCAGCCATTGTTGATGGCTTACCACATCCTCTCATCATCTATCATTTTACTTGCATTTGTCCAACTTCCAACTGTCAGTACCTGTGACTCAGCTTCAGGGTTTTCTCTGGCAATTGGCTTGCCTACAATTGTGGCAGGCAGGAAGTGCCCCCTGGCACTTTAAAGAGGAAAAGATTTAAGAAGGAAAGATTAAGGATGTCAAATGCCATGGCTCTGGCAAAATAGTGATGTCTAGGGACAAACCATGGGATTTGACAGCAGAAGAGGGTGGGGACAGATGCCTAAATGACTTGATTTTCTGGAAAGTTAAATGAGAGAAATTTAAATTTTCTCTCTGGTATTCTCTTTAGTCAGATTTTTTGAAAAGTAGATTAATTATAAAAAAGTCATGTGGTGACTCAGGCCTGTAATCCCAGCAGTTTAGGAGGCTGAAGCAGACGGATCACCTGAGGTCAAGAGTTCGAGACCACTCTGAACAACACAGTGAAACCCCATCTCTACTAAAAATACAAAAATTGGCCATGCCTGATGGCGGGTGCCTGTCATCCCAGCTAATCCAGGGGTTGGAGTGGGAGAATTGCTTGAACCTGGAAGGCAGAGGTTGCAGTGAGCCAAGATTGCATCACTGCACTCTAGCCTGGGTGACAGAGTGAGACTCCATCTCAACAAAAATAAATAAATAAAAAGTGACTCAGGTTACTGTGTGAAGAGTGGATTATATTAGTGAAAGTGTAGAAGCAAGAAGACCAAAGAGAACTATTATTTTAGTTGAAATAAAATATAATTATGTCTTGGATGAAACTAAAAAAACAATGGAAAAAACAGGAGGATATGTTTTGAAGATAGAGTCAAACTTATTTGTTCTGATATGGAGAACAGGCTGAATAGAGGAATTGAGGTTAACTTTTAAATTATTTGCTTGAGCTAATGGATGAATTAAGGGACTTTTTTTGGTATAGGAAAGAATAAAGGTAGTGGATTAGTGTAGGGAAGTAGGGATCAAGAGTGTTTTTTTTTTTGGCTATGGTTATTCTCAGATTCCTGTAAGACATCCATGTGGAAATGTCCAGTAGGAAGTTGGATATTAATATAATGACCAGAAAAATACTATAAATGAAAATATAGATTTGGGAATCGTAAGTACATATAAAGAGATTGAAAGATATAGAAATAAATTTGTCTACCTACTGAGAGATTGTCAAACCTTGAGAGATTACATATACTAAATCTCTCAAGATTTTCGTATAATGTATATGAAAAGGAGAAGAGATCATAGAATAAAGGTTAAACAGGCAAGAGAAATCAGAGCCTGGGAAAAAAGGCTAGATCATGAAAGACAAGATGAGAAGAAATTCTTTCAAGGAGGAGCTGGTTAATTAAGTCATATGGTGATGGGGTGGAGGTCAGATAAGTAAGTGACCCTGGATTTAGCAGCATGGGTGTCCCTGTTGACCTTTACAGGAACAGTCTCAGTGGTATAACAGGGCAGAAACCAGAGTAGAGTGGGCTGAGGAGAGACCAGGAGGAGACTAAGTAGACACAGTGACTACAAAAACTCTTTTAAGAAGTTTTATTCTGAAGGAATGATAGCAGGAGGGAGACTGGATATCAAAGCAGGATCATTTACTTAAGAAAAGGGATGTTACTGTCTGGCAGCCAAGATGGCCGAATAGGAACAGTTCTGGTCTACAGCTCCCAGCGTGAGCGACACAGAAGACGGGTGATTTCTGCATTTCCATCTGAGTTACCAGGTTCATCTCACTAGGGAGTGCCAGACAGTGGGCACAGGTCAGTGGGTGCAGCGCACCGTGTGCAAGCCAAAGCAGGGCAAGGCACTGCCTCACTCGGGAAGTGCAAGGGGTCAGGGAGTTCCCTTTCTTAGTCAAAGAAAGGGGTGACAGACGGCACCTGGAAAATCAGGTCACCCCCACCCTAATACTGCGCTTTTCCGGTGGGCTTAAAAAACAGCGCACCAGGAGATTATATCCCTCACATGGCCTGGAGGGTCCTAGGCCCATGGAGTCTCACTGATTGCTAACACACCAGTCTGAGATCAAACTGCAAGGTGGCAGCGGGGCTGGGGGAGGGGCGCCCGCCATTGCCCAGGCTTGCTTAGGTAAACAAAGCAGCCAGGAAGCTCAAACTGGGTGGAGCCCACCACAGCTCAAGGAGGCCTGCCTGCCTCTGTAGGCTCCACCACTGGGGGCAGGGCACAGACAAACAAAAAGACAGCAGTAACCTCTGCAGACTTAAATGTCCCTGTCTGACAGATTTGAAGAGAGCAGTGGTTCTCCCAGCACGCAGCTGGAGATCTGAGAACAGGCAGACTGCCTCCTCAAGTGGGTCCCTGACCCCTGAACCCCGAGCAGCCTAACTGGGAGGCACCCCCAAGTAGGGGCAGACTGACACCTCATAGGGCCAGGTACTCCTCTGAGACAAAACTTCCAGATGAATGATCAGACAGCAGCATTCGTGGTTCATGAAAATCCGCTGTTCTGCAGCCACCACTGCTGATACCCAGGCAAACAGTGTCTGGAGTGGACCTCTAGCAAACTCCAACAGACCTGCGGTTGAGGGTCCTGTCTGTTAGAAGGAAAACTAACAAACAGAAAGGACATCCACACCAAAAACCCATCTGTACATCACTATCATCAAAGACCAAAAGTAGATAAAACCACAAAGATGGGGAAAAAACAGAATAGAAAAACTGGAAACTCTAAAAAGCAGAGCGCCTCTCCTCCTCCAAAGGAATGCAGTTCCTCACCAGCAACGGAACAAAGCTGGATGGAGAATGACTTTGATGAGTTGAGAGAAGAAGGCTTCAGATGATCAAATTACTCCGAGCTACAGGAGGAAATTCAAACCAAAGGCAAAGAAGTTGAAAACTTTGAAAAAAATTTTGATGAATGTATAACTAGAGTAACCAATACAGAGAAGTGCTTAAAGAAGCTGATGGAGCTGAAACCAAGGCTCAAGAACTACGTGAAGAATGCAGAAGCCTCAGGAGCTGATGCGATCAACTGGAAGAAAGGGTATCAGTGATGGAAGACGAAATGAATGAAATGAAGCGAGAAGGGAAGTTTAGAGAAAAAAAGAATAAAAAGAAATGAACAAAGCCTCCAAGAAATATGGGACTATGTGAAAAGACCAAATCTATGTCTGATTGGTATACCTGAAAGTGATGGGGAGAATGGAATCAAATTGGAAAACACTCTGCAGGATATTATCCAGGAGAACTTCCCCATTCTAGCAAGGCAGGCCAACATTCAGATTCACGAAATACAGAGAACTCCACAAAGATACTCCTCGAGAAGAGCAACTCCAAAACACATAATTGTTCAGATTCACCAAAGTTGAAATGAAGGAAAAAATGTTAAGGGCAGCCAGAGAGAAAGGTCTGGTCACCCACAAAGGGAAGCCCATCAGACTAACAGCCGAAATCTCGGCAGAAACTCTACAAGTCAGAAGAGAGTGGGGGCCAATATTCAACATTCTTAAAGAAAAGTATTTTCAACTCAGAATTTCATATCCAGCCAAACTAAGCTTCACAAGTGAAGGAGAAATAAAATACTTTACAGACAAGCAAATGCTGAGAGATTTTGTCACCACCAGGCCTCCCCTAAAAGAGCTCCTGAAGGAAGTACTAAACATGGAAAGGAAAAACCTGTACCAGCCACTGCGAAAACATGCCAAATTGTAAAGACCCTCAAGGCTAGGAAGAAACTGCATCAACTAACAAGCAAAATAACCAGCTAACATCATAATGACAGGATCAAATTCACACATAACAATATTAACTTTAAATGTAAATGGACTAGATCAAATTCACACATAACAATATTAACTTAAATGTAAATGGACTAAATGCTCCAATTAAAAGACAAAAACTGGCAAATTGGATAAAGAGTGAAGACCCATCAGTGTGCTGTATTCAGGAAACCCATCTCACGTGCAGAGACACACATAGGCTCAAAATAAAAGGATGGAAGAAGATCTACCAAGCAAATGGAAAACAAAAAAGGCAGCGCTTGCAATCCTAGTCTCTCATAAAACAGATTTTAAACCAACAAAGATCAAAAGAGACAAAGAAGGCCATTACATAATGGTAAAGGGATCAATTCAACAAGAAGAGCTAACTATCCTAAATATATATGCACCCAATACAGGAGCACCCAGATTCATACAGCAAGTCCTGAGTGACATACAAAGAGACTTAGACTCCCACACAATAATAATGGGAGACTTTAACACCCCACTGTCAACATTAGACAGATCAATGAGACAGAAAGTTAACAAGGCCACCGAGGAATTGAACTCAGCTCTGCATCAAGCGGACCTAATAGACATCTACAGAACTCTCCACCCCAAATCAACAGAATATACATTTTTTTCAGCACCACACCACACCTATTCCAAAACTGACCACATACTTGGAAGTAAAGCTCTCCTCAGCAAATGTAAATGAACAGAAATTATAACAAACTGTCTCTCAGACCACAGTGCAATCAAACTAGAACTCAAGATTAAGAAACTCACTCAAAACCGCTCAACTACATGGAAACTGAACAACCTGCTCCTGAATGACTACTGGGTACATAACGAAATGAAGGCAGAAATAAAGATGTTCTTTGAAACCAATGAGAACAAAGACACAACATAGCAGAATCTCTGGAACACATTCAAAGCAGTGTGTAGAGGGAAATTTATAGCACTAAATGCCCACAAGAGAAAGCAGGAAAGATCCAAAATTGACATCCTAACATCACACTTAAAAGAACTAGAAAAGCAAGAGCAAACACATTCAAAAGCTAGCAGAAGGCAAGAAATAACTAAAATCAGAGCAGAACTGAAGGAAATACAGACACAAAAAACCCTTCAAAAAATTAATGAATCCAGGAGCTGGTTTTTGGAAAGGATCAACAAAATTTATAGACTGCTAGCAAGATTAATAAAGAAGAAAAGAGAGAAGAATCAAATAGATGTAATAAAAAATGATAAAGGGGATACCACCATCGATCCCATAGAAATACAAACTACCATCAGAGAATACTATAAACACCTCTACAGAAATAAACTAGAAAATCTAGAAGAAATGGATAAATTCCTGAACACATACACCCTCCCAAGACTAAACCAGGAAGAAGTTGAATCTCTGAATAGACCAATAACAGGCTCTGAAATTGTGGCAATAATCAATAGCTTACCAACCAAAAAGAGCCCAGGACCAGATGGATTCACAGCCGAATCCTACCAGAGGTATAAGGAGGAACTGGTACCATTCCTTCTGAAACTATTCCAATCAATAGAAAAAGAGGGAATCCTCCCTAACTCATTTTATGAGGCCAGCATCATCCTGATACCAAAGCTGGGCAGAGACACAACCAAAAAAGAGAATTTTAGACCAATATCCTTGATGAACATTGATGCAAAAATCCTCAATAAAATATTGGCAAAACGAATCCAGCAGCACATCAAAAAGCTTATCCACCATGATCAAGTGGGCTTCATCCCTGGGATGCAAGGCTGGTTCAATATATGCAAATCAATAAATGTAATCCAGCATATAAACAGAACCAAAGACAAAAACCACATGATTATCTCAATAGATGCAGAAAAGGCCTTTGACAAAATTCAACAACCCTTCATGCTAAAAACTCTCAATAAATTAGGTATTGATGGGATGTATCTCAAAATAATAAGAGCTATCTATGACAAACCCACAGCCAATATCATACTGAATGGGCAAAAACTGGAAGCATTCTGTTTGAAAACTGGCACAAAACAGGGATGCCCTCTCTCACCACTCCTGTTCAACATAGTGTTGGAAGTTCTGGCCAGGGCAATTAGGCAGGAGAAAGAAATAAAGGGTATTCAATTAGGAAAAGAGGAAGTCAAATTGTCCCTGTTTGCAGATGACATGATTGTATATTTAGAAAACCCCACTGTCTCAGCCCAAAATCTCCTTAAGCTGATAAGCAACTTCAGCAAAGTCTCAGGATACAAAATCAATGTACAAAAATAACAAGCATTCTTATACACCAATAACAGACAAACAGAGAGCCAAATCATGAGTGAACTCCCATTCACAATTGCTTCAAAGAGAATAAAATACCTAGGAATCCAACTTACAAGGGATGTGAAGGACCTCTTCAAGGAGAACTACAAACCACTCCTCAATGAAATAAAAGAGGACACAAACAAATGGAAGAACATTCCATGCTCATGGGTAGGAAGAATCAATATCGTGAAAATGGCCATACTGCCCAAGGTAATTTATAGATTCAATGCCATCCCCATCAAGCTACCTAAGACTTTCTTCACAGAATTGGAAAAAACTACTTTAAAGTTCATATGGAACCAAAACAGAGCCCACATCACCAAGTCAATCCTAAGCCAAAAGAACAAAGCTGGAGGCATCATGCTACCTGACTTCAAACTATACTACAAGGCTACAGTAACCAAAACAGCATGGTACTGGTACCAACAGAACAGAGCCCTCAGAAATAATGCTGCATATGTACAACTATCCGATCCTTGACAAACCTGAGAAAAACAAGCAATGGGGAAAGGATTCCCTATTTAATAAATGGTGCTGGGAAAACTGGCTAGCCATAGGTAGAAAGCTGAAACTGGATCCCTTCCTTACACCGTATACAAAAATTAATTCAAAATGGATTAAAGTCTTAAACGTTAGACCTAAAACCATAAAAACCCTAGAAGAAAACCTAGGCATTACCATTCAGGACATAGGCGTGGGCAAGGACTTCGTGTCTAAAACACCAAAAGCAATGGCAACAAAAGCCAAAATTGACAAATGGGATCTAATTAAACTAAAAAGCTTCTGTACAGCAAAAGAAACTACCATCAGAGTGGACAGGCAACCTACAAAATGGGAGAAAATTTTCGCAACCTACTCATCTGACAAAGGGCTAATATCCAGAATCTACAATGAACTCAAACAAATTTACAAGAAAAAAACAAAACCCATCAAAAAGTGGGTGAAGGACATGAACAGACACTTCTCAAAAGAAGACATTTATGCAGCCAAAAAAAACACATGAAAAAATGCTCACCATCACTGGCCATCAGAGAAATGCAAATCAAAACCACAATGAGATACCATCTCACACCAGTTAGAATGGCAATTGTTAAAAAGTCAGGAAACAACAGCTGCTGGAGAGGATGTGGAGAAATAGGAACACTTTTACACTGTTGTTGGTACTGTAAACTAGTTCAACCATTGTGGAAGTCAGTGTGGCGATTCCTCAAGGATCTAGAACTAGAAATACCATTTGACCCAGCCATCCCATTACTGGGTATATACCCAAAGGGCTATAAATCATGCTGCTATAAAGACACATGCACACGTATGTTTATTGCGGCACTATTCACAATAGCAAAGACTTGGAACCAACCCAAATGTCCAACAATGATAGACTGGATTAAGAAAATGTGGCACATATACATCATGGAACACTATGCAGCCATAAAAAATGATGAGTTCATGTCCTTTGTAGGGACATGGATGAAATTGGAAATCATCATTCTCAGTAAACTATCACCAAGGACAAAAAACCAACCACTGCATGTTCTCACTCATAGGTGGGAATTGAACAAGGAGAACACGTGGACACAGGAAGGGGAACATCACACTCTGGGGACTGTTGTGGAGTTGGGGGAGGGAGGTGGGATAGCATTAGGAGATATACCTAATGCTTAATGATGAGTTAATGGATGCAGCACACCAGCATGGCACATGTATACATATGTAACTAAACTGCACATTGTGCACATGTACCCTAACACTTAAAGTATAATAATAACAAAATAAAATGAAATAAAAAAAAAGGGATGCTGAGCAAGTAAGTATGATAGTGGAAATATCTTGAAACAAAACAACAAAATGATGGAAAATATATTAGCTACAAAATATGCAATTCTTATTTTTATCCTTTATACACTGAGATTAATACAACCTGAAGTCTAGGACACTGTTAAAATGCAGATAATTATGGAAGTTGAACATACAATTTAATATAAATTTAATACAAATGATAATTTTTCAGATTAACTCCTCAGAATCTAGATTTTTTTATAGGGCATGAGCTTAAATTACAAGGAAGAAAAGAGTGAATGCAGGTAGTAAAAGAAAAGAGAGGGACATAGATCGGAAAGGGGAAAATGTAAAAACATGTTCATGGTTTTCTTGCTTCACAGTGTTGTTTGCATACCCTTGCACCACTATTACACATTTTGGAGGTCATGCCCTTTTCAATTTAGAAATTTGAAGTTCTGTATTTGAACCCTCGTGTTGCCACATAATCTCTCTGAGATGCAGTTTCCATATTGGAGGAAAGAAATAATATTTTCTCTTGCAAACCTACTTTCCAAATAGTGTTTTGTGATGATTGCATAAAATAAAGTGACATAGTAGAAAAAAGAAAGGTCAAACAGAGCTTTGTTTTTTCTAGTTTTGGTACCTCTAACATACTGTATAGAGGTACATGATAGCTCCAACTTATCAAATGAAAAATTGGTTCACTTTGGGTTTTTTTTTTTTTTTGGTTTTTGTTTGTTTGTTTGTTTTGTTTTTGAGATGGAGTCTCGCTCTGTCACCCAGGCTGGAGTGCAGTGGCGTGATCTCGGCTCACTGTAATCTCCACCTTCCTGGTTCAAGCGACTCTCCTGCCTCAGCCTCCCAAGTAGCTGGGATTATGGGCACGGGTCACCACGCCTGGCTAATTTTTTGTATTCTTAGTAGAGATGAGTTTTCACCATGTTAGCCAGGATGGTCACGATCTCCTAACCTCATGATCTGCCCACCTCGGCCTCCCAAAGTGCTGGGATTACAGGTGTGAGCCACCGTGCCCAGCCTGTTGTTTAATTTATGTGATTATTTCAAAGATGTATTGTCCTTTATCAAATTATTTTGATGCTTGATGCAAATTAGCATGTTAGTTTGAACTTAAAGATTAGAATTTTGGTTTACTCATATTCTCACATATAAGTAGGAGCTAATCATTGGGTACATGTGGACATAAAGATGGAAACAATAAACACTAGAGGAGGGAGAAAGACAGGGAAACAAGGAATGACTTGTTCTCCTCTGTGTTCACTACAAGTTGGGTCCTTGTAGTGAACATAGTACTCAATAAGTAGTTGAACCTTGTAGTTGAACCTAATCTTTAGTAGTACCCAACTACTTATTGAGTACTAGGTTTACTACCAAGGTGATTGGATCATTTGTACCCCACACCTCAGCATCAGCAATATATCTATGTAACAAATTTACATATGTACTCCAAATTGGATAAAAATGTTTAAATTATTTTAAAAAGAGAATTTTGGTTTAAACCACCATACCTCAATAATATGACTCCGGGGGATATTCATTGGAGCTATTCAACAAACATTGAAATGAATCACAAACTCCTTATGTTTCTTGAAACACTTTATACTTCCCAGTATCAGAGCAATCACTGAAATGTACTCAGAGAAGAAATCTCAGTGTGACAACTCTGGTTCATTGCCACTTCCTAAATGCCTTTCCCATTTATATCTGCTTTGGAATTCTAGACTGCCAGCTCAATACCCCTGCCACCAAAGGGCCTGCAATGGCTGCTGCATCAGGCAATATGCCGTAAATACTAGCCCAAGCTGCAGCAAATTTCCTGTAAATGAAGATTAAAGAAAACTACTTTGCAATTGGCTGAGCTGAGGAATTCGTGTACCTTCTAATGTCATAAATCAACTTACACTGTATAGTCACTGACTAATTAACAGCTTCATGTTCTGCTAGCTGAGAGAGGGTCACCAAGGACAAGCTGTAAAAGGTGCAAAATTTCTACCAACCTCCATATGACTCTTAGAATCAAAACATTGTCATATTAGTGAAAATAATTACTGACATAGATTCAGACACTTTTCACAAGCTAAGAAAAAATAGTAATTTTTCTCTCTGCCATATACCTCCTGTCTTCTCTCCATAATCTACCTGTATTTTTATGTACTGCAATATAATAGGGCCAAGCTCTTCACTAAGAAATGAGCTGTATTTACATGGTGACACTGATTTTCATAATTTTATATTTAAATATATAAAACATATTCGAAGTTTACACCCAATAATAGAATTCTCAGTCCAGGAAATGGACTATAGCCAGAATAATTTAAATGGCAATTAGAAAAATCATTTAGTACATTTTAATGTGACTAATATGATCTTTCAGTGAAGTTTTCCTGATTATTTGCTGAATAGTGAGAAAAACTTTTTTGCTACATTTGGAAAACACTGATAAATATAGCATATAAATAGAAAAGGAATTAATGTAAGAAATGTTCGGAGATAGTTATAAAAAATTATGAATATGAGCCACACTCTATTAAAACTGGTTAAAAGATATTAAAGTCTTATTAGTCAAGTTAAATTTTTATTTAAAATATATCTATTTCTGAAATGGAGTTTTTATTTAAATGGTTCTTAAAATATGATCTCTAAAAATAAAAATTGTGTTTTATGCTTATATTCTTCCTTAACCATTAAGCCTATCCATTGCTTACAGGATGGCACTGAAACTAGCATTTCAAAATTGGTGTAACCAAGGAGGAAGATAGATTGACCTGACAGAGCTTCTGCTCCTAACGTGTGAATTTCAAAAATGTGCCTGGTTAGTATCAGGACTGGCAGCTACAGGCACATCTTAATCTTAACTACCAGTCTGAGGGTAAGGGAAGAAAACAGAAATGTCAAACAATTTGATGCTGTAGAGCATTTTTCTTGCAATATTAAATAAAAAATTCATTTTCTACAGGTGAACAATAGAAGTTGTATAAAATTGTAGTTAACACAAAGGCTTTATAGTCACATTGCTCGTGTTCTTAATTATGCACCACCAATTATTAGCTGTATAAACTTCACTAAATTAACCCCTCCGTTTCTCATTTACAAAATGAGGATATTGTAGGAACTGCCCTTGTAGAAACAGCTAGTTGTCTCTCGATATAAATTATCCCACTCTCTCGAAGTAACAAACCTAATATTTAGCTGAATGTTGGTCAGTTCTGGGGGAAAAGAATCTCTCAGACTTTTCTCTCTCTAGATGTGGTCAAGTCAGTAAGTTATAGTAAATGAGATGTAAGTGGAAGTGATGCATGAAATTTTACAGAAACATCCCTAAAAAGCAAAAAGAATACTCTTCTCAATCTCTTCTATACTTCTACTGGGTGGAATGCAGATCTTATGGTTTCAGCTAAAGCACCAATTTGGACCATGAGGTGTTCTTGGGAATAGAAGTCACACCCACTAAAGCAATGAGATACGTGGATCCTAGGTCCCTGACACTATGGAACATTGTTCCAGCCCCTCGTGTCTCTATCAGAGAGGGCAAGCCCAGTGGCTTTAAATAAAAAAGATTCATTTTCTGCTCATGCTACTTTCCATTTGGAGAAAGCACGAGGCTCTGCTCCACATTGATCTGAATCAGGAACCACGTGGGATATAAGAAAACTCTCAAGAGCCAAGGCTGATTAAGCCTTTACCACATTAGAACAGCATCATCAAAGGTGAGAGAAGGGGAACAGAGTGTACTGTGCATTAGTTCATCAAGGCTTCTTCCCAGAAATGACACATTATTTCCACTCATATTTAATTGGTTAAGAGAAATAATATGGCCATGTCTATCATCAAGAATATGGAGAAATATAATCCTACACTATATCTGGAAGGGGAGAAATCAGAAATATCAAGGAGGACTGCTAAGGATGACCGCAACCTTCTACCATAAGAAAAATAAGTGAGGGAAAAAATTCTACTCATTTAAGCCATTGTTGCCCTGTGTTTTCGACTTCTTGTAGTTGAACCTAATCTTAATTAAAACCCTTCAAATAGGGCTGGTAACAAAGAGTCAATGAGATGGAATAAATAACATACCTGATACATAGCTTGGTATGTGATAAGCACTGGGTAAAAGCCACATCACCATTTTCATTACATTAGAGCATTGCAGTACTCAGAGATGAATGTTTAAGCTTTGAGTAGTGAATTCCACTTCTATTCCATGCATTTGATATTGCCTAAGTCAAAAATCTTTGTAGAAAAATTAACTGTGAGAAAAGCAGGCTCTGAAAGTAGTGTTTGGCAGTTTGAGTTTTGGCAAGAATGCAGAGTATAAGAAAGCCCTCCTACTAGAGATGTCAGTGTTTCTCATTTGGTACATCTTGGGAGCCTATTTCAGAAGTACAGGATGAAGGGTGTCTTTCCGTGCCAGAATGCAGCACCTCAAAGGACTTCCAGATTTACTTAAAAGTAAAGATGTCTTGCATAGTGCAGATTCCCAAATTTTCCCATAAAGGGAGAAGTCAAATTTGGCAAAATCTCCTCAACACACAGTCACAGCCTCATGCAGACACATACAGATTTTCTCATTTAATCCTAGGATCTTAATATCTTAAAATTTTTTAAATATATACATATTTGAGAAAAACTTGGGACCTCAAATTTAATTTTATACCACAATATATCTTTCCAGCAGACTGGAATCTGAGGAAGGAGTCATATTGAGCAATAATAATTCCTTGCTTTCTGTTATTTAGTTCCTGTAGCACCATTACTTTCTGTTATTATTTTTAAATTAACTTTTACTTTTGCAACAGGGAAAAAAGCAACATAAATCTTTTCCTAACTCGCTGGAATACTACAGTCCCTGTTGTGGCAAGAAAAGAAAGAATGTCACATCTCTACATACTATACACATGACATTGTTTATACTTCTCAAAGCTTTATTTTCTGCTAATTCCAAGTTTTTCCCCAATATAGCCACCATATGCAGGGATGCTTGACCTGTCTGGAAAACAAGCACCCAGAGTAATCTAAAATAATGTCTCTAAAAAGGAAATTTGATTATGATTAATCCTTGTTTTAAACTCTGAAGTAGAATAACAAAGAAAATAAACTAGATTCCCTGTTCACTTTGTTTGCTTTACTGATTACTGGAGTCCGTTTAACAACTTTTTTTTTTGAAAGGGAGTCTCGCTCTGTCGCCCAGGCTGGAGTGCAGTGGCGCCATCTCGGCTCACTGCAAACTCCGCCTCCCGGGTTCACGCCATTCTCCTGCCTCAGCCTCCCGAGCAGCTGGGACCACAGGCACCCGCCACTACAACCGGCTAATTTTTGTATTTTTGGTAGAGACAGTGTTTCACTGTGTTAGCCAGGATGGTCTCGATCTCCTGACCTGGTGATCCGCCTGCCTCGGCCTCCCAAAGTGCTGGGATTACAGGCGTGAGCCACCGTGCCGGGCCGTTTAACAATTTTGAGGTCAAATAGCACTGCTATGTTTTAGCCATTTTGAATTGATTTCTCATATGCAATTTTCTAATGTGCAAAATTAAATGCATTGTACACACTTAAACACACTGAAGACCTGTTAACTAATAGCAAAAGTGTTTTGCTTTAAAAGCAGTTACATAGATAGTGTGGGAATTTTAAAGCAACTATTGTTCTTTACAGTATACATCCTAAAGATATTAATAATCAAATCCCAGCTTATAACCTTTGTGTATGTCTATAGAAATCCTCGTTGGTATAGAATATAAATAACAAGAGACTAAAATTGGAGACATTGGTAAGAGATATTGACTTAACTTGTTTTACAGTGTTAAAACAGCACACACACACACAAAAGACCTTCACCTCCCAATCAGATGCAGTTGATCACAGTGAGGTCAACTCTTACTGCCACAACTAAAGAAAGCTGCATAAATTAAAATTCATATTTTAAAAGACTTCAAGGATTTCTAAAAGCAAGGAAGATTATTCGATTAACTAAACTTCTAGAAAGATGTAACTTTTCAAGATAAGCTGATGATTACCAGATGTTTATTTCTCTGCAGGGAATCCGGAAATCTTGTGTGTAGGATGACTGTGCTTGTCTAAAGCTTCTAAATGTCCCAAGCAGAAAGTTCTCAATAGGGAAAAGGGACACCAAAACTGTGTTAAGCAGCCACAAAGAACTGGAGAGGAATAAATGAAGTTTAAAAGTTCTAAAATTCTAGCACTATTGGGGAAATTATAAAAGCATATTCCATACTAGATCATAATAAGACAAGGATAAAGTTATAATTTCTAAAGTTGGCATAAAAGAACAGTGACAGAATGTATAACAGGTTAATTAAATAAAAGAGAGGGAATGTTTAAAAATATACATCTGGTTATCTAAAAGAAAGAAAGAAGAAATTGGGAAGGAACATAAAAGAAATGGGCCAAATACAGAATATTAATAAGATAGTGATATAAACCCAAATACAACAATAATTAAGTTAAAAGTAATTGGACTTCACATATAAATTTTAGAGGATGCAAACATTCCATCTCTAACACCTGATTTTATGATAAAGGTAAGCTTAAGAGTAGAGTGGAGGGAAAAGTACATTCTTTTAGAAAAATGGCCCTAAATCATTTCAATATGCATTGGGGAAAATCGTCTGAACCACTATGTGGCCCAGGTGGATTATAGGTACAAATGTGAAAGTTAAACAACAAAATTTCTAGAAAAAAAATAGAGGAAGACTACTTTGTGACTTCAGAGTAGGTGAAGATTCCTTCAAGAGGATGCAAAAAAAATACTAAAATGGGATTTAAAATATTGATAAACTGTACATAAACGACACCATTAAAAGAAGGAAAAGTCAACCCAAAGACTAGGAGAAGATAAAAGATACTTATAATTTATATATTCAACTGATAACTCATATCCAGAATACCTAATAAATATCTATAAATTAATAAGATGAACAACCCAGTAGAAAATTGGACAAAAGACTTGAAAGATATTTACAAAAGAATATATTCAAATGGCTAGTATACATGTGAAAAGGTAGTTAGTAATCACGGAAATGAATTGGGAAATCAAACATATCACAACACATTTCCATAAAGGCTACAATTTTATAAAGAAGAAAATATAAGTCTCACAAAATTTGGAATACCAAAATCCTAATGGATTCTGGTATAAATATAAATCAGAAAAATTGCTTTGGAAATCCTTTTGTCTGCTATTGCTGAAGATAAGCTTATGCTATGACCCAATGTAGTGTATAGCAGAAATGAGTACACACGTATTTTGGTCATTTGGGCTGCTATAACAAAATAAGATAAACTGAGTGGCTTATAAAGAACAGAAATGTATTTCTCACAGATCTAGAGTCTGGGAAGTCCAAGATCAAGTCACCAGCAGCTTTGGTATCTAGTGAGGGTCTGCTTTCTGTTTCACAGATGGCACACCTTCTCACTGTGCCCTCATATGGTGGGAGGGGTCTCTCTAGGGCCTCTCTTGTGAGGGCAACAGTCTCACCTATGAGAGCTCCATTTCCATGACTCAATCACCTCCTAAAGGCCTATTTCCCAATATCACCACCTTGGGGATTAGGATTTCAACATATAAATTTGGGGGGACATGAACATTCAGACCAAAGGAATACATAAACCAAAAGACGTGTACCAAAATGTTCATAGTAATGCTTGTGTAATAGTCTGTACTAGCAACACCTAAATGTTCATCAATAAATAAATACATACATACATTTTGGTGTTCACGCTATTGGACAGTATACAGAACAGGGAATAAATTATGTACAACTACATTTTACAGTGTGGATGAACTCCACAGTAGTACATTGAGTGAAATAAGTCAGACACTGATAAATATAAACTGCATTCCATTTATATGAAATACATAAAGGAGTAAAACTAATGTAGTCTATTAGAAATTCAGGAGGTAATATAAGGTTCACATAGGAAGCCTCTTGGGAGCAGGAGGTTTTTGTTTGTTTCTTTATTTGAATACTCTCTATATGGGTATGTTCACATTGTAAATAAAAGATGCATGTTACCATATTTCAATACAATACTTTTTATAGCAGAAATAAATTTGTCAGTATCTCCAATGTCTTTAATTGGTGATATTCTATAAACAAATCTGTATTTTTCTAATTTTATAATGGCAGATTTACTTAAATCTCTTTTTCTTCTCCAAATTTCTTTCCTATGTAAAGGGAAATGCGTATGACTGTCAAAAGAACAGTCAACTGATGGCAAGAATCCAGCATGTGCTTTAGGGAGAAGAGTAAGTTAGGAAGTGGTCATTAAAGGTTTAATGAAATAGGTGAAGAGTCAGGAGCAAAAGAAAGAAAAGGCAAATAGATCTCAGAAAAATGTTAATAGTGAAGGATCCATGGCCCTCTAGTAAGTTCTCAGCTTTCATTTTATCACCCAATGTATAGAGTAGACATTATGGCAGTTCCTCTTATGGTCCTGATTCCTTTCTGCCTGCTGAAATCCCATAGTTCCCAAGTTCCATTCTTAACTATAACACTACTTGATCTTAAACTATTTGTGAAGAATTTTGAATTCATCATCATTTCTGTAATTTTAAAATCAGTAATTAAACTATTTTGAAGTGATTCTTGCCTTTTCTAAGAATGCAAAAGGATAAGGACTTTTCATAACAACATATTTAGCACTATAGAGTTCATTTATCTTTGATGCATCAAAGATCTCAAAGTTCTAAGTTTTCTAATTTGTTGTTATTACAATTTATAGTTTATCATATTGTTGATGTTGTAAACAAAGAAGTATCCAAGACAGATTTCAATCAATTTAGAAGCTTATTTTGTCAAGGTTAAGGATCATGACTTGTGACACAGCATCAAGAGTTCCTGAAAACATGTGCCCAAGATGGTTGGGTTACTGCTTGGTTTTGTACATTTTAGGGAGACAGAAGTTACAGGCAAAGACATAAATTAATACATGTAAGGTATACTTTGGTTCAGCACAGAAAGGGAGGACATCTTGAGAGATATTTTGTGTCATAGATGGATTTAAAAATTCCCTTATTGGCAATTGGTTGAAAGGGTTAAGCTCTGCCTGAACAGTCTAAATCAACTTGAGTAAAGTTAAAGGGGTGGGTCATGGAAGTCGAGATTCTTCTGGTGTAGATGAAGCCTCTAGGGAGCAGGCTTGAGACAGAATAGATGTGAATGCCTCATCAAAGGTGTCAGATTCTCCTGAGAAACCTAGTAAAGGAAGGAGATTCTTTACAGAATGCAAATTTCCCCCATAAGAGACAGCTTTGCAGGGCTAGTTCTAAATACGTCAAAGAAATATATTTTAGGGTAAAACTGCTTGATTTCCTTTTAGGACCTGTTACCTGTCAGGTGATCTCATACCAGTGTTAGGTTGGAGTTGATATCTTATTGAGACGAAGAGTCTGTTCTGTCATTTTTAGGACCTCTATTTTAATGTTAATACTCACCAGTTATGTGCCTAAACTACAAAGGGAGGAGAGTATAATGAGGCAAGTCTAATCACCCCCCTCCCCTGTTCCTGTTGTTATAAATAAAGTTTCAGTGCTGCAAAAGAAATAGCACTGGATTATAAAATTATTTTTTTAATTATCAGCAAGGCAAGTTACTTCTATAGAAGGGTGCACCCTTACAGATGGAGCAATGGTGAGCACACAATTGGACAAGGGAGGGGAAGAGGTTCTTATCCCTGACACACGTGGCCCCTGCTGCTGTATCATTCCCCTATTGGCTAAGGTTAGACCGCACAGGCTAAACTAATTCTGATTGGCTAATTTAAAGAGAGTGATGGGGTAGATGGTTTGGCCAGGAAAATGGTTATGACAGAGCAGGTAATCGGAATGAGTCAGGGTGGAGCAGGTAATCAAAAAAGGTTGCTTTATAAGGAAATGAAATTTTAAAGTAGAAGACAAAAAATTGAACATACTGACATATTGATTCTTTTTCTTTTCTTTTCTTTTTTTTTTTTTTTTTTTTGAGATGGAGTCTCGCTCTGTCGCCCAGGCTGGAGTGCAGTGCCGTGATCTCAGCTCACTGCAAGCTCTGACTCCCAGGTTCACGCCATTTTCCTGCCTCAGCCTCCTGAGCAGCTGGGACTACAGGCACCCACCACTACACCCAGCTAATTTTTTGTATTTTTAGTAGAGATCGGGTTTCACCATGTTAGCCAAGATGGTCTTGATCTCCTGACTTCGTGATCCACCTGCCTCGCCCTCCCAAAGTGCTGGGATTACAGGTGTGGGCCACTGTGCCTGGCCTGACATATTGATTCTTTGAAAAGAAATGTAGAACTCATATATAACAACCCCTCCTCTTGCATTTCCTTAGAGTTCTTTCTTTTCAAACTTTTTAACATGTCTTGGCTTGGTTGTTCTGCTTGATTCTCCAAAAGAAGACACTTCCCTAGATAAGGTAGAGGATAGTTAAGGGAGGTTTTAGTAAGTGCCATTTTTATGAGCCTCTGCACCAAGCCACGGATGCATGGTGTGACACAGCATCTGACAAGAATAAATACACCCATTACGGCTGCAAGGGAAGTAAGAATTGAGAATATTATTCTTTTCCATTTACCGAACCACTTTTCTAGCCATTCTGTAAAGGGTCATTTACCCCTGAGTTGCTGGCTAACTCATTGGATAGACCAGTCAGACCTTGCAATGTCTTTGTTATACTTCCATTAGGGGCAGTGTTGTTTGGGATGAAGCTGCAACACTGAGTTTTAATCATGACGCAAACTCCTCCTCTTTCTGTTAATATCATGTCTAAGGTTATCCTATTTTCCCAAGCCATCTGGCTAGTAGCCCCTAATTGCTCAGATATTCCTTTAACAGCATTTCTAGTGTAGTTAATAAATCACTGTTGGTTGTAATAGATGTAGTTTATCTAATCTACATTTTTATTTATTGTCACCCACCAAAATATTGACTCAAATTCTGCAGCTATTTTATTTCGGGATTTAAATTGATTTCGTATTCCTCATGGGATTCCAATTGCATTTAAATAGACGTGAGAGTTGAAAGACCCATAAGGGGCTTCTCTCGCTTTACTATGTCTTATTTTTCCTTCCTCTGGTTGATGAAATGCCAGGGTGAAAGGGATAGCCAATTGGACTAAAGCACAAGTGCCACTCCAGTTATTCAGCAGAGTGTCCAGTAAAGGTCCACCACAATACCACCACACATGAACAAGGGCTGACTGATTGATAAGGTCTTGAAAATTCTTAAGCTCACTGCATCCCTTCAGGTCTCCAAGGAACGCTAAGTTTCCTCCCTGTCATGAGAGACACAAGGTGAAATTAGTGTTGGGAGATGGAAGCTGGATGGCCCTCAGGGGCTGAAGTCCGCAGGGTGCCGGACTTCAGGATATAGCAGAGAGAGAGTGTGGCAGGACTTGTTACTCCAGGCTGTAGAATCCTGGAAAAGAGCTACCATGCAGCCCACGCCTGGTCGACTGGAGGACCACCCTAGTGGAAAAGGGACAATCTGGGCCTCTGGCCTGCTGTGCGCACAAGCATAACAATGGCTTTTGTTTAACATGCAAACAGAATATTTGATCCATTCCAACCAGCAATTTGCATCTTGGTATCCTATCTTAATTGCCAAAATTTGTTTTAAGTCTTTAACTTCTACAATAGCTATCTTAGTCTTGTCATTAGATGGAGGAGGAGCAATTGTTCCATTGTGAGAGGTTTTGTAAGAAGGCTTAGAGGAAGGTGCAGGCAGCGGTGGATCAAAGAAATGCATTTCAAAGAATCCAGTAGGGTCTGCCCCTGAAACCTCAGCCCCCCATACCATAAAACTAGCTTAAAGAAGGGAACCGGCTTAGAAAAGGGGAAAAACTTTGAGGGTTTGAGATAATAACCTGTATAGGATTGCACTGGTTTAGCTGACAGTTGGCGGGGGTGGGTGGGTGCTGTCCCTCTAGAAAAATGAATATTTGGTTTTAGGAAATTACAAAAACCAGTTCGGGGAGTCCATCCTTCCTCTTTAGTGGTCCACAGAACGTTGGACCAACTATGGCATAAAAGCTCTACATCAGGGAGCAAGACTCCTGGTTGACACTGGGGTCTTTATCGAAATCTCCCCAGATCAAATGATCCCAATTCACTATTGCACAGTCTGGGGAGAGTCAGGAGGGACAGAGGTACTTTTCTGAAGTAGAGAGCTGTCTTTGACTTGGCAAGTCCCCACAGGGTATAACAAGGCAAGCATTAAATGCAATAGTTTGAAGCAAAATTGACTTAGTTATGTTAATAACTAGATGGTCAGCAATAAAGCAAGGAAAGAAGAAAGAGTAATAGAATAGATGAAAGAGAGTTAAATTTTTCTTAGCTTTAGTTTGGTAGGGTTTTCCCCTGGGACTATGGCCCACGACTCTGGAGGGGACAGTGCTTTCTTGACTCAGGTGTGATGAGACCATCCCCGTTTGGCTGTATGAACAGCAGTTTCAGTGGTTAGCAGCACAAGGTAGGGTCCTTCCCAGGCTGGATCGAGTTTTCCTTCTTTCCACCCATTGATGAGAATGTGATCCTCAGGCTGGTGCTGGTTTACTGGAAATTCTAGGGGTGGTACCTGTGCTAAAAGACTTTTAGTTTTGAGGGAAAGGAAAGTGGAAGATAAACCAAGTTTATAATTTGTAAGAAAGTGACCATTTGTTTTAAATGTGGGGATATCAGCAGTGGACTTTATAGTCCTCGGTGCCTTCTTACTGAGAAATTTCCTTTAGCACCGATTTTTATTAGTTTTTAGACCAAAGAAAGTCAAACACCATTTTATATTTGACATTGCTTCCTGTATGATCTTTATACCAGATAAGCTAAACTTTACCTTTATATTAGTGTGTTATTAATGTTAAACTCAATTTCAATAAAACCTTATAGACATATTTATCTAATTTTAACATCTGACCATAAGGTAAGATTTTTATAGGCTCTCTTTAATCTTTTATAATTTTTGTTCAAGAGCAGGTTAATGCTTTAAGAAAAACCTGTTGTGCTTTTATTTTAATGTTCAGTTCACAGAAAGACTGGATGATACCCCTTTAACTTTAGCCAATATGTTTACACACATAATTTCCTTTACAATTAACATTTTAAAACTTGCTTAAACCTTTAAAACAAAATATTTTTTAACCTTTTAATGTAGGTAAAAATCCACATTCTTATGCCTCCTTATTGAGAGGAGGTGCCGGCTGGGCTTCCTGGGTCGAGTAGAGGCTCAGAAATCTGTGAAACTCACTCATTTCCTGCAACAGGACTTACTTTGGTTCTGGATGAATAATATTGAAGATATATGCTTAAAATATTCCTAACATCAGAATTTGTGCATGTGTTTTCTTCCCCAAGAAAGCTATAAACAGCGAAAATTTTGCTGTAAGCTTCCCTGTGTCCTCTCTCCCTTCCCCCTCCCCTGAAACTAAAAGCAATGTTAAAAGCCCATTTTTCTGTGACCAGCAGACCTTATCTATACTCCCAATTCCAATTCCATGTAAACACAATTTGTAAAATCCGGTGAGATCCTGTCTCCTTTGCCATGCTGCTGCAAGGTTATAAAGTAGATAAAACTTAAGTTACAATTCTTGTTTTTCTCAAGATCTGAGAAATGTTAAATGTCTTTGTCTCTCCCTCTGGTAACACCTTCCCACTACACCTATTTCCCACCTTAAAGAGTTTAAAAGGTGATCAAAAAATCTAACACTGGCTACCAGCTCAGAACCCCTTCCACATTGTGGAAGCTTTGTACTGTCACTCTGCTCAATAAAGCCTACAGTTTTTTTCTCTCAGTCCAATCAGTGTCTCTCTCTCACCACCGGCTGCCGCCACACCAAATCTTTGGCGTGGCTAAGGCAAGAACCTTTGGTGTTACATTATAATCCTTTTACCAAAAGTATATTTTACTTTCCTTACACACCTTGCACATAAACTGTTTCTTTAATAGTTTCACATTCAGGAGGCCTAATTGCTTTTAAATCATACAACATTTCTTGCATAAATTCCCTTCTGTAACTTTTTTTTCCACGACTTTTACAGACAATTCTTCAACATGCCTCAACTTTCTGACTTGTTGCAAACATCGTTTTCTTTAAACAACCAGTTAATTTATTTTAGGACAACAATTTATCATATAACATTCCTTTTACAGAAATTCTTCCCTCCCCTCCTTTTTTTTCCCAAAGATGATAACCATTCTTTTCAAAAGCAAACTTCCTTCATGTCTGTGGACTAGACTGTCTAAGGCCACAAGATTAGAAGTTAGGATAATACATGTTACAGTGTTAACTTTTAGCAAACTTTACTTTTGTTGAAAACCTTGTAAGTTTGGGATTTCAATTATTCTTTGCTATTAAGACCTCATTCAGTCCATATTAACTTAGAACTGGTATAGATTCTTTCTTGCTTCTGTAAGTACTTTAAGGTTCGGCTGAGTGCAACAGCTCACACATTTGAGCAGACCAATTATTAGGCAATCTTCCTAACTCTGCTTCTACAAGAGTTTCCTTATCACTTACTGAATATCCATTGTGTCTTTTTTCCCTCAATCACTTGGGAGGAACCATCTATCATTCTGTCCTGAGAGATCCTTCTAGGTCTGGTTGGACCTTTATATGGTAATTAATTAAGATTTAGATTCCCAGTTAGGAAGCCCGCTGGGTTAAGGGAATTATCAGTGGTTAATGTTAAATCATCTTTTTCTAACAGAATAGCCCCATACTTTAAGATTTTTGAGTGAGTAAGCTACCTTTTCCCTTTTTTTTTTTTTGACTTAGGATAGTTCTGAACTGGTGCAGTGTGCTCACAATGAGGTTTCCTCTAAAAGTTATTTTTCTACTTTCTTCTGTTAGCAAAGCAGTTGTCGCTACAGATTGAATGTACTTGGGCCATCCACGGGTTACTGGGTTAAGGATTTTTGATTAGGAAGGCTATGGGTTATCAGTGGCCTCAGTGCTCTCAGGTTATGCCCTTGTTCACACTGACAACAAGGTGGTATTGGAGTGTTATAGGGTCATGGAGAAGACCTTCAATTATCAATTATAGGTTTTAAATTTACCCTGGCTTTTAAAGGAATAGAGTACACTGTTTGTTTTCCCTAATACTTCTATCTCTGTCTTTCTCTCTTTCTTTCTCCTTTGACTTTCTGTCTCTCTCTTTCTCTCTCTCTGACTCCCTCTTTGTCTCTCTGTCTCTTCTTCTCTCTTTCTGCCTCTCTCTCTCTTTGACTCCCTCTTTGTCTCTCTGTCTCTTTCTGTCTCTCTCTTTCTCTCTCTCTCTTTCCTCTCTCTCTGCCAGCCACATGTGCTGCTGTTCTCCCCTCTCCTTCCCCTTCCCCTTCCCCTAGGGGAGGGACCAGTGGGAGTGGAGCTATCCTTTCCTCCCCTGAGAAGAAAGGAAAGAGGGGGTTTGTGTGAGGTTCGACCTTTGAAATTAGTGGAAGGCTCAACCCCTCACACCAGGGATGTCTTGCCTTGTCTGTCCCAGAAGGCTCAAACTCTCACACCAGGGGGTGTCTTGCCTTGCTGCCCTGGAAGGCTGACCTGTTTCTTCCTTTTCCCCCTCTGAAGGTCCCTTGCACACTTCCCACTCATGTCGTCCTCTCTGGCTGCTCCCTCAAGGGAGAATTAGGCCCCTCTTAGTGTTGGTGTGCCAGTATAAATCCCATGGCAGGATCCACCCTAAGCCATATGAGGTAGCTATGGAACCGCAGAGAGGACCCACTCACTCTGTCCAGCAGTAGGACTTGTCACCATCCACAAGAACAACACCGCAAGCAGGGTTGTTTGTGGTCACTCATGCACACACACATTTAGCCCTCTAGAATTTGACCACCAGGGAAGTACTTTACTGGTTCCTGCCCCTTCTCCTTCCTTGGTCGGTCCACAGAGTCGTTGCCGCAGAATGTGAAGATCCTTTAAGCTAGGTTGCTGGCCAGTTTTTTTTTTATTTTTTATTTTTTTCTGCATTGCTGAGAGCTGGGGTTATTCCTCCCACTGTGTGGGTCTTGATTTGACTATAGAAGGAAGTGAAGGAAGATAAGGAGGACCCAGATGAAGAAGGAACCATTAAAGAAATTTGAGCAAGGAAATGAGGTTTGCACCTTAGTTTGATAGCATGTGGAAGGGCAGGCTTAGAGAGACAAGCCTGGAGCCAGGAAGAACAGCAAAGAAGCACCTGCTCAGGGGAAAGAGTTATGGATACTTGAACTAGGGGCAGCAGTGTTGATGGAAAGGAACAAAGAAACTGGAAATTTAAGAATTTAGAATTGGTAAGGCTTGTATCTGATTAGATGGTGTGGAGCCAGGGAGTGTAAAAAAGCTAAAACAAACTGCTGGGTTTTTGGTTTGAAAATTTGGTAAGTGATAGTAGAATTCACCGAGCTATTCCAAGTAGACCTTTCACTATCTCACTTTGTTGGCTAGTCCCACTCAGCAGTCCTAAGCAGATGTAGTTGCTTCTCACTCAACATATTTTACTTATAAATATATACATATACTTCTTATAAGGTCCTGGTGCCCCTTGAAGGCATCGAGATATTGCACAGGAATACATTAATAGAATACAGCTAACAGATCTATTTTGGAGCAAAAACCAATGAAGTTCAGTCACTATATCTACCTTATAATTTCACTTTGCATATAGTGCCCTTCTTGAACATTAGACTTAACTGTCATGGGACATTTGAATCAACTATATCAAAAATTGAGGGTAATATATATTTATTAAGGACTTATATAAACAGCTAGGATTACAGAGGACAATTAGCCTTATGAGGACATGCCTAAGAGTAAGACAAACAAGGTTCCCCTCTGTATTAAATAACTTCCAGGGCCCTACAATGCCTTATTATATTATATAAATGTAATTTACACTTTTAAGATCACAGTAACCTGAAAGTCAAAATAGGGTCAAAACTGAAACTAATATTTCTCCAGTTGAATGCTTCCCTGAACTAGAAGAATCTCAGCTTCACTCAAATTCCTCCCAAATAGTTTTGAGAGTCTCCAGATGTCTCACATCTACTTTACATACAAGTTCCCTCAGATCTCCTTCTCTCATGATCCCATTTCAGCTCTCTGTGGTGAATCTGATACCCCACTACTGATGCCAGGATCTACAATGGTTAAGGTTCCACTGCCTGACAAACATGTTAGTGATACTGGTGCTTGCTGTTGTCTGCATTGAGGCTTCTGATATCTGTTACTGAGGATATTGAGGTTTACCCACAGAGAACTCTTGCCTGGTGCTGCTGAAGCTCTTCGTATACCATCTCCTCTGAACAGAGTCAACATATGACTTGTCTTCAATTATAGCCAAAGCTGTAAGTCCCAATATCACTAATGCTTTTCTTTGAAGCTCTTAAATGCATTTAATTCTTAATGCATAGCAGTTCTATTTGACTGTACACCCTAGTACTCAAAATTGATTCTAAGAAAGCTGTATGGGAATACAAACTAAAACAATGAATGCTATACCACCTTAAGAACCAGTTGATCCCTCCATCCTTGGCCACTGTTCTTGAAAACAAAAGTGAATTGACTCCCTTTTTCTCTAGAATGATTTGCTCCAGAACAAAGTTTAATTCTTTATGTATGAAGACCCATAATTGTTTCTATCACCCTGCCTACATATTCCTAACTAGTAAGGTAAATAAACTAAATTTAGGCTACATTTGAGAACTAAGCTACATATTTTACATGGGAACCACTAAAATTATCCTATACCATATTTTTTTTTTAAAAAAATGAGTGTGGCCCTGAACTAAGAATAGGGTCTCTAAAAAATATGATTATAGACTCTCTTTCTCTAATTTGGTGTCTTAAATTTTTATTAATGATTATGTTTTTGAGGGAGTCATTTGCTGCAATGAGAGACCACTCACATGGATCATTGAAAATCTTGTGAATAAGAAAAATAATAACAGATATGATATGCATGGTACTACTGATTACAAGATAAAGTACCCATTTAACAATCAGCATTCCTAGGGAGGATGTGAAGCCCTGAATTTTAGTGTTTGATGGTTTCTATGTAGTTTTGGTTAATTTTAAGCTATAATATGATATCACTGACCATGGAATAAGGAAGAGATGCTAAAAATAGGCTCTCATGATATGTGATGGCTCAGGCACACTACTGATTAAACCTTTTATATGAAGCTTTTAACATATCTATACTTTGGGGGAGATGCTTTTACCCATGGAATACCCACACCAATAATAAGCCAAGCCATGATAGAAGTATCCTATATCTTATAGTATTTTACTGTAGAAGGTACCATTTTCTTGAAAGATAATTGCTCACCTTCTACCCTGAAGATAGCAATTGACTGCTCAAATTGTTGCTACGTGACAGCAAATAAATGGCAAACATCTATAGACCAGCTGATTGGTGCATAATCCACAAGGTCTATCTATCTGAAGATTTTCCAGGAACTAAAGGGAAAAAGAAAGAATATTTCTTGCCTTGAATCATTCGAGGAAAGAGATGTAAATACGAATTGGAAATTTATTATTATTATTATTATTATTTTGAGGCAGAGTCTCGCTTTGTCGCCAGGCTGGAGTGCAATGGCACAGTCTCAGCTGACTGCAACTTCTGCCTCCTGGGTTCAAGTGATTCTCCTGCCTCAGCCTCCTGAGTAGCTGGGAGTACAGGTGCAGGCCACCACACCCAGCTAATTTTTGTACTTTTAGTAGAGACGACATTTCACCATGTTGGCCAGGCTGGTCTCAAACTCCTGGCCTCAGATGATCCACCCGCCTCGAACTCCCAAAGTCCTGGGATTACAGGCAAGAGCCACCATGCCTGGCCAAGATATAAATTATTAACTGTAAGGTCCCCACTATTTGTGGGACAAAGGTTGCTTCCAGAAACCTAAAACATTTTCTGAAAAGTAAAAGCGGGTGACCATGTCATATTTCTTTTTCTTTCTCTTTTTTGTTTTAGAAACTGATGTTTATCTTCCATCAACTTTATTTCCATGTTGCTTAAGAGCCCATCCAAGAACAGCTTAAGACCATTCAGTGGTTGCTCCTACTCATTCAGTGGCCTGAGCAGTGGGAGCTGCAGGCCAGTCTTCCATGGCAGGCTGAGCCCTCCAGTCTTCAGTAGGGAACTGCTGAATAGGCACAGAGGGCACCTGCATGCCTTCAGACCAGTCTGCAACCTCAGGCTGAGTAGCAGTGAACTCAGGAGCTGGAGCAGTCCATTCATCCTAAAAGTCCTCCTTGGTCACAGCCTTTTCAGCAGGAGCCTGCTTTTCTTTTTAGGTTTCTTTCAGGATCTCTGTAGAAGTAGAGATCAGGCATAACCTCCCACAAGTATTCACAGGAAATGGTGCCACTCATGCACAGAACTTCCTGAGCCGGCATCCACCACATCAAACCCACTGAGTGAGCTCCCTTGTTGTTGTGGTATGTTGTCATATTTCTTTTATATGACTCTCTTACTCAAAAATCACAGCTCAATTTTAGTCAGAGACAGCATAGACAAGTGAACAAATACATGGGGTAACAGAAAAATTTAGCTTTTAAACATGGAATCATTTTTGTCTTCAAAATACAGGTTGAATGAGTAATCACGGAAGTGGGAGATGACATATAAAACTCTTAACTTTCTCTGACCAATTCTTTGTCCCATGGGAGCAGATGAGCCATGGGGGAAGTCATTGGCCTTGTGTTTCAAATAGGAGCTGAATAACACAGCCTGGGCTTGTTATGAGTTCACCTCCATTTCAGAGACTGACCTGAGGTAAACTGATTGGGAATTAGGATTTTCCTTCTATAAGCTGAAGTTTCTCTTGAACTATTCATATTTCAATCTTAAACTCCATATCTTCCATGGGATGCCTTTAAGAAAAAAGAAAGTGGACAGCATCCTAGACACTGTGGCAATGGCGGGATGTTTTGGAATACACGTATCTTTCAAGTGTCACTCAAATATCACTTGAAAAACAATTTTAAAACTATTTTAATCAAGATTAGTTTCCCACAGAGTTATAATACACCATACCCCCCCAGTGACATATGTAAAGACTCAGCACCAAAAATAATTTCCTCACAAGGATGGAATTTTTTGTCTTTTTTTTCCAGGTGTACCATGACTGGTCCATATTTCCTTTCCTTCCACCTCTCTAGAAATAACCACTATTCTCATTTTGAGTTTTATCATCCCTTAGTATATTTTTGTAATTTTACTACATATATACTTAGAAAACCAGATGCTCTACACATTTAAACACTCTCACATGCATATATAGAATACCAAATAATACACAGAATCCAGTACTTCCTTTATTGCTCAAAATTATGACAATACATGTAGCTCTAGTTAATTTAACTACAGCTTCATATGATATTGCTAACTAGAACACAACTTATGTTTCTTACCATTCTCTGGTTTTTAGGTTGCATCCAATATTTTGTTACTCTACCTAAAGAACATTCTTATCTGTGCCTCATTGTACACATGTGGAGAACTTTTTCTAGAGCAGATGCTAGAAAAAAAAATTGTTCAGTTATAGAGGCTCCTCATTTCCAAATTCATTACACTGTGAAACATTAATTTTCAAATTGTTTATATAATGTGTCCTCTTATCAGCAGCAATTGCTCTATATTCTCATCAACATTTAGGATTGTCAGACTTGTAATTAATGCCAATCAACCAGATGTATAACAATAGCTTATTATTGTCCGAATGTGTACTTCGCTGATTACTAGTGAGGTTGAGCATATTTTTATGACTTGGCATTGAGTTATGTTCTTACATAGCCTGCCTTTTATAGCTTTTGTACATTGCTCTATCGCAATTTTTTTATTGAGACTTTATTTTCTATTCCTTTTATTTTTAATTCACTCCTTTTATTTTTAATTCACACATAATTGTACTAATTTATGAGATACAGAGTAATATTTTATTTTATTTTACTTTATTTTATGTTATTTCATTTTTGAGACAGAGTCTTACACTGTCACCCAGACTGGAGTGCAGTGGTGTGATCTTGGCTCACTGAAACCTCTGCCTCCTGGGTTCAAGAGTTTCTCCTGCTTCAGTTCCCCTAGAAGTTGGGATTACAGGTGTGTGCCACCACGCCTGGCTAATTTTTGTATTTTTAGTAGAGAATGGGTTTCACCATGTTGGCCAGGCTGGTCTCAAACTCCTAACCTCAAGTGATCCACCCGCCTTGGCCTCCCAAAGTGCTGGGATTACAGATGTGAGCCACTGCACCCGGCCCAGGGTGATATTTTAATGCATGTATGTACAATGTGTGATGATAAAATTATGGTAGTTAGCATATCTATCACCTTGAATATTTATCATTTTGTTGTTATGAACATTCGTTTAGCTTTTTGAAAATAAACACTAAATTGTGGCTAACCATAATTACCCTATAGTGCTATAAAACACTAGAACTTATTTCTCCTGTCTGGCTGTAATTTTATATTTATTAACCAACCTCTTTCCATCGTCCTCTCTTCCCTACACTTTGCAGCCTCTAATAACCACTATTCTACTCTCTGTTTCTGTGACCACCTTTTTTCCTTCTTTTCCTTTCTTCCTTCCCCGCCTTCCCCTTCCCCTTCCTTCCTTCCTTCTCTCCTCCCTCCCTCTCTGTCTCTCTCTCTCCCTCTTTCTTTCTTTCTTTCTTCCTTCCCTTTCTTTCTTTCCTTCTTTCTTTCTCTCTCTCTCTTTCTTTCTGTTCCCACATATACAAGAGAACATGTAACATTTCTCTTTCTGCACTTGACTCATTTCACTTAACATATTGCCTTCTGGGCTTATCCATGCTGCTGCAAATAACAATATTTTATAATTATTTCTGGCTAAATAATATTCCTCTCTGTATATATACAACAATTTCTTTATCCATTCATCTGTTGATGAACATTTAGTTTCACTCTGTGTCTTGACAGTTGTGAATAGAGTTGCAATAAACATGGAGATGCAGCTATCTCCTCAATATACTAATTTCCCTTCCTTTGGATAAATATCCAGTAGTAGGATTGCTGGTTCATGTGGTAGTTCATTTTTTGTTTTTTTGAGAAATGTTTATACTGTTTCCCATAATGGTATACTAATTTGTGCTTCCACCAACAGTTTATGAGAATACCCTTTTCTTCACATCCTAACCAGCATTTGTTAGTTTTGTCTTTTTTGACAGGAATATTTTTGTCTTTTTAATGATAGCCATTATAACTCAAGTGAGATGATATTTCATTGTACTTTTCATTTGTATTTCCCTGATTATTAGTGATGTTGAGCTTTTTAAAAAACATATACTTGTTGGCTGTTTGAATGCAGTTTTTGTGTTTTGTTTGACTATTTTTAAATCCAATTGTTTCCTTGCTGTTTGTTCCTTTTAGTTCCTTGAATATTATGGATGTTAGTCCCTTGTTGGGTAATTAGTTTATATATATTTTCTTCCATTCTACAGGTTGTCTCTTCACTCTATTGATTGTTTCCTTTGCTTGTCAGGAAGCTTTTTACTTTGATACGGTCCCATTGGTATAATTTAATTTTGTTGCCTGTGCTTTTGAAGTCTTCATTATAAAACCTTCGCCTGGACCAACACCCTAAAGCATTTCTCCTATGCTTTCTCCTAACAGCTTTATATTTTGGGATTTTTACATTTAAGTCTTTAGCCAATTTTGAGTTAATTTTTGTGTATGGTGGGAGGTAGGGGTATTGTATTATCCTTCTGCATGTGGATATCCAGTTTTACAAGCACAATTTATTGAATAGACAACGTTAATGTTAATTTTCCCAGTTAATGTTCTTGGCACCATTGTCAAAAGTCAGTTGGCTGTAAATACAATAATTTATTTCCAGGTTATTCATTCTATTCCATTTGTCTATCTGTCTGTTTTTATACAAACACCATGCTGTTTGATTACTAGAGCTTTGTAGTATATTTTGAAGTCTGGTAGTGTGATCCCTCCAGTTTTGTTCTTTTGCTCAAGACTACTTTGGCTATTTGGGATCTTTTGTGGTTCCATATGACTTTTAGTATTTGTTTTCCTATTTCTGTGAAGAATATCAATGCTATCTTAACAGGAATTGCCTTGAATCTACAGATTGCTTTGGGAAGTATAGTGACTTTAACCATTTAATTCTTCCAATTCATGAGCATGAGATATATTTCCATATTGTTGTGTCCTCTTCAACTTCTTTTAACAGTATTTTGTAGTTTACCTTGTAAAGATCTTTTATCTCCTTAGTTAGATCTATTTCTAGGTTTGTTTTTTTTTTTTGCAGCTGTTGTGAATGAGATTGCTTTCTTGATTTTTTTAGATAGTTAATATTGATGTAAAGAAATGCCACTAATTTTTGTATGTTGGTTTTGTATTCTGCAACTTTACTGAATTTGTTTATCATTCTATGAGTATTTTAGTTGAGTCTCTAGATTTTTCTATGTATAAGATTATGTAGTTTATGAAAGGGGACAATTTGACTACATCTTTTCCAAATTCTTAGCCCTTTATTTCTTTCTCTGGTCTAATTGTTCTGGCTAGGATTTCTCATACGATGTTGAGTAAGAGTGGTGAAAGTGAGAATCCTTGTCTTGTTTCAGTCATTAGAGGAAAGGCTCTCAGCTTTTCTCCATTCAGTATGAGTTAGCTGTCAGTTTCTCATATATGGCCTTTATTGTGTAGAGGTATGTGTCTTTAATACCTAATTTGTTGAGAGTTTTTATCATGAAGGGGTATTGAATTTTATTTAATGTTTTTTGTCTCTATTGAGATGATAATATAGTTTTTGTTCTTAATTCTGTTGATGCAATGTATCACATTTATTTATTTTCTTATGTTGAACCATCCTTGCATTTCTGAGATAAATCCCATTTGATTATGGTGTATTATCTTTTTGATGTGTTGCTTTGTTTGTATTTTGTAGCATAGATATTTGCATCTATGTTCATCAAGGATATTGTCTTATAGTTTCCTTTTTTTTTTTTTTGTCTGTTCTTATCTGGTGTAGGTATCAGGGTAATGCTACTCTCATGGAATGAGTTAGGAATAATTCCTTCTTCAATTTTTGAAAATTGCTTGAGAATAATTTTTGTTACTTCTTTTTTAAAAAGATTGGTAAAATTCAGTAGTAAAGCCATCAGTCCTGGGCTTTCTTTTGTTGAACGACTTTCTGTTACTGATTCAATCTCATTACTTTTCATTGCTTGTTCAAGTTTTCTATTTCTTCCTAGTTCAATCTTGGCATATTTTATGGTCCCAAGAATTTACCCATTCCCTCCAGGGTTTCCAATTTGTTGGTGTATAATTCTTCATAACAGTCTCTAATTATCCTTTGTATTTCTATGGTATCAGTTGTAATGTCTCCTTCTTCAAATCCAATTTTGTTTATTTTGGTCTTTTCTTCTTAATTCTTCTAGCTTGTAGTTTTTCAATTTTGTTTATGTCTGCAAATAAAACAACTTTTCATTTTGTTAATCTATTCCATTTTTTACTTCTAATTATTTAGTTATTTGATCTTTATTATTTCTTTCCTTTCAAATTTCAACTTTTATTTTAAAAACAAAGGGTATATATGCAAGTTTGTTAAATGGGTATATTGCATGATGCTGAGGTTTGGAGTATGGATCCTGTCACCCAGGTAGTCAGCATAGTTCCTAATAGGTAGTTTTTTAAACTATGTCCCCATGTCTTCCTCCCCCTCTACTAGTCTACAGTGTCTATTTTTCCCATGCTCACATCCATGTGTGCTCAGTTTTTAGTTCTCACTTGTAAGTGAGAACATGCAGTATTTGGTTTTCCATTTCTGCATTAATTCTCTTAGGATAATGGCCTCCAGTTCTACTCATGTTGCTGTAAGGAGACATGGTTTTATTCTTTCTTATGGCTGCATCGTATTTCACGGTATATATGTGCCATATTTTCTTTATCCAATCCATCATTTATAGTCACCTAAGTTGCTTCCATGTCTTTGCTTTGTGAATGATGTGGCAATGAGCACATGAGTGCATGTGTCTTTTTGGTAGAATGATATATTTTCCTTTGGGTATGTATGCAATATGGGATTGCTGGGTCAAATGGTAGCACTGTTTTAAGTTCTTTGAGAAATCTCCAAACTGATTTCCACAGTGTCTGGATTAATATACATTCCCACCAGGATTGTATAAGCATTCTTTTTTCTTCACAGCCTTGTCAGCGATGATTTTCATGTTTTTAAACATAGCCATTCTGATTAGCATGAGGTTTTATGTCATTGTGGTTCTGATTTACATTTATCTGACAATTAGTGATGATGAGCATTTTTTCATATTTTTGTTGGCCACTTGTATGTCTTGTTTTGAGAAATGTCTGTTCATGTCCTTTGAGCATTTTTAATGGGTTATTTATTTTTTCATGTTTAACTGTTTAAGGTCCTTATATATTCTTGATATTAGACCTTTGTCAGATGCATAGTTTGTGAAAATATTTTGCCATTCTGTCAATTATCTGTTTAATCTGTTACTAGTTTCATTTGCTGTTCAGAAGCTCTATAATTTAATTATGTCCCACTCATAAATTTCTTGCTTTTGTTGCAATTGTTTTTGCTAACTTAGCCAAAAATTATTTGGCAAGGTCAATGTTGAGAAAGATATTTCCAGGATTTTCTTCTAAGATTTTTATGGCTTGACATTTAAACTGTAATGTAAAACATTTAAATCTTTAATCCTTTAATCCATCTTGAGTTACTTTTTACATGTGGTGAAAGATAGGATTCCAGGTTCATTCTTCTGCCTATGGCTAGCCAGTTGTCTCAGCACCATTTATTGAATAAAGGGTCCTTTCGTCATTGCTTATTTTCATTGGCCTTGTCAAATATCATATGGTTGCTGGTATATGGCTTTATTTCCGAGTTTTCTATTCTGTTCCATTGGTTTACATGACTATTTTTGTACCAGTACCATGCTGTTTTGGTTACAGTAGCCCTATAGTATAGTCGAAGTTGGGTTGTGTGATGCCTCCGACTTTGTTCTTTTCACTTAAGATTGTTTTGGTTATTGAGGCTCTTTTTTGTTTCATATGAATTTTAGAATAGTTTATTCTAATTATGTGCAGAATGACATTGGTAGTTCAATAGGAGTAATGTTGAATATATAAATGGTTTTGGGCTGTATGGCCATTTTAACAATATTCTTCCAATGCACGAGCATGAAATTTTTTTTTCATTTATTTGTGTTTTCTCTGATCTTTCAACAGTGTTTTATAGTTCTTGCAGATATCTTTCACATTTTTGGTTGGCTGTATTCCCAAGTATTTCATTATCTCTATGGGTATTGCAAATGGAATTGTGTACTTAATTTTGATTCTCACTCTATACGTTATTGTTGTATAAAAATGCTATGAATTAATATACATTGATTTTATATCCTGAAATGTTACTAAAGTAATTTATCAGTTGCAGGATTTTGGCAGAGTATTTAGGGTTTTCTAGATATTCAATCATATTGTCAGTGAAGAGAAATAGTTTGACTTCTTATTTTCCTATTTGGTTGCCTTTTATTTCTTTGTCTTGCCTGATTACTCTGGCTAGGACTTCTAGTAAGATGTTAAACAGGAGTGGTGAGAGTGGGCATCCTTACCTTGTTCCAGTTTTCAAAGGGGAATATTTCCAGCTTTTGCCCTTTCAGTGTGATGTTGGCTGTGTGTTTGTCATGGATGTCTCATTATTTTGAGATATTTTTCTTTGATGCCTAGTCTGTGGAGAGCTTTTATTGAACGTTTGTTGGATTTTATTGAAATTCTTTTTTGTGTCTATTGAGATAATCAGATGGTTTTTGCTTTTAATTCTCTTTATGTGGTGAATCAAGTTATTAATTTGCCTATGTTGAACCAGGCTTGCAGCCCAGTAATAATGCCCAGTAGAATCAAATAATTCTATTTGATCATAGTGTATTAACTTTTTGATGTGCTGCTGAATTTGGTTTGTTAGTATTTTATTGAGGATTTTTGTGTCTATGTTTATTGTTTATCAGGTATATTGGCCGAATTTTTTTCTTTTTTCATTGTATCTTTGGCAGATTTTGGTATCAGGCTGATGCTGGTTTTATAGAATGCATTAGGGAGGAGCCCCTTCTGTTTTTATTTTTTGGAATGATTTCACTAGGATTGGTACCAGTTCTTCTTTGTACAACTGGTAGAAATTGACTATGAATTCACTGGTCCAAGGTTGCTTGGGGTTGGTAGGTATTTTTTTATTGATTCAATTTTGGAACTTATTATTGGTCTGTTTAGGTTTTCACTTTTTTCCCAGTTCAATCTTGGGAGATTTAGTATTTCCAGGAATTTTTTCATTTCCTCTAGATTTTCTAATTTGTTTGGGGAGAGTTTTCATAGTTATCCTGCTGTTGTTATGTGTCTGTTTAAATCTTTTTGTAGGTCAAGAAAAACTCGTTATATGAATCTGTGTGCTCTAATGTTGGCTTTGTATATATTTAGGATATTTAAGACTTCTTGTTGGATTTTACTCCTCATTATCCAATGCTCTTCTTTGTTATTGGTTTAAATGGTATTCTTTATCCTTTTTGTTATTGGTTTAAATGGTTTTATATGGTAGAAGAATAGTGATTCCCGATATCTTTTGTTTCCCGTTTGCATGATAGATCGTTCTCCTTTCCTTTCCTTCAGCCAGTGAGTGTCATTACATGTGAGGTGGGTCTCTTGAAGACAAAAAACAGTTGGGTATTGCCTTTTTCCAGCTTGCCATTGTTATGTATTTTAATTGGGATGTTTAGCCCATTTACATTCAGGGTTAGTATTGATATGTGAGATTTTGAATCTGTCATTGTGCTGTTAGCTGGTTGTTGTGTAGACTTGATTGTATAGTTGTTTTATAGTGCCTGTGGGCTATGTGCTTAAATATGCTTTCATGGTAGCAGGTGTCATTCTTCCAATTCCATGTTTAGCATCCTATTAAGGCCCTCTTATAAGGCTGATCTAATTGAAACAAATTCCCTCAGTGTTTGAGTGTCTCAAAAAGATCTTATTTCTCCTTCATTTATACAGCTTTGTTTGGTGGCACATGAAATTATGGGTTGAAATTTCTTTATCTTAAGGATGCTGAAAGTAGGCCCCCAATTTCTTCTGTTTTATAAGGTTTCTACTGAGAGGTTCACTGCTAGCCTGATGGGATTTCCCTGTAGGTGACCTGACCTTTCTCTCTAGCTGCCTCTAAGATTTTTTGTTTTGCATTGACTTTGGTGAAGCTGATGACTATGTTCCTTGGGGTGGTCATTACTGTATAGTTTCTAGCAGGGGTTCTCTGTATTTCTTAAATTTGCATGTTAACCTCTCTAGTGATATTAGAGAAATTTTCATGGCTATAACCACAAATATATTTTCTAAGTTTTTTATTCTCTCCCCTCTCCCACTAATTCCAATGAGTTATTTATTTGGTCTTTTTACATAATCCCATAGATTTGAGAGTATTTGTTCATTCTTAAAATTCTTTTTTTTTAAACTTTATTTTTGTCTGACTGAGTTGATTCAAATTAGTAACCTTCAAGCACTGAGATTCTTTTCTCAGCTTGGTCAATTCCGCTGTTAATACTGCTGATTGCATTATGAAATTAATATAGTGAATTTCTCAGCTCTAGAAGTTCAATTTGGTTCTCTCTTAAAATGACTGTTTTGTCTTTCAGCTCCTGAATCATTTTACTACTTTCCTTGATATCCTTTGATTGAGTGTCAACTTTCTACTTAGTACTGATGAGCTTCCTTGCCATCCAGATTCTGAATTCTATGTCTGTCATTTCAGAGATTTTAGACTGGTTAAGAAATCATTGCTGGGAGCTAGTAGACTCATTTGGAGGTAAGGGGACACTCTGGCTTTTTGAATTGCCAGAGTTCTTGTGTTGATTCTCATCTCAGTAGGTTTGTGTTCCTTTAACTCAGCTGTAAGTTTACTCAGTTGGCTTCATTTCCAGAATGTTTTAAGAGGGGCAAGGCTCTGTATGTTAAGAGGGGCAAGACTCTGTATGTCCATGGTCTTTGTTTGTGGCTGAATTATGCTCTTGGTTTCACAGGGGAGGGTTAGCAAAATATTTTGGTGTTGTAGTTTGAATTACTATCCAGTAGATGGCACATAAGTGTCATGGGCAGTAGATAGGCTCTTAGCCTTGCAGCTCCTTTGTATTGATTTTCAGCAATGCTCTTAGACGTAGGAGGGAGAGAGGTGACTCCTTCACCAAGTCTGCTCCTGGGACTTGGCAGAGTCGCCTTTTATAACTGGCACTGAGCTGGTATTTCTTTTGTTAAGTGTTCTGGGCCACAGGGTGACCTTGGGCAGGGGCCATGGCAAGCAGATAGGACACCTTCCTGGACTGGCCCTGTAGAGAGAGGCATGTCCTGCTTCCATGCCAAACCATGAACCCACATGTCTCACCCCTGTCAGTGTCTGAGAGCATGGTGTACTCCCCAGCTTGTGTACCAGCCACAGATCTCAGCTCAGCACTCCTGAGCCGTGTGTCACAGTCCTAGGGTACCAGGATCAGCTTGTGGCTCCATCTTCCAGACCCTCAGGATCAGGTTCCAGGTGCCTTCAGGGATCTGATGTGCTGTCAGGCCACCAGGAATGTAACCAGGTGGAGGGAAGCACCCAGGCTGGCCAGCAGAAGCTGCACTATGCACATGTTTCTGTGGACTGGCCAGGCAGGGGCCCTGGAAGGAAGTGATGGACAGAAGGGCCTGCAGAACAGTCATACCCCAGTCCTACAGGGGATCTGGCCCTGTTTTCTCCTGGCCCAGTGATTTAGCTGGGGCTAGAGCTTCTCAGAGGGAGATATAGAGCCCAGGGGATGGGTGCCTATTGGCACAAAGGACCTCAGTTTAATGCTGGGTGAAACCATGTCTCTGTCTACTCTCCAGGCAGAGCCTCCTGCCAGCTCAAACATCCGTAGGGGAAATCAGGTCCTCTGTAACCAGTCTCTCTGAGGTCCATGTCATGAGTGGGCAGTCCTTTAACTCACCATTTCCTCAGGAGCTGTTTGGGGCCAGGAACTAGCTCTAGCATTCAGGTACCCCATGAAGGGTTGCCAGCTTCCTCCCTCTTCAGCCTCAGTGTCTGCATCATGTCTCCATTCTCAACATTTTCTCTTTGCAGATCTGTTCAAATTATGTTGTCTACTCAAATTTTTGGACTCTCTGGTGGGAGCAGTGCTTCCTGGCTGCATCTGGTTGGCCATCTTTACTAATTCTTTTCCTCTACTTATTTTAGGTGTGGTTTGTTCTTGTGTTCTAGTTTTTTGAGATTCCTCTTTAAATTACTTAGTGAAAATCTTTCTCCTTTTGGTCATAGGCATTTATTGCTTTAAGCTCACCTCTTAATACTGCTTTTGCTGTGTCCCATAGATGTTTGTGTGCTATGTTTCTATTTTCATTTGTTTCAATGAGTTTTTAAAATTCCAGTTTTAATTTCTTTCTTTACCCACTGATCATTCAGTTGCGTGTTGTTTAGTTTTTATATATTTGCATATTTTTGAATGTTCCTTTTGTTGTTGATGTTTAGTTTTATTCCATTGTGGTCAGATAACATACTTGTTATGATTATAATTTTTGTATATTTGTAGAGACCTGCTGTGTGGTCTAACATGTGGTCTATCCTAAATAATGATTCATGTGATCAAGAGAAGAATTTGTATTCTGTAGCTTTTGGATAAAATGTTCTGTAAATGTCTGTAAGGTTCATTTTGTCTACAGTGCAATTTAACTTCAGTGTTTCTTGGTTGATTTTCTGTCCAGATCAGTGGTCCTCAACCTTTTTGGTGCCAGGACTGGTTTCATGGAAGACAATTTTTCCACGGACCAGGGAGTCAGGAAAGGATGGTTCTGGGATGAAACTGTTCCATCTCAGATCATCAGGCATTAGTTAGTATATTAGCCCATTTTCACACTGCTACAGCGAGCTGCCCGAGACTGGAAAATTTGTAAAGGAAAGAGGTTTAATTGACTCACAGTTCAGTATGGCTGGGGAGACCTCAGAAAACTTACAATCCTGGGGGAAGGCAAAGGGGAAGCAAGGCACCTTCTTTACAAGGCAGCAGGAAGGAGAATGAACACAGGAGGAGCTATCAAACACTTATAAAACCATCAGATCTCATGAGAACTTACTATCACTAGAATAGCATGCGGGAAACTACCTCCATGATTCAATGACCTCCAGCTGGTCTCTCCCTTGACATGTCATGATTATGGGGATTATAATTCAAGATGAGATTTGGGTGGGGACACAAAGCCTAAACATATCAGCTAGATTCTCATAAGGCGAACACAACCTAGATCCCTCACATGCACAGTTCACGGTAAGGTTCTTGGTCCTATGAGAATCTAATGCTGCTGCTGATCTGACAGGAGGTGGAGCTCAGGCCATAATGCTTCCTTGTCCTGCCGCTCTCCTCCTGCTGTTCACCTGGATTACAAACAGGCCATGGAACATAACTGGTCAGGGTCTGCAGCCTGGGGCTTGGGGACCCCTGTTCTAGATGATCTGTCCATTGCTGAAAGTTGGGTGCTGAAGTCCCCAATTATTGAGGGTTTTTTAATTAAATATAGCAAAGCTTGTGCTTATACATACTACAAGTATCTTCTCACAGTCTTTTGCTTAATTTTTAACGTTTTTAATAGAATAAATTTTGCTAAGGCAAATGATTTTACTTATAAGATAAATTTAGATTCTTAATTCACAATATACACTTAACAAATCCAGGTGAATAGTGGAGGAAGAAAGCTTTAGAAGCTTTTAAAAAAATATGAAGATTATCTCTGTGAAGTTGAAACACGATGAATGCATAAAACAAAAAGGTAGTTAACTAACAAATTTACCACCCCAATATAAGAAGGACAACAAATTAGAGACTGTCAACAATTCTGCATTTCCAATGTTAAGAATAAAATTTGAAAGTTAGTCATGAAAAGAAACGGGAAAACTTGATCTAAAAAACTCAATAAAACTGATTCAGAAATGATTAATGTTGCAATTTAGCTGATAAAGATACAAATAATTTAATGTAAACATGTTCAATTACTTAAAGGAATAGATGAGACTAGTGAGTGAATATATAGTGAATCTCAAAAAACAAAATAGGAACTCCAAAAAGAAGTAAGTGGAAAATTCTAAATGTGAAAATTCTAAACCCAGCAATCCCATTACTAGGTATATACCAAAGTAAAATCAATTGTTCTACCAAGAAGATACATGCAGTTGTATGTTCATCACAGCACCATTCACAATAACAAAGTCACAGAATCAACCTATGTGCCCATCAACAGTGAACTGGATAAAGAAAATATGGTACATATACACCATGGAATACTACACAGCCATAAAAAAGAATGAAATAACATCCTTTGGAGCAACATGAATGCAGCTAGACCGCCATTATTCCAAGTGAATTAATGCAGGAACAGAAAACAAACTACTGCATGTTTTCCTTTATAAGTGGGAGCTAAAAATTGGGTACTGATGGACACAGATATGGAAACAATAGACACTGGGGACTACTAGAGGTGAGAGAGAGGGAGGAGGGCAAGGGCTGAAAAACTACCTATTGGATACTATGCTCACTACCTCATTCATGCCCCAAACCTCAGCATCACGCTCTATTATCTTTGCAACAAACCTGAACATGTGCCCCACGAATCTAAAATAAAAGTTGAAATTATAAAAAAAAACTATAAAGCACTCATATAATGGAATGCTCCTCAACAATAAAAACAAGCTGCTGATACACACACACACACACACACACACACACACACACACAGCAGTTTCACTATTATCATAGTAAGGAAGTAAGAAATTATACTATCTAAATTCTTCAAGTTTCTTGTATATTTAATGAAAGATTTCTATAGCAAAAACAGAAATAAAAAGACATTCAGTACCAGATATGAATACTTTGTTGGATAGCTTAATAACAGATTGGACACTAATGAAAAAAGATGATACATTTGTTTAATGGTAAGCCAATAGAAGCAATCCAAACCGAATCAGTGGCTTTAAGAAAGTCTCATCCAGGCAGAATGGGCAAACTCAAGAAAAAAATGCTGTTTGAGGAATTCTTTGAAATGCTGGAATGAGGTGGCACTAGTACCTTCCTGTTTTCAGTCACTGGCAAAGAGCAGTCAAGTGAAGTTGACCTTGGCCAGAACATAGTGGTAGATCCAAAATAGTAGCAGTTGAAACAATTAGGGCTCATTTAATTTGTAGCTACCTAATTTGCATTCATAAACTTCTTCAAAGTATTTTCCTATAATCAACAATTATTTTATTTTTGGAGTTATGTTTATTCTTAATGCAATAAGACTTGAACATATTTAACTGCTCTGACAAATTTTCTCCATTTTTTAAAGATGCTGCCATTTTTAACCTCAATATATGAAATGCTTTTAGAACTCTATACTATAGTTATATTATTTGATTTGCCAATTAATTTTTATTAAAAAGTTAAAATAGATAAGCAATGATCCTACTAAATTTCCACCTTTCTTTACATTTAATATTTGGTAAATCATGATGTAATTTCTTTTCTATAGCTGATTCTGAGCCCATCCTATATTTTAGCCCCTATCTTTGCTTATTTTAGCGCACACAGCAAATACAAAAAGGATTGCTGCTTTTCTTTCTTACCAGATTCCACTGATCTGTTGCAAAGAACTAGTATTTTGTACTCTTACCGATATATTACCTTATAGTTTTTCAGCCTTTATTCCTCTTTCAAGCTGTTTAGCCAGGATGAGCACAGCCAAATGGTTAAAACTCAAACATAGTTATGTTTGTTAGAGAAAATGAAAATGATATATTTAAATCTTATTTCTGAATACTTCATTAGTTCAGAATTCATGAGAATTGTGTATTGAGTATAAAGTATCGAGTTGAATGTTACATTTGCATTACCTGAGAAGACTTATTGAGTAAAAGAGTTCTAAAAGCATTTTATAATGACAATGTTTATCAATAAAAAAAAATTCTACATAACTTTAATATAATTATATTCCAGTCCAAGTTAAACTGACGCTTTGATATCTTAATTACAAATTTCTAACCATTGTATTTAGTAAAGGAATTGCATGACATTAGAAATCATAATTAAAGTCATCTTCTAAATTTCAAAACACACAGGAGACTTATGTATAAGCATCTGTAAGAACTTTTGAATCCCTTTGGTAAAATTAAGATGAATAGAATTATTTAACCAAAGAAAGCTGTAATCTTATCAATTATATAGAAATATATCTAATATAATATTGGAATAAACATCTTACAGTATTCACGAAGAACACAAGTTGGATAATAGGAATTTTACTTTTAGAGTTTCTATTTTGTTCTTTCGGAGTCATCATTTGTTCACTCATTGTTCCCATCTATGAGTAATAGTGAGACACACTGTAATGTAGGAACGCAAGTATTCAGAGAGGTATTCTCTATTGAGAAGGGAGCATTGTTTAACTAGGCTTTGTCATAACCTGACTAATTCTATTATCAGCATACTTGCTCTTTATGTGGTTGCAAAAACAGTTTCCTAATTTCTAAAGTAGTAGGTCCATAGAGGTCTTCATAAGAGAAAGAATTATTATGGTCAGCATAAAAGTTTGCTCCTAATCGGAAATACCATGTTGTCCTGGAATATTATTTAGTCAAATTTTGGATTTTCAAATTTCAAAGTCAAGCCTTGAAAAAGAGTCACCACAACTAAATACTACCTTTTTATCTAACTTGAACAACTAAACAACCTCTTATATTATGTATTTTTATTTCTTCCATCTTAGTTCTATTTATACAATATGCATCAAAAGAATATCACTGCATTTATTTTGGAAATATATACCACCATGTGTATGCATGTGCGTATGTGTGTATTTCTGTGTGTCAGATGTAAGTTTTATTAAAATTACCTTTCCTTGCAATTAGTTGTAGTTTTACTGAAAATGGTAGCATGCCACAAGTTCATTTTTTTCATTAAGTTCTTCTGCTACAGAAACTGCCTTAAACAAATTTAAAAAGCAAAAAACATCTCACTTATTGAAGTTCCCATACTAAAGATAAATGGTAAACTAAAAGAACCAGAAACAAGTGGAAATACAGAAGAAAGTAGAGGAGAAAAAAATGAAAAGAAAGGGTATATCCATAACCTTTGCTATATCTGGACAAAGAGAGAGACAAGCTGGTAAGCCAGAATTTTGTAATTTATTATGTATAAGAGTAAGGGTCTGTTACAGAAACAGACAGAATATTTATTTACATCTTCCAACAAAGATGTTTTCCAGGAACTAAACCATTTAACTAGAGGGCAGTATGTCTCCAGGCTGAACAATATATTGAGCATTTCTTACTTCTAAGTTGCTTAAATATTTTAAATGCCCGAGAGCCTGGCCAGTTGGTTGATGGCACAAAAGTAGATCTTTGATTGGGAACAGTGGCATTCTTTATCCATGTTTATGGCAGATGGAATGTTCAGTAATTGAGATTCAGGGGTTAATTGATTTAATTACCAACTTGAAATCAATCAGCCGTATACAGTATACAGCAGCCAGATTAAATGAAATCTAACCCACAAAGCATTGCATCTCTAACAACAAATATAATTAACTGTTACTCCTAATTATGACTCAAGGACTTCGATATCATGAAATCCTGAAGTATCTTCTTTCACTTGTACAACTGATTTGCTCACTTTGTATGTAAGATTCCCTCCACGCAGAAGCAATTTAATTCTATATTGAGAAAATATTTTTAAAGGAAGCAGTAAAGAAACCCATAGCTAATGCTGTCTCCAGTCAATTGCCTGTGCTCAGTTATGCTATAAAATCATTATAAATTAGTGATCCAAGAATTTTGCTATATGGGGCATGAAAGAGCAAGAGTTCCCAGAACTTAACCCTGTCTGTCCTCCGGAGCCTAGGAAAGGATGCAAAAGATATCCAGATGATTCCAAACACCATGACTGACTGTGTCTTTGTTACTTAGCTGTGTCTAAGTAACATACAATAAAGTGCCATAGTAATAGTTTTTCAGTTTATGTGTCAGTCAAGTAAAGTGCGTCAGTCAAGTAAAGTAAGTCAGTCAAGTAAAATTAAACAATTTATTTGGGTACTACTATTTGGTATTCATTTTTTAAAAAGTAAATTTCTTAGTTTGTCAGTGTTTATTCAATGGATAATTTCCTAAATGGACACAGTCTTGGTTTCATTTGGAAAAATATAGCTTATTTCGTTCTCACCCCATTATCCTTCATTTTATTATAGCCCTCTTATTAACATCACATTCGCTCTTGGAGGCTAATTTACTATATGAGTCTCTGACCCTGACTTTGCCTTTGTTTCAATCTTCTATGCTGATATAAATGCTTTAATCCAGTTATATCACCTGATATCTGATATATTATTGTTCGTATGGGGCATATTCTTCGGTGTTTGGTAAAATCTTCATTCAGCTAAGGAAAAGGCTGAAGCTCTCTTCTCTTCTTTGAGATGGGCAGTTTTAGGGCCTGTTTTCCCCAGAATTAAAACCAAATAAACAAATAACATTTCCATCTACCCAGAAGAGAGCCTATCTGCACAGATTTGGAAATCCTGAAGTTAGTTTATTACGTGCATTAGGCCAGAGGCCCTCTCATTAGTGTAATATTTCTATCATTATGGTGATTTCGTTCAGTTGGGTGTCTTCTCTCTCTTCTGGGAGTAACAGGTACTTTCTGCAAAATAGATGCTTCTAACTTTGACCTTTTTAGTGCTAGACTTTTCTAAGAGTTAACCTTCATTTTCCTAGCAGCACCTACAAAACAATTCTGATATGTCTGGGTAATTCCTAAATGTTCTTCTTCAGGAATGCCACCAATAATTGGATATAGAACTATTCAAAGAAGTGTCTTATCTGTGGGGTTCAACACTTGTGAAGGCACAGGTACTCTTGCTCTTGGATTTGATTATGCATGTTTCCCCTGGTTTCAGGCCAGAGGAGGGAGTGCTGTCTGTCATGCAATCATTTCCCTTGTCTATTTACTAGATAGTTGCCCTCATGCATGCCTATCCTCTACCTCTTACCTGGATATGGCTTTGTCCAATGATGTCCCATCCTATAAAGACGGTCTCCACTTAAACACTGGCTAATAAGGAGATAATCAATAATACACCTATGTTGACAAGGGTCTAGTGGTCTTTTAAATGAATCAATGGTACAAGAACCACAGTTTACAGAAATTATAAAACTGGCACTAATGCAAATCCATTCCATGCCAATGAATTGGAAGAATCAGTATCATGAAAATGACCATACTGCCCAAAGCAATCTACAGATTCAATCCAATTACTATCAAAATACCAACACCATTTTTCATAGAATTAGGAAAAAAAAATCTTGAAATTCATATGGGACCAAAATGGCTGGAATAGCCAAAGTAATCCTAAGCATAAAGAACAAATCTGGAGGCAGGCATCACATTACCTGAATTCAAATTATACTGTAAGGCCACAGTATCCAAAATAGCATGGTACTGGTATAAATGTAGATACATACACAGATAGAATGAAATAGGAAAACAGAAATAAAGTCAAATACTTAACAACCAACTGATCTTTGACAAAAATTACAAAAACATAAATTGGGGAAAGGACACGCTACTCAATAAATGGTGCTAAGAAAACTGGATAGCCACAGGTAGAAGAATGAACCTGGATCCCTCTCTCTCACCATATACAAAAATGAACTCAAGATAGATTAAAGACTTAAATCTGAAACCATAAAAATCCTAGAAGAAAACCTAGGAGAAACTCTTCTGGACATTGGCCTAGGTAAAGAATTTATGACTAAGACCCCAAAAACAAACTCAACAAAAACAAATAAATTGGACCCAATTAAACTAAGAAGCTTCTGCAAAACAAAATTTAGCAGAGTAAACAGACAACCCATAGAATGGGAGGAAATATTTGAAAACTATGAATCCAACAAAGAACTAATATCCAGGATCTACAAGAAACTAAAACAAATCAGTAAGATAAAAACAAATAATTCCATGAAAAAGTGGGCAAATGACATGAATACACAATTCTCACAAGAAGATGTACAAATGGCCAACAAACATGAAAAAATGCTCAACATCACTAATCATCAGAGAAATGCAAATTAAAACCACCATAAGATACCACATTATCCCAGAATGACCATTATTTTAAGTCAAAAAACAATAGATGTTGGCGTGGACATAGGGAAAAGAAAATGCTTATACACTGCTGGTGGGATGTAAATTAGTACAACTTCTATGGAAAACAGTTTGGAGATTTCTCAATGAACTAAAAGTAGATCTACCACTTGATCCAGCAATCACATTACTGGGTATCTACCCAAAGGAAATGAAATTATTATATAAAAAAGATATCTGCACATGTATGTTAATTGCAGCACAACTAACAACTGCAAAGATACAGGGCTAACCTCAGTGTCCATCAACCAATGAGTGGATAAAGAAAATGTGGTATATATAAACCGTAAAATACCAAGCCATACAAAAAAGAATGAAGTAGTGTATTTTGCAGCAACCTGGATGAAGCTGAAGGCCATTATTCTAAATGAAGTAACTTCAGGAATGGAAACCAAATACTGTATGCTCTCACTTACACATGGAAGCTAAGCTATGGGTGCGAAAAGGCAGACAGAGCGGTATAATGGACATTGGAGGCTCAGAAGCAGGGACGGTGGTAGGGGGCTGAATGATAAAAACAAAATTACATGTTAGGTACAGTGAACACTACTAGGGTGATGTGTGCACTAAAATCTCAGACTTCACCAATACATAATTCATACATGTTACCAAAAACCACTTGTACCTCGAAAACTACTAAAATAAATATAAAATAAAATAAAACTGGGCCACATAGAGGCCCACACAGAACTTGCTCAGCTCACACTTGGCCTGTGTGCTTCCAACTAATAGACACTTTATATAGTTTTTCTGGATGCATTCCAAGAGTGAGGCAGCCACAGAATCAAACATATCCAGCAAAATGGGAAACTTCTTGAATTTTGCCATAAAATAATAAGTAGCTACAATTTCCAAAAGTTCTTCAGATACCTAATATATTCTTAATATTCAAAGAAAAGGATTGAAACATAATTTTTGTTGCCACTAGAAGTAAGCCTGTTCATAGAATTTAGAGAGAAAAGTGGTAATGGTAGTGAATTGCATGCTTAATAGGTACTTAGTACTATTCTAAATGCAGTATTACATTTCTATTAATTCTTACAACATCCGTTCTAAAGTAAATACTGGTACTATGTGGCATACAAAAGCTAACTGTTTGTAAGTAGTAAAGCCATAATTTGAACTAAATAATTTTGCTCTGGAGCTCATGCTTTTAATGGCCTAGCTCAGTACTATGTCAAAAACAAAACAAAAATCCAATAGGATTTAATTTTTAGTAAATATTGCCTGAGAAAGGGATTCTGTGCTCCCTAGTTCCTTCTGAGCCTTAAAGGTATATGCCAAACAATCAGTGGTTGGGTTTAATATCTTGACAGACAGATCTTGATATAAATTAGTTTGGAAACATTTAGGCAGCTAGAACTACCAGGAACAAGGAAGGGAGTAGTACCAATTGTCCTGTACTTTTCTAGATGGGGATTTCATCTAAGGTATATATTTTGTACATCTTAGATATAAACTGGGCTGCAATTTTTTTTTAGCAATTAAAGATTTCTATAAGCAGGGGCAGCTCTTTCAAAGGGGTTATAAACCAGAACATGCTATGATTCTTTCAGTTACTAGCTATGTGATTATGAGCATGTTACTTAATTTTTTTGTCATAGTTTCATCATTTGTAAAAAGGGGATAATAACAGTACTTATCACACAGGTGTTTCTGATAATCAAATAAGTTGATATGTATAAAATTTACAGAATGTTGCCTGAGATATGGTAAACACCAGGAAAATATGATTGTGTTCATATCATTATGAATATCCAGAACTCCTAGCCATCACTGGTCAATAAAAGGCCATTTAAATAGCTATGCTATTGCTCACCTTTACATTTTATCCATGATTCCATTTCATTCCCTTCATTTTACCAATCCTTAGGATCTTTATTCTTTCTTACACATCCCTAGTCTACCTATTCTAAATGTTATTCATTATCTCCATGATGAGTTCAGCCTCAGAAGTCCAAAGGACAGATAGAGCTACAACATGCCCCTCAACACCTAACCTCCCTTCCCTCACTGCCCCTGTGCCTGAGGTTTCTAGTTTAGTATTTAAGACTCCTCAGGGCTGTTCTACCTGACTCCTCAACCCTAGATAGCAACCTCCTTAGGGGGTAGCCAGACACACAATTTAATCCCAAATCCCTTACTCACATTTTGCCTTAACCAGTTGTCAAAACTTATTTCCTCCAACTCCCATATGTACCAGTCACAAACCTGTTAAGTTACCTGCAAGTTTTCAACCTTGCTTTAGTCATTTGTGATTTTCCTTCTCAGCTCTGAAATTTGGTTCACTTGAAAAACATTCTGGTTCTCCAGCCACATTTTCTTTTATCCAAGCTGTACTACTTCAGGCTGCCATGGGAACCACTCCTCCAAATTAAAGAGCCCCCAGTGACCTGACTACCCAATACTTCTCTAAAGGGAAATGCCCTTAGAAGCAAGCTTTAGCCCAGACGCATACTATACATTCAGTTAAATAAACAGTGTTGAATGACTACAAAACACACAAGATCAGCTATTCAAACATTTTCATATGAGAAACAATACTGCAATATTTTCAGGTGTTTAATGATGTTGCTTTACAAATCATAACTTTTATCCACAAAAAGGAATAAGCATAAAGGAAGGAGAAATTCTCTCATTTTAAACGCATGATGAGATTTTTTTTTAATTCTGAAAACAATTATAAAGTAAATTGAATAGAGGATTTCTTGGGAAATTAGTGACTGATCCAAGGAATTGCCAAAGTTCTAATAATCCAGATGCCATTTTGTAGCATTTGGAAATGCAATTAGGTAATGTGAACTTCCTGAATATAAAACACAAACAATTGGCACAAAATCGCCTTATGTATTTAAATTGTAGATATTCTTTAAAATTTTTTATTGAACTAAGAGAACATGATGTTTCAGGTCAATTATTATAGTCAGCTTTTCTATCAACATTATGTTGGGAAAAAATTATCCATGAATATCTCACATTTTTGCATGATCTGGATATTCTGAGAAGATATTTACAGTCAACTTAAGAATGTTTTTAATATAAGGGGACACTGCAAGATAGTAAAGTTTAGAGCTGTCTCCCGCCCTTGAGATGTTCCAGAGGAGATTTGTTTACACTCCAGAGTAAAGATAAGGTGTCTCTCATTCTGGAGTGGGTGCTCAGTTACCCAGTAGTTGTATATACGATTCGAGTTTCCTAATTCTGGGCATTCTCTCCTTTAATTTACCCTACTACATGTGCAGATATGATTTGAACTTCAGCACACCACCCTGTGGGGACTGGGACTCAAGGAACTGGAAATGGTACAATAACATTACTCCTGATGATGCTTTTGCTGTGAGTAATAAACTGCCTTTGTCTCTGACCCAGATGTCTTTTGATTATATATATATAAATATATATATAAAATATATATAATATATAAATATATATATAAAATATATATAATATATATAAAATATATAATATATATTATATATAAACATATATAATAATATATATAAATGTGTGAGTGTGTGTGTGTGTGTGTGTGTGTAACTCAGCAACTACATATATAACTAACTATAAGTACACTAGCTATAAGAAAGTTTGGGAGGCTGGGTGCGGTGACTCACGCCGGTAATCCCAGCAATTTGGGAGGCCAAGGCAGGTGGATAATTTGAGGTCAAGAGTTCAAGACCAGCCTTGGCAACATTGTGAAATCCAGTCTCTACTAAAAATACAAAAATTAGCTGGGTGGTAGTGGCACGTGCCTGTAATCCCAGCTATTCAGGAGGCTGAGGCAAGAGAATCAATTGAGCCTGGGAGGCGGAGGTTGTGGTGAGCCAAGATCGTGCCATTGCACTCCAGTGTGGGCAACAGAGTGAGGGAAAGAAAAGAAAAAAAAGAAAAGAAAAGAAAAGAAAAGAAAAGAAAAGAAAAGAAAAGAAAAGAAAAGGAAGGGAAGGAAGGGAAGGAAGGAAGGAAAAGTTCGGGAAAAGCAGCTTTAGATTTCCTGAGCTATAATACTCAGGGATGGGGGGAACAGTAGTAAGTGTGTGTGTGTGTGTGTGTGTGTGTTTGTGTGCAGTTACTTTTTACTTTAAAGTAAAAAGTTTTACCTTGCAAGCAAGATAAAATCTCAGTCCATTCACAGTTTCTGACTTTACTTAGATATAAATTACATCTAATGAAATTATTTTAAATGTAGTGTTTATGAGCATTGATACATATATAGACATGTGTAACCAACACCACAATCATGATATAGAATATTTCAATCACCAAAAAAGCTCTCTTTTGCTTATTCCCAGTCAATCTCCTCTAGACCCTCAGATAGAAGCAATCACTGATATATTGTCTATAATTATGGATTATATTAATCTTTTCTAAAGTTTCATATAAATGGAATCATGCAATTCACTCATCATAATATTTTTGAGATTCAACCATGCCATTTCTTGTTACACTAATGCATTCTTCTTAATTGCTGTTTAGTATTCCAGTATATTAATATTCTATGTGTTTATGCATTCTGCTATTGAAAGGCACCTAGGAGGTTTTCCAGTTTGGAGCCACTATAATAAAGCTACTAAGGTCATTAATTTGCAAGTCTTCATGTATAAACAAATTTTATTTCTCTTGGGTAAATAAACAAAAGTAGAGTGACTAGGGTGCATAGTAAGTGTATTATTAACTTTATACAATTTGTGAAACTATTTTCCAAACTGATTGTATCATTTAACATTTGATAACATGTTTGTGAATTCCACTTATTTGATGTCCTCTCTAAAATTTGAATTGCCATCTTTTTAATGTTGGCATTCTAATAGGTGCAATAAGAATGCTCCACATGCTAGTTATTGTCAGTCTGCACTTGGCATCCACTTCTATATTCTTCTGTTTCCCCAACCCTTGAATGTGATAGAAATGGAAAATCTAAAGCTGCTTTTGCCAAACTTCCTTATACCTAGACTTCTCAATGCAGTTTAGATTATTTCAATGAGACAAATGCCCATAAAATTTGGAAAGTGTCAATGATGCGGAGACTATTCTTTTCTGAGATGGTGCAGTTGGTCAAATGGGCTTAGGCAGCAGCTGGATTCCATGTTCTTCTCCATCTTACCAGAGTCGGGTATGCAGAAGTTGTAACATCAATAGGGGTGATGGTCAAGACAACAACCAGTTCCTGATCTCTGGGTTATAGCTATAGTAGCATTTGCCCTTTAAATCAGAAGCAGAATGCTTGCTTCAGCAGCACATATACTAAAATTGAAATCAGAAGCAGAGCAGTGACCACTTGACTTTTACTTCAAGAATTCTGATGATTTTGAAATCAATTAAGCCCCCTTTAAAAATGCTTTTCTGCTTAGCACTCCTGGAGTACCTTCTGTTACCTGAATCTTGATTGATTCAGTAGACATTAAGGAAAAAAAGAAAATTAAAAATGTAAAATATATAGACAGGAGTTGTAAATGTGAATTGGCATAGTGTTTAGAATTTCTCTACTCCTCAGTGGGAACTGCTTAATATGATTATTATTTTATCACTGTAACAATGTGTTAACAAAGATCAGTTGGCAATATATTAATATTGTTAACATTTTTTGAGAACTTACTATGTACCAGGCACTGTGATAATTAATTTGATGCTTATTATAAACCTGTCAATCACAGCACAGTCCTTATTATGTCACCTTAAATCTAATTTAATCATTTCCTACTCTATACTAGAAAAGAATTTAAGCGTAGTTCTATCTAAAACAAAATTATACAATTCCACTTCTATGTTTCTTCTCTGAAAAAATGTGCCACTAATTATCACCTTCTACCTCATTGGGAAAATAGGCACTCTCCCAAATGCTTGACACTTACCTGCAAATTTACCCACTTCCAACTTCCTTTCTTCTTCTTAGGGTTACAATGAAAATGATCACTTTCTTCTTGTACAAAATTTATACAAATTTATCAAGAAATATGAGGTGTCTTATGACCTCTATCATATTTACTTCTTCAGTCTGAAATTCTGTCATCCTCATTTCAAACTATCTCTAATCTCAAGACACCCAATTTTTAAAAAAACCCTCTCTGCATCACTAAGGGTTCAATGAGATAAGCAAAACTACTACAAATAATATGGAATAAGGTACTTAATACAGGGAATTCAGATCTTAGTAAGTATAGGAGGTGGTCAAGAATTCTACACAGGCTATCGCCTCTGAGTTGAGGTTGAGCCTGAAGAGGTATGGATGATCTTGGCCATCAGACAGAAAGAAAAGCTGAATATAAAGGAGAACAATAAGAAACTAGAACCACAAAGATGAGCTGGAACCTTCATCAATCTATAGGTTCTACTGTCAGCTTTAATGCCAGGACTGATCCACAGTAGAAGCTGTCTCCCTTGACTATAGATCTGCTCGTATGCCAGTCCTAGAATTTTGAGAACCTTTGGGAGAAAACCCAGCAGGAGAGAAAGGAGCTGCAGGCTGCAGGTTTACCCATGCCAACAAGATAAGCCAACACTGCCACAGTGCTGGACACCCTTCAATAACCTTCAAAAAATAAAATGCTATTATCACTCTTTCACTTCTTCCTGCCAAGTCACATGCATATGCATCTTGCAGCCATCTGTAATCCAAAACAATGCTGGGGAAAGGGATCTTGGAAAGATAGTTAAGGTTCAGCAAGTTAACACAATATGAATCTGTATGTGTTATTTGGGACTCATTTTAAAAACATACTTCTTCAAGATTTTCTTCCATGACTAGAATTTTCTCCCAAGACTAGAATTAATGATCCACATACATGGTCTCAAAACATTATGTGCTTCAACTTATCCAATATTTAGCTCCCAGTTTGGCTATTTGCCTCTGTAATACAAACACAATATCCATGAAAACATAAAGTCTGCTAGCACCAAATAGGTGCTGAATATCTGTATGCTAAATAAATGAATGACAGTTCAATTATTCCATTCCTGTCTCATTAAGAGTAGAAAAACAATCATTTATTAGAAGGAATTTTTTTAAAAACCCACACACATAAATGATTGTGAACACAGGGATACAAAATGTACTTGCGATAAACTAATGAAAGTAAAGGTCTTTATAAGGTGAAAATAAAAATGTGATTACATCAGAAAGAAGTCACTTGGAGACTGTATTATATTAATTTTTTAAAAGCAACATAGAAGGTGTCCCACGTTTGTAGAGAAAAGTGAGTATTTAATTCAAAAAATAATATCAGTATGTTGAGTATAACATAGAATTAATTATGATATTATTTTAAAGCCTCCTAATAATTTTATGGGAAAAAATGAGAGTATACAATGTCTGAAAGTCATTTTTAAAATTTCAACTAAGACACTGTTTCTTGATTAATAATTGATCCAAGAACAAATTGATTAGTAAATTTTCTGCAGATAAGGTAAAGATGAATGAGGGAAGGAGGCCAAGTTAATCAATAAAAATATGTACATGCAAAGAGCAGTTGGGTCAAAGGCATGAGACACTGCTGCCATCCTGAAGGAGCAGTCTATGAGAGAAAGGGTGGCGAGCTGTACATGAAAGATACAGAGGAAAAGAAAGAGTTGAGTTGGCTTACAAAAGACTGTCTTCATGATAGGGTCAGCATAAGTGACACACAGGTAAATTACAATCACATAATAAGTGGGATGACTAAAATGAATGGGTTAGGATAATGATTATTTTGTTTTGGTGTAATGGACTATTAAAAAGCTTCATAGAAAGAATTACTAAACATCTTTCAGTACAAGGTGAGAGGTTCTTACCAGGAGTCATGTGATAGAGCATAGGTAAGATGGGATCCAGCACAGGGAAATGTTCCTGTATGTGTTGCCTGAGGGGCTGCTAAGGAGATTTTAGCAAACGAAATTTTTGCTAAGGTTTTCCTGGCCAACCTTTCCATGTAACCCTTGTTACATGGAAACAAGGGTTGTTACATCCAATAATATGATACATGTTTTGAGATACAAAGATAATTTCAGATAGATACTCCCTACTATCTTTTAACATTAAATTCCAAAAAATTATGGATTCCTCATTTTTTCTGGGTGTCATGGCCATTTTTAGCTGGCATTTCAAATACTTTGAGCCGGAAGGAGGACAAATATGGCAAATACAGTCCTCAGTCACCCGCACTGATGGCTAATCAATCAATTAACAACACTATAAGTTTTATCTATTCAAATTGTATAGAGTTCCTATTGTTGTATATAAGTATTGTCTATTTTTTCCCATTTCCCTATTGGTTTAAATCCGTTATAACTATTTTAAAAGAAAAAAAAATGTCTGAATGGATTCACTTGGAGTAAAAAGCAATGAATATTTATTATAAATATTTCCTTTAAAGGTAAGTTACTAAAACATAATTCTATAGCATTCCTCTTTGTTCTTCAGGCATACAACAGTTTGTGGGGTGTTTTTTTTTTCATTGTATCTAATATTTGCTCCACAAAATGGAAAAATAAAACTTTTGAGTTTGGAAATGAGCAGACACATGTTTTTTATTACAAAGGGAGTTATTTAAATATTATTTAATAATTTTAAATTTATTTAATAATTTTAATTATTTAAATAATTTTAAATATTATTTAAAATATTAAAATATTAATTAATTAATTAATTAAAAATATTGTCTCCACCTTTTCCTACTTTGAACAGTTTTGTAATTTATGGAACTAATTAAATGATTTTTTCACAATTTTAACAACTAGCAATTTTGCAGTTTATATGTACACAGATGTTTTCCTTTCCAATTGCTAACTTCTGTGAAGAAAGAGAAAAATGGAAACCAATATGGTGGGTTATTTGTGAATCTCAACCTAGTCCAAAGGCCTTTGGATGTTTGATACACATTAGATTCTCTTCCTCCTCTACACATCTCTACCAAATAAATAAGCATTGGATGCAATGAGGTGTTTTTACTTTAAAATAAATTCCCTTATTTATTGTTTCGTGAAACAATAAATATAGTATAAAGTATAAAATAAAGTATAAACAAATATGTCAAGATAGCCACCAAGCAAAGTCAATGAGTCCCTTTTGTCAGAGTACCTGGCCTCCAATAGCTTTTTGACACCAGTAGAGAAAATATTTCTAATGAAAGAAAAAAAATGCAGGGAGACAAAAAGCATTACTTCCCATATGAAAATTATATTTGCAGAGCTGTTCCCGATGCACATTTTTTTCTCCCTACAGAAGATTCCTCACTTTATTGAACTTAATTTTTATAAGCAAAATGAGTTGTTAGGTTCAGAGATGTAAAGTCTGGGCCAGGGGATTGTACAAAGTATTAAATTTGAAATATGTCAGTGTTAGATTTTGCTGGAAAAAAATTTGTCATATTTTCAGACTTGTATTTCTGAAGTTTTTCAATGTATTAAAAGATAAGTTGATTTTAAATATTACATACTAAAAGTTTATACAAAAGGAACTTGCTCTTTCAACTATGCCTCTTCTCCCATCACATGTGGATTTTCCTAGTTTTTTGGGGGCTGACTACATATTCAGCAATGTGCTTCTATGCTACTTTGGAATCACCCTGTCATTTACTTAGCAATGAATTAATATCAAGCTTTCATCTTTGAAAAATGGGCTGTGATTTTTTTTAATACAAAATAAATCGGTATTATTTATTATACTTGACAAGCTACTCAGCTAGGCAACATTTAGTGATGTCCCCAGATAGAGAAGATTTAGATAACATTGTTTAAATATATGAGTCTTTAGTGAATTATTGGGACTTGGCACTGTTTATAATTGTTAATTTTACCTCCACCTATGAAAAATGTCAAAAAGTGACTAAGTTCATTAGAGGGCTATCAGCCAATTGAAATCCAGTAATAGATGAATAATGTTAATGGGCTAAAAGCTGCCTTTTTTTTCTTAATACATTAGACATCTTGAATGGATTTCAAATATGAAACAATTGGCTTAATGTATTCTTAAAATCAACAAACAAAATAGTTTATAATACAATACAAATTAACTTTGCTGAAAGTTTCTCTCCTTACCATTAAAATTTAATGAAATAAAGCATTCAAATATTTGTTCTCTTCTTTCATAATAGGCAACATTAATTTTAAAACCTGATGGATAAACAATTTTCTACCATTCTTTTTAGTTATAAATCAAAAGGTCACATTCCTATAAGAAGTAACACTTGTTTTAAAAAAAAACTGTAGACATGAACACATCTGCTTGAAATAATCACAAAAGACTATTCAGTAAAACCTATGCTCTGCATCCACAAGTACTCTGAGTGTCCTCTGATGGATCTCATCTACAAGTGAGAATAACCAAATATCCAGACATTGTGAGAAAAGACAGATAGATGGAAATATTCACAGTTAAATATGAAAGATGACATTTCTTTTCTTTTGTTGTTGTTAGGCTACTTGGTAATCCAAGAGCTATAATGCTATATATTGGGTGGAGGCATTACCTACTTGCCACAGGATTGGGGAAAGCTTCAAGGATAAAGAGGAATTCTAAAGAAGAAAGGTAGGACATTGAGAATAAGACAAAAGTCAGGATAAGAGGACCACACATTTAGCAGGAAATAATGGGCCAAATGCTGAGGCTGACTTATCTGTTGATGTATTATTTTGACTTACAGATTGCTCATCCTGCACTCTGCCGTTTTAGTGGCATGTTTCTCATGAGCAGAGAGTATGGTTTATCAGTTGTTGAATGTCTATGCCCTACTGGTGTTACTAAGTAACACCTTTACATAGTAGTCTCATAACCTTGAAAATTTTATTTGCTCTCAGTGAAGAAGATGCTCTCAGGAAAAAGCTTTCCTATTACTCTGACTGTGTATTGAAGGCCACAGAACACAAGATACATTGCCATTCCCACTAAATCAAAACAATTTTAAAAGGGTTTCCAACCTGTAGAAAATCTTAGAGTAACAGACTTGAAATGGAAAGAATCCATAGTTACTTTACAAGGCCAAAGTTTTAATGCACAAAAAATAAGAATAAACCTAATGGGAGGGTGCAAACTAGTCCAGAGGGAAAATAGCCATATCATATACATGTGGTAATTGTATTTCACTGGTGAAATGCTTTGAATTTGAAAAGTCCTGTGCATTTTATTATGCTATGTAAGTGATCACTGCAACTAGAGACCAAATTAACTGCTGAGAGTTTCTCTCCTTACCACTCAAATTAAATCTGCAACAGTAGATGGGAAAACTGCTAAGCATACCCATATGCTTTGTTCTCTCTGCATGTCAGCCAATAAGCCAGAAGCATTTTGTAAACCCACCTGGAATGCCAAATATACATGATTTCTGTTCATCAGAAACCTTTCTGCTGGAAACTTTTATAGAAAACTAGAAGTCTCTCTTCTAGACGAAATCTCTTTAAGCTATTTGAAATCAGGATCAGAGTAAGTGCAACTTAGAATTCCGTAAGTGCCTGCCTAATAGAATACCTTGCACACACACACATACACACACAGAGGTTTTGCTGGATGAATGAACAAATGAATTTTCTAGCCTAAATTATGTTTTATGTGACTTAAACATAGTGATGAGAAAGGATTGTATAAATCAGTAATAGCAATACTTTTCCTTTTCTTCTGCTCTAATAGCAATAAAAGGTAACCCAGACCAGTTTCCCCAAAATAACCTTTAGACTGACTACCTGTCAGACCACATGTCTCAGTTTCAAGCTTTTCAAACACTCAGAATTATGCAGGTCCACATCCTGACTAAGAATGATGCACCAGACAAAAAGATATTGTAACACAAAGTGAAGGTTTCAAATGGGCGGCTCTATACTAAACAAATAAGAAAACTCAGACTGAGGATATGCATTTATGTCTTCAGAATTATTATGCCAGAGTGAATAGTCCATAATATTCACAATTTTCTTATAAAATCATTCTGTCATCAATAGCGCTATGTTAAAAAAAATATCAAATCTAACTGGAGAGAAGATATACAAACAGTCATGGAATACTAAATATAATATTTTATTATATCCAGCAAATGAAGAGGGGTAATACAAGATCTTAAAAGCCTTAATCAAGGAACTATAGTCATTGCATGGTGCATACAAATTCCTTGCAATTGTCCCTTTTCTATACTCAGGTATTCTTTCATCAGCATTCAAGAACCAAATTTATAAATGCCCAGAGGTTTTGTGTTTTTCAGTTGTGCATTATTTCATTTCTTCCATATTTTCTCTATATCAACCTTGGAGATTGATATTTTAGATTTGTCCTTTTATCTCTTAATCTGTTAACTCTGAGGGGAAATAATTACATTGTTTAATTAGCTGCTTCTGCCCATAATGTTCCCATGTCATTACCTAAAGAATTTTGCTTTATCTCTTTGCCTTATACTGTAATTCCTTAAAAAATATATTATTTACTGACTTAAATTTGATATGATTTTCATTTTATTCCTTACCTTTGCTTGTTACCAATTTACATTCTCTTCACTTAGTTCTTCAAAATTTTTATTTCTTCTCTGCCCCTGAATTGGATGTGGATGTGGATTTACACAGAAAATGAAATATTTGTGTACGGTACATCTATCAAAAAGATTTCATTGCTACTCATGTTTACAAAGGCAAGCAAAATTAATTATAAAAGCAATTGGAGATTATGTTTCTATACTATAGCTGCATAACTCCAGCGAGGCAATACCTTGTTCAATAATAAACTACAATCCTTGTTCAACAGCCCCATTCCAAGGAACTCAAGAGGAAACACTACTATATTCTGGTAAACAATTGTACAAACCAGATTTTAGTCTCAAGCGAACTAAAATCATACTTCATTTTCCACTTATTAAAAAATATTTGAGGCAATAATTTGATAACTTTCACTATCTGTATCAGATTTTTAAAAGGAAAGGAAAATAGACTTTTATAAAAGAAGGAAAAAGGGCATATAGATGACTCTCTGATATAACCAAGAGAGCCATGCACACACACTGACACTTAAGACTTAAGAGAGTTAAAAATGTCCAAATCCATCTTTATACAAACTTTAGTGATAATATGTTATGAGCGATCCAGTAGTTAATTGAAACTCTCCTGGAGTCCACCTCTTTATTTTAACTTTAATTGAGGTTGCCTATCTCACTTATAATTTTGATACCAAAATCTGAGAAAATTGACAATAAAGTATAACTTATTTGAGTCAATACCTATGCAATCTGATTTATACTGACAAAATTATTCATACTGACATGATTAAAATTATTGATAACATTTACCTATCCTACTTAGTGTGAATGCTCACAAATTTTCCTGTAGAAATACTTCATTAATGTGTTTATTATCCAATGCCATCAGTCCTTGTTGTTGGTACTAAATAATAATATATTATCTAAAATTCAAAAGTATTTGAATTTCAAAACACAGCTGGCTACAAGGCATTTTTGACATAGCATTAATATTTTAATATATATAGCAATAGATAGATTTCAAATCATTTTTACTTGCATGAGTCTCTATAGTCTTGAAAATATTGAAAATCTCATACATTTTCAGAATGAAAAATTGAGAATAAAGACAGTTCAGTGGCATTTCTAAGGTTATGAAGCTAGTAATAGTCGGGCCTTGGAACCATGTCTAAATGGAAGTCTAGTCATTCGACTGAACTTACTGACTACCTACTATTGAGTATCTACTCTGTTTTTCTCAGTTTTTCCATGTCTGATTCATTATCTGAAAGTGTTTATTTAGTACTTGAGGAACAAAACTGTTCATGGAGTTTGAGAAAATTTTTCTAACTTTGGTAAACATTAATGATTTTTAAATGTGGGTTTAAATATCTTAGGTGAAGCTGATCTGGTTGTAATTTTCTCATGCAGATGAAGATGTTGGCTCTTACACACTCCCCACCACTCAAGCAATCTACTTACTGAAATCCATCAACCATTTTGCTTTGTTTTACTAAATTTAATTTATTTTAATCCACTTTCTCCATCTAAATTACATTGCGATACCTAGATCATTAATAATGATAAAAATGATTTTTCTATTTTTTCATTATGCTTTATATTTCATCAACTGCCTTCTCTTACAAAGAAAGCAAAGAAAGGATAGGTAGGAACATTTTTCTTATCTTTAGCCTTTGAGGATCCCCAATTACCCTACTAACTACCCATCCTTGGTGTCTCTTCCTATCCTCCCCCTCTAGTCAGTAGTTCAAGTTTGGAACGCAACTGACTTTACTCGAAAAAAGTACTTGGCTTGGGTATTTTTATGTCATTCAAATGCTTCTACATGGTAACTTGTTTATGTGACCATATCTCTCTTATTTCACAGTTATTTTCTATATATATATATGCACATGCCTGGCCACCAAAGTATTTGAGCCTATGTTCCCTGAGTAAAGTGTAGTTGCCACTTATGAACAACTTCCAAGTGAATGGCGAGATTCATGAAAATAGTATGTTAAGGGGTGTTAGCCACAAAACGTTTATGAATGATAGAAAGGCCTTGAAAATTTGTACTTGCATAAAGTAGGTGCAATACTCATTAAGATGGTAGTGGAGACGAAAAGAACATGGAAATTACAATAGAGGCAAGCCAGTGAGCCTCCTGGAATAAGGAGCAGAAGTCTCATTCAGCAAGCTCCCCACACACATGGCAAATTCCTCTGACTGGGACCTCTATAATACTCCGTTGTTTGTTTTTGTTGTTGTTATTGCTGTTGTTTTCTCACTCTTTACCCAGTGTTTTCAGGAACTTTCCTGGTCTTTTTATTCTATTCTGTCAAATATAGATACTATAGATGACTACATTTCCTCTTTGGTTCTCTCTTTTCTTATTCTAAGCCCTACTCTCCTCTGGGAAGATTTTTTCTCTTTATAGGAAAAACTATGCTGAGAAGTAGAACAAAGTATAATGAAAATGCTACATCTCAAAACTTATGATACACAGCTAAATTGGGACTTAGAGAATTATAGTCTGAAGTGTTCACAAATGTTATGGCTTGGCTGTGTCCCCACCCAAATCTCACCTCGAATTGTAATATGAATTGTAATCCCCACATGTCAAGGGTGGGACCTAGAGGGAGGTGATTGGATCATGGGGCAGTTTCCTCCATGCTGTTCTCATGATAGTGAGTTCTCACCAGATCTTGTTGTTTGATAAGTGTCTCATGCTTCCCCCTTCTTTCTCTTTCTCTCTCTCTCTCTCTCCTGCCTGCCCCGTGAAGAAGGTACTCACTTCCCCTTCACCTTCTGCCATGATTGTAAGTTTCCTGAGGCCCCAGCCATGTGGAACTGTGAGTCAATTAAATCTCTTTCCTTCATAAATTACCCATCTCAGGTAGTATCTTTATAGCAGTGTGAAAACTGCTAACACAGGAAATGACAAATATTAAAATTTAAATCATTCATCTTGAAAACTGTGAAAATAGAGGAATAAATTCCCCAAAAAACAAAGGGAAGAAAATATGGCAATAAAATATTTTAGTAGGCACATTAAATTGAAAATTCCTATATCATGCTGATTAATTGGAATTATCAGTATATAACAAATATACCTTTAGAGATATAGAAACTCCAGCAAGTTTAATCCATTTAAATTTATTGTGATTACTAAAACACATTAATCTTATCAAGCATTTAATTTTGTTCTATTTCTCCTGCTCTTTTCTTTCTTATGGACTTCCTTTGGAATTTGTATCTTTTTCACTTCATTTTTTTATACTAATGTATAACTTATGCTATTTCTATATTTTTAAAGTTTGCTCAAAAAATTTAATAGGTACATTTAACTTTAAAAAGTTTTAATTCAGTCAATGTGTTTATTCCCTTTCTGAATGAAATGAGGACTTTAAATACCTTAATTTCTTTTTCTGTTTGTTTGTTTTTTTTCAAGATGGAGTCTTGCTCTGTCACCCAGGCTGGAGTGCAGTGGTACAATCTCAGCTCACTGCAACCTCCGCTTCCCAGGTTCAAGCAATTCTCCTGCCTCAGCCTCCTGAGTAGCTGGGATTAGAGGCACATACCACCACACCCAGCTAATTTTTTGTATTTTTAGTAGAGACAGGGTTTCACCATGTTGGCCAGGCTGGTCTCAAACTCCTGACCTCAAATGATCCACTCACCTAGGCCTCCCAAAGTGATGGGATTGCAGGTGTGAGCTACCACATCCAGCATAAATACCTTAATTTCTAAGACTTTCTCCTTACGTTTGTTATCTTTGCCAGTGCTTGTATCACTTTTTAACTCGACAAATTAGGCATTCTTCTTACATTTTTTGTATGGGCTACATACATTCGGATTTACCTGTAGGTTTACCATCCTTGAATCAATTTCTTGTGTGCTGCCTAATGACTGGTCACATATCCACCCTGGAAATTTAGTCTCACACAAATCACATACACTAAGATATGAGGAGGGATGTTTGCTGAAAAAGAAAATAAAAAATCTAGATGCCGACAGCAGAGAAAGGGAGAATGGATTCTAGGCAGGCATGAGCAGCAGCTGTCTAGTACAGATGGCCTGGAAGAGGTCAGCAGAAGCCCCTCACTGACACTCTCTCTACTGTGCCTGTATTTAACCAGAGCTAGCCAATCACTTCTCGTATTAAGCACCCAGGGTGTTAAATTTCAGGAGTTTCATAAGATGGGAAAATGGGACCATTTTGAAATGACTAAGTAGAAGTTACTAGCCCAAGTGGTACTATTATGACCACAGTTGCAACAATTTCATGAAAATCAAAACAAATCGTAAAGCATAGAAATGTTCTGGAAGAGATTTAGCAGGTCAGCCATTTATATTGGTGTAGGCTGATTCAATCAGCAACTGTCACCAGAGACAGAAATAATAACAAGGCTGTTCTTGAATAAAATAACAGAGAATTACAATTGTCTCAAAAACCACCCAACCTGGTAGCCTTCAAGCACCTTCTTTAATGAATGTCTCAAGTAACAGTCCAGCAGGCTATGGAAAAAGAGCTGTTTACCTCCCAAGACTGTGAGCCTGTTTCTCAGTAGGCCTGCCTGTGGGGGCTTTGCTTGCAAAGTTTGCCTGAAGAAATAGGGTAATGTGATTCTGAATGTGCAGAAAAACATTTTCATTAGAGAGGTATAAAATTGTCCGAATTTTTTAAATGAACAGTTTCAGAAACTTCAAGATGTTTAGTCATTGCCCAAGACTGGTTTCTTACTGCACTGCAGAGGAGCTATTAGGGAAATGATTTAAGCCTATTGGGGTAATGAAGGCTTTTGTGTCTATTAGTGTGCTTCTAATTGCATATTTAAAGACCGAGGTACTAGAAATGATGGTGTTACATACCCAATTACCAAGAAAAGAGCAACAGAGACAGCACAGTCTGTTGGATTAAGAACCCACAAGGCTCTACCACCCACCCTTGCTACCAGTAGAAAGTTGGTCAGCTATCCTGTGCTAGAATTCTTCCATCTGTAGGAAGGCATAAATTACTGGTAACATAATGACAATAGTAATGTCATACACTAGATGTAGATATATTATGTAGAAATATACATATGTATTATTTATAGTGCCCTTATGTCACTATATCAAATATGAAAATTGAATAGAAAAAATATGTGCTACTTGGTAACTTGGGTTAAAAATAAAAGTATGAAGCATGATTATTAAAGGATATGTAACATTCTACTGCAGCAAGAAAAAGGAATTGAGAAGATAAATTATGGTCATCTTATGAACAAGCCTAGAATTAAAATGTCCCAAAATCCACATCATTGAACTCTAAAGAGAACTTGCTGTGCAGGTTGTCTGAGTCAATGAATTCGTTATTCTAGATATATTCACTGCATAAAAGTATAAGCCCTTTTGAAAATAGAAGTTAACAATACAATGGTTGTTGCCTATCTTGCTCCTACAATTGAATTCTTCCCTGTTAATCCTTCTACTCCTCTGCTTGGCCTTTTAATCACTTCTATTTCTCTGGCGCTTACATGCTAAGAATTTTCCTGGGATCCCATATATATAGATCACTTTTCTTACTGATCTAACCCTTTTTCTCTCAGGCAATGCCAGTCACATACATGATTTCAAATCTGTCTCTATGCTAATAGCTCCCCAGGTGAGTCCTCCACACCCGCTTCACCAGTTGCCTACTTGGACCACAACCCTGGAAGACTTAAATGTACTTCACACTCTACCTGCATTAAATCAATCTTATTATTCTCTTTCCCTCCTCCATCTCCTAAAACACTCTTTCATAATCCCTATTTCATCAAATAACAGTTCATTTAAGGCAAATGCCATCTTCATCCATAGACATTCTATCTACTCTCTAAGCCTGCAAATGATATATTCTGCTCAGATCAAAACACAGTCTTAAGGCCAAACATGGTGGCTCACGCCTCTAATACCTGCACTTTGGGAGGCTGAGGCAGGAGGATCACTTGAGCTCAGGAGTTTGAGGCTAGACTGGGCAAAATAGTGTGACCCCACCTCTACAAATAGTAACAATAAAAAATAAAAATAACATATTCTTCTCCATTTCTGCTACAAATGCCTTAGAGAAGGACCTGTTACCTCTCACCTAACTTACCTCTCCACCTACAGATTCTTCTTTCCACGTCACCTGCTCCACATCCTCCTGTTTTGCTAAACTGTAAATCTATGTCACTGCTTTCTATAAATTTCTAGTACCTTCCCAATAACTATTTTAAAAATCCAAACTCTTTTAAAAGACATGTTACGCATCTCCATCAGTCCTAAGCCTATTCGCTTCCTCCACACTTCACCTAGGCCTTTAGACAAACTTTGTTCTAACTCTGAGCCCAACATGTTTGTCTAGTCAGTCATGATTTTATTCATAGTACACTATGTGAGTTGCTTTTCCCCTCACCTTCTCTTTGAAGAAAGCCCAGCCATTGTTCAATATCTGTATTAAATGGCATTCCCTTCCCTATTACTCCACTAACAATTGCTTCCTCCTGTAAGCTAAAAATGAAATCTAAGCCCCTCAACAGACTGAATGAAATTCCCTGTTGGCCAAGGGGATCCCAGAGGAAACCTGAAAAACTAGTTCAGGCCAGGACAGGAAGGGTGGTCAGAAATGCTTCATTATATCCTCTCCCTTTTGGAATTTAGGTACAACTGACCAGCATTAACAATAAAATAGAGATCTTAAGACTGACAAAACAAACTCTTTATTGCAATAATATACCCAGTTCCAACCTGACTCCAATATAGCATCACATGACAGATAGCACATCCTGAAGGATATCAAAGTATTATACCCCAAAATATATTTCTTTGATATATTTTGAAATGTCCCTGCAAAGCCATCTCTTGGGGAAATTTCCATTCTTTAGAGGATCTCCTTCCCTTTCCAAGTCCTTTCCTGATCCAGGAGAGATTTAGCTGAGAGATTTTAACTAAGAGAGATTTAAAGTTCCATAAATAATATTTACCATCTATTCCCTCTGAAGTTTGCTACCTGGAGGCCTCATATACATAACAGAAACCTTGGTTTCCACAACTTCCCTTTTTTATCTGAAGCATTTCTTACTGCTGGCTTCAATTCTGTAGGCAAAGCTTAAGATTTTCAGCTAACTGCCTATCAGAAAATCTTTGACTCCACCTATGACCTGTGAACCCCCACCTCAAAATGTCTCAGCTTTCCAGGCCAAATCAGTGTACCCCTTACATGTATTGATTTATGTCTTTCCCTGTAACTTCTATCTCTCTACAATGTATATAACCAAGCTGTAACCCAGTGACCTTGGGCACATGTTCTTAGGACGTCTTGAGGCTATTCCATGAGCCATGGTTTTGGCTAGATAATCTTTAAATATTTTAGAGCTTGCCTTTTTCTGTCAGTACTTCCTTGCTAGATCCCCTTTCCTAGTCACTATTAATAGTTACCATATAGCACTGAATGTATCTGCTTGTTTCTCTCATTATCACTTCTTCTCAATGGGAACAGTAGTATCTTATTCATCTGCTATGAATAGACCCACTAAGCACTGGGTGGGTATGGCACCTTAAATAGGAAGCAAAAGAGTTTGGCCAAATATAATCCAAAATTTCAAAAACTTTGAAGTAATTAGATGATCTAGGTTTATGTCTGAGATCATTAAGTATTTTGTTGATTCTGAAAAATAACCTTTGATATGGGTAGGTTGTGTCCCCACCCAAATCACATCTTGAATTGAAGTTCATCACGTGTGGTGAGAGGGACATGTTGGGAGGTAATAGAATCATGGGGGTGGTTTTTTTCCATGATACTATCATGATAGTGGGCAATTTCTCATGAGAGCTGATGGTTTTATTAGGGCTTCTCCCTTCACTAGGCTCTCATACTTCTTCCTGCCACCATGTGAAGAAGGACATGTTTGTTTCCCCTTCTGCATGATTGTAAGTTTCCTGAGGCCTCCCCAACCATGCAGAAGTATGAGTCAATTAAACTTCTTTCCTTTATAAATTACCTAGTCTCAGGCAGTCCTTTATAGCAGCATGAGAACAAACTAATACAGTAAATTGATACTGGGAGTGGGGCGCTGCTATAAGCATACCCAAAAATGTGGAAGCAACTTGGAACTGGGTAACAGGCAAAGGATGGAAGAGTTTGGAGGGCTCAGAAGAAGACAGGAAGATATGGGAAAGTTTGGAACTTCCTAGAGACTTGTTGAGTGGCTTTGACCAAAAGGCTGATAGTGATAAGGACAATGAAGTCCAGGCTGATGTGGTCTCAGATAGAGATGAGAAACTTGTTGAGAACTGGAATAAAGGTGACTCTTGCTGTTTTAGCAAAAAGAACGGCAGGATTTTCCCCTGCCCTAGAGATTTGTGACACTTTGAACTTGAGAAAGATGATTTAAGGTATCTGGTGGAAGACATTTCTAAGCAGCAAAGTGTTCAACAAGTGACTTGGGTGCTGTTAATAGCATTCAGTTTTATGTATTCACAAAGATGTAGTTTGGAATTGGAACTTATGTTAAAAAGGGAAGCAGATCACAAAAGTTCAGAAAATTTGCAGCCTGACAATGCAATAGGAAAGAAAAACTCATTTTCTGAGGAGAAATTCAAGCCTGCTGCAGAAATTTGCATAAGTAACAAGAAGCCAAATGTTAATCACCAAGACAATGGGGAAAATGTTTCCAGGGCATGTCAAAGACCTTTATGGCAGCCTCTCCCATCACAGGACTGGAGATCTAGGAGGAAAAAATGGTTTCATGGGTCAGACCCAAGGCCTCGCTGCTGTGTGCAGCCTAGGGACTTGGTGCCCTGTGTCTCAACAGCTCCAGCCATGGCTAAAAGGGGCCAAGGTACTGCTTGGGCAATGGCTTCAGAGGGTGCAAACCCCAAGCCTTGGAAGGTTCCATGTAATGTTGAGCCTGCAGGTACACAGAAGTCAAGAATTGAGGTTTGGGAACCTCCACCTAGATTTCAGAGGATGTATGGAAACACCTGGATGTACAGGCAGAAGTTTGCTGCATGGGAGGGGCCCTCATGGAGAACCTCTGCTAGGGTAGTGTGGGAGAGATATGTGTGGTTGGAGCCTCCACACGGAGTCCCCACTGGGGCACTGCCTAGTGGAGCTGTGAGTAAAGGGCCACCATTCTCCAGACCCCAGAATTGTAGATCCACCAAAAACTTGCACCATGCACCTGGAAATGCTGCAGACACACAATGGCAGCCCATGAAAGCAGCCAGGAGGTAAGCTATACATGGCATACCTACAGAGGCAGAGCTGCCCAAGCCCATGGGAATGCACCTTTTGCATCAGTGTGACCTGGATGTGAGACATAGAGTCAAAGGTGATCATTTAGGAACTTTAAGGTTTGACTGCCCCACTGGATTTCAGATTTGCCTGGGCCCCATAGACCCCAAGAAATTGGCCTATACTTTTGGCCAATTTCTTCCATTTGGAATGGGTGTATTTAACCAATGTCTGTACCTGCATTGTATCTAGGAAATAACTACCTTAGTTTTGATTTTAAGGCTCATAGGCAGAAGGGACTTGCCTTGTTTCACATGAGACTTTGGACTTGGGCTTTTGGGTTAATACTGGAATGAGCTAAGACTTTGGGGGACTGTTGGAAAGGCATTATTGTGTTTTGAAATTTGAGGACATGAGATTTGGAAGGAGACAGAAGCAAAATGATATGGCTTGGCTATGGCCCCACCAAAATCTCACCTTTAATTGTAGTTTCCATAATCCTTATGTGTGGTGGAAGGAACCTGGTGGGAGGTAACTGAATCATGGAGGAGGTTCCCCCATGCTATTCTCATGATAGTAAGTTCTCACAAGATTTCACAGTTTTACATGGATCTTCCCCCTTCGCTTGGCTGTCATACTTCTGCTTCCTGCCACCATGTCAAGAAGGAAATGTTTGCTTCCCCTTCCATCATGATTGTAAGTTTCCTGAGGCCTCCCCAGCAATGCAGAAATGTGAGTCAATTGAACCTCTTTCTTTTATAAATTACCCAGTCTTGGGCAGTCCTTTATAGCAGTGTGAGAATGGACTAATACACCTATATACTTCATTCAGCCTCAATTTTCTCATCTGTCAAAAAAGGGGGTAGGATTGGTATCTGCTAGTTTTTCTCAGCACTTTTATTCTACACATACATAAATCAATGATTTAGAGTTGAAGTTTTAGGCCTAGAAAGTTGTTTTTTTTTAATTTAATAGAGAATTATCATATGCTTTATGGGAAGACTAAATATTGTAAAGAGTAAACTCTTCCCAAATTAATCTGTAAGTTTAATGTGATCTCAATCTTAATGGGATTTTTTTCATTATACAAAATTTATTATAAAATGTATAAAATTATGTGAATTTTAAGATTTATGTAGCAATTGATATTATATACATACACAAAGAAAGAGAATAGCATTTTTGAAAAATAAAAACAAAGTTTTTTGGGAGTGGCACAAAATTGCCCTGCCAGATATAAAAATATTTTATAAAGTTTTAACATTTTAAGCAGTGTCATATTGCCACATCAGTAGACAGGTTGCTGGAATGGAATAATGAACCAAAAATTAATCTATGCCTGTATGGCAATCAATAACAGAATAGGATTCACTAAGCAGTGGTCAAATAATTATCTGCTTAATATATGTTCTTATATGAGAAAATGAAATTATATGGCCATAATACATCTATAAGAGAAAATGAAATTATATGGCCATAATACAACATATCCAAAACTTTATTTAAGATGAATTAATACCTTCAAAGATGGCAGAAAAAGCTTTTAATGATACTATACCTTGCTAACTAACACTTGCAGAATATTTGTTATATCTTAGACACTGTAAGTGCTGTTCAGGCATTAATTCTATCAATAATCCTATTACTCTGTGAGTAAGGTAAGTCCAATTATTATTTTTATTATTATTTCATTTACAGGAAAGGTAATTATGGTACAGAGATGTTAATAAACTTATTGAAGTGTCACAGTTAACAAGAGACAGAATTAGAATCCAAAATCACGTATTCTTGTCTCAGTAGCTTAAGCTCTGAAAGACTCTATTGGCCATGACAGACAAAGCTTTCTTTAAAAAACAAAACAAACAAACCAAAAACCCAGAAAGTTTAAATAATAAAGAAAATGCAGATATAAGTTTGACTGAAAAGTTGTTTTATTTTATAATAAAGTCAACTTCATGTTTTAAAACAAACCACAGATTGGGAGAAAATCCTTGCTGCACAGATTATCTGTAAATCATTGTTCTAATCATACATATAAACATGAAATAAATGAAAAACTCTATCAAAAAGTTGGCATGGTATATGAACCTATGGTTTTAGAAAATCCAATTCAAATATCTAATAAATAAATAGTCAATCTCATTGGTAAGCCAGCAAATAATTAAAACAAAAAGATAATAGTTTTGCCCACAGAACTGAAAAAAATTGATAAGTCAGTACAATGTCAAATGTTGTCAGGTCCTTCCTCTGAGAATAGAAATTGATCAATCAATTTGGAAGGCAATTTAGCAATGTGTAGAAAAGTTGAAGGTGTGACTACTATTAAAAAAAAAGTGACTAATTCCCCATCTTTGTATCTAACCCTAGAAACATTCCTGGCAAATAAAATAATAAGACATACACATGGATATTCACTGCCACATAGTAATAGAGTAATACTGGAAACAAACTAAGCATTTATCAAATGAGAACTAGATAAATAAAAGCTGGTATGTACATACAAATACATATATATGTTAAATAAATGAGCTAATTCAACACAGATAAATCTAAAAAAATTTTAAAAAAACAGATTCATTGAGGAGATTCATAGTAAAATTTAGGCAAATTTATAAATCACTTGAAACAATGTTACAAATCCTCTTTTCATAGCTTTATAAATTTCACTTTTAAAGGACTAGAACTATATACATCAAAGTTATAATATGGTTATATCAAAGGAAAAGAGAAGTGGATATGTAGGATGGTTAGCCTTATCCATGACATTATAATACTTTTTAAATATTGTGTTTATATATTACTTACATAATTTTGAAAAATTATGAGAATTATTTTATGATATTAATATATATTTTTAAATTATTTCACAGATAGTATGAACAGCTATACAAATTTCAAGGACTTTCAAAGTTATTTTGTCACAAACGGATTGATGCATATTATTTGAATTTTGAAAGAATCAAGTAGGAAGCAGAAGGGGATGAAAATTTTAAGCAAACTTAAAAAAATCTATTGCAAGGGATTGTTATTAAATTACATTTTAAGCTACAGAAATGTTACTACAGATATAAAAGCAATCTGTGGCAACTGGAGGAGAAATGCATATCCACTAACACTGATAAACTGCTGGGGTTTCTTCTGTTTCATTTCTTATTATTTGGAATAAGCACAAAGGAACTGATAAAATTGTTTAATTAAAAGAAGTAGAAAAATTGTCTTCGGGAGATAGCCTAATAATACTGCTATTACTTCCATGTGTATTCAGATCTAGGTCTCACTGTCTGTCTGCAGGAGAACAGTATATTGTAAAGCAAAGCTCTCATTGTCTGTTTTATTCCTGAAATAGACATAAGAGTAGAAGAGTAAATTTCCTTTTCTACTCAAATTTTTGAAAATTTTATTTGTAAGATTTACATACTTGCTTGAACAAAAACAACTGAACCTGCTATTTACAATTTTAAAACCCAAAGCCTAATGCATAATTTTACTGGGATCAATTTGTAATTCACTCATTCATGAAAAAGAAAGGAATGAAATTTATTAAACAATACAGGTTGCCCATATAACCCCTTAGCTAATTGCAGTGAGTTATTAAGCTTTGCCTTGACTGAGGCCCGTATCAGCTCAGTGTTTCTTGGTTTGAACCTCACTGTAGTCTTTTCCCTGAGTTAGGACAGACAGCTTGCCTGTTAGAGCAGAAGTTTTACACACTTTTATGGAGTCCGATGCATGGTCACATAGCCAGCAATGCAATTCTAGTTCAAGCACCATATTCACTTCAAAATCTCTGGTGATCAGCATTTATGTACAGCTTAGTTTCTCTTAAAACTGAGTTATGCTAACATGGCACACACTTTGTCGTTTAGAAGTATCACAGTGAGTGAATATATCCCATTAATTATTGTATCCTACTAGTTGATGTAGACTACCTGATTACATATGTACATACATACCTTCATTCATGTATTTTCATTTGCTCATCAAATAATTGAAATATTATACTTACTCTGTACTCAGCACTGCACACACATAATCACACACACAGTTACATCTTCATGTGTTCTCAGGTAAATCACAGTTAAAAGAAAGCCAATTCTGACATATGCTGAGCATAGCTGATTTAGTTAAGAAAAACTCCTAATTTTCTAGGGAATTGGGGCTCAAATAAATTAAATAACATTCCAAATGCATAGCCTCTAGATCTGAAATGCTCAAATTACTCTTCCCTGATCTAAATCCTAATGGCAATTTATGACCTTTTATCTCATTCTTCATTAAGAATTCCTAAAATGGGATGGTGGATTAGTAAAACAGTGGGCTTCTCTAACTTTATTCTGGGTCTAAGGGGACCATGGATAGGGGAAGAAGGCTCACATCTATCTAGCTATATAAATGTGGCACAAATGCACATTTATATGTGTATCGTTTATGTGTAGCCGTGTAATCTATCCTAAAAATGTTTTAATTCAAAACTTTACCTTGATTATTCTTCAGATTTTTACCTCGGTAGTAAGTCTTTACCTATCAATAACTATCTTGAATATAAATGGATTAAACTTTCCAAACAAAAGACATAGAGTGGCTGAATGAATTGAAAAATGAGACCTAACTATATGTTCCCTAGAAGAGACTCATTTCACCTTTAAGAATACACATAAACCGGCTGGGCACGGTAGCTCATGCCTGTAATCCCAGCACTTTGAGAGGCCATGGCGGGCAGATCACAAGGTCAGGAGTTCGAGACCAGACTGACCAACATGGTGAAACCCCATCTCCACTAAAAATACAAAAATTAGCCAGGCATGGTGGTGGGCACCTGCAGTCCCAGCTACTCGGGAGGCCAAGGCAGGAGAATTGCTTGAGCCCAGGAGGCAGAAGTTGCAATGAGCCAAGATCGAGCCACTGCACTCCAGCCTGGCAACAGAGTGAGACTCTGTCTCAAAAAAAAAAAAAAAAAAAAAAAAAAAATACACATAGACCAAAAGTAAAAGAATAGTAAAAGATATTTCACACAAATGGAAGCCAAAAGAGAGTAGAAATGGCTATACGTATACCAGACAAAATAGACTTCAAGTCTAAAACTGTCACAAAAACACAGGTCATTACGTAATAACAAAGGGGTCGATTCATCAACAGGATGTAACAGGTATGAATACATATGTACCTAACATCAGAGCACCTAAATATATAATGCTAATGTTAACAGAATTGAGGAAGAAATAGACTGCAGCACAATAATAATAGGAAACTTAAATATTCCACTTTCAGCAATGGACAAATCATCCTGACAGAAAATCAATAATAAAGCATTAGACTTCAGACCAAATGGCCCTATCAGACATATGGAATATTCTATCTAACAGCAGCAAAACACACATTCTTCTCAAGCCCACATGAAACATTCTCCAGGATACATTATATATTAGGCCACAAAATAAGTCTTAACAAATTTAAGAAGATTAAAATCATAAATTATTTTTTCTGACCACAATGGTGTGAAACTAGAAATCAAAAACAGGAGGAATTTCAGAAAATTCACAAATGTATGAAAATAAAACATCATGTTCCTGAACAACTAAGAAGCCAAAGAAGAAATTGAAAGGTATTTTAAAATTTGTTTGAGACAAATGAGAATGGGAGCAAAATATATCAAAACATATGATGCAGCAAGAGCAGTTCTAAAAGAGAAGTTTGTAGTAATTAATGTGTATATCCAAAAAGAATAATGATCTAACAAATAAATGAACTAATGTTACACCTCAAGGAGCTAGAAATAGAAGAGCAAATTAAGCCCATAGTAGAAGGAAGGAAATAATAACATAGTAGAAAATGAAACTGAAACTAAAAAAAAAAAAAAAATAGAAAAGATAACCTAGAGTAAGAAAACAGACAGTAATGTCAAAAAATAAAATTGTAAATGAAAGAGAAGACCACAGTTCAAACCATGAAAATGCAAAAGATCCTAAGACTAATATTAACAGTTAAACACCAACAACTTAGACAACTTAGAATAGATAAATTTCTAGAAATATTCAACCTACCAAGACCGAATCATAAAGAAATAGAATATCTGAAGAGACCATTAATGAGTAAGGAAATGTAATCAGTAATAAATCTTACCTATCAAAGAAAAGCCCAGGACCTTATGGCTTCACTGCTGAATTCTCTCTAACATTTAAAGAAGAAATAATACCAATCCTTCCCAGACTCTTAGAAAAAGATATATAAGATGGAACACTTCCAAACTCATTTTATGAGGCCAGTATTACTCTGATACCAAAGCCAGACAAGGACACTACAAGAAAAGAAAATTACAGGCCAATATCCCTGAAGAACATAGACTTAAAAATCTTTTACAAAATACTAGCAAACTGAATTCAACAACCGGTAAAAGAATCATTCACCATGATCAAGTGACATTTATCTTGGGCATGTAAGGATGGCTCAACTTTTGCAAACCTATAAATCTGATATGACACATTAACCAAATGAATGATAAAACTATTTTATTGTCTCAACAGATGGAAAAGAAAGCATTTGACAACACTGAATACACTATCGTGATAAAAATTTTAATAAATTGGGTGTAGAAGGAATGTACCTCAATGCAGTAAAGGTCATATATGACAGTCCCACAGCTAACATCATACTTGATGAGGTAAAGTTGAAAGTTTTTCCTCTAAGATCAGAAACAAGATAGAAAAAGATTTTCACTTTTGCCACTTCTGTTTAACATACTACTGAAAGTCCTAGCCAGAGAAATTAGGCAAGAAAAAGAACTAAAGGCATCCAAATTGGAAAGAGAACAGCCAAGGAGACAATCAACAGAGTGATGAGACAACCTATAAAATGGGAGAAAATATTTGTAAACCATACATCTGATAAGGGGTTTATTCTTTATGTAAGGAACACAAGCAACTCAGTAGCAAGTGAACATATAATCTGCAAAAAAAAAAAAAAAAAAAATGGGCAAAGGACCTGAATAGACACTTCTCAAATGAAGGCATACAAAATATCAACAGGTTTCTGACAGCATGCTCAACATCACCAATCATTAAAGAAATGCAAATTAAAACCACAATGAGCTATCACCTCACATCTGTTGAAATGGCTACTGTCAAAAAGACTAAAGGTCAAAAGTGTTGGTAAGGATGTACAGAAAAGGATATCCTTGCACACTGTCAGTAGAAATGTAAATTAGTACAGCTATTATGAAAATCAGTATGAAGATTTCTCAAAAATTAAAATGGAACTACCATATGATTCACAACCCCACTACTCGGTATAAACTATGAGGAAATAAAATTAGTACATCAAAGAGATATCTACATGCCCATGTTGAAGTATTATTCACAATAGCCAACCTAAGCCAACTTAGGTTGATATAGAGTCAACCTAAGTGTTCATCAACAGATGAATGTGTAAGAAATATGTGATATATTAAAGATATAATATATAATAATAATAATAATGATAATAAAGCTATCTTTCCAGGTTCCAGCAGCCTCATAACTTAGCTGAGTCAGGTACTAGGTCTTATGCAGTCTATGCAGGTACTGGGTCTTATACTTGGAGCACAATTTTAGGAAGTCATAATGTAAAAAAGATCAGAAAAAAATTAAAGCTACTTTTTCAGAAAGAACTAAATGTTAATTGTCAAGGGTTTTCTTTTTCTTCCTTTTTGAAAGTGAGGCTATGGAGTTACTTATAAAATCATAATGGATTAACATTTCCAATTTCATATGCAGAATTTATTATAGTTTTTGACTTGAAGATTTGACATAACCCTCGCAAGAGCAGATTTTTTCCTTTTATGGAGATATGCCGTAAAGTCATACCCATAAAGACATTAGAGTCCAAACTAAAATCCTCATTTTGATAAGAATAAATATAAAAACTGTTTTATCGATATCTTTGGGACTGTATTCATAGTTCACAGCAAGAGAAAAAAGATGGTAGAACCTCTCTTTATGTGTACTTTCTTTTACCTTCAGTAAAGCTTTAAACATACTTCCAGAAAGTTTTATAAGGTATTTAATGCTGATGAGAATTTTTTAAACCTTATGTTTAGTTTACCAAATTATTGTTCGTCCAAAAGAAGTCTTTTGTTTTTCTTCAATTTTGCAGCCAACTATACTATCTTAATATAAGTTTGCAGTAATCCCTTATGGGAAATTCTAGGTGAGAGTGACTTCACTTCTAGTAAATACAATATTTGTTTTGACAACTTCTAAACATTTGTATTTGATACCCTACTTATTTGATCATCTAAGCTCTTCCTTTCAGTGAAAAACATTTCTCAATTGTGTATTAAAGTTTTTTGTATACTAAGCAAAACCAGGCCTCAGCATACCCAGAAACATTTTTGCAAGGATCTGGGGTTTTCATCAGTGCTTTTTGTTTAAGAAATCTGACCGTGATGGAATCCCAGTGGACTAGTGTATTATTTAACTAGAATGTACCCAAACCATACATGATAGCAAAAATTTTCCATCAAAGCCCCATTTCAGTGACAGAGCCTTGTCAAATGATTCAGAAGTGCAAGTTCTACTATTTATTTCTCAGGTGGCACAAAAATACCTTGATTAGTAAGTCCTTGTAATTAGCAAGAGATTTGCCCAAAGATCTTCTATGACCTGGTTTTGTGACTAACATCATAGCATACAATTTCCTTAAATTCCTTACCTGTTAAATGTAAGTAATAACACTTTTCACAGTTATTAATATGATGAGGATTTCATTAGGTCACTTTTTGACACAGAACTGAGATTTCTGGGCACCAGCAAGACATAGACTTCAGCAGTGTGATGGGCATCTGTGTGCCAGCCCTATAGCACCTCCTTCTTCATCTTGTTCTTCAACGAAATTTAAATGGTTTACCTGCTTACAGATTGTAACATTCAGAATGTTAAATCTTTGAATGCAAAGATTATCTTACATTTCCCTTTTGCAAATATCCTACAGCTTGTAATGAATAATTTGTTATATTATTCATAATAATTCTTACCTCCTAACTGATGTGAGGTTTTTGGTTACTCTGACATTACCGTATTTCTGTCAATATTCAATAGCAGTGATTTATATGGTAAATTATATGGCTCTCTTGATATAGTAAACCTTCAATAATCGTGGATTCAAAAAAGTATTGATTCCTCCTCCTCCACTACAAACAGCAACAACAAAAATAAAATTTAAAAAATCTTAATTTATTTTCTGTCAGTAGCTCAAATCTCTATCTAATTATAGTCTTGGATTCTCTCTTTCCTCATCTAACTTCAATCTTCATTAGCCCTGCAGTTTTATTTCCAAATGTGTTTTGAATCACTCTGCTTCTTTCCATTTTCACTAGAGAATAGGACATAGAAATGCATCTTATGCCCACTCTTCCCCTGGATAAATGCAACAGACTCTCAGTTGGTCCCTTTGCTTCCATCAATGTCTCCAAGTGTATTGCTCATACACACATGAAAGGAACCATTACCATAATTGACATGGTATTTTTTTTATAATGACACTTTTCCTAAGGTAGAAATAAGGTGTCTTATTCTAGTAAAATCTGTATAGTATAGTTTTCTGACAGATGGAGGTAAAGTGCCTCTTGAAATGGACACCGTTTTCTAATTTACAGTAAAGCATTTATGAGTTAGTGGTATCTGTTTCCTCTCTTGTCCGCCCTACAACCCATGCTCCACACAGCAACCCAGAGTATTCTTTTTAAAACTGATATAGGGTTGTGTTAATCTTCTGCTTAAAATCTTTCTTTGAATTCTAATTACACCCTGAAAAAATTTCTAATTCCCTTTGCTTCTCAGACCTTACAAAACCTGACCCTGGCCCATTTGTACAAGCTCATCCCCAAACTGTCTTCTACTGGTTTATCATATTCCAGCCAGACTGGCTGCTTTTTGTTTCCTACAACATAAACCCTCTTCAGGCTTTATACACTTGCTTCCTCTGACTAGAAAATTATTTTCTTTTATCTTCATCTGGCTGGCTCTCTTTCATTCTTTTCATCTCAGTTCAAACATTACTGCTTCAGAGAGGGTATGAAGTCTTAACTTATTTAAAGCAGGAGTCCTTTTTCTTCCTAGTTAGTTTACCTTATCACCTTACTTATTTACTTCATAGAATTTGTTTGAAGCCACAAACATTTTGTTTATTTAGTTATCATCATCTAATCTTTGGCAATTTTGTTGCCAAAATAATAATCCATATAACTAGGGGTGTCTCTGTGGTTATTTCTAATGTCAAAAATGGTGCTTGGCACATTGTAGGGTAGGCACTTACTACATTTTAAAATATATATTCTCATTCCATTTGACTTTTTGTGACTGCTATGAACTAAACTGTGTCCACACAAAATCCATATATGGAACCTCTAATGCTCAATGTGACTATATTTGGAGTTGGACTTTTAGGAGGTAATTAAGATTAAATGAGGTCATAAGAGTGAGGTCCTAACTCAATAGAGTTGGTGGTCTTAAACAAAGAGAAAGATCTCTCTCTCTCTTTCTCCCTGTTTCTCTCTCTCTCTCTCTCCGTTTCTCTCTCTTTCTTTCTTCCTTCCTCTCTCTCTCTTTCTCTGCACCCTCAAAGAAAAGCATGTGAGGACAAAGCAGACATCTGCAAGCCAAGAGGAGAGCCCACACCAGAAACAGAACTCTGCTAGAACCTTCATCCTGGAATTTTCAGCCTCCATAACTATCAGAAAACAAATTTGAGTTGCTTAAGCCACACAGTCCACGGTAGTTTATTACACCAGCCTGAACAGACTAAGACAGTGACCAACTCTAAGTGAAGGTTTATACATCATGTGTATATAAAAACATATAGTTATTGCCTAATTATCTTTTTTCCATTCTATTACAAGTGTCTAATTAGGCCCTAACAATACATAAAATAGCAAAGTATGGTTTATGATTATTTTTTATAAATATTACATTTTTGAGAACTATAGCAATAACATAGGAAAATGATATAAAAGAAATAGAGTAAACTTGACTGTAAGAAGTAGGAAAATTTAAATAACTCTTCGTTCTCCATTCTCTACTTGTTGAAATGCTTTACATTCTAAGGATCCAACTTAAGTGCCTCCTTCTCCCTCTATCTTTCCAAGCATAGTTAATTACTCCCTTTATACTTTCAAAGCCCATTGCACATACTTTTATGTGATATTGCTTCAGTTCTGCTTTGTTGTTAATGCTATTTGTTAAATCTGGGTCTCTCCCACTAAGTTAGAAAATACTCTGCAGCGAGGGCTATATGCCTTGGTTTCTGTTGCTCACGGTATCTAATACACGACTTGTACAAAAGTGGTGATCAGTGAAATTTTGTTGAGTAAATAAACAAAGGAATAAATAACTAAAGAGGTGGAAATAGAAAAGAAACACTGATACAAAAGTTAAGGCAATTCTGCCAATTTTTGTAGGTGATATTCCTGAAAAATATCATAATTTGCACACCTCTGATTGGCAAATTTGAGATCTCAGATAATAAGTGTATGTGTATATATGTATGTTTGTGGTGTCTGTATATAGGTATATATGTAGAAATATTGGTGTACACACATAATACATGCACATACACATACATATATCATGTGTGTATGTATATATACATATACAAAATCAGAGTAAATTTAATTTTTAAAAGATACAGCTTTCAAAACATGAAATTTTTATTTTTATTAAAATTTATTTTGCTATGTAACCATGCAGGACAGTTTTCCAGTTGGCTGGGATGACCTAGTTCTCCCCATTTTTTTACTTATAGTTCCCCAAAGTAACTGTAAAATGTGCTGAGATAAAGAGGAACTGGCTAGAACATCCTAGGCTCTGTTCCAGTCCCTCCTAGAATCAGAATGTCCTTCAATGCTTTAACCCAATGAGTCACATGACCTAGGATATAAAACCCAGGATGGGCTGGTTTCCAAGGTCCCTCATCTGCAGCGCAAGTGGGGCACAAACAGTTGAGAGACTATATCCACCCTGGGAAGCTTTCTGTGTCTTAGTGGACTGGCTTATCCTGAATCCTGGCTTCTAGTGTCCCTTGTTGCCCATTTGTAAGTAATAAATCTCTTTCATATAGCTTGTGTGTGGGGGGAGTGGGATGCTCATGCTTATACCACTCAGATAACAAGTGCACTTGGTAACAAGTACACAGTAAACCTGATTCACAAACTATTTTCCTGAAGGCTTCCTTTATGTCAATTGTTTAGTAAGCCATTCATCTGATTAGCTAGATCATCCCACAAGTTTCTATTTTACAGACTGAATCTTGTCTTAAAATATTTTGAGCCAGTGCTTAGTGGTTGCATTTGCATTCCTCTTTATATTATTTTCTGAGACTTAGCAGAATATCCATATATTTAATCACTGTATTGGTTTTCTTTAATGCTGTAACAAATTATCATAAGCTTAATGCCATAACCCACAAATGTATTATCTTTTAGTTCTCAATGTGAGAAGTCCAAAATGGTTGGCAGTGCTGCATTCCTTCTGAAGGCTTCGGGAAGAATTCTTTCTTTTTCTGTCTGTTCCAGCTTCTAGAGGCTGCCCACATTCCTTGGCTCATGGTCCCCTTCCAGCAATTATATCACCCCAACATCTATTCACATCTTTGTCTCTCACTCTGCTGTGTTTGTCTTCCTCTTAAAGCCCATTTTTATTATATTGGGCCCACTTAGAGAGTAAAGAATAATAGGCCAGCCGCAGTGGCTCACGCCTGTAATCCCAGCACTTTGGGAGGCCGAGGCGGGTGGATCACAAGGTCAGGAGATCGAGACCATCCTGGCTAACACGATGAAACCCTGTATCTACTAAAAATACAAAAAATTAGCCTGGGCGTGGTGGTGGGCACCTGTAGTCCCAGCTACTTGGGAGGCTGAGGCAAGAGAATGGTGTGAACCTGGGAGGCAGAGCTTGTAGTGAGCCGAGATCATGCCACTGCACTCCAGCCTGGGCGACAGAGCGAGACTCCATCTCAAAAAAAAAATTATATATATATCCCTGTCTCAAGATCCTTAACTTATTCACATCTGTAAAGTCCCTTTTGTCATTTAAGAAAGCATGTTCACAGATTTGGGGAATTGAGACAAGGACATCTTTCAGGAGTTGCTATTCAATCTACCAAACAGGGAATTGTACAACAGTAGCAGACAGAGCTTGTGACCATGATTTTCTTGACATGGTAGTCTATCAAAAAATAAGGAGAATACCTATTTTGCAGGATATATAGAAGAGTAATGCATTAAGCAATTTTTTCATTGCTGTAAAGAAATACCTAAAAATGAATAATTTATTAAGAAAGAATTTTAACTGGCTCACAGTTCTTCAGACAGCACAAGAAGCCCGATGCTGGCATCTGCTTCTGGTGAGGGCCTCAGGAAGATTACAGTGGTGGCAGAAGGCAAAGGGGGAGCTGGTGTATCACATGGTGAGAGCAGGAACAAGAGAGGGGAGAAGGTGCCACACTTTTAAACAGCCAGATCTCACTACAACTCATTTACTATTACAAAGACAGAACCAAGCTATTCATGAGTGATCTCGCCCGTGATCCAAACACCTCCCACCAGGCCTCACCTCCAACACTGGGGACTACATTTCAATTTGAGATTTGAAGACAAATATCCAAACCACATCAGGTAAGTTAAATAAACATTTTTGTCATATTCTCTATAAGAGTCTGAACCAAAGGTATATAGAACATCAAAAATTGGCCGGGTGCAGTGGCTCACACCTGTAATCCCAGCAATTTGGGAGGCTGAGGCAGGCAGACCACGAGGTCAGGAGATCAAGACCATCCTGGCTAACATGGTGAAACCCTGTCTCTACTAAAAATACAAAAAAAAAAAAAAAATCAGCAGGGCATGGCAGCAGGCACCTATAGTCCCAGCTACTCCGGAGGCTGAGGCAGGAGAATGGCGTGAACCCAGGAGGCAGAGCTCTCAGTAAGCTGAGATCATGCCATTGCACTCCAGCCTGGGTGACAGAGTGAGACTTCGTCTCAAAAAAAAAAAAAAAAAAAATCAAAAATTTAGAAATTTAATATGCAAAGTCAAATTACATTAAAGTAAAATAAATATTGGTTAGAATGTCTTAGTCCATTTGTGCTGCTATAACAAAATATCTGCTACTGGATAATTTACAAAGAACAGACATTTATTTTCTCACAATTCTTTCATATCCAGGAGCTAAAAACCAGTTGAACTCATGGAGACAGAGAGTAGAATGATGGTTACCAGAGGCTAGGAAGGGTAGTGGGAAGGGGATGATAAGGAAAGATTGGTTAATTAGTATAAAAACACAGTTAGATAGAAGGAACAGGATCTAGTGTTTGGTAGCACAATAGGGCAATTATAGTTAACAATGATTTATTGTATATGTCAAAAAACTACAAGAATGGAATTGGAATGTTTCTAACACAAAGAAATGATAAATACTTGAGGTGATGGATATCCTATTTACCTTCATTTGATTATTACACATTATATGCTTGTATTAAAATACCACATATACCCCCAAAATATGTAGAACTATTAAATATCCATTAAAACTAAAAACAAAGAAAGGTGGAGTAGCTATGTTAATGTCCGCATAAAGTAAATCTGACAACAAAGAAAATTACTGAGGAGAAAGAGGGTCATTACATATTTACCACAGCTTAATTCACTAAGAATAAATAAAAATCCTAAATGTGTACACACCTAGTAAGAAAGCTTCAAAATACATAAAACAAAAATCTAATAAAAACTGAAAAGAGAAATAGACACATATACCCAAAGACTTCAATACTCCTCTTGCAATCACTGATAGAACAAGTGGATGAAAAATAAGCAGAAATACTGAAAATATAAAAATCCTATTAACTAAATTGACCTAATTAAAATTTATAGAATACACCCAATGATGGCCGAATATACATTCAAGTATACCTAGAACATTCACAAACATAGACAATATTCTTAGCCACAAAACAAGACATTACAAATGTAAAAGGAAATATATTCTTAGACCATAACAGAGTTAAATTAGAATCAGCAAATAGAAAAATAACTGGAAAATTTTCATATATTTGGCAATTAAACAACATACATTTAAATAATTCAAGGGAAAGAAAGGAAGACACAAAGGGAACTAGAAAATATTTTGAACTTAATGGAAATAAAAATAACATATGAAATTTTTGTGAAGCCAAAGCAGTTCTTGCGGGAAATTTACAGCATTAAAATGCTTATATTGGGGAAAAAGGGGAAAGCTTTCTGTGGTGGTTTAAAACAGATATGCACCACATAACATTTTTATCAACAACAGACCTCATATATGATGGTGGTCCCATAAGATTATAATAAAGCTGAAACATCCTTTTTTTTTTTTTTTTTGAGATGGAGTTTCACTCTTATTGCCCAGGCTGGAGTGCAGTGTCGTGATCTTGGCTCACCACAACCTCCATCTCCCGGGTTCAAGCCATTCTCCTGCCTCAGCCTCCTGAGTAGCTGGGATTACAGGCATGTGCCACCATGCCCAGCTAATTTTGTATTCTTAGTAGAGATGGGGTTTCTCCATGTTGTTCAGGCTAGTCTCGAACTCCCAACCTCAGGTGATCCTCCCACCTCGGCCTCCCAAAGTGCTGGGATTATAGGTGTGAGCCACAGTGCCCAGCCGAAAAATTCTTATCACCTTGTTGATGTCATGGTAGCTGCCATAACATCATAGCACCATGCATTATTCATGTTTGTAGTGACGCTAGTGTAAACAAACCTACCACACTGCTAGCCAAATAAAAGTAGAGCATGTATCTTTATGGAATATATAATCATCATCTATTATATACAGTACAGTAATTATTTATTCACCATACTGTATATAAGAGATGATTACATGTGCTATAAAGTACAGTGTCATTTACTGTACTATATATAATAGATGATTATAATATACAATTATGTTACTGGTTTACATACTACACTATATTTGTTATTGTTATTTTAGCATGTACTCCTACTTATCTGATTTGAAGAAAAGCTAACTGTAAAACAGCCTCAGGCAAGTCCTTCAGGAAGTATTACAGGAAAAGGCACTGGTATCATAGGAGATGACATGTCCATGTGTGTTATTGCCCCTGAAGACCTTCCAGTCATATATGTTGAGGTGGAGGACAGTGATATTGATGATCTTAACACTGTGCTGGCCTCAGCTAATGTGTGTGTTTTGGTTTTTAACAAAAAAGGTTTAAAAAGGGAAAAAAGGAAAAATTTAAAAAATATCAAAAAGCTTATAGAATAAAGATATAACAAAGAAGATATTTTTGTATAGCCGTACAATGTTTGGGTTTTAAGCTATGTTATTACAAAAAAAAAAAAACCAAACTTTTTTTTAAATTAAGAAGTTCATAAAGTGCAGAAAACTTACAGTAAGCTACATTATTGTTGAAGAAAGAAAAATATTTTTTACAAATTTAGTGTAGTCTCTGTGTACATTGTTTTTAAAGTCTACAGTAGTGTACAGCATTGTCCTAGGCTGTCACATTCACTGGCCTCTCACTCACTTACTCACCCGGTGTAGCTTTCAGTCTGGCAAGATCCATTCACGGTAAGTACTCTATACAGATGTACCACTTTGTATCTTTTCTACTTTATTTTTATAGTATCTTTTCTATATTTAGATATGTTTAGATACACAAGTTCTTAGCATTGTATTGCAGTTGCCTACAGTATTCAGTACACCAACATGCTACATAGGTTTTGTTTTTGTTTTTGTTTTTGTTTTTGAGAGGGAGTTTCATTTCTGTTGACCAGGCTGGAGTGCAATGGCCTGATCTTGGCTCACTGCAACCTCCACCTCCCAGGTTCAAGCGATTCTCTTGCTTCAACCTCCCAGGTAGCTGAGATTACAAGTACAGGCCACTTGTAATGGTATTTCTAGTTCTAGATCCCTGAGGAATCGCCACACTGACTTCCACAATGGTTGAACTAGTTTACAGTCCCACCAACAATGTAAAAGTGTCCCTATTTCTCCACATCCTCTCCAGCACCTGTTGTTTCCTGGCTTTTTAATGATTGCCATTCTAACTGGTGTGAGATGGTATCTCATTGTGGTTTTGATTTGCATTTCTCTGATGGCCAGTGATGATGAGCATTTTTTCATGTGTCTTTTTGCTGCATAAATGTCTTCTTTTCAGAAGTGTCTGTTCATATCCTTCACCCACTTTTTGATGGGGTTGTTTGTTTTTTTCTTGTAAATTTGTTGGAGTTCATTGTAGATTCTGGGTATTACTAGGTATATACCCGAAGGATTATAAATCATGCTGCTGTAAAGACACATGCACACGTATGTTTAATGCAGCACTATTCACAATAGCAAAGACTTGGAACCAACCCAAATGTCCAACAATGATAGACTGGATTAAGAAAATGTGGCACATATATACCATGGAATACTATGCAGCCATAAAAAATGATGAGTTCATGTCCTTTGTAGGGACATGGATGAAGCTGGAAACCATCATTCTCAGAAAACTATGGCAAGGTCAAAAAACCAAACACCACATGTTCTCACTCATAGGTGGGAATTGAACAATGAGAACACATGGACACAGGAAGAGGAACATCACACACTGGGGCCTGTTTTGGGGTGGGGGGAGGGGGGAGGGATAGCATTTGGAGATATACTTAATGTTAAATGAGGAGTTACTGGGTTCAGCACACCAACATGGCACATGTATACATGTGTAACTAACCTGCACATTGTGCACATGTACCCTAAAACTTAAAGTATAATTAAAAAAAAAACTGACAATACCAAGCACCAGTGAGGATATATAGTAACTGTAACTCTCATACATTGCTGGGGGGAATGCAAAGTGGAACAACAATCCCATACCTAGGGACATAGATAATATAAATAAATTTTAGTTTATAGACAAATCTGTGTATAATTTTTTAAAGCAGCTTTATTCAGAGTAGCCCAAAACTAAATGGTACTCACTATATTCTTTAACAAATGCACACATAAACAAAGTGTGGCACATCCATTCAATACAGGGAAAAAAACAATTGAAGAAAAATGACAAAATATGGATGGATATTAGATGCATTGTACTAAGTGAAAGAAGCCAGATTGCAAAGGCTACATGGTATATTATTTCATTTAGATGACATTCTGGAAAGGCAAAACTACAAGTAGAGAAAACAGATAAGAGGTTGCTAGAGGTTGTGAGGCAGGAAGGGGGATTGTCTATGTAGGTGTACCATAGGGGAACTCTTGGATAGTGAAACTATTCTGTACAAAACCGTGGTGGTAAACATCTGACAGTATAATTTTTTTCAAAATCCATAATCTATTTTAAAATCTGTTTTTTTCTCTTTAACACAATTATTTTTTGCAGAAACATTTACCGTTGGAGAGTGAGTAACCTCTTTAGCAAATACATACACACACACACACACACACACACACAGATATAGATACATACAATCTTCATTATTCATAGATTCCATATTGATGAATTTGCCTACTAGTTAAAATTTACTTATAACCTCAAAATCAAGACTTACAGCACCTTTATATTCATTCTTAGGCACATGCATGTGCAGGGTGGTGAAAAACTAGAATCTCTTCAGCTGGGACATTCATGTTCCCAGCTGAAGTCAAACAAGAAAACATTTTGCCTTCTTCTTTCAGCTCTCATACTATAAATGAATATCCTTTTGATGGATAAACTTAGTGCCATGTTTTTCAGATTTGTGTGTTTTTTTTAATTGGTGATTTTGCTGTTTCAAATGACTCCAGAGCATAGTACTGTAGTTCTGTCTAGTATTCCCAAGTGTAAGAAGGCTATGATGTGCCTTCTGAAGAAAATATGTGTGCGTTAGATAGGCATTGTCAAGGCATGAGTTATAGCGCTGTTGGCCAGAAGTTCAATGCTAATGAATCAACATATATTAAATAAGATGTCTTTATTCAGAAACATACATAAAATAAGGTTATGTATGAATCAGTGGACAAAGATATTATGACCAGAAACTCAGAAGATTTCCCTTAGGAGGAGTGGTTCAGTATTCAAATGTTCAAATTCAGTGTTCAAATGACTTTATAGAACATAACCACCATTACTGATGAGAATCAAGTATATTAGATAGATAGATAGATAATGATCCATTGATAGATAATTTATAAACATGATTATATATTTGAAACAGTATCCTATTTTAATTCTAAATCTTTTTAAAGTATACAATCATTTTTTAAACTCTGACTTGACTTAATGTTTTTATAACTTTTGCTGAAATCATTTTTGCAGTCACAGCTCTTTTGGAACTTATTCCCAGTTCAAAGATATTACATAAGTTTGGCATCGCACGTTCATCTTTGTGGTATTCCTCAATTTTCAAGTTGTTCAGTGATAAAGGACCCTTGAACGGTACAGCTTAACTCCCTGTTAGCGGTAATATGACTGCAATGAACATTGTTTTTCAACTTACATTTTATTAGAACCCTGAATTGAATGTCCTCCTTTCTCAGCTAACAGAATAAATTATATGAAAAAAGGACACATATTTATTTCCTTCTATCTAGTTCTTACTTTTAACTTGCAATCCAAACAAATAATGCCATCTAATTTTTCTATCCATATGTTAAGATCATGGCCACCGTAATTTGTTTTATAATCATAAAATAACTGTGGCTCTTTCTAAAAATAGAGATATTTTCCTTACAAATCAAAGCTCTAGAATTTAACTGTGTTCTAGAGGTGTTACTTGAAATACACTCACAATTCTCTTAAAAGCAGATGTTGCCCCTAGCAACAGTAAACACAGGCTTCTTTAGTTAAAGGGTCAAACACGTATGATGGAAACATAAATAACATTTAAGGCTAATGAGGTTTTTGTTGTTGTTGTTGTTGTTGTTTTGAGACAGAGTCTCACTCTGTCGGCCAGACTGGAGTGCAGTGGCACGATCTCGGCTCACTGCAACCTCTGCCTCCCGGGCTCAAGCAATTCTCCTGCCTCAGCGTCCCCAGTAGTTGGGATTATAGGCGTGTGCCACCACGCCCAGCGAATTTTTGTATTTTTAGTAGAGATGGGGTTTCACCATGTTGGCCAGGCTGGTCTCGAACTCCTGACCTCAGGTGATCCACCTGCTTCAGCCTCCCAAAGTACTGGGATTACAGGCGTGAGCCACTGCGCCTGGCCTTAATGAGGTTTTTAAAAACACATTTAATTCTTCCTGAAAAAAATATCAGTTACAATAAAATGGAGACAATGTTTGAGGAGGTGGGAAAGATGAGACAGGAGACAGCCAAATTGAGATGTCACATTTATACTTTTCATTTGCTTTTTCTTTCTTTCATCTATTGAATATTATGTTTTTGATCCTTTGCAGGTCTACAACCCATCCAGTCCAGTGATTCTAACTTCACCTTTTATGGGAATATTTGTTAGGACTGAACCTAAGCCAAAATACATAGTTTGTCTTCTTTACCCCTCCTTGATATCCCTTGATATTTACAGTATCTCCTGCACCAGAATATCTTCTCTTGCCTGCAAAAGAGAGACTTAAAGCTTTTTCAAGCTTGAAGGGGAAAAGGCTGCATGTGCCTTTATTTTCTCTTTGTGTTAATAATAGTACCTTTCCATACTTTAAATAATAGGCATTTATTATGTTTTTAAATTCAATTGTAATTTCTCTAAAGCCTACTGATTGGGAACATTGAGCCTCCTGGAAATACTGAAAAGAACTGAGAAAGAAATCTCAGAAGAGAGATGAGGGATTTCTTTCGACATAGCACTGGAGTGTCATATAGTTCTTGCTTATAAATTGGAAAAGATTTACGAAATTCCATGGAGATAGAATTGTTTCTGGCTAAGGACCTTATATAAGGGATTTGCACATTTTCTACTTTTTTATTGCAAGTAATGGAATACATACCCCGTGAAGAATGAACATATGGGATAGAAACACTTTTATATGCATGTCTGGGTGGCACTGGAACTCTTTCAGAATATGAATATGAACTGGTGGAAAATGTCAAATATTAAATCCATTGTAAGAATGGATCTCTTGGCTATTTAACATGCACTGGGGGAAAAGACAGAGAAGATCTGGCTTAGGCCTTAGACTGTAGTAAAAAGTGATCCTGACCAGTTTTAGATCTCCTGTTAGGAAATGTTAGGGCATATAATTTCAAAGGCCTTTATAAGCTAATTCACTCTTTAGAGGTCCTCTCTCAGTTACATTATCATATGCAGATACTGAAAGAATGTACATAAGAGTTTTAAGGGATAAAAGTAAACCAAGAAGCTCTCTCCACTCTGAATAATGATATATGAATACAATTATTTCAACTGATATTTATTGAGGGTCTATGGATAGAGGCACTGCAATAAACACCAGTGGTAAGCCATGAAGATTCAATATTCACTTTCCCCACCAGAGAGCTTGCTGTTTTTCTAGGGCAAGATACATTAAAAATACATAAATGATACATGGAAACATGTTGTATTAGTCTATTCTCACATTGCTATAAAGAAGTACCTGAGACTGGTTAATTTATGAGGAAAAGAGGATTAATTGTCTCATGATTCTGCAGGCTGTATAGGAAGCATCTGCTTAGCTTCTTGGGAGGCCTCAAGAAACTTACTGTCATGGCGGAAGATGAAGAGGAAGGCAGCACCTCATATTGCCAGAATAGGAGGAAGACAGAGAGAGGGAGGAGGTGTCACACACTTTTAAATGACCAAATCTCATGAGAACTCACTTACTATCACAACCAAGGGGGACGGTGCTAAACCATTCATGAGAAACCACCCACATGATCCAATCACTTCCCACCAGGCCCCAGCTCCAACATTGGAGATTACAATTAAACATGAGATTTGGGTCGGGACACAGATACAGACCATGTCACATGGATACACAGATTATGGCAAAACTTATGATATGTTATTAAATGGCTTTATATATTTATATATAAAGCCATATATTTATATATAAAGCCATTTAATAACATATCATAAGTTTTGCCATAATCTACATATCCATGTGACATGGTCTGGATATGCATTTATATATATATGTGTGTGTGTGTATATATATATGTGTATATATATGTATGTGTGTATATATATGTGCGTGTGTGTGTGTGTGTGTATATATGCATACATACACCATATATATTATAGCTCCAATTAAATCTCAGAATTGCAATAACTGGCCTATTTAATTTCACCAAGATGCTTTGTTCTTATCATCAACACACTGAAGTATTGCAATAATAACTCTCAGTGTTCATGTCATCAGAACATGCTTTATTTCAGAATTTGCTGTAATGTTATTCTGTTTTCCCTCCCAAATCAGTGTCTACAGTATTATGCCAAAATGCCATGTAAATTAAATTCAGTCGCAGGAGGCAACATTTCTTATAAAAGCAGTATTGACCAGGGTCTAAAGATTTGACTTGTAGGCTTATTTATTCTTTGCATCATGTTGACAAATCACCTAATTTTCTTTGGTCTCAGTCTCCTTATCTATGCAGCACAAAAATAATATTTGCCCTGCCAATTAAAAATAAAACTGAACCGACAAAAACATGCCTATTATTCAGTAACACGGCAAAGGAAAAAATATCCTTAACTTTTACACAAACATGTAAAAAATCCTTTTATACATTTTATTAGTATGAAAGATTTCTTTCTGTGTTTTAAATAAAATAATGTAAATAAATCTGACTGGAGAAAGATGTCTCAAAATTACACGTTAAGTATGCCCAAATAAACTCTATTACCACCTTTAAAATTGACAAGAAAAGATCATATGTAACAGAAATGCCTTTTAAATCACTGTGCTCAATTTGTCTTTATCAGAGATATTTTAATTAGTACCATGAGCCATTATGATTAATCCTATGCCTACCCCATCTCAACGTTCTTCTTAAAAAAAAATAGAAATTCAAATCTATCTTTCAAGGAAATACGGTTTTATTTTTATGCCAAATTTCAGAGCTTATTAATAATATACCAAGTAAATGCTAAGCCACAAAGCATTTTCACAGAAAGCATCAACTCAGATGCAAAGGAAATAACAAGCCACCTGAAAAGCCACAACTTTTAATAGCACATTTTTAAAAATGAAAAAGCACTCAATTCTCTGCTCAATAATCCTATTAGAGCCACCACTTTGAAAATTTATACCAAAATAATCAGTTTAAAGTAGCTGACTTTTCTCAAAAATCATTACCAATATGAAACCTTATTTCTTCAGTTTTTATCTAGTATTATATCAAAGGCCAATCCTAAAACCTCACAGTAGATCACTGACAGACTGTTAATCAAAAGTCAGGTAGTCACTACAGCAATTGTGAGCAGTTACAATAAAATGCAATTTCTGATTCTCTTTCTCATCTTCTTTGCAAGGAACATTGTTACTGCAGAAAAATAGTAAACAATGGATTATCATACCAATTGCCCCTAAACTATTACTATGTGAATTAGGAAAATAAAAACCTATCAACTCCCCCTTTCACTATTTTTCCAAAATTGAATTTGCTACATGAGTTTCCGGCTACAAAAAAACAATGATTTGTTCCTTTGACTGTGGATCAGGTTGTTTTACTCATGATGTTTTCAGGGCCTGACCAAGGAACATGATTGGGTTGTAAACTCCAGAAAGCTAGGAAGGATTTCGGTTTGCTGAAATAACTAAGTAAATATGCAAAGAGGAACATAATGTGCTAGCCAGGCGAGTCTCTCCCTGCGTGATGCTCAAAACAAGAAATCAGAATGCACAGGACATGTGAAGAGAGCAAAATTGGTTACGCTTTCATTTTGTTCCTATTAACTTCATTTAAATGACTCAAGGAGTAAATTCATACTGGTCAGATTAGGACCCAACATGGCATAACTTTTAGATCTGCTTTTCTGGTATGGATTCAGAAGGAGAACAAAGGGCAACAAGGAAAATTAGAAGTATCAAATATTTATTAATGTAGCCTGCCTATTCTTCTCCACTGCTGTTCTTCTCCCTTTCTTTTATATAACTCTCCTGTTCAGAACTCTGAAGGAGCCTGGTTAATAAAGTCCAAATGCTTGATGTTAAGGCCCTCCACAAACTCACTTCTACCTACTGATCTAGTCTTGCTTCTCATTAACTCATGTTTTCATCTAAAACGTTAGACAAACTAGAGTACTCCCTTCCCCAAACACATTTTTCCCTATTTCTATACCTTTATTCTCACTCTATTTCTCCTTTCTGGAAATGTTCCTCATCAAACCCATCTGTACTCATAAAGGCTATATCTAGTGCAATCTCCTTTCAAGAAACCTCCCTAAATCCCTTATCTTGGTCCTAAATCACTTATTTCTCCTCCTTGCATCCACAATACATTATTCCTATAAGATACATGGCATCTTATACTTCATTACAGTTAATTGTATGTCTTACTACCTGAGTCATATTAAATGACTCAGAGCAAAAACTAAATGTACATACTTCTATTTACCACAGTGATTAGAAAAGTGCTATCTTTCCATAGTAGATTCTCATGTCCGTTACATTAATTAAATTTGTGCAAAGTTATCTCCTCTGAAAAATATAGCTTACTGACAATTAAATGACAGAAAATACTAGGACTATACATACATGATGAATTTGGGGATGGAGAGAAAAATGCAGCTGCTTACTGAAATCAACTATAATTTTCAGAAAATTATTAGCTCTTTTCTCCTTGGTTTCTTAGGAGACTGAGCCAGACAACTTTTCTATGTGATACATTTGTTAAACAGTGTGTCTGAGGAAGTATGTCTGACATTGATAAACTGCTTGAAATTTTGCATTAAAAAGAGGAAGAAATAGAAGAATACATTACTATTGCTTTTAAAAAATGTTGCTCATCATCGATTGTGTGAAGATATTTTTTATGGTAGCTAAGGGGATTAAGGCATGTGTACCTGTAGTAAATGAATGGTGAGAGAGATGGAAGGAGAGAGAGAGAAGAGAGAGATAGAGAAGATAGATGGAGATTATATAGAGTCACCTCTGACAGAATGACTTACTTTTATTTCCTTCAAGCACAGGCAATAACCTCTCATTTTTCATTGGCTAGAAAATATGTCAACAAAATTTTCCTTTACCTGTCCTCTTTTTCTTTCAGTATCTGCCTCACTTATAAGAATAGAGATAAGTCAAATCTCATCCTTTCTCCATATAAACTATCATTGTCACAATTCAGAATACAGGAATTTGGAATACATATATTTGGATCTCTCTCCTAAATAATGCACTACTGACAAATAGTACGAAGCAAGTAATTTAATTTCAAAACTTTTATAGGCACACGAAAAGAAACATATTTCAGAATATCAATGAGTATTTTAGTAAACATTAAGGTGTTTAACAAGATAATATAGAACTTAACTCACTAATATCTCCCTTAGGAGAGAGCTATAGAATTTTTTCTGACTTTTTTCAGTTTTATTTATTTATTTATTTTTTTATTTATTTATTATTTATTTATTTATTTTTTTTTTTTTTAGTATTTATTGATCATTCTTGGGTGTTTCTCGGAGAGGGGGATTTGGCAAGGTCATAGGACAATAGTGGAGGGAAGGTCAGCAGATAAACAAGTGAACAAGGGTCTCTGGTTTTCCTAGGCCAAGGACCCTGTGGCCTTCCGCAGTGTTTGTGTCCCTGGGTACTTGAGATTAGGGAGTGGTGATGACTCTTAACAAGCACGCTGCCTTCAAGCATCTGTTTAACAAAGCACATCTTGCACTGCCCTTAATCCATTTAACCCTGAGTTGATACAGCACATGTTTCAGAGAGTACGGGGTTGGGGGTAAGGTTATAGATTAACAGCATCCCAAGGCAGAAGAATTTTTCTTAGTACAGAACAAAATGGAGTCTCCTATGTGTACCTCTACACAGACACAGCAACAATCTGATTTCTCTATCTTTTCCCCACATTTCCCCCTTTTCTATTCGACAAAATCGCCATCCTCATCATGGCCCGTTCTCAATGAGCTGTTGGGTACACCTCCCAGACTGGGTGGTGGCCGGGTAGAGGGGCTCCTCACTTCCCAGACGGAGCGGCAGGGCAGAGGCGCCCCCCACCTCCCGGACGGGGCGGCTGGCCGGGCGGGGGCTGCCCCCCACCTCCCTCCTGGACGGGGCGGCTTTCAGTATTATTTTTAATTATAAATTGATACATTATAGTTGTATATATTTATGGGTACAAGGTGATGTTATGATTTATGAATATAATGTAAAATGATTAAATCAAGCTAATTAACATATTCATCACCTTAAATATTTCTGCGGTGAGAACATTTGAAATGTACTCATGAGTTCAAAGTGTACAATTTTTATTTATTGTCTTCACCATGCTATGCAATATATCTCAAGGTAAAAAACAAACAAACAAACAAACAAACAGAAACTCATTCCTCCTGTCTAACTAAAGCTGTACCCTTTGACCATCGTGTCAAAGCCACATTACATTTATGATTTTACTTGTGGCACCAGGGAACATTGGCTTCTACATTTTCAAATGCTTCTTTTTAAAATGACCAAATTTTTACATTTACTTTATTAAATATTATAAATCAATAGGAGTGATAATAATAAAGAGTTCCATCTATCCCCACCCCAATCATGCTTCTAAAAGCTATCACCTTTTAGCACTTCTGGGTTAAGTTCCTCGGTAGGTTATCTTCATACTGCTAAATAAGTGCTTATACAGCGGCTTCTTAATTTACCACCTTTAGCTCCTGCTATGATTGATGAAGATTTATTTCACACAACTCTCACCACCTCTTCTCAATTTTTCTGGTTATAACATTATTTTTAGTACCTGTGCCTTCATAATATATAATATACTTCAATTTCAATTTCTTATTTCATCAACTGTGAACTATATCCTTTGACAACTCACTTTGTAACATGACACTGTATGAGGGCAAAATAGTCAAGCTTTCAAATTGTAAGGGTAAGGTGATCACACTTTCTTTCTTTAATAATTAGAAGGAAGGAGACTGTCTCCCATTCCTCTCCTCCTTCGGGTGCCTCCTTGAAAACATAAGTCTGATAAAGAGTCAGATCTTTTAATGTTACAAGGCAAGGTGTGGGCCATCTGCTATTTGGAACGTAAACAAACACATACCTCCAAGGTTAAGAGACGTCTCTCAAATTACACAGGAAACAACCACAAGGCAAGTTCTCTAGTCTCTCAAGGAGATAGAAGTTTTAATTGTTCTCTCTTCTACTTTTACATATAAATTTGTATGAAATCCTGTCTAGACTTTGTAGATATTTCCACACTCTCACTACATGCATATAAATCTCCAATGTTTACTTCTTAATAAATGTGTTCTCTCTTTCTCCTATATTGGCATGGGAGGCTGTGGTCGGGAGGGCAGGGCAGTGTTTTTGCTGACAAAACTATTTTATTTCCCAGCAGTTAGTAGAACTGGTACCCTGCCTTCTCTCTCTCATACCTTATTATTATAAATTTAATTTTCCACCTTATCAAGGCTAATAAAATTCACATTCTGTTTTGTATTCAAAATACATTCCATACATTACCTGTACATTGACTAAAGTTGAAAGTCAATAAAACGGTGCTTAAATTATTATGAATGTGAAGATATTGTTCATTACCAAGTAATATAATGATGGTACAACTTTTTCCTTTTGGTTCTCATGGTACGCCTGTGCCACTCAAAAAAAGTACATTCCTGGCCTCAAAATCAAAAGGAAATCCTCCTCGCTCAAATCATGCTTTATGTTAATTTACCTCATATTTGAATTATATTTTTCTTATATATTTTTGAGGCTGTCTTTTTTTCTTTTTGAGAGAATTAATGTACATTCTCTTCATAATATCCCTAATGACTACAGCTTCCTACTTGCTCTAGTTAGTTCTCAAAATGCATATTATTATTGAAGACATTATTCTTAGAGCCCACTGTACCATTCTAATTTGTACCAACTTTTTAGAAAGAGCTCTGCTATACAGCTGTTATGTTGTAATTTCTTTTATTTTATGCCTCAATTAATCCTATCACTTTTGTATTCTCTATCTTTTCCTTTCTTAATTTTCAGCATTATTTTCCTGGAATATACTCTCAAGTAACTTTGTCATAAAGTATGCCTAGGTTAAGTTTCCCTGTTATTGCATATGGAGAGATGACTTTAATTCTAAACTGATTGAAAATTTGACTGAGACTATAGTTGTAGACGCAAAGTTATTTTCCTCCCAAACTTTTAAAAGTCTTCCTCACTTGTATTCTCTGACATTTTAACTGTGACTGATGAGAGGTCTGGCATAGTTTAATCATTGCTCTTTTGTTGGTGATTTTGTTGTTGTTGGCTTTGATTTTTGGTGACTTTTTAATCTATAATCCTTTTCTTCAGGTAGTCAAGTCTGTGACACCTTTGGGGTCTTCTTCATCAATTACCACACTCACTAGCTTCCATGCAGCTAGGATTTGTTAATAGCTTTGATTAGTGAAAAAAGAAAAAAAGCCAAGACTTTGCCTTCAGAAATCTTTACAAGCTGAGCCAAAATAGAGAAGCTGCCAAAGAGAGAATGGTGTGTCAGAAGCCAGAGAAAGGGAGACCTCCACAGTGTCACAAAGGGAATGAAATTTTACGGTTTCCTGACTTTGACTTCATCCTGGAGCAGTGAAAGCCTAATCTCACAATTAATTATTTCTACAACTTTCTCCATTCCCAGTCAGAAATGCACTCTCATGTCTGCTCCTACACCACATTTTCACAAAGTACTTTTGAACTTCACTTAGGCCCTTCTGCCTAACAATTTCCCAGTCTCCGACCACAGCTCCTTTGCTTCCAGTTCCTACATCCCTTTCTCCACTCATAGTTGCACTTTAATTTCATCATAATCCCCCATCTTTTCGAGGCTGGCTTTGCTTTCTTGCCTGTCCATCACTTCAACTGCCTTATTTCAATGCTGTTAACTTATTACCTGTTTTGGGTTTTTCACTTCAACATCCTCCAATGACTCACATTTCTATGGAATTACTGAGCACTGTTAGAGTAAAACCACGATGCAATGCTATGCATACTGTTTCTACTATAAATTAATGATCTCCAGCCTGAGGGGGGCCCTCAATGCTATATGATAATTCAAATAGACATAGTATTTTCCCCTTGATAGTGGCAATTACATTTGTGCCATTGCTTATCATGTTTCCCATTACCAACTGGTTTGCTTCTCCCGTCTCAAGGAGAATGAAAGCGATAGAAAATATATGCCCTCATCTATCCTTTTATATCTAATGATCTGCTTCCCTTCATCTTTGATAGTGCCAGGCAAAGGAAGTGATGGCTTTTACATATAGAGTAAGGAACATATTTATGGACTTGTACTAAGTGTGATCATAGTCCACAAATAAAGGCTAAAAAGTAGAAATCATAGAGGCCACATTTTCTTACAACAAAACTGTAAAATATAAAGTAAAATTAGGCTATTATGCCAGCATGTCTATAGCATTTGCTAGTTTCATGGACTATTATAAATATATTATACATAATATGTTTTACATAAATATTATATCTATAGATATATATATAGAGAGAGAGATTTTAATTTTTGCATCAATCTTTTGGAGTAAAATAAGAAATATGAAGCCAAACAAGTTTAAGTAATTTGTTCAAGTTCACACAGCTCTCAGATATAGACTCAGGATATAAACCTGGACAGTATGACTCAAGTTTCCTCACACTTAATCATCATGACATATTGCATTTTCACTCAAGGAAACCCCACATACTAAGAAATTTTTTTAATTCCTGTATATATCTATTGTTTTACAAAGAAAATATGCAGGAAAAAATAGTTTACCAAGCAGTAAAATTGTAGAAGACAATTCACAAATTTTCATAATCCAATTAATATTTTAAAAGGAAAAACTAATGCTCTTAATCTTTAGAACAACTCAAAAATCTAAATTATGAGTCACATGAATTATTTTTGCTATATGCAATCATAGAAAATTTTTTGTAGAGAAATCCTTTAGGATCTCTCTTTTGGGACTATAATTCTTCCACGAGCAAAGGCCACTATAGCACTCTATTAATTGACCCAGAGAACTGCCCCATATTCCTTAGCTGCAAGAAGATTTGTATCTAATAATGCTACTTTGCCACCTGAAAAATGTAGGCAACTGAGGAACTTTCTGGATTAAAAAAATAATATTTTAAATAATTATAACCATTAGAACACACAGTCATTCTGAACACTAATTCTGATTAGGTTACCTGATTTAGTAAATAAAAATACAGGATGTCCAGTTAAATTTGAATTTCCAATAAATAACAAAAGCTTTTAGAATAAGTATGTTTCATGCAAACATTAGGACATACTTATACTAAGAGACTGCTTATCTAAAATTCAAATTTAAATAAGTGCCTTGTATTTTATCTGTCCATGCTAGGATTCAGTCAAAATATGAAATTTCAATTAATATTTTGATTTTAATTTACCAAACAAGGTACAGACATGCCATCATACCCTTTTATTTGCTTTTTCCTCTATAATTATCCTGAAACTTTAGTTATTACCATGTAATTATGCTGAAATGTAGTTATTGTAAGGAATCATTGCAGATGCCCCTTATATAATTACAATTAATGAATGTCTAATTAAATTATAAGTTCAAAGACACATAAATTTCTTTCTCAAAAAAACCGTACTGAAACATAAGTAGTGTAGAGTTCTAAAGTGCATAAAATATTTGAAATAGAGAAAAATTATCTTCTATTTTCAAAAGGGCATAAGGCATTTTAGTTGTGAAGCTATTTGTATATCTATTGCTATAAAATTATTAGTCATTCTATAACTGTAATTACATAGACACTTATTAAATATAGGCCAGGCATGGTGGCTTATAATCGCTTGTAATCCCAGCACTTTGGGAGGCTGAGGTGGGTGGATCACCTGAGGTCAGGAGTTCGAGACCAGCCTGACCAACATGGTGAAACCCTATCTCTACTGAAAATACAAAAATTAGCCTGGCGTAGTGGCATGTGCCTGTAGTCTCAGCTATTCAGGTGGCTGAGAAAGGAGAATCACTTGATCCCAGGAGGCGGAGGCTGCAGTGAGCTGAGATTATGCCACTGCACTCTAGCCTGGGTGACAGAGCAAGACTCTGTCTCAAAAAATAAATAGATAAATATAATAGAAAGGTATGGATAATTTACAATATTAGTTCTTTTGTTGTGTTGTGTTGTGTTTTTTTTAAGATAGGGTCTTGCCCTGTCACCCAGGCCAGAGTGAAGTGGTGTAATCATAGCTCACTGAAGCCTCAAATTCCTTGGATCAAGCAATCCTCCTGCCTCAGTCTCCCAAGTAGCTGGGAGGTGCATGCCACCACACCTGGCTAATTTTTTAATTTTTAGTATAGATGAGGGTTTCCTTTGTTGCCCAGGCAGGCCTGGTCTCAAGCAGTCCTCCTGCCTTGGCCTCCGAAAGTGCTGGCATTATAAGCATGAGCCACTGCACCTGGCCTACATTTTCAAAATTAAAAAAAATTAAACATATAAAAATTTCTTTTTACAATAATTATTAATTCTACAGCTTCCTATGAGTTGAAAAATATACAGGTTAATATTTTATATAATTACCTAATGCTGGGATTTTTTTCCATTAGAGACCTAAATTGTTATATATGTTTTTTAAAGTGCGAAAAGAAAGATCACCTTTAATAGTCTCAAAAAATAAATAGTTAAATGATTCTAAAGGCTCCAAGGCACCTCTTAGATTTTAACATATAAAAATACAGCTTTCTGCTCAAACCCTGTCCAAAGTATCCAAGAATAACTAATGCCCCAAAATAGTGACTTAAAATCAAGTCTGTTATGGCAAATATATAGAAACCCATGTGACACTGAAAAAATACTCTAAATTTCTTCAGGTAAGCTGAAAAGTAAATTCAAAATACTATTCTTACTAGTAGTGTCTAAAAAAGGGGCTAGGAGCGGGATTTGCACCTGCATAGCCTTAAAAATTCTCCTAGTTTTACTGGATACCTCCTGCCAGTTCCCAAAACACTAGTAAGTTGTGACTTACCCACCCACACACCACTTTGTTGAGTTGTTATTCTAAAATGGTAGTGGTTTAGTTAACTTTTGTTAAGCCTTATGTCATCTTTAAATATTAGATGTGAGAAATTAAAAAGCAAAATACTCTCATATAATTTCTAATTATCTCATACATATTGAGCCATATTGAATCAGGTCACTCATTCTCCCAAATATAAAAACAGTATTTACTTGTTTGTATGTACTCCAAAGAGGCTTGGGGAGCACTGTGGGCATTATGGAAGAGAAATTGGAACTTGCCATTATAGAAAGAGAAATGCATGATACACAGTCACTTCTGATGGACTTGGGAAGCCCAAAATATAAACCATGCTGCAGAAAGGTACAACAGGGTCCCTGAGAGGGAATTCAACATAAGACAAGAAGGAACGTAAATGACTAACTAAAGTCATTTACTAACTAAAATGTGAGGTCTGTGGAATGCAGAAGAGGAGTGATTCCAGGCATCCAAGAAAAACTAATGCCCAAAGATACTGACTTAAAACCAAGTCCGTTATGACAAACAGAATCATTCCAGGTATAGAACTGCCAGGAACAGAAAGCCTTCTTAACCCAGCACCCAACCATGAGTGCATCCCCAAGGCTGAATGTGTGAAGTGAGGCGATTTTGAAATGCTTTGGAACTTGAGTAATTCTGCCAGTAGATCCCTCCATAAATTGGAGATGGAAAAAAAGAAAGAGGCGTTCATTTCTGAATTCATGGGACAATTTTTGGCCATGCGAACTCTCTGCTGGTAACAGGAATTCAGAGTAGTGTCTAGAGTAGCTAACACTGCCAGCTAATGTGTCACATCAGTTGTCAATCATGTTAACAGATCTCAAGTATAAAGAACACTAGGGCATTGTGGGAGCAGAGGGCAACTGAGAGTAACAAGGACAGGATGGCTGGGACCTCTACCTTAGGATGTAGAGCCATCAAATTGACATCTGGGAAATATCAGTGTCTTAGATTGTTTCATGGATATAGATGTACACATGCTCACACATATACATACACACACACAAAAAAAATTCCCTCGGAATTTCTAGAAATACTACAAAGAACTAGAATTTATAAGTAAGACTTAGAGCTCCAGATAAATGAGTAGCAGTACTAACATAACTTCTATTTATGACCTTGGATTGATGGGGTCTGTAACATTCAACATACTGCTTTCATGTCAGTAAAGTACAACCAAGATACACTCTATTTCAATAAATGGTACTCTCATCCACTAAATTATTCAAACCAGAAATCATGGATGTATCATTTTTTGCTCTTTATTCCTCACCTCTCATACCCCAAGTTGTGTCAATTTCACTTGTTAAGTATCTCAGAATCTGTTCCCTGTACCACAGCCCTACTGTCAACACCCATGTTGAAGTCACCATCCTCTCTAGCATGGACTGGTAGGAAAACCAGCTCGTTTGCTTCCCTTCATCTCCTCTTGCTCCCTATCTTCTATTTTCTTTATTGCTGTGGTAGTAATATGTTTTAAATGCAATTCTGTTCATGGCCCTCCCTTACTTAAAGTCTTTTTATGGTTTCTCATTCTTCTTATCATACAGACCAAAATCTTTAACCTTGCACTGTGATTTAGGCTCTCTCTGCCTTCCTCACCAATCTTGGGAAACATTTAGCACATAGACAGGATAAAGCCCAATATTCCACACTCTCTAAGCAATGTGTTTCTCTCCTTATGACCACAAGAAACCAATTAAATTAGTCATTTAAGTTATAATATATGCTATTATTTGTCATTATTTGTTTAATGTATGTCTTCCCTGCTAAACTATAAGCTGCTCGTAAACCTAGTCTCTATCTGTATTTCCCCCAACCTCATCCCCAGTGTCTATATGGTAAGGCCTATACTTAGAAGAGAAATATTTACTATACAAATAAAAAAAGTATGAATATTTCTGAATCCCCCATAAGTAGTTATTACAATGAGGATTTGCTCTCATCCAATGTATTTGTACTTTCCCACTGGGAAAAAAAGTTGAATTAAATAGATTTTTTAAACATTTAAGTAGATTTTATATCCTTTCTAGGAAAATTCATTTGAATATTCACACCTTCTTCTCCTGCCAACATGTTTCAAAGTCACACACTGAGAAAATTCTGAGAACAGCTGGCTGGAACATTTCTTGATTTTTTAAAAACTTATATAGGAAATAAGTAAAGATAAAATCATAAAGATCAGGTCTGCATATTGTCTTCTTAAAGAAGAAAAGCTCAGTAATTCACCCTTTCACTTGAGTTTGCTTGAAAGAAACCAGCACATTACAAATTCTAGAAAATCTCCTTACTTAAAGGTTAGATAGTGTTAGGAGGCCTCAGTTATTTTTCCTTTGATGTTGAGGCAAGCCAAGGCTACTGAAAAGCCATTGAAGTTGGTAGAAGCTGACAACCATTCCAAAAAGTGGGGTTTGTATACAAGGGAGAAACAGTAAAGAGCCGCTACATTATGTTCAGATGTTCATACTATACTCCTAGTTTCTTTAGTGTTACTGCTAATCATGGCAATTTAAATGATGAGAATAGATAAGAAACAAGGCACCATTTAAATAGATCATTTAAGCTTACGGTAAAATTTAATCACTACCTCCAATTACAAAGAAAGGGAAATTACAAAAGAAATTATTTCAAGTATATTAGTAGTGACTACCATCTTACTGACACTATTTGAATGGATATAAACAAATAAAACATCTTAAAAAGAGAAGGGCAGTGATTTCTGACACCTTACATTGTCTAACACACTCACACAAAACACGCTGCCTTATATAACTAGGTCTAAAAGAAATCAACTAAAACAACAAAAATTAAGATAGCATGTGCATTAATTTTCTAGGGCTACCATGGCAAAGTACCACAGACTGGATAGTTTAAACAACAGACATTTATTTCCTCTCGGTTCTGGAAGCTGAGAAGTCCCAGATCAAGATGTCGGCAGGGTTGGTTTCTTCTGAGAGCCTCTCTTCTAGGCTGGTAGATGGCCATCTGCTTCTACTGTTTCCACAAGGTCATCTTTCCGTGTCTGTGCTCTAATCTCCGCTAATAAGGACACCAGTCATTTACTTTAGGGTCCACCCCTCTGGTCACATTTTACCTTGATTATCTTTCTAAAGGCCCTATCTCCAAACACAGTCACATTCGGAAATACTGGTGGTTAGGACTTAAACATATGAATTTTGAAGAGACATAATTTAGTCCATAACAGCATGCCTGTTAAAAAGTGATGTATTTTCCTTCTGTTTCCTATTTTTTGGGACAGAATTCACGTGCTATAAAATTCACTCTTTTAAAGTGTACAATTATATTTATAGGATTCTTTGGGATAGGAGTCTACCTATATTTGCTTCCAAGAGGAGGCTTGTGTTTTCTCTACTTTTTCTTTCAATCATTTTGAGCTTTATTTAACACTTGTCCCGCCAGCTATCATTAGTGATACTTTATGGTGGCAATTTGGTTTAAGAAAAAAAAATAGATGGTTTGGTGAAAGTCTGGGCTCTATAGCCCTCATGAATTAAGTGTTATTGACCTCTCTTTAAAGTGAGCCCCAACATTCTCCCAGCCTAAACCTCAGAGGTGGGAAGCTGGGGCCTAAGCACTAAAGTTTCGTTATCCAGCCACGCGGCAGCAAGGAGAATCAGCTCCTTGAGGGCTGAGATGATTTCCACTTCATAGTACAAAGTCACTTAATAAGGATGCACACAACTTGGCTTTCCTTTCTTTAAGAGAATGTACAGAATTTAGCACAAAAGGGAATATAAGTGCAAACTCACAGAGTTTCTTCTTAAGTATGAGCTTGTGAAAACTCAACAGCTTTCAGAATATGACGTGAAGAATTTAGTCATGATACTGGTGAAAGTGAGAAGGCACCATGTATTTATAGTACTTGAATCAAATTTTTACATGCTTATCAAATTTTAATTTGGTAAATCCTTCTATTTTCTTTCTTTCTTTTTTTTTTTTTTCTTCTGAGACAGGGTCTTACTTCATTGCCCAGGCTGCAGTGCAGTGGTGCAATCTCGGCTCACTGCAACCTCCACCTCCCAGGTTCAAAGGATACTCGTGCCTCAGCCTCTCTAGTAGCTGGGATTACAGGCACACGCCACCATGTCCATCTAATTTTTTTGGTATTTTTAGTAAAGATGGATTTTCACCATATTGGCCAAGCTGGTCTTGAACTCCTGGCCTCAAGTCATCCTCCACCTTGGCCTCCCAAAGTGCTGGAATTAGAGGCATAAGCCACCAAGCCCACCCTATTCTTCTATTTTCTACCTTTAATTTCTTACCACTTTAACTCAATGGCTTATTTAAACCATGGAATTCAAGTATATATGAGCTTATTTCTGAACTCAAACACCAATTGTTTAAATGATGGTGGGTCATGGCAAGAAACTGTCTATTCCTCCACTGGTTTTCCATAACGGAAAGATGGCATCCACAAAACTCTCCTCCAGAAGAAAATACACTGAGGCAGGCATTGACATTGGGTAAAAGAGGAGCTGAGCACAAACGTCCCTAAGCTATATTCTCATAATGGTTGGTCGTAATGGTTGGTCATTGTCTTGCCGATTAGAATACCTCTTTGTTAAAATACAGCTTTTTTTCTACTTTCTCCTTAAGTGATTTGTTTGTATGTTTTCTACTGTCCTGAATGTTCAACCTTGCTTTCTCTATAATAAAAGAAGTAATGTGTATATTCTCAAACAGAAAATCAGATAGACTATAACACACATACACACATACAGATGATAATACAGAAAGTGTCTATACAATGATAATACTGAAAGTGTATTCAAAGATACTTTCTTTGTAAGAGTTGGAGTCATAGTCTTTAAATTATTCCCCTGAAGCTGTCTCTCACACACAAAAAAAGGTCAAGAATCATCTCACCCACATGTATATATACGCACATACAGATATATGTGTATATATGTATATATCTACATACAGACATACATACAGATATTATACACATACAGATATATATACACATCTGTATGTGTGTCACATATACATGTGTATATGTGTGTATATGTGATATATATACATCTCACTCAGATATATTGTATATGTATACATGTGATATATATACATCTTACACAGATGTGTATATACACATAGAGATATGTATATGTGTTCGCCTATACATACAGATATGTATATGTGTATACCTGTACATACAGATCTATACATATATACATACAGATATACAACACATATCTGTATGGGTGTCACATATATGTGTGTGTGTATATGTATATATAGAGAGAATTGTATATTATTGAGGATAAATACTCAGCCTATACAATGAATACAATCTTTTAAAGGAAAATAAAGATATATGATCATCTATCTGTAATAAAAAGTTGTCCAGTCTTTAAAAGATGTACTTTACTGTCAGACTTTATGAACCACACAATTTCCAAATTTGATAACATTTTGCAGAATAAATTTTCTATCAAATAAGTCGCTCTTACTAGAAAATTAGTAAACCACTTCATAATTTTGGATAGTAAAATATATTACAACAGAATAAAATTGTCTTTTTCTTAGTCTAGAAACAAACTATTACATAGCAGCATGCTAATTAATATTTCTTTGTGTTTTTCCACAGGCTGTTGCTACCCATGTGAGAGTAAAGAAGGGAAGTTAAATCAGTGCTGCTTTCCTTGATGGTTCCATTGATCCAAAAGCCCATTGAAGTCAATAGGATTTCGTCTTTAGCAGAAATGCTGCACTTAGATTATCTCCATAGGAAAGTACAGAAAAAAAAAAAACTGATCGAAATAGCTGAGTTACTTTCAAACCACCAGCCTGCTTTATTTTTAAACATATTAGAAGTTTCACTAATCTTTAAAGTGGATTTTGTACACTGAGAGTAATACTTATAATAATAATATAATGCATTAAAGAAGAGAAAACTAGTCTGTGTGATTGATATTTTAGCTTCCTCCCTTTTTTGAAACAATTTCCTTTGGTTTCATGTCAGCTGGGTTCCTTTAAAATACAAATACAATAGCTCCCCCGTGCCCCTGGCTAGGAGATCACAATGAACCAGTCCTGAAATCTTTCCCCCTTGACTGCCAAGGCAGATCTAATTACTCCAGAGCCCTGCCTTCATTTTCAGGGCAGAAGTAAATGCTTCCTTGTGTGGGACACCAGTCAGAGCAACAGGCACTTCCTCTGATCTGACTAATCATTCTTGCAGCGTGGGAGTGCAGGAGAAGAGAGGAAATATCATTCAAAGACATTTTTTTCCTAAGGTTTGGGGCCTTACTCTTTAAAATATTCCCCCAAAGCTCTATCATCTCACAGACATACAAAAAGTTCAAGAATCTCCTCCATAAGATGTCTCTCACCTGGATGGTATAATTAGCCACATTTTATTATTTTCCTCCTTTAGAAAAGTTCTCATTTTATCTTTCTGTAAGTGCCCTAATCTGAAAAGCACACTTCAGGATTGTCATAGGATTAAACACAGGGAATTCTGGAAATGTTTAACACGCCGTATTTCGCAAAAAGAAAAAAGTTTCTTCAATGACTTTGCCATTTTGTCTCTGCATAGGGTGTTCAGATATAAAAATATATATATTTTTAAAAAGTACAACAGCTGCAGAAATAACTATTTTCATGGCAACATTTGCTTTTCAGAGAGCCTTTAAAACAGGTTGTCTATTATAATATAATATATAATAGGAATATTATTATAATAATTCTAATAATTATTATATTATTAATAAAAAAAGATTTCTTAATATATGCAGGTGGTGGAGAATATCTGAATTTAGAAGAACAAGAATGAAAAAGAGGGCACTATAAGTCAAAAGCTAACAGAATGTAGCAGAAAGAACATTGGGAACTGGGTTTGGACCAATATTATCAATGTGATCAGTGATGTCAAAAGAGAAAGAAATTTTCAAAAGCTTAGAACAGCATCACTACTATTGCTTACGTGTTGATTTATATATGCAATCTTTCTAAGCTTTTGAAAAAAAAGTGGTCTTTTTTATCTCTATGCACTTATTTTCTTTTTTTTCTTCATTTCTTCTTTTATTTACCCACCAGGTGTCATATAAGGCACTGGAGAAACACAGCTGAATTGCAAGGATTCTTAGAGGTGTCCACGGTAAAATAAAAAAGACAGATAGATAAACCTACTTTCCTGGTGAGGACATACATAGTGTGTCCTACTTTTTTCCTTGGTTCTAATTTCTAATTTTACTTTCTTTCTAAAGCCTGTTTTTTAAAACAAAATCTGATTCAATTGTGTCTAAATCAGAGAATGGACTCAGGGCGACTTATTCAATCACCCAGAGATTATTATCCGAGAGCTCAGTCAAAGACTAAAATTGACTGAGGCTGTCAGGACAACTATAACAGCTTCAAAAAAAAAAAAATGAATCCTGAGGATTTCTTTACAGATACTGAGAAATAACAATTAAGTTGTCAATGATACTATCTCCACTCTCAGCAAACATTCCACACCCCAGTGGGGCTGCTACAGAGGCAACTTGTGAGTACCCCATTCCATTCCTACATGCTGTTACTTCTTTCATTAGAGCAGGTTTCTCTGGGTATGTGCCCTGCAGTAGATGGAGAGGAGGTATTGTATATAAAATGGGAAGAGAGATAGTGAATAGACAACATTCTCAGAGAAGAGTCTTAAGAATTCTTTTGCCACCATAAACCACAGGACAAGGCAACCTTTTCTCCAGGTAGACACCACTTTGAACAACAAATATGAAGGTCCTGAAGTGTTTGTAAAATAAAAAATAAAAATAAAAGCTTTGAGGGCACATGAAGCTAACTCCACTTTAGCCTTGATGTCTCAATTTAGATATAGGCCTCTCCAGGAAGACTTTGCTATAACCTACCCTTGCAAGACTGATTTGGGACCCTCCAGTGTGCTCCTACTGGACTTTGTGACTTGCAGCAGTCATAATACTACTATGCTTCATTGAAGTATCTTATTTTCTTCTTTGTCTGCTTTATGAGAAAATAGTCTCAAAAAAAAAGAAATAAAATAGCTTCATAGGTTTGCTGACAAAACAGTGTTCAACCCATAAAAATCACCATGTAAATGTCAGGTTCTTCATCATTCTCATCATCATAATTATCATGATTTTGGATGAGTTCAAACTACCTAGATAAGGGAAGGGAAGGAGTTTTTATCAACATTACCTAGAATATGAATGAGCTTTCAATAAATTTTTGTTGAATTAAATAGGTGGATAAACAAATTTACGAATTATCATTGGTTGCTTAACAAATTCTATCCAAACGAATTTTGAAGTTGTTTCTTTTAGATTATTTTCTATTTTTCCAAAAGGAAGAGTAATGACAGCTATCTACAAGACTGAAAAGGAAAATATGGTCTTGTGAGGACCAGACCACAAAATTTGCCAAGGACCCTGAGTATCTGTTCAGAGGTCAGGCAAAAGTAACTGCCATTGTCTTATTTAATTCTGAGAAAGCTCCTTTCAGAAAGTAGAATTTCCGAGACACTTCAAATCAAAGGGTAGGTGGTTTTGTGAATATCTTGAGATATAAACCTTCTGGAGAACAATTCAGCAATATTTATCAAAAGCTTTAAAAATTGAGTAATGCCTTCTCTAGAAATATCCTAAAATGATAATTAAGAATATGAACAAATGTTTGACTTTATAGATACTTGTAGCAACATGGTTTACAATATTTAAACATAAGGTAAATGTCCACAATAAATTATTAGTTACATAAATTATGCTACATTTTTATAATAAAACACTAAAGAGCTACTTGTGCCATGTTTATTATAATGAAAGATTTTCATACTATAATAGGCTACAGGACAGTATATAAAGTATAATGCCATTTTTGTTTTATTGAGAGGGTAGAAATAACAAGAATAGGGAAAGAGAAAAAAGCTAGCAAAGTGATAGTATGAAAGCCAAAAAGCTGGTAATCTTTCTCAAGTATTAACATCCCCTTGTCTATGTGCAATTAATCATCGGGTTCTGCCCTTTTCACTATTTAAATGTCATTTAAACTCACAGTTCTTTTCATCACTATTGTCATCATCTTTATTTAGACACATTTTTATGTTTTTGTTAGAAAAAAAAAATACATAATCAATGTCCCTGCCCCCGCGTTGCCTTGCTCCATGCTTCACAGAGAAAATACAGACAGAATGATCTTTCTAAAATGCCAGTCTGAACGTGGCACCATGCTTTCAGAGCAAGGCCTATACTCCTTGCCATCACGTGTTGAATCATTAAAGTTCTGTTCTCTACCTACCTGCCTCTGCAGCTAATTTCCCATGACCCTGCTTCCATCCACAACTTGACTTTAAGCCAAACTGAACTATTTGCACATTTCCTAAGTTTACCATGTCCACTTCTCTGCATCTTTGCACATGCTACTTAATCCACCAAAAGCAAACTTGTCTCATCTAGTTGCTATTCATCTTTTGCAGAGATAAAATCATTGCTGTTTAAAATCAAAATGTACTATCAACTCTTCTGCTAACACAGGCCTTCATTTCAGTGATAAACTATAGCTCCACACTCAGAAATGGGTAAGGACAGGGGAAGGCTGAAATTTCAAGGTCTCTCTCCGCTTTTCCATGAAATTATACAAGAACCAGAGCAAGTCTAGCAAGTGACTCATTGGCTGGCTAAGCACATTTATGAGCCTTTTGGTAGGCCAAGGAAGGCCTTATTTTAGAAGGGGATTGAGAGCTAAATTGTTTTGTACACTATCAAAAGTTGATTTTCATGTAGAAGCAATAAGGATGAACATAAAGTAATGAAGCACGGGGAGTCTTGAGAGATGAATGGAGATGAGCAGCTTTGCAGAAGGCCAGGGCCTTGAGGAGTCTGACCAGTGAGTGATAAGTTGCCATGGCAGAGTGGCCATAGGAGAGCTGTCAGTAACCCACACAGATCCCCTGCGACAAGCAAGTGCAGGTGCACATTTCCCCCAGTTTTTGTGAGCCAATGGTCACCAGCTCACAGCTGCACCCTTTTGAAAACTGCTTGTTAGCAACAGGAGCAGCCTAGTTCAGAAATGCCTGAGAGGTTACACCCTTCCTCCAAGTGGTAGCCAGTAGCCAGTGACTGACTAATAAAGAGGTACAAAAAGCCTTCCCCCTTGTCCTTGTCAAAAATAAAACTGTGGGTTCCATTTTTATTCTGGAGCTCACTGTGGCATCAGTTGAACCCACTTCTTTAAGTGTTCTTTTCCTTCTTCTCCTTCAGTTGTGCCTCCTGGGATTAACTCCCAGACAAATTATTAATACTTGTGCTTAAATCATGTGTCATAGTATGCTTTCAAAGGAGTCCAAACTTAAGTAAGAATCAGACCAATTTTGTTTAAATGTGCATTTAAACCCAGCTGATTTTTTTGCCTAGCTTTTTCCTTGTCTTATCCTATTTTCTTCATTACCTTAAAGATTTCACTGGAGCCACTTCCACAATAAATCTTTGCCCAAGAATCCCTGTCTCAGGTTTTGCTTCTAAGGAACTCAGCCCAGGATAGCAACCTAGGACTTTTGAAGACCAAGAATGTGTCACACTAAACTTCAAAGTATTTTGATTGCAGAGATGAAAACTCTCCCATTACCTCATTTTCTGAAGATTGTGCTGCACACATATGTCCATCAAAACACACCCTGCAAAGACAACTTCTATAAGTGTTCAGGGGAAATTGAAGATCAGTGGCTGAACTTCCCATGGGCTTTCACACACACTGAAGGAAAAAAGCATCTACAAGGAGATAGATCAATCACTGGAGTTAGCAACTGAGAACCAATGAAAAGTGTCAAGATATACATCTCTGGGAATTCATGGAAATAATAGAGAAGGGATAAGAATTCCCACACACAATTGGAGTTGTAGCAGATGAAGCTGATGCTACCCATTCTCCCTTAGCCTCACCACAGTTTTCCTGCAGCTGACTCCCAGCACACTGATAACATATGCCTGTTTTCTTCTTCCTGAAGACATTCTCCAGTAACACAGAAGCGTATTCCATTGCACATAGGTGAAGCCAAGAAGTGTAAGGGCAATAAGATACTGGGGCAACACTCAAACAATAAGGGAAGGGAGTCATGGATAAATGCTCTGGCTTCCCTAGCATGGAATCTTGAAGGATAAACAATGGGACTGGGTCTCAGGTGCCTGTAGTAATTTACTCATTAATGTACCTTTTACTGGCTTTGCTCCCATTTGTCTCATTTTCCCCTCTCCTTCACTAGTGCCTTCCGGGATTAACTCCCAGATAAATTATTAATACTTGTACTTAAATCATGTGCTTTTGAAGCAATCCAAACTTAGATAGAAATCAGATCAATTTGGTTTACAGGTGCATTTCTTTGAAGAATTAATACCAGTGTCACATTTTTGGTAAGCCTTCTCTGATCCACTCTCGTCCCAACCTGTGCTACCAAGTTCCATGCATAAATCTAATGTTAGAATAATGTGTGAGACAGAGAGAGAGAGTGTGTGTATGCACGCGCACGCGTGCGTGTGTGTTACCTCAAGGACTGTGAGTTCCCTGAAGTTAGAAGCAGTGTTTTTATCTTTGTTAATATCCCCAGTGCCAAGAGCAGTGCCATTAGTTTTGATGAATATAGCAGTTTAAATTATTTATACTGTTGATAAGAACTTAAGCCAAAAAGCAGGAGAGAGGAGGACTTATTGTATCAAATAACTAAGCAGTCATGAGATAGATATTCAGGTTTATCTTCATTCAGGGCTCAAATGATGATACCAACATTTATTTTCATTATCTCTATTTCTCTGGGACCTGCTTCCTTGCAGTTGGCTGCATTTTCCATGTGATTAAAAATGACTACACCAGCAATTGTCACTAATCTTCTAAGGTTCATATCCACTAAGAAAAACAGAGTATTTATTTCAGCACACCTAAAAAAAGCATCATTGTAACTTCTTAACTCTAAGAGGATCACATAACCATCCCTGAGCCAATCATTGCTTCCGTTAGAATGCAATGTGCTGATTGGTTGAGGTTTGGGTAATTTGCTTCATTTTTGACCCAGAGAAAGAGGCCAACCTAAAGCAAAAGGCTGAAAATTAAGGAGGGGTATTTCCTGGAGGAAATCAAAGAGTTATTAGCAGGAAAGAGGAAATCATATGCTAGAAAGCATATAATAGATGTTTCACTACAATGAATAAACAATGATGAATGATAATCTACTTTAATATCATAGAATTTCACTGTGATTTTTGCAAGTAACTACCATGTTTGCATTTAGATTTATATTATTTCACATACAATATGTATAAACAAGTAGACTAAGAGAATCTAATTTTAATCTAGAAATTTCTTCTAATCAATCTCTTGATTGATTAGAGCGTTCTTAGTTCTCTTGCTCAGGCTCAGTGCTTTTGTCCACTTGAGTGGATAGGAACATTTGTTTTAATAAAAGCTTGCTTACTACTTGGAACTATGGCAACATATTTAAATTTATTTATAGGACAAAACTAGGTACAACCTCCAGGGAATAGATCTGCCCCATTAACTAGAGCTCTCATTGACTTCAAGTATGGAGAGAGTTCATGTTCTGAGAATGAGTGTTAACAGGTGCTGAAAGAACTGTGCATAATGTTTATAACGAATACAAGAGATTATGAGTGAAAATGTATCCAGGGAAATCCAAGACTTCCTCTGTGGTGAGTATTTCACCAGGCTACAATTAAAGAAAGCAGTATTGTACTTAAAGTAGAAAATAAAATCTTACATAATTAATAGTCCCTTTTTTCAATTTTCTAAATTAAATAAAAAATTATCATTGAATTAAATAGTACTCAACTACAATCCAACTTTACGAGATTCTTCTGTGTATAAAAGGTAAATAGCCATTGTTAAAAAAGAGGAAAGAGAGGAGAAGGAGAGATTTGTTAAAGGATACAAAATTACAGCTAGATAGGAGGAATAAGTTCTAGTGTTCTATAGCACTGTAAGATGACCATAGTTAACAGGAATATATAGTTTCAAATAGCTAGAAGGAGGATATTGAATGTTCCCAACATAAAGAAATGATACATGTTGGAAATAATGGATATACTAATTATCCTGATCTGATCATTATACACTGTATGCATCAAAACATCACTATGCACCTCATAAATAGGTACAATTATTAAACATCAATTTTTTAAATTCATATAAAAACAGGCATCCAAATTGCAAAACAAGAATTGAAACTATTTCTACTTGCCAAAAATAAAACAAAACAAAATGATTGGAGATGATGATGATATACATTTCATTTTAAAAAGGGGGGGCTTACAGAAAAGATTTCCAAAATATAAAAAATAATTTCCTTTAAATAGCAAGATTCCTACATTTTAAGCAATGTATTATATTTTCATAAATATAGCCCTTTATCAAATATATCCTAAAATACCCAAAAGTGAGGGTAATGAAAGAAAACTTAGACTATTTTATGAATTTCAGTCATGACTCCTTTTCCTTTACCCCATAAGTGCTGGTAAGCTCTCCCACACGTTCCTGGAGTGCAAAGCTGGGTCTGGCACTTTTTTATTCCATATGCTTCTAAAACTCAGCAAGGATGGAGCTTTATCATCTCCTGCATAAATTAGGGGTGTGATTTGCCAATATAACTGGGCGATAGTCCAGCTGTCTTGAAAAATTAAGAAAAGGAAGAGAATAGTGTATTTTTTAAATCTCTCTCAACCTGGAAAAGGAAGACACAAGTTGAAGCTAAGTGGAATATGTCAAGCCCAAAGCACTGCAATATCTGTGTCTTTGTGGGAGGAGGAAAAGAGGAGCCCTTTGGCAGAATTCTGGCAAACTCTGAGATTCATAACAATGAAATAGTCTATGACTTGTCATGGATATTGCCAAATTTTAAACACAAGTTACTTGATTATTGAGCATAGTAGGGTGTAGAAGGTGAAAGGAGGAGCCTAAAATATACAGTATCAATCTCTCCTTGGCTTTTGTATCCCCAAACACCATGCCCAGGTAGACGCAAATAAGACTTAGGTAATTTCTCAATGATAGAATGAATAAAGAAAATGTGGCACATATACACCATGGAATACTATGCAGCCATAAAATATGGTGAGTTCATGTTCTTTGCAGGGACATGGATGAAGCTGGAAACCATCATTCTCAACAAACTAACACAGGAACAGAAAACCAAACACCACTCATAAGTGGGAGTTGAACAATGAGAACACATGGACACACAGAGGGGAACATCACACAGCGGGGCCTGTCAAGGGGTGTGGGGGGCTAAGGGAGGCATAGCATTAGGAGAAATACCTAATGTAGATGACGGGTTGATGGGTGCAGCAAACAACCATGGCACATGTATACCTATGTTAACAAACCTGCACGTTCTGCACATGTATCCCATAACTTAAAGTATAATTAAAAAAAAAAAAAAGAGTTAGGTAAACTTTCAAATTTGAAAGTTCTCATTATGAAATAAGAGCTGGATATCAAGCAGGGAAGAACTCTGGACTAGAAGAATCCAAAGTTACAGGGACGGAAGCAAAAATGTCACTACTGGGTTGTTAAGTATAACAGTGATAGAAGTTATTTCCATTTTCAGCCCTTCATTCATGGACCTGGGAATCCTAGCTTTTAGAGAAAGGGCACTATACATTGGTCACTGATTCAGAGCATATGCTATATCCTGGAGGACATTATCCCAGCCTTCAAAGCATTGCCACCCAGCCAGTGCCATAACTGAATATTCCAAAAACCACTTAACCCATCAGGTCAGCTGCTTCGGGTTGATGGTGTATTAGTCAGTTCTCATGCTTCTAATAAAGACATACTCAAGATTGAATAATTTATAAACAAAAAAGGCTTTAATGGACTCACAGCTCCTCATGGCTGGGGAGGACTCACCATCATGGCAGAAGGCAAAGGAGGAGAAAGGCACATCTTACATGGTGTCAGGCAAGAGAGCTTGTGCAGGGGAACTCCCATTTATAAAACCATCAGATCTTGTGAGACAACCATGAGAACAGTGTGGGGGAAACCGGCCCCATGATTCAATTATCTCCACCAGAGTCCCTCCCACGACACATGAGAATTATGGGAGCTACAATTCAAGATGTGATTTGGGTGGGGACACAGCAAAATCATATTAGATGGGGACATGATAACATCAATAAATTTTATTAGCATGAGCCAATGCCACATTTTATTTGCCGTAAACTTAATTTCCATGTCAAAGACAATGTTGTGTGAACTATGACAGTGAATAAGGCATCTGAAAGTTCAAGGATGGTGGTTTTAGAAGAAGCATTTTGGGATGAGGAAACAAAATCATAGCCAGAATATCTATTCCAGAAAAAAAAAAAGCACTGTCTCTTCCATTATAGAAGTTACTCAATATAATCAATCGGCCAATAGGTCACTGGCTGGTACCCCTGGAGAATAATGCCGTACTAAAACCAAATGTTGGCCTCCACTATTGGCATGTGGGGCACTCAGAAATAGCTCTAACCAGATTGTCCGCAGTAAGTAAAAGCCCATTTTGCTGAACAAATGAACATTTCATTTATGTGCCTATTGGGCACAAAAAAGGTGACTGGTGACTGACATCCACAAAACAAATTATCTTGACCATCCAATTACTAAGATTCCCTCTGTTAAGAATGCTTTTTTGCTGAGTACTTACATAAGACAAGGATATCTTCACACTGTACACTTGGAGATGTTTTTCCATATACCACTTCTGCAGATCTCCTTGACACCAAATCATGTTCCCTATAAACCACATCATTTATCATTTCAGATAGTGTGAGTATACCAGGCAGAAACATCTGAAAATCCAAAAAATATTTTCCCTCAGTAGGTTGGCCAATAAGAGTGGGTTGAAAGATAAGAGAATATATAAGAGGAGTAGACACCCTGAGAATCTATGTCATTGCAAATCCAACTTGTTTGTGCCTTCAAGATGTGCTCAAGCCCAATCTTGTATATACCACTTCCATTTAGTGGTGAAATGAAGCTCTATGTGCCCAAATGTAGGGCTTAATGGGTCAGACAAAACCCAATTTATGATGGGCAAGTCAGATTAAATGATAATTTGATCACCCATAATGATAGTTCAGGCTCTTGTGGGATCCAATAGCAAGCCAGAAGTATCTCAAAAAGAGACTTGTTAACTGAAGGAGATGTCACGGTATCCTTCAAAATCCTAAATGTTTTCACTGTAGTTTACCCATAAGGTCCTGACAAAGATTCCATAAATCATCTGTTTGTCACAGACATTTCAAGTATCATTAGACCTGCTGTGTGACGTGGCTCAGTCCTGAATCTTCTTCATCTGGGCCCCACTCAAAATTGCAGCCTTTCGAGGTACTCAATAAATAAGATATGTGTTATCTTTATAATCTGAAAGGTCCTATGGAACACTGAGTCCCTTTCTATATGGTAGGAGGAGCCAGATACAAAATCTTATCTTTGACATTGGAAGGACATATCTTGACACGCCCCAGATTATCGTAACCTTAAACAATTGTCCTGAGGTACAGGTGTTTTAATATTTTGGAATTTATTTACTCCCTTCTGGTATACATGTGTACTATCAAGATGTCTAGGGTAGTTACTACTTTCTTCTCACCAGGTACAGTCATGATACATCATCTACATAGTGGAACAATTGAATGTTCCGTGAAATGAAGAGATAATCAAGGACGCTTGACTAGATTATGACAGAGAGCAGGAAAGTTGCTACATCCCAGAAGTAGAATAGAGAAAATGTCTTGCTGGCCATGCCAAATGAAAGCTATGTTTGGTGGTCTCTAGCAATAGGCAAGGAAACAAACAAACAGACAAACAAAAAACCATTCACCAAATCAGTAACTGTATGACAGGGAATTTTTTTATCTGCTCCAGTGATGAAACCAGATCTGATACAGCTGCCGCAACTAAATTTACCACACGATTAAGACATTCTCCAACATCTGTCTTCTTCTGCACAGGCTAAATAGGAGAGTTGAATGAGAATATACTAGAAATCATCATTTCTACATTCTCAAGTTTTTGATGTGGCATTAATCTTGAAACTCTTCAAGGAAGGAGATGTCTTTGGCTCACTGTATTTATAGGTAGAGTTTCCTCTAGATGCTTTTCCCTTGGCCTTTCTTACCAATAAAAACCCTCAATCCATGGGTCAAGAAATCAACATGGGTATTGTGCCAATTGTTTAGTGTGCCTATTCCAGTTAAACATTCCAGAACTGGGAAATAAGCCCAGGGTGGGTTTGGGAACCCAGTGGTCTCCCAGGGAGAGAACCTCAACCTAAAATATCATTAATATCCTGACCTCCAAAGTCCCTCATTTGATTGGTGGATCAGAGTGGTATCTTGTGTCTCTAGGAATTCCTGGCAGCTCAGAACCAGTGTCATATAATTCCTTAATAGTATGGTACCTTCCCCTTTTTTCAGTGCACCCTTGTGAATGGCCACAAATCCTTTTGGAGAAAGCTAGAGAAAAATATACTGGATGAGTTTTTGGCAGCACAGAGTCCTTCCCTAAAGGAACCTGGTTCCCCTTAATCCAAAGTGCCTGAAAGTGTGAAGTGGCTCACAAATGGAAACAAATTATCTGATGATCTAAGTTAAACTTCTGTTCACCAGACTCTCTTTTCCATTTCTACACATCGAGTAAGACTTTATAGCAAGCTCCCCATGAATTTTAGTCCTTGAGCCACCATGATCAAGTAGCTAATGACAACACTCTCTGTAGGTGAAATCATTCTTATTACTGCTTCAAATCTGCTACCCATTACACAAATTCTATGCTTGTTGTCTCTGGCAGTTCAGTGCTGCCACTTGGCCCCAGTCACCTCGGGATTCCATCATCCCTATTTATTTCAGGGATTCTATTTTAATGGCAAGCCAACTTATTATCATTCCTGGCCTACTACAGAGCTTATCAAGGCTGACGATATTCCCTTCACCAATGTATATAAGCAGTTCTTACAACCTAACTCTATCCCCACATTCACATATCCCTAAGCCTTTTGATACTGTCTTCTATAGTACACCAAGGGAGTTCTTGTAGCTCAACTTCAGTCAACTAACAAAGCCAAAAGTAAGAACGATTTACCAGCCACTTAGAGCACATTGAATATGGAATTTTTGCTTAAGTGAATCAATTTCAATACCTTCAACCTGACCCAAATTGTATCCACCCATTCTGACCAACATCCTTTTAATTCATTTCCATACATATTTCCCAGGTTTTAGTTAAAATAAATATAAGTTATATAATTATTTTTATGTGTGCTGTACCTCTATTCTGGTCATAAGTGTTATCTGATAAAAAAGCATAAAAAATTGAGTCTTATATCAGGTTGATGTAAAATTAATACATTTGCACCAACCTAATATATCTAGAAACAAAGAGAGGTAGTAGGATATATCTAGAGGACATCAGCATTCCTCATCACATCAAGGTCTCAGGCCAGGACAATTAAGTTCTTGAGAAAAGGGGAGGGTGTGTTCCTCAAATTTAGGAGGAAAGACTGCTTCTACTGGCAAATGAGCCTCCATAAAATGTAAAAGTTCAGGTACCACCACATCATCAGAATCAGCCCTATGTCTCCATCCCAATTTTCATGGCCCTACTCCTTCTCAGTCAATGCCTTATTTCTAATATAAGAAACCCTGAAAGATTGTGTTGAATTATAATTCAGTCACTGCCCATATTAGACTTTGGGTTTGGTTTTAAGAAATTTTCTAGGAAATGCTGTTTCTCTTACAGCAGTAATAGAACTTTTCTAATCCGTTACGTAGACCTTGATCTTGGAATTAAAAACTCTGAACTCATTTTCTTTCTGTACATTTTCCAATGCAACCCAACCAACATCATTATATTCATTTTTATTAAAGTGTTCTACAGCAGCAACTACTTGGTGATTCAAAATCTTGCCTTCTATAGGCATTTGATTACAGATGAAACTACAAATAACAATTTAAGAAACATTTTTTGCCACTACATACCATGGCTTATGATGTCATGTATTGGAAGCAAATACATCAATGTCTATTTTTTATGTTGTCTTAATTAATTTTTACGGGTACATAGTAGGTGTATATACTTGCGGTGTACATGAGATGTTTTGATACAGGCATACAATGTTGCTATGGAGAGCAGTTTGGAGATTATTATTAATCACATCATGAAAACTGGAGTATCTTACCCCTCAAGCATTTATCCTTTGTCTTACAAAGAATCCAACTATACTCCTTCAGCTATTTTAAATGTACAATTAAATTATTATTGACTATAGTTACTCTGTTGCAATATCAAATTCTAGGTCTTATTTATTCTTTCAAATTATATTTATTTATACCCATTAACAATCCCCACCTCCCTCCCCTGACCCAGTCCCCCACTTCCCTTCCCAGCCTCTGGTAACCACCCTTCTACTCTACCTCCAAAAATTCAATTGTTTTGATTTTTAGATCCCACAAATAAGCGAGAACATGTGATGTTTGCCTTTCTGTGCCTGGCTTATTTCACTTAACAGAATGATCTCCAGTTGCTTCCATGTTGATGCAAATAACTTGATAACATTCTTTTTTTATGGCTGAATAGAACTCCATTGTGTATAAGTACCACATTTTCTTTATTCAGATTAATGGATAAAGAAAATGTAGTACTTACATACAATGGATACAGGTTGCTTCCAAATCTTGGCTATTGTGAACAGTGCTGCAACAAACATTAAAGAGCAGGTATCTCTTTGATATACTGATTTCCTTTCTTTTGGGTATATACCCAGCAGTGGGATTGCTAGCTTGTATGGTGGCTCTATTTTCAGTTATTTGAGGAACCTCCAAACTGTTCTCCATAGTGGTTGTACTAATTTACATTCTCACCAACAGAGTATGAAGGCATTCCCTTTTCTCCACATCCCTGTCAGCATTTGTTATTGCCTGACTTTTGAAAAAAAGCCAGTTTAACTGGGGTGAGATGATACCTCATTGTAGTTTTGATTTGTATTTCTCTGATAATCATTGATGTTGAGCACATTTTCATATGCCTGTTTGCCATTTGTATGTCTTCTTTTGAAAAATGTCTATTTCAATCTTTGCTGATTTTTAAATCAGATTATTAGATTTTATCCTATAGAGCTGTTTGATCTCCTTATATCTTCTGGTTTTTAATATTTTATCAGATGGGCAATTTGCAAATATTTTCTCTCATTTTGTGGGTTGTCTTTTCACTTTGTTGATTGTTTCCTTTGCTGTGCAGAAACTTTTTAACTTGATGTGACATCATTTTTCCATATTAGTTTTGGATTTCTGTTCTTGTGAGGTATTACTCAGGAAATTCTTTGCCTAAGCTAACGTCTTGGAGGGTTTCCCCAATGCTTTTTTGTAGTAGTTTCACAGTTTGAGGTCTTAGATTTAAGTCTCTAATCACTCTGGTTTGATTATCGTATATGGAGAGAGAGGGGGTGTCTGGTTTCATTATTTTGCCTATGCATATTTAGTTTTCCCAGTACCATTTATTAAAAAGACTTTCTTTTCCTCAGTGTATGTTCTTGGCAGCTTTGTCAAAAATGAGTTCGCCATAGGTGTGTGGATTTGTTTCCAGGTTCTCTATTCTGTTCCATTGGTCTACATGGTTTTATGCCAGTACCACGCTGTTTAGATTACTATAGCTCTGTAGGATAATTTGAAGTCAGGTAATTGCATTCCTTGAGTTTTGTTCTTTTTGCTTAGGATAGCTTTAGCTATTCTGGGTCTTTGGTGGTTCTATATAAATTTTAGGATTCTTTTTTCTATTTATGTGAAGAATGCCTTTGGTATTTTGATAGGAATTGGATTGAATCTGTAGATTGCCTTGGGTAGTATGAACATCTTAACAATATTGATTCTTCCAATCCAGGAACATGGAACATCTGTCCATATTTTGGTGTCCTCTTCAATGTCTTTCATCAATGTTTTATAGTATTAATTATAGACATCTTTCACTTCTTTGGTTAATTCCTAGGTATTTAATTTTATTTGTGGCTATTATAAATGGAATTACATTTTTGATTTCTATTTCAGATTGCTCACTGTCAGCATACAGACATGCTACTGATTTTTGTTTGTTAATTTTTGTATCCTGCAACTTTACTAGCTGTGTCAGTTCTAACAGTTTTTTATTGTGGAATCTTTAGGTTTTCCCAAATATATGATCATATCATGTGCAAATAAGATTAATTTGACTTCTTTCTTTCCAAATTGGATGTCCTTTATTTCTTTCTCTTGTCTGATTGCTCTAGCAAGGACTTACAGTACTGTGTTGAAAAACAGCAGTAAAAGTAGGCATCCCTTGTCATGTTTCATATCTTAGAGGAAAGCCTTTCAATTTTTCCCTGTTGAGTATGATGCTAGCTGTAGGTTTGTAATATACGGCTTTTATTATGTTGAGGTATGTTCCTTCTATTCTCATTTTTAGGGTTTTTGTAGTAAATTTTATCAAATGATTTTTCAGCATCAATTGAAATAATCACACGGTTTTCATCAGTTTTATTGGTATGATGTATCATGCTGATTTGTGTATGTTGAACCGTCCTTGCATCCCAGGGATAAATCCCACTTGATTATGATGAATGATCTTTTAAATGTATTATTGAATTTGGTTTGCTAGTATTTTACTAGGGATTTTTAGATTGATACTCATCAGAGATACTGGCCTGCAGCTTTTGGGGTTTGTTTGTTTGTTTGTTTATGCATCTTTGTCTGGTTTTCTATTAGGGTAATACTGGCCTCGTAGAATGAGTTTGGAAGAATTCCCTCCTCTATTTTTCAAAATAGTTTAAGTTGGATTGGTATTAGTTATTCTTTAAATGTTGGGTAGAATTCAGCAGTAAAGCCATCAGGTCCTGGGCTTTTCTCCACCGGAAAGACTTATTATTACATTATCCAACTTGTTACTTGTTACTGGTCTGTTCAGGTTTTGGATTTCTTCTTGGTTTAATCTGTGTGGGTTTTATGTGTCTAGGAATTTGTCCATTTATTCTAGATTTTCCAATTTATTGGCATACGGTTGCTCACAGTAGCTACTAAATGAACCTTCAAGTTTCTGCAGTATCAGTTGTAATGCCTCCTTTTTCATTTCTAATTTTACTTATTTGGATCTTCTGTCTTTTTATTAGTCTGGCTAAAGGTTTGCCAATTTTGTTTAAGTTTTCAAAAAGCACCTTTTTGTTTCATTGATCTTTTGTATTGTTTTCTTCCTTTCAATTTCATTTATTTTTGCTCTGATCTTTATTATTTCCTTTTTTCTGCTAGTTTTGTATTTGGCTCCTCTTGCTTTTCTAGTTCTCTAAGATGCATTATTAGATTGTTTATTTGAAGTTTTTCCTCTTTTTTTGATGTAGGCACTATAAACTTCCCTCTTAGTACTGCTTTTGCTGTATCACATAGGATTAGGTGTGTTACATTTCCATTATCATTTATTTCAATAAATTTTTTAAATTTTCTTCATAATTTCTTCATTGGCCCACTGGCACTGATATTTTACCCTTACTGGGATTCTCTTGTCATTTCCTTAACATGATTATTAAGTGAAAGTTCTTAAGGACAATCTCATTCACTCTAGGGTTGGTGTGAGTAAAGTAACATGGCAGCTGATCTTCTGGCTAAAAAATAGTAACCAGATACAATATTGATTGCTTCTCTACTAGTTTGTCTTTTATTCACATAAATTCTGCATTATATGTATTTACTTTAAAAGACATTAAACTTGTGTAATTTCCATGTGTTTGTATAGTTTCCAAAGTTCCTCTTGTTATTGATACCTAGTTTTATTCCATTGTGGTCAGAGAAGATGTTTGATATTTTTTCAATTATTTTGAATGTTTTGGGACTTGTTTTGTGACCTAACATATGGTCTACTCTTGAGAATAATTCATCTGCTGGGAAAAGAATGTGTATTCTGCAGCCATTGGATAAAATGTTCTGTAAATGTCTATTAGATCCATTTGGTCTATAGTGCAGATTAAGTCCAATGTTTCTTTATTGATTTTCTATCTCTAAAATCTGTCCAATGCTAAAAGTAGGATATTGAAGTCTCCAGGTATTATGGTCTCAGACCTCTTTTTCAGCTCTAATAACATTTGCCTTAAATATATGGGTGCTTCAATGTCGGATGTATATACTCTTAAAATTGTTATACCTTCTTGCTGAATTAAACATTTTATCTTCATATAGTGAACTTACTTGTCTCTTTTTATGGTTTTTGACTTGAAATCTATTTTGTCTTATGTATGTATGACTACTCATGCTTCTTTCTGCTTTCTATTGGTGTGAAATATCTTTTTCCATTTCTTTATTTTCAGTCTGTGTGTGTTTTTATAGGTGAAGTATGTTTCTTGTAGGCAACAGATCAATGGGTCTTGCTTTTTGATTTATTCAGCCACTCTGTGTCTTTTGATTGAAAAGTTTAGTCCATTTACTTTCAATGTTATTATTGATAAGTAAGGACTTGCTCCTGCCATTTTGTTATTTGTTTTCTGGTTATTTTGTGGTCTTCTCTTCCTTCTTTCTTTCTTTCCTGTATTCCTTTTTATGAAAGTTATCTGTTGATATAAATTAGTTTCTTTGTTTTTATTTTTTATGTATCTATTGCATGTTTTTTGGTCTGAGGTTACCATGAGGTTTGCAAATACTATCTTGTAGCCCGTTGTTTTAAGCTTATAACAACTTACCACTGTTTGTATAAATAAACAAGCAAACAAACAAGCAAAATGAAAACTAATATAAAACTTGCACCTTAAGTTCATTCCCCCCCCATTTTAACTTTTTGTTGTTTCTATTTATATCTTATCGTACAATGTCATGAAAAGTCATTGTAGTTATTATTTTTGCTTGTTTCATCATTTAATCTTTCTACATAAGGTAAGAATACTTAACATACCATAGTTATAGTGTTATAATATTCTGTATTTTTCTGTACACTTACTATTACCCATGAGTTTTTTACCTTCAGATGATTTCTCATTGCTCATTAATGTCCTTTTCTTTCTGATTGAAGTTCTCCCTTTAGCATTTCTTGTAGGACCGGTCTGGTGTTGATGAAATTCCTCAACTTTTGTTGGTCTGGGAAAGTCTTTATTTCCCCTTCATGTTTGAAGGATAGTTTCACCAGATGTAACATTCTAAGGTAAAAGTTTGTTTTTTGTTTTGCCTTTTTTGGTCTTGGCACTTTATACATGTTTTGCCATTCTCTCCTGGCCTGTAAGGTTTCCACTAAAAGTCTTCTGCCAGATGTATTGGTTCTCCAGTGTGTTATTTGTTTGTTTTCTCTTGACGCTTTTAGGATTCTTCCTTTATTCTTGATCTTTGATTAAATGCTTTAATAAATGCCTTGTCTTCTTTGGGATAATTCTGCTTGGCTTTCTATAACCTGCTTGTACTTGGATATTAATATTTTGTCTAGGTTTGGAAAGTTCTCTGTTATTATCCCTTTGAATAAATTCTCTACCATTGTCTCTTCTTCTACCTCCTCTTTAAAGCCAATAACTCTTAGATTTGCTCTTTTGAGGCTAGTTTCTAGATCCTGTAAGCATGCCTCATATTTTCTTATTTTTTCTTTTGTCTCCTCTGTGTATTTTCAAATGTCCTGTTTTCAAGCTCACTAATTCTTCTGCTTGATCCATTCTGCTATTAAAAGACTCTGATGCATTATTTAGTATGCCAATTTCATTTTTCAGCTCCAGACTTTCTGCTTGATTCTTTTTAATTGTTTCAATTTCTTTGTTAACTTTTTTTTTTTTTTTTTGAGATGGAGTCTCACTCTGTTGCCCAGGCTGGAGTGCAGTGGAGCAATCTCAGCTCACTGCAACCTCTGCTTCCTGGGTTCAAGCGATTCCTCTGCCTCAGCCTCCTGAGTAGCTGAGATTACAGACACGCATCACCATACCCAGATAATTTTTGTTTTTTTAGTAGAGACAGAGCTTCACCATGTTGGCTAGGCTAGTCTCAAACTTCTGACCTCAGAAGATATACCCGCCTCAGCCTCCCAAAGTTCTGGGATTACAGGCATGAGCCACCACAACCAGCCTGTTAAATTTATCTGATAGAATTATGAATTTCTTCTCTGTGTTGTCCTGAATTTCTTTGAGTTTCCTCAAAACAGCTATTTTGAATTATCTGTCTGAGAGGTCATATATCTCTGTTTCTCTAGGATTGGTCCTTGCTGGCTTATTCAGTTGATTTGGTGAGGTCATGCTTTCCTGGATCGTCTTGAAACTTGTAGATGTTCAGCTGTGTTTGGGCATTGAAGAAATAGGTATTTACTGCAGTCTTTGCATTCTGGGCTTGCTTGTAACTATACTTCTTGGGAAGGTTTTCCAGATATTTGAAAGAACTTGGGTGTTATGATCTAAGCTGTATCTGCTTTACGGGGTACTCCAAGCCCAGCAACACTGTGGTTCTTGCAGAGTTGTAGAGGTACCACCTTGATGGTCTCAGACTATGCCTGGGAGAATTCTCTGGATTACCAGGAAGAGACTTTTGTTCTCTTCCCTCCCTTTCTCCTCAAACAAATGGAGTCTCTCTCTCTGTTATCAGCCACCCAGACCTGGGGGTAGAGAGACACAAGCCACTCTGTGGCCACCACCACTGGGAATGCACTGAGTCAGACCTAATGCCAGCATAACAATGGGTCTTGCCCCAGGCCTGCTATAATCACTCCCTCACTACTCCCTCTGTTTGCTGAGGATCCAGGCGTTCCACAATCAGCAGGTGGCAAAGCCAGCAAGGCCTGTGTCTCTTTCAAAGTAGCAAGTCACCCCAAGCTCCAAGTGGGTCCAGAGATGTTGTCCAGGAGCCCAGGAGTAGAGTCAAAAACCTTAGAAGTTCACCTGGTGTTCTATTGTGTTGAGGCTCATCTGGCACTCAAACCACAAGATGAAGTCCTTCTCATACTCCCTCCTCTTTCAAAGGCAGTGGAACCTCACACCATGGCCACCACCACCACAGGTCCCTGGGAATTACTGCCAGACTACCACTGATGTTCCCTTAAGGCCCAAGGGCTCCTAAGTTAGCTTATGGTGAATGCTGCCAGGCCTGGGACTCACCCTTCAGGGCAGTGTACTCCCCTCTGGCTCAGGGCAGGTCCAGAAATGCCACTCAAGAGCCAATTCCAGAATCAATTACCCCAAGAGCCTTCTTGGAGCTCTCCACCTCTGTGGTTGAGCTCGTACCTAAGGTGCAAGTCAAAATCCCCTTTACTTTTTCCTCTGCTTTTCTCAAATAGAAGGAGTTTGCCCCATAGCCACCACAGCTAGGAATATGCTGATTCTCACCTGAAGCCAGCAAGTCTGAGAGTGTCACTCAAAGCCTTCAACGTAGTGCCTGGGTATCACTGCTGGTTGATTATTCAGGGCCCAAGGGCTCTTCAGTCAGCATGTGATGAATCCTGCCAGGACTGCATCCTTTCTATCAAGGCAGAGGGTTCCCTTCTGGCCCAGGGTATGTCTAGAAATGTTGTCCAGGAGCTAGGGCCTGGAAAAGGGGTCTCATGACTCTGACAAGGGCCCTATCCTGCTGTGTCTGAGCTGCTATTCAAGATGCAAGAAGTCCTCCCCACTCTTCCTCATCCTCTCCTCAAGCAGAAGAAAGGGGTCTTTTTCAGAGCCTTGAGCTGTGCAGCCTGGGGTTAGGGGAGAAGTGATGACAGCACTCTTTTAGCTTCCCCAACTGGTGTCCCAGTAGATCACATGCCCCACAGTGCTCTGGCTCTGGGCCCAGTTTCACACTAGGAAACACCCAGGAGATGCAATCCTTGTGGACTAAACTGCCTTTAAAATTGAAAGTGAAAGGCATTTTCAGAAGATCTTTCTGAAGCACTGGAGTGTGTGGGCAAATTGGAGTTATTCTGTGTCTCAGGAAACTTTAGTCAGTGGTGGCGAGGCTTGAGGGAACTCAAGTTCCCACCAGAAGGATTAACGATTCCCCTCTAGGTGGGGCTGGTGTAAATGCTCTCTCCCAAGAGAACAGGAATGCTTTCTGCAGCATGCTGCCACAGCTGGGGGATGGCGGAGGGGTGGCGTTGGGGATTCAAGACTGTTTTTCTTATTTCTTCAGTGCCTCTTTCGGTGATATGAAGTTAAAAACAGATACCATGAATGCTCACCTGATTTTTGGTGTTTATGAAGGTGCTTCTTTTGTGTAGTTGTTAAATTAGTGCCTTAGGAGGGCAGGGGGGGATGATCACTGGAGCCTTCTATTCTGCTATCTTGCTCCATTCCTCCATTTGAATGTCTTTAAATATGATAAAACCAGAGAACCAATTATAGATTACTATCTTTACTATTCTCATCTCCTGGAAACAATTCGGATGCCAATAATTATAGCAGTCAGGATTCAATCATGAAAACATAATCTTCATGGGTATTATGAAATAAAAGATTTATTATAGGAATAAAACTTTATGCATTGATGGAGAAGTTGGAATAACAGACCAAAAATAGAAGTTAGAGGATTAGAGAGAAGTGTCTTTCTGAAGCACTGGAATGTGTGGGCAAATTGGAGTTTATCAAGGAATGCAGAAAACCAGGTATATCCAACTGCCAGAATAGGAGTATAAAGAAAAGGTAGTGGAAAATAAGATGGGAGGCTCCTGATTCTACATTTATTTTTATGTCTGGAGTCTCTGGTTCAGAGACAACATTTGTGAAAAAGATCTAGATATGAACAAAAGAATGAGGACACATCTGCAACTGTCTCTCACTATTAGTAACCACAAAGATCTTTAGCTCATAATGGCTTCGAATTCACTTCTACCTTCCAAATCTCACAAAATTTTCTCTTTTGGCCAACTCTAACTTGGAACCATATGGGCAAGAGAATTCTGGAAACTATGGTTTCAGCTTAGCCAATGTGACTATTATAAAAAACACCAAGCATATTTTCCATATTTAAATCCTATTAGATTTACACCACATGCCATTGGTATTAAATCATGGGCTTGTTGATTTTTAAATCATCTGCCAACTCTGACTGAATAAGAATGCTATTGATTATGATTTTTTTGGTTGCAAGCCACAGAAATTGACTGACTAACTTATGCATAAAAAAAAACCTTACTGGAAAAATATTATTAGAAAGCTCAAAGAATAAATAGGAAGGGTAGAAAAGATGCTTAGAAATAAAAAAAGAAACCAGAAAAGTAGCAGGTCACCCTCTACTGCCTCTAATCATTAGGGTTTTTGCTCTGAAAGGAATGTAGTTGTTTTGGGGTTTTTCTTTGGGGGGACAGCAGGGTGGGGTTGTTTCTTTGTTTTTCTTACTTTAATCCTGAATAACTTTGCTTGAGATTTTAACTCTTTGAACAGAAGGCTTTTGTCTGGTCAAGCTTAAGTCACATGCTCAATTTTTGGTCCTACTGAGGCAGTAAGATCTGGCAGAAGTAACCTGTTATAGCCTCTAGAAAACCCTTCATCCTCCATAAAAATAATGGTTTAATTTGATTTGCAATTTTATTCAGCTTGCTTAAAATGGTGGTGTGGTAATTCCCTATAAGAAAATTAAAGTGATCCTAGGAAGAATAAATTGTTCTAAATCAGTTAAAATCTTCTAATGAATATCTATTCGTTAATAAGAGTTTTGAGGCTATACCCAGGCCCAGTAAGAAATAGCATATGATCTAATAGCATTGCCTACCATGGGTGCAGAAAAGGATAGTATTAGCAGACCTCCTGTACATTTTTGCCAGTTCTTGATTTTGATACAGCCTCTACAATTCCACTGTATAGAGAGCTGAAAGAATGTTACAGTTACTTAATAGGGAATACCAAATGCTTCCTTGGGCTGACTTTGAATTTCTATCATAATCTAAATTCAGGATTACTTACTCTCATTGTTCCGATTTCACATGGTCATTCTATATGTGGTGCATAAGCCCATTGTGGAGAAAGCAATCCTTCAAAGTCAGGCAGAATTGTATTTGAATCCCATCTTCACTAGCTAACACAGTGTGAACATGATCGATTTACTTAAATCTTTTGACCATTAGCGTTATCAGCTATCCATCTCAAAAAGTAAGTGAGAGTTAAGTGAAAAAGTAACTAACAAAAACCATTATCTCAGGGCCAACTTGGTGCTTAGCACACAGAGAACATTTGCTATATACTAGTTCCTTCTGTCCTTTTTTTATAGTTCCTTTTTCCTAAATATCTGCTTCTGTTTCTTTCACTTAGTCAAATCTTGTACCATAAAGTTCAAATATCACCCTTTCCTTGAAATTTTTAAACCAAGTTTTCAACTACTATACAATTTTCTACTTATGGAACTCATTTAGGTATTGAATAATCAATTTCTTTTTAAAATAATCATTAATAATGTGATGCAGCACCATGTTGGAATAACATCATTATGAACATCTAAAACCTGCATACCATTCAATGTTTGAATACTAACTACTATTTGCCCATTTTTGGATGGAAATTGGTAACACAAAGATTAATAGGACCCTGTGGGTAGCTTCAAGACATTCACAGCCTATTGGGGAAGATAATCATATATGTTGAATAGCATGGTATGATAGACTCATATGTGCACAAGAAATTAACAGAGTAAATAGGATACTTGATACAGACTATGATAAAAATGGTGGAAGGAGGAGTTCTTTAGGAAAGATTAAAATAGAACCTTACATTCAAGAATGCATTGGATTTAGCCAGGAAAACAACAGTTAATGCAAGAAATATTGAAGAAATACAAAAAGAAGAGAAAGAAATATAAATGAGTGCTGCGGGAAAAAAATGTAAATAATTTACTATGACTGAAGGATAGAGTGAGAAAGGAAACTACAGGAAATGAGGTTAGAGAAGCCAAACAAGACATAATTAGAAAAAGCCTTCTATATCACCCAAGGGTTAAGATTTTATCATAAACTCAATGAGAAAACATTGAAGAAATTCAGCCACACAGAGCTATAGTAAGTATCAACAAAGACAATAAGAATAATAATCATGGTAATGGAAGCAACCATATATTGAGTACTATTTATTTGCAGTGCACTGTGCTAAATAGATTACTATATTAGTTCATTTTCATGCTGCTGATAAAGACATACTCGAGACTGGGTAATTTACAAAAGAAAGAGGTTTAATGGACTTACAGTTCCACATGGCTAGGGAGTCCTCACAATCATGGCAGAAGGAAAGGAGGAGCAAGTCACATCTTACATAGATGGTGGCAGGCAAAGAGAGAGCTTGTGCAGGGAAACTCCCATTTTAAAACCATCAGATCTCGTGAGATTCATTCACTATCACAAGAACAGCACAGGGAAGACCTGCCCCCATAATTCAATCACTTCCCACCATGTTCCTCCCCTGACATGTGGGAATTGTGGGAGTCACAATTCAAGATGAGATTTAGGTGGGGACACAGCCAAACCATATCAATTACTTATTTGATTCTCAAGATAACACTCTGATATAGGTACTATTATCCCAATTTACCAGTGACAAAATTGAGGCTTAAAGAGGTTAAACAACTTGTCCAAGGTTATTGTGAGTAACTATTATTACTAGTATAAATCTAGATCTGTCTAATTCAAGAGCCCATGATCTTAACCACAATGTTCAGATTTATGTTTTCAAAAAATCACTTTAGCAGCAGTGTAAAAAATTGATTGAAGAGGGCCAAGCATAGAGGTAAAGACTCCATTTAGAAGACTACCATACAAATACAGTTTTTAAGTAAGAGCCCACTCCCAGGCAGAGTGAAAGAGCTAAAAAATTTAAAAGAGACTTAATAGAGTTAATAACTGGCTGCACATGAACGGTTAGCCAGAGAAATCAAAGATAATAACCAATTAACTGGGTTGATGGTTGTGTCATCAGTATAAGATGTTTCTGATGGGGGAATTGGAATACAATAAAATCAGTTTGAGGGAGTGTTGAGATTGCGGCACTTGAAGAAAAGTCACATGGAACTTAGTATGTAGAGAAAGATTTGGCAGATTTCAGAATTAGGTTGTAGATACAGCCATGATGCTAGAAAAAGTTACTCAGCCAGGGAGAATCTATAGTGTAAATGCAACAGTGATATGAGGTTGTAAAGCTGGAAACATCAATATTTGAGTACATTTTGGGTACCAGATGAGGGTTTAACAAAAAGACTGAGAGGGAACTTCCACAGGACTATAAATACAACCAGAATCATTTTAAGAAAGGAGTTGTAACTGATTTGTAGAATTGTAGATAGTGACAAAAACCTCAGAGAACTATTTAGTTCTGCATGTAAGAATTATGGATGATATTTTATTATTCTTTGTAAGTTCTGGTCATCTAGTTTTTTTTAAAAAAACTTTTAAAACTTTTATTTTACGTTGAGGGAAACATATACATGTTTGTTCTGTAGATAAATTGCAAGTCATGGGAGTTTGGTGTGCATATTATTTCCTCACCCAGCTAATAATCATAGTACCCAATAGGTAGTTTTTCCATCAACAACCTCCTCTCACCTTCCACTCTCAAGTAGGCCCTGGTGACTATTGTTCCCTTCTTTGTGTCCATGTGTACTCAGCGTTTAACTCCCACTTATAAGTGAGAACCTGTGACATTTGATTTTGTTTCTGTGTTAGTTTGCCTAGGATAATGGCCTCTAGCCTCTTCCATGTTGCTTCAAAAGACATGATCTCATTTTTTATGGCTGAGTAGTATTCCATGGTGTATCTGTGTGCCACATTTTCTTTACTGAGTCTCCTGTTCATGTGCATTTAACTTCATTCCATGTGTTTGCTATTGTGAATAGTGTTGTGATGAATATAGACATGCATGTGTCTCTATGGTAGAATGATTTATATTCCTTTGGGTATACAGTAATAGCTAACAATGGGATTGCTGGCTTGAATGGTAATTCTGTTTTAAGTATGTTGAGAAATTGCCACACTGCTTTCCACAATGGCTGAACTAATTTACATTCCCACCAGTAGTGTATAAGTGTTCCCTTTTCTCCGCAACCTCACCAGCATAAATTATTTTTTGACTATTTAGTAATAGCTATTCTGACTAGTGTCAGACGGTATCTCACACTTTGATTTTGATTTACATTTATCTAATGATTAGTGATGCTGAGTATTTTTTCATATGCTTGTTGGCTGCATGCATATCTTCTTTTGAAAACTGTTCATGTCCTTTGCTCATTTTAATGGGGTTGTTTTTTGCTTCGTAATTTAAGTTTCTTACAGATTCTGGATATTAGACTTTTGCTAAATGCATACTTTTCAAACATTTCCTCCCATTCTGTAGGTTGCCTGATAGTTTCATTTGCTGCGCAGAAGCCCTTTAGTTTAATTAGGTCCCATTTGTCAATTTCTGTTTTTGTTTCAGTTGCTTTTGGTATCTTTGTCATGAAGTCTTTGCCAGGGCCTATATTCATAATGGTATTTCCTAGGTTATCTTATAGGGTTTGTATAGCTTTATATTTTACATTTAATTCTTTAATCCATCATAAATTGATTTTTGTATATGGTGTAAGGAAGTAGTCCAGTGTCAATCTTCTATATATGGCTAGCCAGTTTTCCCAACACCATTTATTGACTAAGCAGTCCTCCCCCCATTGCTTGTTTTTGTCAACATTGCCAAAGATTAGGTGATTGTAGGCATGCGGCATTATTTCTGGGCTCTCTATGCTGTTCCATTGGTCCATGTGTCTGTTTCTGTACCAGTATCACGCTGCTTTGGTTACTGAAGCTCTGCAGTCTAATTTGCACTTGAGTAATGTGATGCCTCCAGTTTTGTTCTTTTGAGGATTGCCTTGGCTATTTGGGCTCTTTTTTGTTGTTGTTCCGTGTAAGTTTTAAGATTGTGTTTTCTAATTCTGTAAAGAATGTCATTGGTAGTTTGATAAGAATAGCATTGAATCTATAAATTTTTTTCAGCATTATGGCCATTTCAATAATATTAGTCCTTCCTATCCATGAGTATGGAATGTTTTTCTATTTGTGTCATCTCTGATTTTCTTTAGTAGTGTTTTATTATTCTCATTGTAGAGATCTTTTACCTCCCTGGTTGGCTGTATTCTTCAATGTTTTATTTGTTTTGTGGCTATCATAAATGGAATTACGTTTTTGATTTTGTTCTCAACTTGATGCTGTTGGTGTATAAGAGTTCTACTGATTTTTGTCCAATGATTTTGTGTCCCAAAAATTTGCTAAAGTTGTTTATCAGATCAAGGAAGCTTTGGGCAGAGACTATGGGGTTTTCTAGGTGTGGAATTATATCATGTGAAAACAGGGATTGTTTGATTTCCTCTCTTCCTATTTGGATGCCTTTTATTTCTTTCTCTTGCCTGATTGCTCTGGCTAGGACTTTCAGCACTATGTTGAATAGAGTGGTGAGAGTACATCCTTGTCTTGTTCTGGTTTTCAAGGGGATTGCTTCCAGCTTTTTTCCATTTAGTATGATGTCGGCTGTGGTCTTTGGTAGATAGCTGTTATTATTTTGAAGTATATTCCTTCAATGTCTAGTTTGTTGAGATTTTTTATTATGAAGAGATGTTGAATTTTATCAAAGGCCTTATCTACATCTATTGAGATGATCATGTGGTTTTAGTTTTTAGTTCTGTTCATGTAATGGATAACATTTATTGATTTGAGTATGTTAAATAAATCTTGTATCCCAAGGTAAGGCCTACCTGATCATGGTGGATTAGAGTTTTGATGTACTGCTAGATTCAGTTTGCTAGTATTTCACTGAGGATATTTGCACTTATTTTCATCAAGGATATTGGCCTGAAGTTTTCTTTTTAATTGTGTCTCTGCCAGATATTAAATGATATTAAATGGTATTAAATGATGCTGGCCTCATAGAATGAGTTATGACAGTGTCTATCCTCCTCAATTTTTTTGAATAGTTTCAGTAGGAATGGTACCACCTCTTCTTTATATAGCTGGTAGAATTCAACCATAAATCATCTGGTCCTGGGCTTTTTCTGGAGTTTTTATTAATTATTCAATTTTTGAACCCATTATTGGTTTGTTCAGCAATTCAATTTCTTCCTGGTTCAATTTGGGAGGTTTTATGTTTCCAGAAATTTATCCATTTCTTCCAGGCTTTTCTGATTGCATGCATAGAAGTGTTCATACCAGTCTCTGACAGTTTTGTATTTCTGTGGGGTCAGTGATAATAACCACTTTGTCATTCCTGATTTTGTTTATTTGGATCTTATCTCTTTTTTTCTTATTACCCTTGTTAGCAATGTATCTGTTTTATTTATTCTTTCAAAAAACCAATCTTTGTATTTTTCTATGATTTTTTTATAATCTTTTATATGATTTTAAATATAAACTCATTTGTAAGTCACAGATAGGAGGTAAGCATTTTCTATAATTTTTAGCAGCAAGATGGTCATTGTTGATTTTATAAGAGCAGATTGGTTGAAGTGCATTGAAATGGCAATGAAAGTGCAGTTCATGGAGAAAGTGAAGCGAAAAGGCACACTTCTTTCTCAAACTAAATAACTAGTAAGGAAGGATAGAGACAGGATAAGAGATGGTTGAGTGTAGAAACAGTGTGCTTTGTGTTTAAGATGTGCAATACTTGTCCATGTTTATATTGTTAAAGTAACAACAAAGGCTGCCAGATATTTGAAACACAAAACAAAGCAGGGTCTATCTGCCTGCTAGACAAAGGAGAGCAGGCTCACTCAAGAAGTGTATAGGCTGAAAATAAAAGCACTACATATAAGGATAGAAAGGGGAGCTTATTTCACATAGAAAAAAATTAAAAAGAGAACATAATAATCCCCCTCCCTTGGATTTGGTCATGCTTGGTTGTAAGTTAAAAAAAAATGTGGACATAGAAAAAAAGTTCTACCAAGTTTAGAGTCATGTAGGGACAGTTTCCTAAGTGCATGATTGAACTTGGCAAATTTTTCTTTAACACTACACTGATGGAAAAGAATTATTAGATATGATGAGTGGTTAGATGTGAATAAGACATGAAAAGTGGAGATAACTAATAAAAGCAGGTCCCTAGCCAGATATTTTTTAATGGGTAGGAAAGGATATTGAGAAATTTTCTACCTGATAGCCTCTATTTTCTCTATAAGTAAGAAATTATACCTCTTATCAGAAGTAAGGAAAATTCAGTCAAAGAGAAGGTCCCAGGAGTCTAGGGTAACTACCTCATTCCAGCTTGCCAGGGACTTACTTGGCTTTAGCACTGAAAGTCCATGCTCTGGGAACACCCTCAGTCTTGGGGAAACCAGGAGATTAGCCATACTAGATGACACTATGGTTAATTATAGCTGTTGAGAATGAAGAAATAAATAATTAGAACCTAAACAAGGCTGGAGACCAGAAATTTGTAATTATTTCAAACTATACAGTCCTGTGATTTAGAAGTGTTCTGTGTTTAGGTATTGCATTTTGAGGTTTTGAGTTGCCATGAAGTAATACCAGAAGCTGGGCAGTTTAAAAAGAAAAGAGGTTTATTTGGCTCATGGTTCTGTAGGCTGTTCAAGCATGGCACCAGCATCTGCTTGACTTCTCGTGAGGCCTCAGGAAGCTTCCAATTATAATGGAAGGCAAAAGGAGAGCTGGCATCTCATATGGCAAGAAAGGGAGCAAGAAAGGGTTGGGGAGGTTCCAGGCTTTTTTCAACCACCAGCACTGTGTGAAGTAATAGAGTAAGAACCCACTCATTACCTCAGTAAAGGCACCAAGCCATTCAGAAGGGAATTCACCCCCATGACCAAAACACTTTCCACTAGGCCCCTCCTTCAACAATGGGGATCACATTTCAACATGAGATTTGGATTAAACAAATCTCCAAACCATATCAGGTATATTTCAGTATGTCCAAAATAGTAGGGCAAAAAAGCAAATACTTTTTAAGGTAAGAGCTTTGACCAATGAACATCTCTATTGTTTGCAATTTCTGTACTTCCTGGAAGAGGAGGTGGAGTGAATTGGGGTAGTCAGAGGGAAAGAAACCAGACATAGAAACTCTGGTGTTTAATGGCTGTATTAGTCCATTTTCATGCTGCTAATAAAGACATACCCAAGACTGAGAAGAAAAAGAGGTTTAATGGACTTACAGTTCTGCATGGCTAGGGAGGCCTCACAATCATGGCAGAAGGCAATGAGGAGCAAGTCACATCTTACATGGATGACTGCAGCCAAAGAGAGCACTTGTGCAGGGGAACTTTTCCTTATAAAACTGTCAGATCTCATGAGACTTATTCACTTTCATGAGAACATTACAGAAAAGACCTGCCCCCACGATTCAATTACCTCCTACCAGGTCCCTCCCACAACAGTGGGAATTCAACATGCGATTTGGGTGGGGATATAACCAAACTATATCATTCTGCCCCTGGCCCCATCCAAATCTCATGTCCTCACACTTCAAAACCAATGATGTCTTCCCAACAGTCCCTGAAAGTCTTAACTCATTTCAGCATTAACTCAAAAGACCACAGTCCAATGTCTCATCTGAGACAAGGCAAGTCCCTTCCGCCTATAAGCTTGTAAAATTAAAAGCAAGTTAGTTACTTCCTAAATACAGTGGGCAGGGGGGTGGGGTACAGGCATTGGGTAAATACAGCCATTCTGAATGGGAGAAACTGGCCAAAACAAAGGGGCTACAAGGCCATACAAGTCCAAAATCCAGCAGGGCAGTCAAATCTCAAAGATCCAAAATGACCTCATTTGACTCCATGTCTCATATCCAGGTCACACTCATGCAAGAGGTGGGTTCCCATGGTCTTGGGAAGCTCTGCCACTGTGGCTTTGCAGGGTACAGCCTGGCTTTTCTAGGTGCATGATGCAAGCTGTCGGAGGCGGTGGATCTACCATTCTGGGGTCTGGAGGATGACAACCCTCTTCTCACAGCTCCACTAGGCAGTATTCTAATAGGGACCCTGTGTTGGGGCTCTGACCCCACATTTTTCTTCTGTACTGCCCTAGCAGAGGTTCTCCATGAGGGCCCCAGTCATGCAGCAAACTTCCTCCTGGACATCAGGCATTTTCATATGCCCTGTGAAATCTAGGCGGAGGTTCCCAAACCCCAGTTCTTGACTTCTGTGCACTTGCAGGCTCAATACCATATGGAAGCTACCAAGGCTTGGGGTTTGCACCCTTTGAAACCATGGACTGAGCTCTAGGTTGGCCCCTTTCAGCCATGACTGGAGTGGGTAGGACACAGGGCACCAAGTCGCTAGGCTGCACATAGCACGGGGACCCTTGGCCCAGCCCATAAAACCATTTTTCTCTTCTAGGCCTCCAGGCTTGTGATGAGAGGGACTGCCATGAAAATCTCTGACCTGCACTGGAGACATTTTCCCATTGTCTTAGGGATTAACATTCAGCTCCTCGTTACTTATGCAAATTTCTGCAGCAGGCTTGAATTTTCCTCAGAAAATGGGATTTTCTTTTTAATCACATTATCAGACTGCAAATTTTCTGAACTTTTGTGCTCTGCTTCCCATATAAAAATGAATGCGTTTAACAATTGAATGCTTTGCTGCTTAGAAATTTCTTCCACCAGATACCCTAAATCATCTCTCTCAAGTTCAAAATTCCACAAATCTCTAGGGCAGGGGCAAAATGCTGCCAGTCTCTTTGCTAAAAAATAACAAGAGTCACCTTTGCTCCAGTTCCCAATAAGTTCCTCATCTCCACCTGAGACCACCTCAGCCTAGACTTTATTGTCCATATCGCTATAAGCATTTTGGGCAAAGCCATTCAACAATTCTCTAGGAAGTTCCAAACTGTCCCACATTTTCCTGTCTTCTTCTGAGCCCTCCAAACTATTCCAACCTCTGCCTTTTACCCAGTTCCAAAGTCACTTTCACATTTTTGGGTATCTTTACAGCAGCACCTCACTCTACTGGTAACAATTTACTATTTTAGTTTGTTTTTATGCTGCTGATAAAGACATACCTGAGATTGAGAAGAAAAAGAGGTTTAATGGACTCACCATTCCACGTGGCTAGGGAGGCCTCACAATCATGGCAAAAGGCAAAGAGAAGCAAGCCACATCTTATATGGATAGCAGCAGGCAAAAAGAGTGCTTGGCAGGGTAATTCCCCCTTATAAAACCAGCAGCTCTCATGAGACTTACTCACTATCACAAGAACAGCAAAGGAAAGACCTACCCCTATGATTCAATTACCTCCCACTGGGTCCCTCCCACAACAGTGGGAATTCAAGATAAGATTTGGGTGGGGACACAGCCAAACCACATCAATGGCCAATAGGTATATTTAAAAAATGCTCAGCATCACTAATCATTAGCTAAACACGAATAAAAACTACAATAAGGTATTACCTCACACCTGTTAGAATGGCCTTCATCAAAAAGCTAGAAAAAAAGTGTTGTCAAGGATTCCGAGAAAAGGGAGCTTCTGTACATTGTTAGTGCAAATGTAAGTTAGTTCAGCCCTTATGGAAAATGATAAGAAGATGCTTTTAAAAACTAAAAATGTAACTACCATATGATCCAGTAATCTTATACTTCTGAATATATATCCAAAGAAACTAAAATCAACATGTCAAAGGGTTAGCCCTTCATATTCATTGCAGCATTATTCACAATAACTAAGATATGCAATCAACCTAAATGTCCATCAGTTTCTGAATGTATAAAAAAATGTGGTATACACACACAATGGAATACTGCTCAACCATAAAAGGGGGAATTTCTGTCATTTTCAACAATACAAATTAATCTGAGGTACATAATGCTAAGTGAAATAAGCCAGACACAGAAAGACAACTGGTATCATTTATACATGGAATCTAAATAATTTGAAATCATAGAAGTAGCAAGTAGAAGGACCACAACTTACCAGCGGCTGGGAGTTTTGGTTATGAAGAGAAAGGGAATGGAGAGTTGTTGATCAAAGTGTAAAAAGTTTCAGATAGACAAGAGGAATAGATTTTGAAATCTATTGCACAATAGGGTAATTGTAGTCAATAATAATGTATGGTTTATTTCAAAATCACTAAGATATTCAGTTTCAAATGTTTCACCCTAAAAAAAGATAGGTAAGTGAGGTGACAAGGTGATTAATATGTTAATTGGCTTGATTTACTCATTCCACTTTGTATACATATATCAAAACATCACATTGTACTTCATAAATGTATACAATTATAATTTGTCAACCAAAAAGAATACTAATAATTTTTTAAGAAGCTCTGGCGCTTGATCTTTTCAGAAGGGGAAAGTTCATATGGGACTCACTGATGTCAAGCTTTCCCTGCAATATCAATTTAAATTTTCCAAGAATGAGAAGTCACTTATTTTTTATTTCCATAGGAAGCAAAAACAGCGAGACCAGATATAAAGACTCAAATGTTATCATGCTATTATCAGCAGAGTACACAGAGAAAGAAAAAGAAATCTTTGTTTTTAATTTAGGAACTAAGAACAGAGGGATATATTAGCAGAAGGCCATACATTTCAAACTATATGAGTGCAACCCTGAGTCAAAACTGCTTGAGGTCACTGGGCATGGCTTTAAAATCTGGCTGTGTCAGAATTACCTATGGAGCTTGTTAAAATTAGAGGTGCCTACGTATACCCCAGACTTCCTGCATAATCCTTGCGGATGAGGTCCTTGAATCAATATTTGCATCAGGCTTTCCAGAGTGGCTCTGGTGCACCAGGAGCTTTAGCACCCAGAGATCTAGGGCAAGACCTGAAACTATAGACAACATTTGGAAGCTGCAGTCAGGGCTTTAAGAACCTTAACATCCCCAGAGATGGTCACTTCTAAATGAAAAATAAGTTAGAGCCATCCTCAACTCTAACTGGAAATAGGTTTCTTTCTCCCTAATTCTTTTTTCAAACATGGGTTTTAATTTTATCATACATAACTGATCAACACTATTTTTAGTTTTGCTCTTTTGGTGGCAAATGGGGACTAATTCAATCTACTTCAACGAGATGGGAGTTTATTTTAGGAACATATGTCGACCAGACCTGAAACTTGATAACACTAAAGGACTACATCTAAAGCAGCTCTAAGAACCACTCACACAGGATTGCTCTCTCAGGCATCTCAGTTTCTATCAATTGGGGAGAAAGGCAGAGATGAAGGACTATGGGGTATAAACTTGACTCCCTAGAAACCATGATTGGAAATGGGCAGTTTTCATTAGAAGGGGAAGTGGGTGGTAGGATAAAGTGGGTATTTCTACTGCAAATACCTATGCTGCTTTTTGCTAAGTATTTCTTTCACTTAACATAATTCAGTAGGGAACTGAATCAGGTTTCTTCCTTATATCTTCATAAATACTTGAAGACTGAATCCTGTTTATTTTTTTCCCTAAATCTTCCTCAGACTCACTTTACTCCACATGCATCTTTCCTGCTGGTGCATGAGAACTTTTTTCTTTAAATGGCCTTTAACAATTCCCCATTCAAGAGACTATACTTAAGCAATTCAAACTTACTTGAGTGCCAGAAGCACATGCCAGGGTAGATTGTAAAGTATTTGAATGCAGTTTCCTCCACCACTTTCCCTAAACACCTGCAGAGCTTAGGAGAGCTCTGAACACAATGTAAACATGCTCAAACAATATTAGAAGTGATAAAGGAGGTCTGCAGGGATAAACTGACCCTAGTTAATGGTGAAACATGAATATAAACCAGGTCTTCTGCCTCTGTAATATCCTTCTACTTCAAATTATGTATGGGACTTAAAACTGATTTGGGTAAATCACCAAACTTACAGGGCTTTGATCAAATCATATGATACTTGTAGATTAGAGGATAAACAAATTTTAGTAAAAGAGTATTTGATTCAAATACTCCGAAGTATATTTAAAAGTAAACAGGTTTTTTGGCATGTTAAATAATTTAAAAATTACAAGCCCAACTAATTTTTAAACTATTTACAGCTTAAAATACAGATTAATTTACTGTCTTGCTCTTTAAACATTTTCTTTTAAACTGATATTGTTTGAATCTCTTTATCATACCTTGCCCTCTAATATTCTCAGAAAATCAAAAAATATTAACAAATTCAGCCTAACCTCATTTCTTCAACCAATTATTGTTCTGAGTTTATAAGTGAGAAGTGACAATGATGAATATGGTTTGAGGCCTGAAGGTACTCACTGTCTATTGGGGAAACAAACACATAAATAGGTAATTACACTATAATGTGGACAGTGCAATGCCAGATACCTATGGCTATTATGCAAGCACTGCACAGGGGACACTTGCCCCAACCTGCAAAGGTCAGTGAAAGCATCCAGAAGTAAAAGATGTGAAGCTGAATCACATGACTGCCCCATGCCCAGTACCTAACCAGCCTTAACAGCTTCATGTCTCAACGGCCATCAGCAAGTCCTGGTAAATACGTCTTGGCTTCAAAAACCTCTATCTCACCTGCAAGCACTCCAATTGAAACGACCATTTCTCACACAGACTACTACAATAGCCTCTTGGCAATTTTCCCCACTTCCATTTCTTATTTCTGTCCATTTAGTTTGCATATGGCATCCAGAGTAACATCATGTTACAGATCTGTTTAATTATTTCATGACTTCCCATCTCATATTTAGTTCCAAACAAACAACTTTCTAAGAAAAGCTCCTGATTGATCTGGGTCCCTGTCTCCCTCTCCAGTCTCAGCTCAATCTAAGTTCCTCTCTCACTACTCTCCAGTGCACTGACTTTCTGTTTCTCAAACACAAGCTCTATACTCCTTCAGGGCTTTTGCAACATGCTGTATTCTCTGTTTGGAATTATACTCTTCTTTCCTTGGCTGGCTACTTTTCATCTTTCAGGTCTGAAGTTAAATACCTCTTCTTTAGACATTTCTGATGATATGAAATAAACCTCCCTTATTATTTATTTTCACTCTCTGTCTCTTGTTTATAGCTTTGTAGCCCCTGTTACCAGTTGACTATTATAATGATAGCTTGTTTACTGCTTTCTGCCTGCCTTCTCACTAGGTTATAATTTGCTTCATAAGGGCTTAGGCCAAGTCAGTTTTGTTCATCCATGTACACCGGCCACCTAGTAGAATACAGCCTCAAAACTAGGCATTCATTAAGTATTTGTTGCATAAGTGAATAAATACATACACTCTGTGATCTAGCAAATCAAAACTACTCACTTTTTTTTCCATTGACTTCACTGGTATTCTTATATTTTTCAAGAAGACCATCTACCCAGCCACTAACTCTGCTTATAGATGGAGTAATTTCAAAATTTCTTTTCCATCTTGAATTCTTCTCTAATTTCTCAAAAATGATTCATCATTCTTTCCTTTGAATGTGCATAAGGATTTTAGCTTCTCTTAGGGTTAATGTTTGCATTATATGTTTTTTGCATAATTGTCCTGTGCCCCTTAAAGCCAGGAACCATGCCTGGCCACCTTATTTCTACCATAGAGCCAGGCAATGTTCACTAACAGTGATTATTCTGTAAAAGTGATGAGTGAACCAATTAATAAAATAATTTTTGGGCCGGGCGCGGTGGCTCACGCCTGTAATCCCAGCACTTTGGGAGGCAGAGGCGGGCGGATCATGAGGTCAGGAGATCGAGACCATCCTGGCTAACACAGTGAAACCCCGCCTCTACTAAAAATACAAAAAAATTAGCCGGGCGTGGTGGCGGGCGCCTGTAGTCCCAGCTACTCGGGAGGCTGAGGCAGGAGAATGGCGCGAACCCGGGAGGCGGAGCTTGCAGTGAGCCGAGATCACGCCACTGCACTCCAGCCTGGGCGACAGAACGAGACTCCGTCTCAAAAAAAATAAAAATAAAATAAAATAATAATAATAATAATAATTTTTGAACAAGTTTAAAGAAGAGGTTTTTGGGTAGTACAATTTAAAGATGAAACCTGAATATGGTTCTGAAATCTTTTAGGGTATGTGCTGAATGAACTGTGTCACCTCTTATTTTCTGTATCCACTCTTAATGTTGTTATCTTTATCACACTGTGGCCTTTCTCAGTGAAGCTGTCAAAATCCAGCTGGGCTGGTCAGCAAGATGCTGATGTTGCTCTGACACCTTGTCAACAATGACACTCCCTGTATCTGCCATTAAAAAAAAATCAGTGTTACATGGAAGGTAGAACTATATCAAGAATAATCTGAAGAAATTATTCTTAAGAAGAGTTTTTGAAATATTTGAGAACAGCCCAACACAGATAAGATTGTTTAAATTTCTCTGACGACTTTCACATAATTTTCTTATCTCATAATTACTAAACTCAAAATTCAATAACTAGAGATGTTAAGAGATATTAGCTTTAACATTAGCAGAAACCTCAAAAAAGGACTTTAATTAAAGAGTCCTGTAGCAATGTGCTGGGTACACATTTTTGACATAATTCACCTACCATATACAGCTGAAAATCCAATTTATACAACTTATGTTTCATAAAATAAAAATGCTAGCCAAAGTTATTTATAGCACAATGAAAGTTGTTAAAAGTCTAAAGCACGATAGTGACCTTTACATTATCCCAGAAAAGGCAATTTATTTCATAGACTATTGAATATAGAAACCATTTTCAGATACATCTAGTTTAAGTGGTAAAATTGCAGAAAATTACACATACAGCATGATAGCTTTTTTCCTACTCTAAGAAAACTACCTAAGTGCCTTCAAACTCTGTAAAATCGCTGCTCTTTTAGAATTAATGGTTTCCTAAATTACCATAAGCTGTCAACTTTTACAACCATTTTTGATTATTTTATGTTTAATACATATTTATTGGGGACCACTAAATTTAACATAAACTATAAGAGTTGTGACACTGGCCCTAAACAAACTTCATACAATAGCACCTAGCCTTGTTCTACTGAGAGGAGAGAGGAAAGAGAAGTAAGAGAGAAAAATATCCCTTCACGAAATCATCATTAAAGGCGGCCTCAAGGAAGACATGACCCAGCACCGACAGCTTCTAGCCCCTTAAGAGTTTTTCATCTCGAAATTTTATACTCTCTAATTTTATTAACTATGCTGTGCTATATACTTTTCCTCATAATTCTTTAGAATTGTGATTCGTGAATTTGATAGGTATTCTATACTGAGCTTGAACAAATCTCCCTGTCAATCCTTTATTATGTTTGCGATTGTATATACTTTGATCTTCCTTATACATCAGCATTTGATCTTTTAGACTGGAGTTCAGTATTTCTAAGTTCATCATTTTAGAGAGTTTAAGAATCTCAGCCTCCTTGATCATTTAAATTGTCCTTCCTGTGAACTTCCTAGGTCTTTTAGTTATGGTCTTTTTAACTCTGTCAAAGCCAGGTTTTTCCTTCTATTTGGGATCTAACATTGTTAACATGCTGACATTTAAAGATTTATGCAGCATGCAGAAATCAATGAAAAATCACGTAAGATCTGAGAAATTGTCAATAAAAATCAACTAAGGGCTTATTCTATAGCTATGTAGGCTGCTAATATCTACCTGATAGTCAAGTCTCATCTGAGTCAAAACACCTCTCAACCTAAATACATCTCTTCTACTTACCAAATACTGTGTCTGAAATTCCTAGTGTTATAAACACTCCTTAAAATGCAAACAACTTACCAATCTAGGAGAGAAAGACTGTTAATACATTGTAATCTAATTAGAGGATATTACATCCTTCTGCCTGGAGATACTGGTGTGTCAGCCAGGTAGAATTTAATGGAATAAATGATATTGTTTGGATGTTTGTCCCCTCCAAATCTCATGTTGAAATGTGATCCCCAGTGTTGGAGGCAGAGACTGGTAGGACGTTTTTGGGTAATGGGGATGACTCCCTTATGAATGGCTTGGTGCCCTCCCCATGGTAATGAGTTCTCACCCTCATAGTTCAGGCAACAGCTTGGTGTTGAAAGGGTTCTGGCATCTCCTCCTCTGTCTCTCTTGCACCCTTTTGCTATGGGACATGTTGCTCCCCCTTCACCTGCCACCACAATTGAAAACTTCCTGAGGCCGTCTTCTGGAGCAGATGCCAGTGCTATGCTTCCTGTACTGCCTGCAGAATCATGAGCCAAAATAAACCTCTTGTCTTTATAAATTATCCAGTCTCAGGTATTCCTTTAGAGCAACACAAATGGACTAACACAGTAAGTATGTAAAGAAATGGCTAAGTTTAAGGAAATATTTATGAAAGTAAGTCTAGGTAGGATTCTTAGGAGATAATGTGTAGTCAGGTGCAAGCATCCAGCAAATATAGAGCCTTGAAGGTGGGCATCTAAATAAGAGGAAAAAGCCTGGAATAGCAGATGCAACTAGATTTAAAATTAGCCCCAAATAAGCATTTGCACTTAAATGGCATAGTTGTATTAGAGAAACATTTTCATCCATAAGAGATTAATTTCAAGTAGCTGCATAAATGCAAATGACAATTAACTTTAATCTTGATGGCTAACTCACAAATTGGCAACATTTTAGAAATTCATGAAATATAAGTTTAATTAAAAAGGCATACAACTAGATTATTAAGAAAAAATACTTGTAAAAATCATACTTATTAAACAAAGATATGCAAATTAAGACATAAATAATCTATCAGAGTGTCAACAATTTTAAAAATGTTATCTTAAATGTAGCAGCAATACAGCTGGTAGAAATAGAAACCGGCACAAACTTTCTGGGAAACAATTTGGCAATATATACCAAGGTCCTAGGTAATATATATACCATCAGAGGAGAGTCTGTTTTAGAAATCTGTCCTTGGCAAACAAAGACGCAAAAAGGATTTCTTACTAGCTTTATTTGTAGCAAGAAGAACTATAAAATAGATATAGTTATATAGATATATCTGAATGGTTAGAAACACTGTGATTAAAAGAGCAAAGAATATTATACAGCTGTTGGAAATCATTTTTATAAATATATAATGGTATGGAAAAATAGCTATGAATCTTAAGAAAAGTGTGGAAGTAAATATTAAATCTTATATTAGGCTTTTTACAGGGTAGTAGAATTATACTTTTTTATACTTTATTGTATTCTCTTCAAAATGATGTATTCCTTATATATTTTGGAAAATAACACACTTTTAAGAAACGTAAGACTCTAAAGGTGGACTTCTTAGGCCTTACTAGTCATTGCAAAGTACTTTCAAGAAAGTTGAATCCAGATAGAAAAATGAAAAGAAGACACATGAAGGCTGTGTCAGGGTATAACTTTTCTCAAAGCCTCAAATCACCTGAAGCACAACTTTATTTTTAATATTTTACAATGTTGAATGCTGAGCATATGATTTTGAAAGACACATCCTTCTTAGGGAACAAAAACTTTAAAGAGTATTAACTAGCATTTATTGAATACTAAATGTTTTACCTGTATTAATTTAGCCTCATAATCCTGTTTTTACAGAAGAGGAAACTGCAAACCACAGAGGCTAAATAAACATGGTTGCCAATAAATAATAAACACCACATCAAACCGTAGAGCCAGAATTGGAGCCCAGGTAGACTTCAGAGTGTGTGCCTTTAACTCATTAAACTATTCCACATCTCTGGCAGGATCTTGCCACTTGAAGCTTCTGATCTATTATTCCTTCATTTTCACTGAATTCACTACTTGCAATGGGCAGTGATTTATTTTTGACTTATTTACTTTCCTTGACTAAATCATCAGGGCTACAAATTTCCTGTTCCCTACAACAATCTTTTAGCCCATATCACTTTCATCAGAAGTTTACTAGTAAAGGAGTCCATGGTAAGGGGATAGAAAAGGGACCTAAAAAAGGATATTTAATTATTATTAACTAGTTTTTGAATGAGTTTCGGGTGACTGTAGCAATCAGTTCTTTCCTTGAGTTTGCAGACAGATAGGGGTGATTGGCTTCTCCATGAAACCATGCACAGAGCCAAGACAGAAAATTGCTTTCCCACCATCATCTAGTGTACGGCCAAGAATCTAGGATTCCAGGTATAGTTAAAATTTTAATAAAATCCGTATTCCTTATATAGCTTCAATGCGATGGTTGCTTTAAGATTTTTGAATTGTAAAACTGTCTGCTTCACTTCATCTTCCAACTGGACAAAACAAAACTTTCAAATAACCAGGAATCCACCATTTTATGGCTTTATAAAAATTCAGTTGTCAACAAATTCTCCATCAAAAGCTCTCCTCAACTACCCTATTGCACTTCAAAATAAATCAGAAGAGCATTCTACTTCAAATAAAAAGCAGACTGAATATGCAATAAATTCCTTCTTTTATGACAATTTTCCCTGGAGCTGTGTTTATTAATACCACTGAGATACTGCAAACTTTTGTTGTGAGATCAAAAAATGGAAGAGTTGATAGTGACCACATAAAGCTTTGTTTTCCCCTGTTTGAACTTACAGCAGAGAACATTGTGATATTTAAAAAGTAAAATAAAAGAGAGAGGACAACTGGCTAGTCAATTATTTAAGAAAAAGATCATAATGTCCTTTCCTCAGACCTTTCAGAACAAAAATAAAAAGGGGAAGAAGAAGAAAAAAAAACAAATAAAATTCTAGCTAGATTAAAGATATAAATTTTAAAAATAAAACACAAATAATAGAAAAGACATGGGCACAGTATTTTATAAGTTTCAGATAGAGAAAGCTGTCCTAAGTATGATACTAGCCCAGAAGGCCAAAAATTGTTTTACTACAAACAAGTACAAATTTTATATCGCAACAAAATCAAAATACAAAAAACAGGGCAGAAAAAATAAAATATTTTCAACACCTGTGAAATACATGGTATAATGTACAGTGTGTGAAAGCCACTTAACAGTAGAATTGGGAAAAGTAGGATGGAGAAAACTGACTTTGATATTTTACTAAATGATCTCCTGAAATAGAGTTTTTACAGGCATATATTTTTCTTAGAATTCAACAGGAAGGAGAGAAGTGAAATAGGTAAGAAAAAAAGAAGAGTGTGGAAAAATAAATTTAAAAAACTTTATATTTTCTATAAATATCAAGATTGTCACAGTCTAATATCCTCAGTCATCTAGTAACTAAGAGGCCACAATGATTTCCAGCTGCAACCACATCTGAATTCAATCAGCAGGCACCAAATTTGGTACTATTGCTATTCAGAAGTTAGCAGATGCATTTTGCTCTTTAGAATTTAAACTGAGAACCAAACATTTTCACTCCCAATGCTAGTCAAAGTTCACCACAGATCTTTGTCATAAAGATACATTAGCATAAACTATTACAATTAGGATTCATATAGAGCAAGTAAGCTTCTTTCATTCATTTCCCCATGATGGTGCATCTTTTATTTTTCATTTTGCAAAAAATCAATCTCAAATCACACTTCTCAGAAAAACAATTGGATTCTAAACTTCAGAATCAATATTGAAAAGGTAACAAATGCATGCAAGGATTAAATACAGAACTACAGAATTTGTAATCTCAGATCACAGTCCAAATTTTGTAAACAGAGTATATCCATTACAAAGACTGTCCTGTGGGGAAGTGTAAAGAAATTAGTTGGTAACAACTCATTCTGCTTGAAAAATGTTCCTCTCCTTGTCTACCTACTTTTCCTACTTTTCTTACAAAAATATCAAGTTTCCAAAACAAACAACATTTTTATCTTAATTTATCTTTACTCTTAATTTATCTTAACTCTTACAAAAGGTAAAAAAAATTAACTTACATTTTGATTCATATGTAACTCATTATATTTACTTTAAAATTATAATCATAGGAAATCAATACTGTCTTGGACAATCCAGGATTTGTGATCCATGGATCAATGTTTATTTCTTCTTGGTTAAGTAAATACTTCCTCTAATTTTCAACTTTTCCAAGAAATACTTCTTGTACAAGGTAGATATAAGATGGATTAAGAAGAAAAAGTCTGAGGACTGATTTAGCTATGTAAATAAATTTTAATTAAATAAGGGCTAATTTTATAATACTACTGCTGCATCATCTAATTTTGGTTACCTTGAACCAAGATTTCAAACTAAAGTGGCTTTAAAACCTCAAAATGTAGTCCAATGCCAAGTATTTAGTTTCTATACTTCTTTTCTGGAAGGAATGGTTAAGATTATTGGCTAGCTCCTTATCACACTTACCAGAAACTTCTGAATTCAGTTTACCTCTCAAATGTAGGCTTCCCTATTTGTTTTGTATTTTCAAAACAAATTTTCACCCATTGAGAAATTCAGATATATCATTCCCACTAGTATCTAAATGGTAGCTAAAACTCTTTCTTTTAAACAAGAAAATTTAGATTAAAAACTGAAATATACCATTGCTTGATATGGCACCTGGTCAAATATAAGATTTTGGTTGGAATTTTTTTTTCCACTCTGTTGGAAAGTGTCTAACATTGTAACAGACACTTCCTTTGAACTCTTGCCCAGAACAGGATTGCTAAAAAAAAAAAAAAAAAAAAAAAAAAAAAAAAAAAAAAAAAAAAGATATTAAAGCACCACTGACTTTGAATACTTTTTGAATACTTTTCCTTGGAGACCATACAACATGTTGAGGGATTTTTGGGGGGAGTGGGGGCGAGGGGAGTAAGATATGTTCTTTGCTTAGACCAGGATATGTTAATCCGCTTATGTAAAGAAGTGTTGACACCAGGAAAAAGCCATCAAATGATGCAAACCTTCTGACGTTAGTGAAAGCCATCCATCCAATCACATGTTTGAATTGACTGACTAAAGATATCAAGCTACTTTATCTGTTTATTCCTAGATTGACAAATTTAGAACAATGAACTACCACATTTCATCATTCATCAATAACTTATTATAATTAAAAATAATACTGAGAACTGCAAGAGATCAATAAGGCCTGATTTCTCTCCTGGAGGAGTTCCTACTGTATAATCTACCACCATTCTAACCTTCCTTAGCAGTGCTCATATGAATCCAAGAGAGGAAAGGGAAAAAGCTGTTTTCAGGGATACCCTTGTCAAACAGTTATCCCTTATCTTGATGTTTCTCTGTATTAACTTAGTTCAATTTTCCCAAGTAATGTATTTCATTCAAATACTAGACATTTGCTCTCCTTTCAAGTTGGCCAAATCAGTCCTATCAACTGAGTAAGAGCTGCCTGTATTTATGGGATACCCCTCCTAAAATAATAAAACTTTTGATTCCCAGGTTGAGATAGGTTTGCTTCAGCATCTGAAGATTTGCTCTGAGAAATAACTGGTAGTTGTTTTTTGAGACAGTATGTTTTTTAAGTGCTCTCATCACAAAAATGCTAAGTATGTGAGGCAATATATGTGATAACTAGTGTGGTTCAGCCAATGTATACGTGTTTCAAAACATGTTGTATACCATAAATACATTCAATTTTTATTTGTCAATTAAAAACATAAATAATAATAATGTAAAGTAATCTCAATGGTGTAATGAAAAAAGACTTCTTTTGGTTGAGGAGTGGAAGGAGGCTTCAAGCTACATGCTGTTATATTTTAAGGAAGAAAAGAACTATTTATTCATCACCAGACATCTGACACAAACTATTTCACATAATCCTCTGAATAGTCTTAGAGATAGAAATATTTGTCCAATGTTGGAGGGGAAACAATGAAAATTAAAGTGGTAAATGGCTTGCCTGAGGAATTCTGGCATCCAAACATACATCTCTCTTGTTAAAAAACTTATTTTATTGCTATTATACCACATGACGTGAAAATTAAACAGCAGGTATAAATATATGCATTTTGGAACCATGCCCCATGAGATTATAAAGCACAGGTAATGAAAATTGTCCACTTAAGAAAATAAATTCTGGGCCAGGCACGGTAGCTCAATGCCTGTAATCCCAGCACTTTGGGAGGCCAAGGCAGGTGGATCATTTGAGGTCAAGAGTTCGAGACCAGCCTGACCAACATGGTGAAACCCTGTCTCTACTAAAAATACAAAAAAATTAGCCAGGCATGGGGGCGCACAACTGTAGTCCCAGCTACTCTACTCAGGAGGCTGAGACAGAAGAATCACTTGAACCTGGGAGACGGAGATTGCAGTGAGCCAAAATTGTGCCACTGCATTCCAGCTTGGGTGACAGAGCAAGACTCTGTTTCAAGAAAAGAAAAGAAAAGAAAAGAAAGGAAGGAAGGAAAGAAAGAAAGAAAAAAAAGAAAAGAAAAGAAAAAAGAAATTCTGAGTTTACTTACTTGTTAGGTAAAGAAACAGGATATACACTTGAGTAAAGAAAATTTTTAAGTAGCTCATTTAGAAGAAGATATCACAAGAGTGGATATATGCTAGAAATGGGTGGAGATCCATTAGCTTAATGTTAATTAAAAAAATGAAAGTTTGCATTCTGTATGAATGATATGAGTCCCATAAATATGTGCACTGTTGGCCAGGCACGGTGGCACATACCTGTAATCCCAGCACTTTGGGAGGCCGAGGCGGGTAGATCACGAGGTCAAGAGATCAAGATCATCCTGGCCACGGCCAACATGGTGAAACTCCGTCTCTACTAAAAATACAAAAATTAGCTGGATGTGGTGGCATGCTCCTGTAGTCCCAGCCACTCAGGAGGGTGAGGCAGGAGAATCGCTTGAACCCGGGAGGCGGAGATTGCAGTGAGCCAACATCACGCCACTGCACTCCAGCCTGGCGACAGAGCGAGACTCCGTCTCAAAAAAAAAAAAAAGTACACTGTTGGTTAAAATCACCCCTTTGTTCATGCATCAGAAAAGAGTCTTCAATTGGGTTCAGTTAAGGTGGAAGTTTCCACAAGACGGGAACTCAAACTTTGTGGTCTTTTCACAGCTTCAGATGGTTAGAACCAGCTGTGGTAAAATGCAGTAGAGTATTCAGTTTTCTACTTTGTTGGTTTCTTTCAGTGTTCTCTTTTTTGTAACTGTAAATTGCTAAAGTATAATTGGATGTATTTATGGGGTACAAAATGATGTTATGATTTATGACTAGAGAATAGAATGGTGGTTAGTCACCAGAGACTAGGGAAATTGGTGGAATGGAGGGCTGATGGTCAAAGGGTACAAAGCCTCAGTTAGGCAGGAGGAATGAGTTTTTCGTTGCAGATTTTTTTTTTTAGATATATTGCACAGTGTAGTGAATATAGTTAATAATCGTGTATTATTTAAAAACCTTTTTGGCTTTTAAATATTTATTAAAGATTTATTTAACATATCATTGAGGAGCCAAGCAAGATGGCAAATCTAGTTCAAATGAGAGACACGAATTTAGAGCCACTAAAAGAAAGATGCCTGGGATAAAATTGCTAAATTAGATACAAAACTGGTTAATGCTCTCTAGGGCAATGCACTGTACAGTTTACATTGTAAACTTTTCTGTAAGCATTTACATTCCTACTGCAAAAAATTATTTGCATTATTATCTATTAGACAATGATGAATTGCATCATTATTTTTTCTATAAGTTAACAACTAGCCTTACAGAGGTATAAATATCCTAATGGAAGTATGTTAAACTAACACACATAATCCTGAAGAACTAGACAACCTTAGGTAGGCCTATTAGATAATTCTCCAGTAGAACATTTAAAATATATGCAATTATCTTTTTGCCTATTTGCAAATATTAGCTCTTTATTTCTTTACGTTTCTCCTCTGTGATTAAAAAAATGATCTTCAAAGATTAATGTTGATCACAAAAATGCTAGATGGTTTTCCAGCTTGCTTTATAGACATAAGTGTTGTAAAATTTGTTAACATGCTTAAACTTCCCTGTGATATGTTCAGCACATCTAAAGCCATAGGTTGACACGCAATTACTAAGTGCAGAAAATTATCTTCTATCTGGAGATTTCATAAGGAATCTAGGATGCTATTTATAATAGTCTCCATCACTTTAGAGATCTTTCTCTTTCTCTTTCTTTCTCTCTCTCTCTCTCTCGCTCTCTCTGCAAAGCCTAGAAAACAAAACTCAAGAAATTCATAGGCATCAGTTTTGCCTGCATTATCTATAAATTTGAGTATATTATCTTTTCAAGGTCCCCATACTCAGCTAAAGTTTCTGGCCTGCCAAGAAGGGATTTCTCTTACCATCTGTAAGGCAGAGACCCTATGAGCCACACAACTGTACCTGATAAGTTTCTTGGGAGGGCTTTATAAACAAATGTCCTGCATATGAAATATAATTCTGGCTTAAATGAAAGTATGAGATTTACTCTCAAATATGACACCTCAATGCAAAATTGATTATTTGATTTATGTTCTGATAACAAGGAAGACAAATTCTTACTGAATCTATGCAAATAATAACATTATCAATAAAATTACAGAGTTTCAGGAGAAGCATTTCTTTCAAAATTCTGAAGGGTCAGTAAAAATAGGTATCATTTAGAGAATATTTCATAATAAGTATGAAAAAAGTCTAATTTGAGGGTTAGAGACAAGTTGAGGTGAAAAATACTTCCTCATACATCTAGTAGGAAATAGAATATTAAAAATGATAGCAAAAAAAATTCCAAAACAATCACAATTACATGTATCTCATTATTTTATTCAATTCTATGTAATTAAGTCTTGCCTCACTGGATCTTGGCTCTGCAGTACACTGTATACATTTCTGTGCTTCTGGATAATAAAGGGGTCCCAGTAGTTGTTTTCATGTCATTTCTGAAGCATGTGCATTATAGTTTACTTCTCTGGGTATCAATAGTAAATAGAATTTTGTATAAACTTTGTTATGCAGGCCTAACTCTTTATTTAAACAAAATTTCTAGATTGGAGCTTAGAGCAAAGTCTTCAGGTAAAGATCAGAGGAAAGACATTTCCTGCTGATGATAAAATTGAATGGTTGTATTTTTACTTAACCAACCATATCAAAAGTCTTTCCAAGTGCTCATTAGTGTCTTATGTGTGTGTATGCACATCATTTTTAATGTTCATATAATATGCATGAAAATAGACCACATGTTGGGCCAAAAAACAAGTACCAATAAATTTTAAAGGACTAAATCAAATATATTTTCTGATAACAACAGAATTCATTTAGAAATAAGACCCATAAGAAAAACCCTAAATATTTTAAAATCATATCACACACTTGTAAATAACTTAAGAAATCATAAAGAAAAATTAAAATATTTTAACTGAATGAAGTAAACATATAGCATATCAAAATTTTTCATATACAGTTAAATATATGCTTAAAGGAATAATTATAGGTTCAATGTCTTACACAATAAAAGAAGTAAGGTCTAAAGTCAATAAGGTAAGCTTCTTCTTTAAGGAGCTAGGAAAAGAAAAGTATATTGTACCTGTGGTATGCAGACATAAAGAAATAGTGAAAATAAGAGTAGATACCAATGAATTAAAAGACACACCAAAAAATGAAGAAAAAATTGATTATTTTTTAAAATTAATAAAATGGACAAACCTTGATCAGACTAATCAATAAAAAAGATAAAAAGGTAATATAAATTACTAATATAAGGGATGATAAAGGAGATGTCAGAAGATATTTGATAGACATTAGAAGAATACAGATTGAGTACTTCCTATCCAAAATGCTTCGGACCAGAAGTGTTTCTAATATCACATTTTATGTTTCATATACTCCTTATATTCACAGCCTGAAGGTAATTTTATACAACATTTTTAATGATTTTGTACATGAAACAAAGTTTTGACTGCATTTTGACTGTAACTCATCACATGAGCTTAGCTGTGGAATTTTTCCACTTGTAGTGTCATGTCAGTGCTCAAAACGTTTTGGATTTTGGAGCTTTTGGATAAGGGATGTCCAACCTAAAATAAGACAGTATCATGAACAACTTACAGCAAATACATTCAACAAAATTGATAAGTAAAAGAAAAGAAACACTATCCACGAAATTTATGAGAAACACATCATTCTGATTTTTACAAAAATTAGACAAAGATGTTACAAGGAAAGAAAACAGTAGATCAATATCCCTCAAGAGCATAGATGCAAAAATCCTTAACAAAATATCAGCATATCAAATCCAGCAATATATGTAAAAGATAAAGTATCACAAGAAATTGGAATTTATTCCAAAAATGCAAGATTTTTAACAGCTTAAAATAGAATATAATTTACAATATGGATTAAAAGTATAAAAAACAGATGATCATCTTGTATGCATAAGCCATTTTATAATATTCATTCATAATTTAAAAAGTCTTAAGAAACTATGATTAGAAAGTAATACTTTCAATCCAATTAAAAAAAGACTGAAAAATTTACAGTTAATGTCAAACTTAATGATGAAAGACAGATAGCTTTCCCACTAAGGACAATTAACAAGGCAACATCATCTACTCTCACTAATTCTATTCCACTTCTTACTGAAGATCCTAGCCAGTCCAAAAAGAAGGGATGGGAGGGGAGAGCAAGCGAGAGAGAGAGAGCCAGAGAGAGACAGAGAGAGAGACAGAGAGAGGGACAGAGAGAGAGACAAGAGACACAGAGAGAAAGGAGGGAAGGAAACAGGAGGGAGGTCAGATTGAAAAAGAAATACATTTTCTTCAGTCAAGATAATAATGTTTATAAAAATCCTAGCTGGGCGCAGTGGCTCAAGCCTGTAACCCCAGCACTTTGGGAGGCCGAGGCAGGTGGATCACTTGAGGTCAGGAGTTTGAGAACAGCCTGGCCAAAGTGGTGAAACCCCGCCTCCACTAAAAATACAAAAAATTGGCCGGGCTTAGTGGCAGGCACCTGTAATCCCAGCTACTCAGGAGGCTGAGGCAGGAGAATGGCCTGAACCCGGGAGGCAGAGCTTGCAGTGAGCCGAGATCGTGCTACTGCACTCCAGCCTGGGCGACAGAGCAAGACTGTCTCAAAAAAAAAAAAAAAAAAAATCCTACAAAATCTATCAAAGAATTAGAACTAATAACTGAATATACCTGAGTCATAGATACAAGGTCCATATTCAAAGGATTGTACTTCTTTTTTAATATTTGTTTTAATAAACAGATATAAAATAGAATTGCCAAATTACTATTTACAGTACCATCAAAATCATAAAACATTTAAGAAGTAAATTTGATAAATTTAGTGTTTTAGTCTGTACAGTCTAACAAAACCTCAGTAAACTAAGTGGCTTATAAGCAATGAACATTTATTTCCTCACAATTCTGAAGGCTAGAAAGTCCAAGGACAAGGTAGCAGTAGATTTGGTGTCTGCTCAGGGCCTATTCATCACAGAAGGCAGCTTCTAGCAGGGTAGCTCTCTGGGGTCTTTGGAGTCTCTTCTATAAGGACACGAATCCCATTCATGAGAGCCCTACATTTATGACTTAATCATATCCCCCAAAGACCCTCCCCCTTAATAAAATCAAATTGGGAATTAGGTTCCAACATATAAATTTGGGAGTGGGGGACATGAACATTTGGACCATAGCATATAGAACCTACAAAACATTGTAATATTACAGAATACTGGAAACTGGGTAACTTGTGAGGAAAACACATGTATTTCTTAGAGTTATGGAGGCTGAGATGTCCCAGGTCGGGGCCAAATCTGGTTAGACCCTTCTTGCTGGTGGGAATTCTGGAGAGTCCAGAGGCGGTGCAGGGCATCACCTGGCAAGAAAGCTAAGCATGCTATCATGCTTGCTCAGGTCTCTCTTCCTCTTCTTATAAAGCCACAGTTTCCTTCTATAACTCAATAATCCATTAACCCATGAATTAATTAATCTGTTTATAAGGGCAGAGCCCTCATGATCCAATCACCTCTTACATGATCTACCTTTAAATATTGCTACAATGGGGATTAAGTTCTCAATACATGAAATTTGGGGAACATATTCAAACCATAACACTTTTTTTTTTTTTTGAGACGGAGTCTCACTCTGTCACCCAGGCTGGAGTGCAGTGGCGCAATCTCGGCTCACTGCAACCTCTGCCTCCTGGGTTCAAGCGATTCTCCTGCCTCAGCCTCCCAAGTAGCTGGGACTATAGGCGTGTGCCACCATGCCCAGCTAATTTTTTGTATTTTTAGTAGAGATGGGGTTTCACCATGTTAGCCAGGATGACCTCGATCTCCTGACCTTGAGATCTGCCTGCCTCAGCCTCCCAAAGTGTGAGGATTACAGGCGTAAGCCACCGTGCCTGGCCCATAGCATCTAATTTTAAGACTTACAATAGTAATTAAAACAGTGTTGTACTAGTATAAGGATGAACACGCATAGCAATAAAATGATAGAAAGTCCATAAAAAGACATATATATATATATACACATTATTATAAGTATATATGTACATGTATGTATCTGCTATATAAAGGTGTTATATATTTAATATGCAATTATATATATTTATATATTTAATATATGTTATATAATTTAATATATGTAAAATTAACTTTTTGACAAAAAGTACTGAGGAAATTAAATAGCAAAGTATTTTTAAAAAGTGGTATTAGAACAACAGAATGTCCATATGGGGAGAAAAGGGGAAACTTAGTTTACTTCTACCTTTACATCTGCCTTATATTATACACAAAAATTCACTCAAAATGGCTCATAAACAATATAGTTTTTATAGTTATTTTACATAAAACTATAAAACTTTTAGAATAAATCATAGGAGAATATGTTCGTGACTTGGAATAAGCAAGGATTTCTTAGGAAACAAAAATCCCACAAACCTTAATAAAAATAATTGACAAACTTTAGCAAAATTAAACTTCAGCAAAACACAAATCCTAAAAAAATTGATAAAATTGGGAGGTGGAGCCAACATGGCCAAATAGGAACAGCTCCAGTCTATAGCTCCCAGCGTGAGCGAAACAGAAGACGGGTGATTTCTGCATTTCCAACTGAGGTACCATGTTCATCTCACTGGGGAGTGTCAGAAAGTGGGTGCAGGACAGTGGCTGCAGCCCACCAAGCATGAGCCGAAGCAGAGCAAGGCATCACCTCACCCGGGAAATGCAAGGGGTCAGGGAATTCACTTTCCTAGTCAAAGAAAGGGGTGACAGACAGCACCTGGAAAATCAGGTCACTCCCACACTAATACTGTGCTTTTCCAATGGTCTTAGCAAAGGGCACACCAGGAGATTACAGCCCGCGCCTGGCTTGGAGGTCCTTCGCCCACAGAGCCTTGCTCATTGCTAGCACAGCAGCCTGAGATCAAACTGCAAGGCAGCAGCGAGGCTGGGGGAGGGGCGCCCACCATTGTCAAGGCTTGAGTAGGTAAACAAAGCAGCAGGGAAGCTCGAACTGGGTGGAGCCCACCTCAGCTCAAGGAGGCCTGCCTTCCTCTGTAGACTCCACCTCTGGGGGCAGGGAATAGCCAAACAAAAGGCAGCAGAAACCTCTGCAGACTTAAATGTCCCTGTCTGACAGCTTTGAAGAGAGTAGTGGTTCTCCCATCATGCAGCTGGAGGTCTGAGAACGGACAGACTGCCTCCTCAAGTGGGTCCCTGACCCCCGAGTAGTCTAACTGGGAGGCATCCCCCAGTAGGGGCAGACTGACACCTCACACGGCCGGGTACTACTCTGAGACAAAACTTCCAGAGGAACGATCAGGCAGCAACATTTGCTGTTCACCAATATCTGCTGCTCTGCAGCCTCTGCTGCTGATACCCAGGCAAACAGGGTCTGGAGTGGATCTCCAGCAAACTCCAACAGACCTGCAGCTGAGGGTCCTCACTGTTAGAAGGAAAACTAGCAAACAGAAATGATAAACACACCAAAACCCCATCTGTACATCACCATCAACAAAGACCAAAGGGAGATAAAACCTCAAAGATGGGGAAAAAACAGAGCAGAAAAACTGGAAACTCTAAAAATCAGAGTGCCTCTCCTCCTCCAAAGGAACGCAGCTCCTCACCAGCAATGGAACAAAGCTGGATGGAGAATGACTTTGATGAGTTGAGAGAAGAAGGCTTCAGATGATCAAACTACTCCAAGCAAAAGGAGGAAGTTCGAACCCATGGCAAAGAAGTTAAAAACCTTGAAAAAAAATTAGACGAACGGCTAACTAGAATAACCAATGTAGAGAAGTCCTTAAAGGACCTGATGGAGCTTAAAACCAAGGCACAAAAACTACGTGATGAATGCACAAGCCTCAGTAGCTGATTCGATCAACTGGAAGAAAGTGTATCAGTGATGGAAGATCAAATGAATGAAATGGAGTGAGAAGACAAGTTCAGAGCAAAAAGAATAAAAAGAAACAAAAAAAGCCTCCAAGAAATATGGGACTATGTGAAAAGACCAAATCTACGTCTGATTGGTGTACCTGAAAGTGACGGGGAGAATGGAACCAAGTTGGAAAACACTCTGCAGGGTATTATCCAGGAGAAATTCCCCAATCTACCAAGGCAGGCCAACATTCAAATTCAGGAAATACAGAGAATGCCACAAAGATACTCCTCGAGAAGAACAACTCCAAGACACATAATTGTCAGATTCACCAAAGTTGAAATGAAGGAAAAAAATGTTAAGGGCAGCCAGAGAGAAAGGTCGGGTTACCCACAAAGGGAAGCCCATCAGACTAACAGCTGATCTCTCGGCAGAAACTCTACAAGCCAGAAGAGAGTGGAGGCCAATATTCAACATTCTTAAAGAAAAGAATTTTCAACCCAGAATTTCATACCCAGCCAAACTAAGCTTCATAAGGGAAGGAGACATAAAATACTTTACAGAAAAACAAATGCTGAGAGACTTTGTCACCACCAGGCCTGCCCTAAAAGACCTCCTGAAGGAAGAACTAAACATGAAAAGGAACAATAGTACCAGCCACTGCAAAAACATGCCAAATCGTAAAGACCATCGAGGCTAGGAAGAAACTGCATCAACTAACAAGCAAAATGACCAGATAACATCATAATGACAGGATCAAATTCACACATAACAATATTAACTTTTAATGTAAATGGCCTAATGATCCAATTAAAAGACACAGACTGGCAAATTGGATAAACAGTCAAGACCCATCAGTGTGCTGTATTCAGGAAACTCATTTCACGTGCAGAGACACACATAGGCTCAAAATAAAGGGAAGGAGGAAGACCTACCAAGCAAATGGAAAACAAAAAAAGGCAGGAGTTGCAATCCTAGTCTTTCATAAAACAGACTTTAAACCAACAAAGATCAAAAGAGACAAAGAAGGCCATTACATAATGGTAAAGGGATCAATTCAACAAGAAGAGCTAACTATCCTAAATATATATGCACCCAATACAGGAGCACCCAGATTCATAAGGCAAGTCCTGAGTGACCTACAAAGAGACTTAGACTCCCACACAATAATAATGGGAGACTTTAACACCCCACTGTCAACATTAGACAGATCAACAAGACACAAAGTTAACAAAGATATCCAGGAACTGAATTCAGCTCTGCACCAAGCAGACCTAATGGACTATCTACAGAACTCTCCACCCCAAATCAACAGAATATACATTCTTTTCAGCACCACACCACACCTATTCCAAAATTTACCACATAGGTGGAAGTAAAGCACTCCTCAGCAAATGTAAAAGAACAGAAATGATAACAAACTGTCTCTCAGATCACAGTGCAATCAAACTAGAACTCAGGATTAAGAAACTCACTCAAAACTGCTCAACTACATGGAAACTGAGCAACCTGGTCCTCAATGACTACTGGGTATATAACGAAATGAAGGCAGAAATAAAGATGTTCTTTGAAACCAATGAGAACAAATACACAACATACCAGAATCTCTGGGACGCATTCAAAGCAGTGTGTAGAGGGAAATTTATAGCACTAAATGCCCACAAGAGCAAGCAGGAAACATCGAAAATTGACACCCTAACATCGCAATTAAAAGAACCAGAGAAGCAAGAGCAAACACATTCAAAAGCTAGCAGAAGGCAAGAAATAACTAAGATCAGAGCAGAACTGAAGGAGATAGAGACACAAAAAACCCTTCAAAAAATCAATGAATCCAGTAGCTAGATTTTTGAAAAGATCAACAAGATTGATAGACCACTAGCAAGACTAATAAAGAAGAAAAGATAGAAGAATCAAAGAGACACAATAAAAAATGATAAAGGGGATATCACCACCAATCCCACAGAAATACAAACTACCATCAGAGAATAATATAAACTACTCTATGCAAATCAACTAGAAAATCTAGAAGAAATGGATAAATTCCTCGACACATACACCCTCCGAAGACTAAACCAAGAAGAAGTTGAATCTCTGAATAGACCAATAACACGCTCTGAAATTGAGGCAATAATTAATAGCTTACCAACCAAAAAAAGTACAGGATCAGATGGAATCACAGCTGAATTCTACCAGAGGTACAAGGAGGAGCTGGTACCATTCCTTCTGAAACTATTCCAATCAATAGAAAAAGAGGGAATCCTCCCTAACTCATTTTATGAGACCAGCATCATCCTGATACCAAAGCCTGGCAGAGACACACCAAAAAAAGAGAATTTTAGACCAATATCCCTGATGAACATCAATGCAAAAATCCTCGATAAAATACTGGCAAACCGAATCCAGCAGCACATCAAAAAGCTTATCCACCATGATCAAGTGGGCTTCATCCCTGGGATGCCAGGCTGGTTCAACATATGAAAATCAATAAACGTAATCCAGCATACAAACAGAACCAATGACAAAAACCACATGATTATCTCAATAGATGCAAAAAGGCCTTTGAAAAAATTCAACAACCTTCATGCTAAAAACTCTCAAGAAATTAGGTATTGATGGGATGTATTTCAAAATAATAAGAGCTATCTATGATAAACCCAAAGCCAATATCATACTGGATGGGCAAAAACTGGAAGCATTCCCTTTGAAAATGGGCACAAGACAGGGATGCCCTCTCTCACCACTCCTATTCAACATAGTGTTGGAAGTTCTGGCTAGGGCAATCAGGCAGGAGAAGGAAATAAAGGGTATTCAATTAGGAAAAGAGGAAGTCAAATTGTCCCTGTTTGCAGATGACATGATTGTATATCTAGAAAACCTCATTGTCTCAGCCCAAAATCTCCTTAAGCTGACAGGCAACTTCAGCAAAGTCTCAGGATACAAAATCAATGTGCAAAAATCACAAGCATTCTTATACACCAATAACAGACAAACAGAGAGCCAAATCATGAGTGAACTCCCATTCACAATTGCTTCAAAGAGAATAAAATACCTAGGAATCCAACTTACAAGGGATGTGAAGGACCTCTTCAAGGAGAACTACAAACCACTGCTCAAGGAAATAAAAGAGGATGCAAACAAATGGAAGAACATTCCATGCTCATGCTCATGGGTAGGAAGAAACAATATTGTGAATATGGCCATACTGCCCAAGGTAATTTATAGATTCAATGCCATCCCCATCAAGCTACCAATGACTTTCTTCACAGAATTGGAAAAAAACTACTTTAAAGTTCATATGGAACCAAAAAAGAGCCCGCATCGCCAAGTCAATCCTAAGACAAGAACAAAGCTGGAGGTATCAATCACACTACCTGACTTCAAACTATACTACAAGTCTACAGTAACCAAAACAGCATGGTACTGGTATCAAAACAGAGATATAGACCAATGGAACACAACAGAGCCCTCAGAAATAATGCCACATATCTACAACTATCTGATCTTTGACAAACCTGACAAAAACAAGCAATGGGGAAAGGATTCCTTATTTAATAAATGGTGCTGGGAAAACTGGCTAGCCATATATAGAAAGCTGAAACTGGATCGCTTCCTTACACCTTATAAAAAATTGATTCAAGATGGATTAAAGACTTACATGTTAGACCTGAAACCATAAAATCCTAGAAGAAAACCTAGGCAATACCATTCAGGACATAGGCATGGGCAAGGACTTCATGTCTAAGACACAAAAAGCAATGGCAACAAAAGCCAAAATTGACAAATGGGATCTAATTAAACTAAAGATCTTCTGCACAGCAAAAGAAACTACCATCAGAGTGAACAGGCAACCTACAGAATGGGAGAAAATTTTTGCAATCTACTCATCTGACAAAGGGCTAATATCCAGAATTACAATGAATTCCAACAAATTTACAAGAAAAAAAAAAACAACCCCATCAAAAAGTGGGCGACGGATATAAACAGACGCTTCTCAAAAGAAGACATTTATGCAGCCAAAAGACACATTGAAAAAATGCTCATCATCACTGCCCATCAGAGAAATGCAAATCAAAATCACCATGAGATACCATCTCACACCAGTTAGAATGGCGATCATTAAAAAGTCAGGAAACAACAGGTGCTGGAGAGGATGTGGAGAAACAGGAACACTTTTACACTGTTGGTGGGACTGTAAACTAGTTCAACCATTGTGGAAGTCAGTGTGGCAATTCCTCAGGGATCTAGATCTAGAAATACCATTTGACCCAGCCATCCCATTACTGGGTATATACCCAAAAGATTATAAATCATGCTGCTATAAAGACACATGCACACGTATGTTTATTGCAGCACTATTCACAATGGCAAAGACTTGGAACCAACCCAAATGTCCAACAACGATAGACTGGATTAAGAAAATGTGGCACATATACACCATGGAATACTATGCAGCCATAAAAAATGATGAGTTCATGTCCTTTGTAGGGACATGGATGAAGCTGGAAACCATCATTCTCAGCAAACTATCGCAAGGACAAAAAACCAAACACTGCATGTTCTCACTCATAGGTGGGAATTGAACAATGAGAATGCATGGACACAGGAAGGGGAACATCACACAGCTGGGGCTGTTGTCGGGTGGGGGGAAGGGGGAGGGATAGCACTGGGAGATATACCTAATGTTAAATGACGAGTTAATGGGTGCAGCACACCAACATGGCACATGTATATATATATATGTAACAAACCTGCACGATGTGCACATGTACCCTAAAACTTAAAGTATTAAAAAAAAACTTAAAAAAATTAGCAGTAATTACTAAGTGTGAGTGGCTATTAATCCCTTTCCCTTCTTCCAATAGCATTTCAATTTCCTTCGTTATCTGTAATAATAGTAAAACTATACAGCAAGTAAACAGCCAGATAATAATTTCTCAATCTGACAGAGAATGCAATAAACTTTTTTTTTTAAGGCGGGTTCTCACTGTCACCCAGCCTGGAGTGCAGTGACAATATCAGCTCACTATAGCCTCCACTTCCCAGGCTCAAGCTACACTCCTGCCTCAGCCTTCCAAGTAGCTGAGATTACAGGTGTGTGCCACCACACCCAACTAATTTTTGTATTTTTAGTATAGAAAGGGTTTCACCATGCTATCCAGACTGGTTTTGAACTGCTGACCCCAAGTGATCTGCCCACCTCAGCCTCCAAAAGTGCAGGGATTACAGGCATGAGCCATTGTGTCTAGCCTGTAATAAACTTTTTAATAGTATTTTTTGAAAAATGACATTACAATAGTGAGGCTAAAACTTCACTGTCTCTTTATTTTCATGTATATTTTCAGGTTGAAAACAAACACAATTCAAGATATTAGTATTGAATTCTTCCAGATTCCCTATCTCTGCAGCCCTTACTCTAGAGTAGAAAATATTTAATCCCATCCTCTGGCTTATTTTGTTTTCTGGCCTGCAAACCAATATTAACCTGAGACAGTAAATACTGGACATAATTACAACTTCAGATGAGTGGACTCAACTTCCATTCCATGATGAGTTCATGTCCTTTGTAGGGACATGGATGAAGCTGGAAACCATCATTCTCAGCAAACTATCACAAGCACAAAAAAACCAAACACCGCATGTTCTCACTCATAGGTGGGAATTGAACAATGAGAACACATGGACACAGGAAGGGGAACATCACACACCAGAGCCTGTTGTGGGGTGGGGTGGGGAGGAAGGATAGCATTAGGAGATATACCTAATGTTAAATGATGAGTTGATGCGTGCAGCCCACCAACATGGCACATGTATACATATGTAACTAACCTGCAGATTGTGCACATGTACCCTAAAACTTAAAGTATAATAAAAAAAATAAAAATTTTAAAAAAATTGATAAAATTAAACTTCAGCAAAATTAGCACTTCATTGCTTTAAATGATAACATTACATAAATAAAAAGGTAACTAGAGAATGAGAAAAATTATTTATAATATGTACAGCTGAAAAAGAACTGTATCTAGAATACATTAAGAACTCTTACAATTCAATTAAAAGGTGACCAACCCAATAGTCTAGTTTTCTGCTGTGGTATCTCTGCCAGATTTTGGTGTTAGGCTGATACTGACCTCGTAGAATGACTTACAGAGGAAGCCTTCCTTCTCATTTTTTTAAAAATAGTTTCAGTAGGATTGATAACAGTTCTTCTATGTATATCTGGTAGAATTCTGCTGTGAATCTATGTGGTCCAGGTCTTTTTTTGTTTGTTTTTTGTTTGTTTGTTCGGCTTGGTTTGGTTTGGTTTGATTGTTAGAATTTTTATGACTGATTCATTTTCAGAGCTTGATATTGATCAATTCAGGGTGTCAATGTCTTTCCAGTTCAATATTGGGAGATTGTGTGTTTCCAGGGATGTATCCACTTCCTCTAGATTTTCTAATTTCTGTGCACAGAGCTGTCAAATAGTATTTTCTAAGAATCTTTTGTACATCTTCGGGATCAGTTGTAATGTCATCCTTGTCATTTCTGATTGTACTTACTTGGATCTTCTCTTTTTTTCTTTGCTAATCTAGCTACCAGTCTATCATCTTATTAATTTCTTCAAATAACCAACTATCGATTTAATCAATATTTGTGTGGATTTCTGCATGTCAATTTCATTCAGTTCTTCTCTAATTTTAGTTATTTCTTTTCTTCTGCTGGCTTTGGGGTTGGTTTGTTCTTTGTTTTCCAGGTCCTTTAGGTGCAAAATTGGATTGTTAATTTGAGATCTTTCTAACTTCTTGATGAAGGTATTTAGTGCTGTAAACTTTCCTCTTAACACTGCTTTAGTTGCATCCCAGGGATTTTGTTGTGTCCTTGTTTTTATTAATTTAAAATGTTTTTAAATTTCTGTCTTAATTTTGATGTTCACTCAGGAGTAATCAGGAGCACGTAGTTTAATTTGTATGGATTTGTATGGCTTTGAAAAATCTTTGTGGTATTGATTAAGAGTGTTCTTGGTATGATTTTAATTTTTTTGAATTTATCGAAACTTGCTTCATGAGACAACATGTGGTTGATCTTAGAATATGTTCCATCTGCATATGAGAAAAATATATATGCTGTGGTTGTTAGCTGGGATGTTGTGTAGATGTCTATTAGGTCCAATTAATCAACTATTGAGTTTCAGTCCAGAGTTTCTTTGTTAGTTTTCTGCTTCAATGATCTGTCTCATGCTCAATGGGATATTGAATTCTCCCACTATTATTGTGTAGCTGTCTAAGTCTTTTCATATGCCAAGAGGAACTTGTTTTGTGAATCTAAAAAATTGACAAGTGGGACCTAATTAAACTAAAGAGCTTCTGCACAGCAAAAGAAACTATCAATAGAGTTAAGAAACTACCTATAAAATTGGAGAAAATATTTGCAAACTATGTATCTGAGAAAGGTCTAATATCCATAATCCATAAGGAACTTAAACAAGCAAAAAACAACCCCATTTAAAAAATGGGCAAAGGGCATGAACAGACAATTCTCAAAGATGATAACATACAAGTGGCCAACAAACATGAAAAAATAATCATCATCACTAATTATCAGAGCCATTCAAATCAAAACCAAGATTAGATAGCATCTCACACCAGTCAAAATGGCTATTATTAAATAGTAAAAAAACAACAGATGCTGGTGAGGCTGTGAGAAAAGGGAATGCTTATACACTGTTGGTGGGAATGTAAATTAGTTCAACCACTGTGGAAAGCAGTTTGGAGATTTCTCAAGGAACTTAGAATCACCATTTGACTCAGCAATCTCAATACTAGGTATATGCCTAAAGGAAAATAGATCATACCAAAAAGACACATGTACTCATATGTTCATTACCATGCTATTCACAATAGCAAAGTCATGGAATCAACCTAGGTGCCCATCAATGGCATATTGGATAAAGAAAATCTGGTACATTAACACCATGGCATACTAAACAGCCATAAAAACCTTTGGCCAAGCATTTAATTTAAGCGGTCAAGTGTCAAGTTTAAGTCCATAGTTCCTTTGTTAGTTTTCTGACACATTATATCCTTTGCAGCAACATGGATGGAGCTAGAGGCCATAGTCCTAAGTGAATTAACACAAAAACAGAAAACTAAATACTACATGTTCTCACTTATAAGTGGGAGCTAAACATTAAGTAGTCATAGACATAAACATAGTAACAATAGACACTGGGGACAACTAGAGGGGGGAGGTAGAGAGGAGAAAATGGGTTGAAAAACTACCTACTAGGTACTATGTTCACTAATGGATGCAATATACCCATGTAACAAATCTGCACATGTACCCCCTGAATCTAAAATAAAAGTTGAATTAAAACAATAAGAAATAAAAATAGAAGTCTGGAAATAATTTGAATAAAATCTTTACCAAAGACGACATATAAATGGCCAATAAATATATAAAAGATTCTTAACAGCATTAGTCATCAGAGAATTGCAAAGTACATCTCCAAGAACACATACCCAATCATGCATATATATTAAATAGATAATTCCAGGTGTTGATGAGTTGGGGAGCAACTGGACTCTCATATATTGCCGGTTGGAGTATTAAAGATATTAAAACCACTCTGGAAAACAGTTCGGCAACTCCTAGTAAAGATAAACATATACTTACCATAATACCCAGCAATTCCACTTTAAGTATTTACCTAAAGGAAAGAGCATATGTCCATAAAAGGATTTGTACAGAATGTTCATGGCAAGTAACTAATGACACACACAATAACATGAATGGATTCCACAGACATTATTCTGAACCACCCCCACAGAAAGAGAGAAACAAAAGAATATATACTGTACAATTGTGTACTATATGTTTCTCTATTTATATGAAGTCCTAAAACTGGTAAAACTACTATACGCTAATAAAAATTAGATTAGTGGTTATTTGTTGTGAGAGTTTAGGGTGGCAAGATTGAATACAAACTTTTGGAGGTGGAAAAATTCTTTATCTTCTTTAGGGTAGTGGTTACCAGGGCATATACATTTTAAAACGTGTGAATTTCAATGCTGAAAAGTGTCCTTCAATAACGTTTATTAAGCAAATCTATTATAGGATGCCAGTTAAGATGTGGCATCCTGATTTCTTTTTCTTTTTCTTTTTTTTTTAGAAACAGATTCTCACTCTGTCATCCAAGCTGGAGTACAGTGGTGTGATCATGGCTCAGTGCAGCCTCAAGCTCCTGGACCCAAGAGAGTCTTTCACTTCAGCCTCAAGAGTAACTGAGACTACAGGCATGCACCATCATTACAAGCTAATTTTTAACATTTTTTGTAAAAACATAGTCTTGTTATGTTGACCAGGATGGGCTTGAACTCCTGGCCACAAGTGATCATCCCACCTTAGCCTCCCAAGGTGCTGAGATTACACTACGCCTGGCTAATGTCCTAAATTCTATTTTCTTATATGCAAAGATTAGCCTAGAAAACTAGTATAAACACAAATCTAAAACCAGAAATATGGCAGGGATTTCTGCAGTAACAATGAAAAACCAAGGCAGAACTGATTAGGAGGCTTACTCCTATAATCTAGGGTACACATAATAGTAATCCCTACTAAAGGTGAGCTCTCGGATAAATAAACAAATACATATAAACTCATTCAGGGTAAATAGTATCAAAACAAAACATAATAACAACCAACCATAAAGAGGTATGAAATAAGTTTATTTACAGGACTTAAAGAGATAAAGAAGCAAAATATCTAATAAAAGAGGATCCCGTGCTTTAAAAAATGACATATTTGTAAAAGAAACTAGTATAAATTCTAGAAAGAAAAATTTATAGCCAATGTAAACAAAACTTGGTGAATGAATTCAGTTATAGTTTAGACATCTATGAAAAGAAAATTAGTGAAGTAGAAGAGTATAGAAATCATCAGCTATGCATTACAGAAAGACAATAACTTGGCGGGGTGTGGTGGCTCATGCCTGTAATCCCAGCACTTTGGGATGCCAAGGCGGGTGGATCACCTGAGGTCAGGAGTTCGGGACCTGTGTGACCAACATGGCAAAACTCCGTCTCTACTAAAAATACAAAAATTAGTCAGGCGTGATGGCACGCACCTGTAGTCCCAGCTACTTGGGAGACTGACTAGGGCAGAAGAATCACTCAGTGGGTGGAGGTGGAGGTTCTAAGTGGGTGGAGGTAGAGGTTGCAGTGAGCCGAGATCATGCCACTACACTCCAGCCTGGGTGACAGAGCAAGACTCCGTCTCAAAAAAATATATTAAAAAACAAAGAAAAAAGAAAGACAATAACTTAGGAAATATTATAGCATTATTAAAATAAGAAAGTTAATTATTCATCCAAAAGGGGTTCTATGAGGAACAAATACAAAGAATACAGTGGCGAATCAATTGTACTAATTGCCCCAATTCTCCCTGTATCTAGACTCCACATTTGACTTTGCTACTCCTTTCATAAAGGGGTTGAATATATTTTCCTATGTCTTGTTTCTGAGTTAAGCCATGTGGTTTAATTTAACCAATGGGTTTAGCAGATGTGACACAAGCAAAGACTGGAAAAGAAGGCTTACACTTTGTTTATCTCCTGTGGGCTCTGTGATGGACAGATGAATGAGCCAAGCCAGCCTACTGGGAAATGAGGGATGTATGACACAAAGCCAAGTCACCCATCATCCCAAGGTCATCCTACATTATCTGGCAGAATGCTGACTCCTGGACATGTGAGTAAACCTAGCAGAGATACAGAAAGATACCAAGACAACCCACAGCTGATCACAAATGCCCCAGTGGCCCAGCCCAAATAAGTCAAGCTCAGCCCCAACCAGATGAACCTCACAGCTCATGATCTAAATAAAAATGTTTATTGTGGTATGCCACACATGCTTTGTCATCGTTCATTATGAAATATTTCTGTGACAATGAAGAGCTTATGTAAGAAGTGATACTCAAAGAATGGTGAGAATTTTCCAGAATTAAAGAGGACACAGCATGTGAAAAATGTGACATCATGGCAAATTCAGAACCTGCAAATGTTCAGTAGCTTGGATTACTGGTAGGATGCCTGAAGATATCTCAAAAAGTGTGAATAAATTTTTAAAAATTGAATTAATATGATTTTATTATAATCTAAAATATAGTAACACAAGCCATGCAGTTTCTTTCAGGTAGGAGAATCATACCATAAAATCAAATTTTACTAGAGATGATACTCCAAAAGATTATGCAGGCAGCTTTTACCTTTTAACCATGTGCTAGTTTTCTAGGGCTGTTGTGATAAAGTATCATGCTAGACACCTTTTATAAAGGCAAAAACAATTTATTGTCCATAGATCTGGAGGCTGGTTGTCCAAAATCAAGTTTTCAGCAAGACCATGCTCCCTTTGAAATCTGTAAGGGAGAATCCTTTCTTGCCTCTTCTCAGCTTTTGGTGGCTTACCAGGAATCCTTGGCCTTTCTTGACTTGAAACTACAGCACTCCAATCTCTGCCTCCATTATCACAACCTTCCCCCAACCAAGTCTCTTTTCTTCTCATAAGAACACCAGTCATATTGGATTAGAGACCATACTATTTGAATATTACTCCATCTTAACTTGATTATATTTGCAAATACCCCATTTCTAAAGAAGGTTACATTCATAAGTACCAGGGATTAGATTTCAGCATATCTTTTCGTGGGATACAATTCTACCCATTTAAAAAAAACATATTTCTAAAAGTCATGAAATGGATCCATAGTTCATCATGATTCTTACCTTGCATGTGCTATTTTAATGTCCACAAGAATTATTTAAACATTCTGTGTCAAATGTATTTACTTGAGACTGGTATATGCATATTATTATTACATCCTGGTTCTAAAATCAAAATTTATGTATCGTTATTCCTATTAATCAACAAATATGAAACCATATTCTTTTGACTAAGTTTCCTAAAGTGTTGAAAATATATGAGATATAGCATTTTGCAGAATAGGACTAGATTATTGGGTTAAGTTTGTAAATAGAGTATAACCCTTTATATTATTGCAGTATGAAAAAGCATAATATTCCTTAAGGTGCATTTCAAAATAAAAAGTCCTTAAACTAAAAATCAATTTTTATTTTTACTACATTCTAATTGAGTTGTGTTTCTATTATCAAGACTGGTATGTAAAAATTTTATAGGCTCTATAGCAGAATTTCTAGCACGTAGTCAGTCCACAATATATGTTAAATATTGCCTTTCCTTTCTTGTGGTCAAAAAATTTGCAAATGAATTTCTTTTTTGCTACTGGCACAGAGTGTTAAATTGAATTATAGTGGAAGTGATTTGTTCCCTTTTAGTCTTGGTCCATTATGTAAAATGGATTTTTTTATAGCTGCTCATAGTCAAAATACTTGGTGTTTTAAGTTGTTTTCTCTTTTTTAGAAAAGCAAATATATAGAAAGCTCAGAGTTCACATTCTTACTAATGACAAGACATTTGTAGTTATTTGGAAACAAACCTTAAAATTTTTGAAATAGAAATGCACATAAGAATTCCATAAGTTCTTTGGGAGGGCAAGGCTGACAGATCACCTGAAGTCAGGAGTTTGAGACCAGCCTGGCCAATATGGTGAAGCCCTGTCTCTACTAAAAATACAAAAAAATTAGCCGGATATGGTGGCAGCTGCCTGTAATCCCAGCTACTTGGGAGGCTGCGGCAGGAGAATCGCTTGAACCTGGGAGGTGGAAGTTGCAGTGAGCTGAGCTCATGCCATTGTACTCCAGCCTGGGTGACAAGAGCAAGACCGTGTTAAAAAAAAAAAAAAAAGAATTCCATAACTTCAAAGTTTTCACACTGTGTAAGGTAGACATTTGCTATGGCAATGCCAATAGATATTCATTTGACAAGCAACCAGCATCAATTATTTTAAAGATACTTCCTGAAACGTTTCATAATACTAAAGCTCCATTGCAATGTGATACTATTAAAATAGAGAGTTTTGAGGGAAATAAACCTAAGCATTTCTCCAAAGCCAATTTTCATTAGACAGCTATTCCAGAAACACATTATATAATATCACTAAGAGCTCTGTTTTGGGGAAAAATGCAAACAAAAAACAAAAACAGATTTGAGGAAACTGGCAGATCTTGCTGTCACTCAGATTTGCTAGCTAAAGATGATCAATTGAAAAAAGAATTGCATTTGTAAACAATCTTTTAAAGAGTAATCCCATAGGGATTTGGAAGACACTGTCATTTCTTTAAAATTAGCAGACTTTTACCAATGTTCTCCAAATGAATGACAAGTAATTAGCAGAATTTTAAATGAATCGATCTTTATACAGCATATAATCAGATTATTTATTAAATTATTACAGCTTTCTAAGTAGGAAATAATAAAAATGAAAAACAAACTTAATGCATTGTGGGTCAAGGCAGGCCAAAGAGTGCTTATTGCTAGCAATTCCTGGCTCATTAAAGAGCATTGCTGAATTTGCCACTCTTGAAAGTTAGTCAGCACTCTGTTTTTGAGCAGCATTGGTTTCCTAATAGGTGGCATTCAGATAAGAGTTTACATCATGTTAGATACTTTTGTATTTGCCTATTTTCCAAAAATTCTATGTAGTTCTAATTCACCTGGATCTTTATTAATAGACGTTATTGAGGGGACAGAGTATCTTTGAGAATGCCATACAGGAGGAAGATATTGATCTACAAAATAGAAATTTTGCTAGAGGCTGGATTCCACTTTATATTTTAATGGGGTGTATCTGATGTTTAGCACCCAGTCTTTTTGGTCAATGAATATTAATTGAAAACATCTGCTAAGCCAGATGCTAAACTAGGTGCTGCAAACAGGATATTCAGTAACAACCAGGCACATTTCCTACTTTAGAGAACTTAAAGTTATGTGGTGGCACTTATCAAATAATTTCAAAAAATGTCAACTGCAATTCTGAGAAGTGTTAAGAGAGAGAGGTACAGGGAGCTAAAAGCATGTCTCATCATAGGAACTGGCATTACTGGAGAAGACAAGAGACATTTCCCTGAGGAAGTGGCAAATTATCAGAGATCTAAAGGATATTAAACAGGCAAGGAAGGAAGGAAGAACTTCTAGGTACGTAGAACAGCTTATAAGAAGGTCAGGAGCCCACTTGATCATGGTGGATAAGCTTTTTGATGTGCTGCTGGATTCGTTTTGCCAGTATTTTATTGAGGATTTTTGCATCAATGTTCATCAAGGATATTGGTCTAAAATTCTCTTTTTTGGTTGTGTCTCTGCCCAGCTTTGGTATCAGAATGATGCTGGCCTCATAAAATGAGTTACGGAGGATTCCCTCTTTTTCTATTGATTGGAATAGTTTCAGAAGGAATGGTACCAGTTCCTCCTTGTACCTCTGATAGAATTCGGCTGTGAATCCATCTGGTCCTGGACTCTTTTTGGTTGGTAAACTATTGATTATTGCCACAATTTCAGCTCCTGTTATTGGTCTATTCAGAGATTCAACTTCTTCCAGGCTGGTTCAATATACGCAAATCAATAAATGTAATCCAGCATATAAACAGAGACAAAGACAAAAACCACATGATTATCTCAATAGATGCAGAAAAGGCCTTTGACAAAATTCAACAACCCTTCATGCTAAAAACTCTCAATAAATTAGGTATTGATGGGACGTATTTCAAAATAATAAGAGCTATCTATGACAAACCCACAGCCAATATCATACTGAATGGGCAAAAACTGGAAGCATTCCCTTTGAAAATGGGCACAAGACAGGGATGCCCTCTCTCACCACTCCTATTCAACATAGTGTTGGAACTTCTGGCCAGGGCAATTAGGCAGGAGAAGGAAATAAAGGGTATTCAAGTAGGAAAAGAGGAAGTCAAATTGTCCCTGTTTGCAGACGACATGATTGTATATCTAGAAAACCCCATTGTCTCAGCCCAAAATCTCCTTAAGCTGATAAGCAAATTCAGCAAAGTCTCAGGATACAAAATCAATGTACAAAAATCACAAGCATTCTTATACACCAATAACAGACAAACAGAGAGCCAAATCATGAGTGAACTCCCATTCACAATTGCTTCAAAGAGAATAAAATACCTAGGAATCCAACTTCCAAGGGATGTGAAGGACCTCTTCAAGGAGAACTACAAACCACTGCTCAAGGAAATAAAAGAGGATGCAAACTAATGGAAGAACATTCCATGCTCATGGGTAGGAAGAATGAATATCGTGAAAATGGCCATACTGCCCAAGGTAATTTACAGATTCAATGCCATCTCCATCAAGCTACCAATGACTTTCTTCACAGAATTGGAAAAAACTACTTTAAAGTTCTTATGGAACCAAAAAGGAGCCCGCATCACCAAGCTAATCCTAAGCCAAAAGAACAAAGCTGGAGGCATCACACTACCTGACTTCAAACTATACTACAAGGCAACAGTAACCAAAACAGCATGGTACTGGTACCAAAACAGAGATATAGATCAATGGAACAGAACAGAGCCCTCAGAAATAATGCCACATATCTACAACTATCTGATCTTTGACAAACCTGAGGAAAACAAGCAATGGGGAAAGGATTCCCTATTTAATAAATGGTGCTGGGAAAACTGGCTAGCCATATGTAGAAAGCTGAAACTGGATCCCTTCCTTACACCTTATACAAAAATCAATTCAAGATGGATTAAAGACTTAAACGTTAGACCTAAAACCATAAAAACCCTAGAAGAAAACCTAGGAATCACCATTCAGGACATAGGCATGGGCAAGGACTTCATGTCTAAAACACCAAAAGCAATGGCAACAAAAGACAAAATTGACAAATGGGATCTAATTAAACTAAAGAGCTTCTGCACAGCAAAAGAAACTACCATCAGAGTGAACAGGCAACCTACAAAATGGGAGAAAATTTTCGCAACCTACTCATCTGACAAAGGGCTAATATCCAGAATCTACAATGAACTCAAACAAATTTACAAGAAAAAAACAAACAACCCCATCAAAAAGTGGGCGAAGGATATAAACAGACACTTCTCAAAAGAAGACATTTATGCAGCCAAAAAACACATGAAAAAATGCTCATCATCACTGGCCATCAGAGAAATGCAAATCAAAACCACAGTGAGATACCATCTCACACCAGTTAGAATGGCAATCATTAAAAAGTCAGGAAACAACAGGTGCTGGAGAGGATGTGGAGAAATAGGAGCACTTTTACACTGTTGGTGGGACTGTAAACTAGTTCAACCATTGTGGAAGTCAGTGTGGCGATTCCTCAGGGATCTAGAACTGGAAATATCATTTGACCCAGCCATCCCATTACTGGGTATATACCCAAAGGACTATAAATCATGCTGCTATAAAGTCACATGCACACGTATGTTTATTGCGGCATTATTCACAATAGCAAAGACTTGGAACCAACCCAAATGTCCAACAATGATAGACTGGATTAAGAAAATGTGGCACATATACACCATGGAATAGTATGCAGCCATAAAAAATGATGAGTTCATGTCCTTTGTAGGGACATGGATGAAATTGGAAATCATCATTCTCAGTAAACTATCACAAGAACAAAAAACCAAACACCACATATTCTCACTCATAGTTGGGAATTGAACAATGAGAACACATGGACACAGGAAGGAGAATATCACACTCTGGGGACTGTTGTGGGGTGGGGAGAGGGGGGAGGGATAGCATTGGGAGATATACCTAATGCTAGATGACAAGTTAGTGGGTGCAGCACACCAGCATGGCACATGTATACATATGTAACTAACCTGCACAATGTGCACATGTACCCTAAAACTTAAAGTATAATAAAAAAATAAATAAATAAAGTAAAATAAAAAAAAAAAAAGAAGGTCAGGAGAAAGCGAAAACAGATGTGAATGGATGAGACAAAACCTGGAAGATGTTCCTGGGGAGGTCTTAAATGTAGGTCAGATGAATGGTAATTAGTTAGTCAATAATAATAGAGGAGGTTCAGTTCTAATAACTAAATGGGTCTATTTCATAGAGGACTCACAGACAGGGTCCAGATCTGCCTTCTTTTTGCACCAATTTCTTCATCTATAAACTACAAGTATTCTAAACATTTCGGAAAGAGGATGTAAAAAGAAATTATATGTAGCTTAGACATTGTAAAATATTGAGAAATAAGTAAATAAAAGCACAGGCCTAACAAAAACAAATTAAGGCATCATTTTTAAATCATCTAAACAAATGGAAATACCAATCATGTTCTAGGCTGTGGGAATTTGTTATGATCCTTCCAAATGTGGCAAATCCTCCAACAACTGAGAGATATATAGTCACAACTGTGGTGTATTGGAATAGGAATAATAAAGTTGATCAGTGGAGCACAGTAGAAAGTTTAGAAGTAGACACTGGTGTTTATAGAAACATTGTAAATAAGTTAATAGACATGCTTAAAAATTCTGGGTATATTAAATATTTAAATTTATTTATTCAACTATTCTCTTAACTAATATTTATTGAAGATCTACTGTGGCTTTTCTAGGAAACTACATTAACAATGCTTAGCTCTGTATGATGGGATTTCTGATGATTTTTGCTTTTTTTAAAATATAGGAGAAATTACTAAAACACATTCTAAGTATAATTTGTCCCAGAAATTATGAATACTATTAGTAATGACCTTAGTTTTCATTTTTATCCAGTCATGTGTATTTAGATCAAACAAGTATCTAGTATCAAATATGTACCATTGCCATTCACAATTTATATTTAATCCTTTATTATTTATAACATTGTTTTATAGATGTTATTTAATTGAATTTTCAAAATAGATAGCTGACAAGCAGAGGATGTATTCTCATTTCAGATATAAGAAAAATTAGACTGGGGGAAGAAAAAGCATTAAGTGAATTAAGCATTTGTAGAGTAGATGGCTCAGATCATTTATTTCCTAAGTTAATGCTTTCATATTAATTTTACATGCCAAATTAAAATAAATAGCATGGATTACAAAATAAAGCAAAAGCGAGTCATCTACTCTTCTTAAATCTTATCAAATGCTTTTAGTTTCCCTTTGAGTGAATAGCAATGCAAGTAAACAATTCCTCTTCTAGTAGGTGACCAATCATTGGTAAAGAGCACAGGTATAATAACCTCTATAGAGTACTTTGGTTAAAAATAGTGGTCTGTATTAGAATGGAAGCCTAGCCCTCATATTGCCATGTGAAGTTGCTTGTCTAGAAGAACACTTTTGACCAATCTTTGCCCTTTATCCAATTGTCTCTAGGGGAGAAGGAATAATTTATCTGATCCGTCTTGCAGATCTCAGCCATTTCTTGGCTCTCCCTTATCAGTACTCATTTTTGGTGAGACCATATACTAAGGTCTCTCTCCTCAGTCTTACAGGCAAAGGTTGCTATCCCTGCAATGTCTGTCCAATTCATTGGTGAAGTATTAGAAACCCAAAGAATTCAGTCAAACCGTCTAAACTAACTTTTGCAGTAATAAATCTAGAGATTTCATCTTACCTGTTTATCTTTTAATTATATTCAAATAATGGGATACTATTGATATTATTGAAAGGATAAAACTTGAATATCTGATGTTTTGCTCTAGGAAATTTGCTAATTGTATACAAACACTGGTAGGTGAAAAACAAAGTAACGTCTGTGAAGATTAATTGATGAGGCCAGGATATATGACTTTAGGTTCTGAGTTTTAGCAAGCAGGACCATAAAAGTTTTCAAACATGGTTGCTTGCAACACACTATATTACATTTCACAGCTGGTTTATACTCTAGTCCACATGGCTTTTATTAGCCTTTGACTTTGTGAGTATGAACAATATAAGAATTTGTTTTGTTGGGTCAACTTTATCCAAAAGCGGGTGGTTATTTTAAATGTTCAAAGCTCACTTAAATAGGACCTTAAAAATATAGGAATACAGATCTCTGTATATAGGCCAGATGAGGTAAAAGTTGCCTAGAGGAAAAAAATTCTTCTAGCATGCAAGACTCTTAGGCATTAAGCAGAAGAACATTTTGCTATTTTTCTTCTGCTTCTCAACTAGATCCACAAATCAGGAGGCCAGATTTTAAACTCCATAGGTAAATCAATTCTGCACATACTACAACACTTGTGAGACTCTAGATTTAAGTTTTAGTGGTGGCAATGGCAGGCCATGCTAGGAAGCTCAGATTGAGCCTTTGTTCTCATCATATTTCTTTTCATGGGCCCACAGTGCAATAAAAAAACAAAATGGAGTGAACAAGAACAGAATCGTCATACGGTCAAAATGATCATCAAACTACACTCATCTGCAGTGCAGGCTTCTGGGGGCATCTATACACTAAACACTTGGAGCCAGCTTCTCAAGGTCCATCCACACATCTTTTCCCCACATTATCTTATCTGTAATCTTCCTATCTTGTTCTCAGCCCTGACCAACAGCTGAGTACTTTTACTCAACTGAGTGTGCATAGTTTATTTGGAAATTATCCCAGGTGGTCATTAGGACAGAGGAGGCTTTATGACAACAGTAGCCGACGTTTTCAGCTCATATCAGAATATCGAGCAGACCCATCCAAAGACCAGGCCTGGATTTCTTCCTACGTGGCTGGCTACAGGGGACCCTCATGGATAAATAGTTATTAGATGAGAGAGAGGCACTGACAGAGTTAGGTGACATAAAGGACCGATCTACTTGTTCATGTACCTGGCTGTTGTTCATCTACCTGAATCACGTGCTGTGGGTCTAGTCAGACCCAACCTCAAATGCAGTATGATAAAGCACATGATGGGCTGCTATTATACCCACCCAACTTATGACCATGGTGGATCTGACAAATCCCGGCTCATGATAGGCAGCTCTGTTCTCAAAGCAGCTTCATGCCCAGTGATCCAGTTCTCATTTGTTACTAACTCCCAAGAGCAAAGCAGAGATGCTTTTCAAATCAAGAGCTATTTCTCTTCTGCATAAGGTATGGCCTTACTCTGTTACCTGCTGCAGAACCCTCTCAACCTCTAGATCCCTCTCAAAACTGTCAACACTCTAAGTCACTTGATAAATGGGTTGAAGTATTCCTCAAAAAATACAAAGAATCTAACAAAAAAGTGCACTTATTTTTAGGTGGTAGAAGGTTCAAGGTGAAACAACTTGTTTTTTTCCATAGGGCAAGCTTGTCCAACTCATGGCCTGATGTGATTCAGGATGGCTTTTAAGGTGGCCCAACACAACTCGTAAACTTTCTTAAAATATTATGAGGTTTACTAGTGTGATTTTGGGTTTTTTTGTTTTTCATTTTTTGTTTTTTTTTTAGCTCAACAGCTATCGTTAGTGTTAGTGTATTTCACATGTGGCCCAAGACAATACTTCTTCTTCCAATGTGACCCAGGGAAGCCAAAATATTTGACACTCCTGCCTTAGGGAGCTCCCCTAGCATGCCTCAGATCATTGGGCCCCCTAAAATCCTCACTAATTTGACCCATCTCTGCATCATCATAGAGAATATAATCCACTCTGTGGCATCCATGCATTGCACCAGTGCATCCAGTGCATCAACGAGAGAAACATTGGGAGAGAAATAGGAATTTTTTCAATGTGGCAGCAAATTTTAAAATTTAAATAACATTTTTTTTAATTGTAGGAAAAACAGAATGTGGAAGTTTTAAGGTCAGCAGACACTGTTGATGTCCATCCTATATTCATACACATGCTGACTTAAAGGGCCCATGTCTCAGTGCTTCTCTGCCTAAGAGCTTTATCTAGTGCTGTAAGAATGTATGTGTCCATGCACAGGGAAGCCTGGAAATGAGAGAATTTACGCCCCCAGGGGCAAATTTCAAGAAGTAAGAGGAAGGAACTGGTGGATCTTCCACCATCAGGATCTTCTATAATCACAGCCTTCAATGAGTAAATAGTTGGCCAGCCTGAGCGTGCCATTCTCTTTCCTCAGGTTTTCCAGAGTATGTATGAAAAAGTCCTCCCCAATTCCATAATCTACAAAAAACCATGGCTCCTCTATTTTCCCATATTCTAGATATTGCCTGAATCAGTGCTTTTCCTTCCACTTGTACATCATCCCAATCCACCAAGAAGTGAGGAGGCTTAGAAATCTTAGTATTACTGCAAGCCACCCCACTCACCCTCAAAGGATTCCTTGTCCTCTGACGGGCTCTTGATCCATTTCCAGGATTCCATGCTGGAAGTGTGCTCCCTAGGGCAACTTCTAATACAAACTATCTTAATTTTGGTTATCGCAAATGTAAACACCGAGACATGAGGCCTGGGTGCACGTAGTTTATTTGGAAATTATCTCAGGAAGCATGAGGAAAGGAGTGGGAAAAAGAAACAGAGAAGGTAGAAAACCCAATACATTTTACATTAATTAGTGGACTACCATGATGTGCAACTGAGTTTCAATCCACTGGGGACTGTCTGAGAATCCATTAAGAATCTGCCTAAGAATGTTCTCTCAAAGAATGGGAAAGCTGAAATATTTATCCACCAGTTCCTTCCTCTTACTTCCTGAAATTTGCCCCTGTGAGCATTAATTCTCTCATTTCCAGGCTGCCCCGTGCATGGACACATAAATTCTTATAGCACTAGCTAAAGCTCTTAGGCAGAGAAGCACTGAGACATGGGCCGTTAAAGTCATCATGTGTGAATATAGGATGGACATCAACAGTGTCTGCTGGCCTCAAAACGTCCACATTCTGTTTTTCTTACAATTAAAAAAATCTAATAATGTTCACATATTATTTCCCCACAGTTACAATTGTACTAGGCTAAGTAGGCATTTGTTGGAACTCTGTTGTCCACATCTTTTCCTCAAGAACAATATCCCCCTTTCAGCTTTACATTTCTTTACACAGCACTCAAGGCACTTCATCATCTGGCTGCAAACTACCTTTCTAGCATCCTTATTAGCTACACTCCTCCACCTACTGTACCTGACATCGTGCCCAACTACTTATAATTTTTCTAATATTCTCAGAATCATATGTCTGTGTCCATAGTGATCCCTAAATGTGAAATACTATTGAAATCCTTATCTGCCAAGACTCAATTCAATCATAGAGTCTTTCCCCACTGCCCCTGTCAGAATTAATTATTCATTATATTCCCATTATGACAACTCAATGTACATTCCTCTGTTGAGGGCTTATTGCACTCTATTGTGACCAGCTTTTATAAAACAAAATAATCTTTCTTTTTATTCTATTGTATGTATTAGGTTTGCTTCTTCCTTCTCAATGAGCTATCAGGTCCCTTTTTATATCCTTCTCCCTGTAATAGCTAGTATAATATGTTGATGATAAGAAGGACTCAATAAATCGTATATAAAGATGTGTTGAATGAATGAAAGGCAAATCACGTTTTCAGTGGGGAAGTGAATAAAAGCTGGTGTCTGTTGCTACATTATACTGTGGCAGACATTCTTGAGTTTTTGTATCTGTCATCAGATAGAGGGCAGTAGTATGAAAGGAATATGACGAAAAGAAACAATGGCAATTGTCACAAAAGCTTCCACTTGCTCAGGTGAACTGGTTTGTACTCAGTGCTAGGAGAAGCCATTGGAATGATTGAGGCCACCATTATTTTTAATTTGCCAGCTACTCACTGTTTCTCATGAAAGAAAAACTGACATTGTTAGTGATCAGAGAGAATTGGATTTGGTCACTGAAAGACCATACTTATGAATTAAATGGTAAAAATTTATCCGAATATTTATTAAATATAACAGAAAGAAATACATATGGAGGATAACAACCACCAAGTGGGGAAGTAGAAGAATAATTTGCAAGCTAAAAACTACAAATGGAAAGTGGGAGAGTAGTTTTCATCAATTTTCCATTTTCTCTTTACAGAGAATCTAGGCTCTTTGTATTATATCTGAGGGAAGGAAAGCATTTTGAAACACAAGAACTCCTTGATTAAAAGACAAATTGAATTTCACCAAAATTTAGCCAATACTATTTTAGAGGTTTATTAGAACAATTACACATGAAAATACCCAATACAAAGCAAGTGCTCAAAATATCTTAGTATTGCTTTTATCTTTTTAAGTTTAGAAAAATATTTAATCTATTTAATAAAATCTTGTCAACAAAAGATTATTGCTGCTAATATTAAAATGTATCATTTCATTTATCTATAGGTATAGGTGGTTTAACACAGATCTAGATCCTCCAATCAAAATTCATATGCTTAATGTAGGTAAAGACATGACAGTTCACATTTACATCATAATTGTCAGTTTGTTACATGCAGTATTCAGCAGCCTTAGGGAACTAAAAGAAGCTAAATGCATTATCTAAAATGCTAGATGAGAAAAGAGTAGTGATATGACTGGATATGAAAGAACACACCAGGCATCTTACTGTGATCATATTGTCAATACCATAAGAAAACAGCCATAAGATACCCAGATTCCAACTTATCTATAAATATAGTTTTAATTCTTATATGGTCTCTTGGCGACGGAATTCTACTGGTACCAAAGAAACTAGCTCATGAATTTCTCCAACATTCCCCTAAAGTAGGCTATTTATTCATTTCTAAGATTCCTGACAAAGTTTTTAACAAAAAGGAGAGGATAGAGAAATATTTCTAATTGCAGTGAAGTTGGAATCTGACATGATAGTATGATAACAAAAATTAACATAAAATGTTTTCTTCAAATAACTTATTAACACAATGACAGTCTATAAAGATATTTTGAATGTAGGATTGTATATAATACTTCTCACTCATAAAAATGAGGCTATGGTTGATATAAAAATTTGGTAAAATAGTCATTCTTACAGTTTGTGATTTACTATATAAGAACTGGTAATACCTCTGCATTAGGTAAATTCATCCACTTAAGGCACTTAGGACAGAATCTGGAAATGGTAAATACTTCAAAAGTATTAGCTGTTAGCTATTAGCTATGACATTTGCTAACACTTAAAAAGTCCTTCAAGATTCTGTTGGTTTGTTTTAATTTTATTCTTTATCTGGAATTATAGTAGTAATCTATTCATTCTGTAAATATTCAAGGCAAAAGAAGAATCTAAAGTAAAATGTAAGAACCTCTCTTTATCCCTGTTGTCATGTAGGACAATACTGAATTCATAGGTTAATTGAGAAAGAATTAACATCTGTAGTATATATATATATATATATATATAATATGTCCATAAGTACTCTTCAGCTGTTTAATTTGTCATGCTGTATTTCTTTGAAATTTTGGCAGCTTTTGCTTTATGAATGTCATGCTATACTGTTGAACATTAGGATTCATGGCAGAGCTTTTTGGTGACCTCTGTTACCTTGCTGAATATGTTTTGTTTTGAAGGCAACCCTGTCTGACGTTTGTCTCTGTGTTTTCCTGGTGTATTCTTGGCCTTACTTTTCACATTCAATCTTTACTTTGCTTGATTTGGTTGCACCTTACCATACTCTATGCTACTTCACTTTGTTGAACTCTAATTTTAATTAAACTATAGATCCATGAGGCTGGGTGCAAATTCTGTTTTTCATCATTGTATCACCTTGCAGTGCTGGGTGCTCAATTATCACTGTTGAAGATTTTGGAGGTACTTTATTTATATACAGCTCTGTATAAAATACATGGTTGGATTTTTTTAATCGAATCTACTTTTTTTCTAATAATCAGTGAACCTCTTCATTTTCATTGATTGATACAATACATATGTACTATGGTCTGTATTTTTCACCTAATTTTATTTTTTCTGTCTTTTTATGGGGATCCACTGGGGAGGATTTCCCTTCCATTTGTTAATTTATAGCCTACTTTCAACATTTCAGTGGCTACTTCTGGGGCTTTTAATATTTAGCCTCTTTTATGGATTTCTTAATATTTGAAACTATGTATTTTTTCTCCACTATGAAAGATAATGAAATTCATACATTTGTATTTCTGGTCACCTCCCCATTCCCTCCTGATTTTTGTTAACGTATATAAATATTTTACATTTTCAGAGTATATAACCTTTATAGGATATTTTAAATATATAATATACACCGTTGCTTAGTTCTGTATTTAAATGAATTCAATGTCTGTTACTGATCCTTTCATGTTACTGCTTCCACTTTTTGGATCTCTGTTGTTCCCAAAAGTTTTCATTATGAAAGCTTTTAAGTCTGTGGAAAATTAAAAGAGTAGAGCAATGAACAGGCTATGGTCTTCACTTAGAATTATAAATATTATGTTGTCACATTTGCTTTATCCATTTATTTTTTGCTCTATTTCTATTTACTAATTTACATATAGACATAATCTATATTTTATTTTACCATCTTTATTTCATCTTTCTTTAAGTGTATTCCCAAGAATAAGTAATCTCCAACATAGTCACACAGTACTATTATTTATATTAATATTTAATATCCAGTCCATATTTATTTTTCTCTAATTTTTCAAAAATATATTTGAAGTTTTGTTGTTGTTGTTCCAGGATGCAATTTAGGTTCACACACTGTTAATGTCTCTTGGGTCTCTTTTATTCTACAAAGAACCATAACTTGTTTCAAGATTTTTTAAAGATCCAGGCCAGTTGTCAGGTAGAATCTCCCAGTTCCTGGACTTATCCAATTATTTCTTCTGAATGCTATTTAAACTTCTTTTCTATTCCCTGTATTCCAATAATTTATTCTAAATGGTTGATTTCATTCAAATTAAACATGTTACAAGACTATTTCATAAGTGGTTTTGTAGTCTTTATTTTATATCACAAGAGGCAATGTAATGTCACTTGCCCACTCTTTAAATGTATCCCATCAACCTAAGCAACCTTATATTTTTCCCCTCATCTTCCCTTAACTATTCTCCTCTTTCCCCCATAGAAGCTCAAAACTCTTTTTACTTTGGCCTAAGACAAAACATAAGCTCTCAAATTCTGGCCAGCTACTTCAGTGTCATTTCTTTGTGAATTCCCATGCACATGTACATAATTAAATTTGTAGAGTTTTATCCATTTAATATGTCTTTTATCATTATCTATTTAATATGTCTCTTACCAGTTTAATTCATAGGCCTCAGCCATAGAACGTAGGAGGGTACAGGGAAAAACTTTTTCCTTCCCTACAGGGGTCAGGGCAACATAAGTATTAAGGTCATATGGCTTGCTGGCCTGTAAATAACTTGTAAATAATTAAGTTCTTTGTCTCTGAACCATTAATCTTACGTCTCCTACCATCCATAAAACTATGACAAAATGATCAACCTGTTATCTTCCAAGAAGGGTGAAATATCAGACCCCTAATAATTTGACTTTTAATCAATTACTTTTATCTTTTTGTTCTCTCCCATTTATTTTTTAAAGATTGTTTTCCATGAGCCATAATTTTGCCCACCCCACCCCAACCAGGTTACTTAATTTCTGGGCTTCATTTTTCTCCTCTGTATGATGACAATAATAATAGTATTGAAACTGCCCTTGCAAATATTATAACAATGAGAAAATTATCACAATGAAAGAGATGTGACCTAACCAACTCTATCTTATCTTTAACCTCCAAGCCTGGTCATTCTTGGTTTTTCACCAAACTCATTTTGGGAGGAATTTAGTTTGTAGTTTAACAGTGAAACAAAGATAGTAACAGCCCCTCCCCACCACAAACCCCTCTTTGCTTAGAAACCCGACCACCTTTGGAAAAACAACAAATTTAGCCACAAGATTAGAAATTATGTCTCAAGAGTCATGCAGCCAGAGGGCACCAGATTTCTTACCTCCCCAATTGCTCCTACAGATAACATCACTATTGTAAAGCTTAAGGTTGGTATTTGAGGTATTTTTTGGACCCTGCATTCTGATGGATCAGCTGGCACCACCCAGAACAGTAAACTGGCTCATCTGGTCTTGTGGCTCCCACTCAGGAACCAGCTCAGCACAAGAGGACAGCTCCAACTTCCTGTGATCCCATCCCCAACCCAACCAATCAACATCCCTCATTCCATAGCCCCCTGCTCCCCAATCTATCTTTTAAAAAAATCTAACATCTGAATTTTCAGGGAGGTTTATTTGAGTAACCATAAAACTATGGTCTCTAATTTAGCTGACTCAATAATTGAACTGTTTATTGTAATTCTCCTGTTTTGGTAAATTGGCTTCATGTTGGCAGCAGGCAAGAAGAACCCTTTCGGTGGTTACAAGTTTGGGGGCTAATCACTGGGATAGCCCTTGAAGGTACCTGCCCATGGTTCAGCAGCTCCTTACCAGTGACAGATCCAGAGGCCAGCTCAAGCAGCCACATAGTTCTCTTGGAATAAGTACTCCCCTGGTGCCAACTCTACCAGCAGAGTGCTATCCACCCATAGTGCATGGATCTAATTGTAATGGAGAAATATTTCCTCAAAGACATCTTGTAACCTGATTTGGTGAGTATACCAGGTGCTGCCAACACCCTCTTCCTTCCCTGAGTCTATTGATATCTCTAGAGGCACTGTATGTAGCCCCATTATAGGGACTGTCTGGCTCTGTGGCCCTCTTATGGGGACTGTTCATCTCTCCCTTGATTGTAGGAAGAGTCTCATTTTGGGAAGATTTCTCCCCAAAGAAACAGAGAATAGGGGACCTGTTTGGAAGCATATTCTTCTGGTTTGTCATCTGGTCTGGAATCCTGGTTTGGAAGGCCTTCTGTTCATATTTACTTCATTGTGTGCATTTGTATATGTAGAGAAGATCTCTGACGGAATTGCTGCCAGAAATCCATCAGGCTCTCCTAATTTGTCTGGCCAGTCATATTTGGTGAGAGCTGAAGGAACCGTTAGCTGGAGCTCAACAGGTCTCATAAGGATAACTCTCTGCCCTTCCATCTTGCCCAGAGACTACCCACTGAAACTCCTGGTCAGAGGTCATCTCTGCCTACCTTAAGTGGATCAAATATAACAGAGACCAACGAAGACAAGTTTGAGCCTTGCAGATTGATATTTGGGCACTGAGTAGGGTGATTAGTGTCTGTGTTTTGTCACGTGTATTTTGCTCCAGCCAAAATAGGAAAAGTTAATTCAGCTCCCCCACATAGCCCATTGGGTGGCATCTTGTAAAATTGAAAGGCTTTTGCCTATGGTTCCATAAAACAGAAAAGAATGATTTTCTTTTGTAATGTGGTTTGGCCCCTTGATATGGTTTGGCTGTGTTCCCACCCAAATCTCAACTTGAATTATATCTCCAGAATTCCCACATATTGTGGGAGGGACCCAGAGGGAGATAATTGAATCATGGGGGCTGGTCTTTCCCATGCTATTCTCATGATAGTGAATAAGTCTCACGAGATCTGATGGGTTTATCAGGGGTTTCTGCTTTTGCTTATTCCTCATTTTCTCTTGCTGCCACCATGTAAGAAGTGCCTTTTGCCTCCCACCGTGATTCTGAGACCTCCCCAGGAATGTGGAACTGTAAGTCCAATTAAACCTCTCTTTCTTCCCAGTCTCACATATGTCTTTATCGGCAGTGTGAAAACGGACTAATACACCCCTCTAGCTATGGTGCAGCATGCAGGGTCCTCAAAAGCCACTCCATTCTTCTGGAAGCTTCAGAGAAAGAATATCTTCAGGCTTCTGGTCTCTCTCTCTGTACAAACCAGTTGAATGAATGGTAAAAGTCACTGTTTGTCCCTTCTACAACGTTTTGATTAATAGGAAAAAGGATTTGTATGAGTCATCTTTTTGTCTTTCTGCGTCATTCTGTACCACAAGATAGAACACAGGCCTATAACCCTTATAAGTCTGCTGTTTCAGCCAGCCCTAAAGACTGCTCAGCTACAAACTTTGCTGAGGTCGCTGAAACAAAAACCAAATGAGGTTTCTCTTTCATGTTGTGTCTTAAAAACTTGACTTTATGACCGTGTGGGGGTACTCTCTCTTGCTCTACACAATCCAGAGGGTGGGAATTTGGGGGTTCATGTCATGGTTAGCTTTAAGATTTCTCTTGAGCAGTTAAAATCCTTTGCAAGCTCAAAATCACCACCACAGACTCCTTCTGGGAAAAGACAATTGCCCCATGCTGTAGCTCAGTAGCTAAGGCTTTGCCTTTTCACAGTGGTGGCCTGGGTTCAATTCCAAGTTTAGGAGGTGGGTCACTTCTGATTTAATATCTGTAGGACTTTTTCCATTTATTAATTATTTTTCCCTTCATGGACAGCTTCTTGATTTCCTATCTTGAATTTTCTTTTTTCTGAGTGACCATTGGGGTGATTCTATATCTTGTAAAAACCACTTACTATCTCTTTGAAAACACCTCATGCATCCATGGTTAAGTCATAGCCTTAGTTGAGGATTATTGATTTCACCTGGGAGGTTACCTTTAGTAAAAAATTCAAAAGCCAGAAATATTGGCTGTTTGTCTCAGCTAAAATCTGGTAATAAAAAAATAAAATTGATTTTTTAAGAGCTCTAATAAAAAATTTACTTAATTAAGGCTGATATTTGGACTATATGTATACAGATATTGTTTTAAAGCCCCTGCTCTCCCTCTGTAAAAGACATTTTAGTCAACAGAATTCTGTCTGATTCTCCTCTTACCCTTGTCTATTCCTACTTCCTCTTGTATCTAAACTTTTTTACTTTTGGGGGGCCAGAAATTACTTTGCATTATAAGAAAATTTTAACCTTGATGTATAATAGCTAGATAAGAGATAAATTTTTAAGTAGTTGATGGCAGTTGCTTACTGTGAATAATTATTACTACAGAATAATATTCCTTTCTTTGTGTGTTTAAATAAAAATAGTGTGCTCTTAGACACCTAAAATATATGGAACGGATGACTAAATATGGAATGGGCTGACTGGCTTGGGTTGCCCACCAGCCTCAGGGGGATGTCCTTGCAGGGAACTGCACAATAAAACTGTGACACTGTCTGGTCCTATAGTGTTCCCTTCTTTTGGGGGATCCAGGTTTCAGTGAAAAAATGGGATGCTTGATTTGGGGGGATCTGTTATCTCTTCTTCTTGTGCCCACCAATTAGGCCCTAAAAACTGCATGCTTTATTTCCCCTGTTTCTTAAAAGGCTCTACCCTAAAGCCAGTAGTCCAATTAATTTACAACTTTAAAGAACTCTCCATATGTAAGAGTGTCTTATTTTTCTGCCTATCTTAACTCAACTTTTACTTACACAATTTTTCTTCAGTTTGAGTTAAGTATGAATTATCTATCTTGTTTCATCAAGAATTACTCCTTTAGAAATGCAAATTTTGAGTTGTCTAGCTGACAATTGTTTAGAGCAGGGAACAAGTAATCAAGAGACTAATGGTCTAAAATGGGGAAGAGAAACTTAAAGGCTGACAAATGAAAAATCTTCTATCTCTACGTTTTCTGTTTTGTGTGTGTGATGTTTCACTACCAAATTATATAAAGGAACTCTTATTAGTTGGCCTAAAGATAAATAAGTGCTTAAATCAAATATTTTGTCAGAAAAATAGAAAATTTAATACCTTTTAATTCATGTGACCCTAATAATCTTTGGTAAATAAAAATTATTTTAATATTATTAATAAAATAACAGTCTTCAAAATTTAGACATTAGGTCTGAATTAGGCAAGGCAGATACTGCCTTGCTAGATGCTTTAAGGTTATAAACTGCTGCTATGACATTTTATTATTGTTCAACTTGCCTGCTTTACAGCCATTGGATTCTAGGTAAGGCCTGGGGACATACCTAGCTATGCTGGAAAGAATCAGACATTCATTTACAGTTCTGTCTCATGTCCTAGGCTCTGCACCTGGTACATAATTAAAATTGCTTACACTAAAAATAAAAGTTATGTGTTTTTGATAATGACATAGAAATGTAATTTTTATAAGATAACTTTCTCCAGTTTAGAGAGCTTAAAAATTGTTTTAAGTCAAAAAAATTAAAGATTTAAGCAAGCTATAGAAAATTTGTGAAATATTTACCTTATTTTAAAAATACTGTGTGTGAGCAAGTGGGCTATAATTAAAAGGGTATTATTTAGTTTTTCCATCAATTGAACATTAAAATAAAAGCACACTGATTCAGAGCCAGAATCTAAGCCCGAGTGTTGAATAAACAGGGTTTTCTTGGAATATTGATCTGTTCTTTATCAGAAAATTATAAAGGGTTATGAAAGTTTTATGAAAACCTTACCTATGGTCCAACAATTAAGATTAGATAGATTTGCTTATATAGTTTTATTAAGAATTGGGTTTAACACTAATATAATTGTACACTAATGCAAAGGTGAAATTGGGCTCCTTTTGAACAAGATTTTCATGTAATATTGAGAGATAATAAATTTTGTTTGCTTTTTGAATAAACTACAAGGGAGAGAGAAGAGACAGGTTAAGTTGGCCCCATGCCCTCTTTATTGAGTCTTGTTTGTAAAACTGAGTCTCCCCTCTACCAATTAATAAAGTTTTTGCCTTTTTTGAAATGTTTAAGTTATCATTTTGGCAAAATAAGTGACTTATGATGGTGGGATTCCATTTTGTGACATCAAGTGTTTTAAAACTTTGTCATCAAGTGTTTTAAAACAAGCTTTCCAAAATCAGATTTTTAATTGTCTTTTTTTTGCTTCAATAATCTTTTAAGTATTAGGGTCTCTGAAGTCCAAGAGACATACTCAGTTTATTTAAAATTATATAGGAAGTATTCTGAAATGTAAAATCGTGTTTTACTTTCTTTGGGTTATATTCATATAAATGTGTTAATTTCATATTTTCTAAAATTGTATAATATTCCTATTAGTCTGATATGTCTCAGTATATGTTATCAGTAGTAATTATGATTGTTATCTTAAATTGTCGTGTGCCACAGAGATGACAAGATTTCCTTGTTGGTTGCATCTTTAACCATGGATAGATGACCTAAGATTTTGTCATCCACAAATAATTACTGTCTTATTTTGATCTTTTTCAAAAGGTAGTTTATAATCAGCTATAAGACTATGAAGAGTGCTCTTGAATACTGGTCTCAGACAACTTTGCAAATTATGCCTTTATAATAGAGAGAAAAGAAAATATTCGAAGATTCTCATGGAGAGCTCATGTGTTCATGAGGACTGTTGGTTCAGTATCAGGCAGAACAGGACATAATTACAGGGACTGAACTAATAAATACCAAAATAATCTTTTCATGATTTTTGTTTAAAATGTTGCTAATTCTTTTATTGTTTGTAGTCCAGAAAAACCTATTTTTCTTCTAATCTATTTACAGTTTTTAGCTATTGGGTAAACTATACTCCTATGAGCAAAATCTGGAGCACATTTCTTTCTTTTTACCTGATTTCTTCAGAATTTAGAAACTATGAATATTCTTAACTATGGCAATATAGTTATTTGCACACATACAATAAATATCTGGGTTTTTATGTAACAGGACACATTTGAAAACACTGATTATTTTACCAAGGCTTTGACTAGAATGGTATGCCTCCAAATATAAACAGACTTCTTTAAGAAATCCATGTTGACTTACAGAGCTGATAAAAGCTCCTTGGGAAAACGGCCTCATACTTGGTCTACATAGTCCCTGTACAGGCTTCCTGACTTAACTTTGGTTAGTAAAGAATGTCACTTTCTCACAGGTCCAGGGGCCCCAAGTTATCTTGGGACCTGGAGAGGAGAGGAATTCATTCAATTCCTACAAGTATTTGCAGGCACAAATAAATCCATTGCTGGAACAAGGCTCTAAAAAGTCTACGCTGAGGTTCCTTATGAAAAAACATTCCAGAAAAGCCAATTTAAAAAGAGTCTATGTGGGGCTGGGCACAATGACTCACTCCTGTAGTCCCAGCACTTTGGGAGGCCGAGGTAGGTGGATCACCTGAGGTCAGGAGTTTGAGACCAGCCTGACCAATATGGTGATACCCCCATCTACTAAAAATACAAAAAATTAGCCAAGTGTGGTGGCAGGCACCTGTAATCCCAGCTACTCAGGAGGCTGACACAGGAGAACTGCGTGAACCTGGGAGCAGAGGTTGCAGTGAGCAGAGATCATGCCATTGCACTCATGCCTGGGAGACAGAGCGAGACTCCATCTCAAAAAAAAAAAAAAAAAAAAAAGCCTGTGTGGCAAATAATTATTCTTGCTGTACTTTATGCAGACAATCAGGCCAAGTATAATAAGACTAAAGCTTATTTCACAAATAACTTTGTCCTACTATGATTTGTCTATAATAAAAATGAAGACTGGAGAGAGAAAAATTATTGCTACAAAAAATAACTAGAGTATACCTGTTGATAGATTCTAGTCTTCTCTATTGTTTTTGAGTTTTTATTATTTTCTGCAATTTGGACTGAATCCTGAATTTTTTCTGGGCTACAAGTCCTCAAATTAATATTTTCAAATTTTTCTTCCATTTTTCTGACTTGGACTAAATAAAATGGCTACTAACTTCTTCCTGAAGCCCTGCAAACTTGCTTGTGGTGCAGGCAAAAAAAATTTGTCAGACTGCTACTTCCATCCTCCTCTATAACTAAATATCCGTTGAGTCTAACATCTGGATAAATTGTACCCAACATTAACCTTTATTTTTTTCTGTTTCCATGGAAATGCCTCTTATTAAAAATCCATTTGCTTTCATCACATATAAAGGCCTAGCTCATCTGCAGTGCCACCTCCTGAAATGGGAAACAGCTGTTTAACTGCACTGAACTATTCTCAGGACTAGGAAACTGACTCAAAGGATATGGGATGGTATACTTGATTTTGTTCTTTCTTGTTTATCCCAATTTGTCTTTCTAACAACCTCTGACCCAAATCTCTCTCACCCAGTGACCACATGGCTGATTGGTTCTCAGGGCTATTCACCTGGCTCCCTCAGGGCTTCAGATTAATTCTGCAAAGACTTCTTGAAGCTAGGATTTGTACTCCGTATATTAAGACTCATTATCCTATAGTCTGCTGCTCACGTAAATGCTTTACTAAAACTGTGGATGAGAGTACTAATGTCTTTGTCATGCAAGCCTTGGAACCCCAACCAGGCACCTATAAATACATGCAGGCAGCTGAAAGGCAGTTTTACTCCTCTTGTTCTGGGGCCAAATCCTATCCCACTACACCCTGTCAGCAGGAAGAAGTTAGAGTAGTTGTTTGACTTTTCCCATCTCTGTTGCTCACACCTTAAAAATAAGGTGTGTTGAAACCCCCAAAATGGGGACTGAAACTGTATTTGCAAATATTTTAAGAATTAGGAAAAGATCTGACTTCACCAACTTCATCTTGCCATTAATATTCAAGCTGCCCTTAGTCATTGCTGGACATGAGTCAAACTAACCTTGGGAATAATTTAGTTTATAATTTAACTAAGATAGCAAAGATAACAGCCCCTCCCCAAAACAAACTCCCTCTTTGCTGGGGACCAGACCACCTTCGTAAAAATAAAAAATCAGCCATAAGATTAGAAATTATGGCTCAAGAGGTCAAACCAAATTACAATAGCTATAAAACAAAATACACAAATAAAGTTAACCAAAGAGGTGAAAGACCTCTACAAGGCAAACTGCAAAAGACTGATGAAAAATATGAAGATGATACAAACAAATGGAAAGACATCCCATGCTCATGAATCTGAAGGATTAATACTTTTTAAATGACGTATCACTCAAAGAAATCTACAGACTCTATGTGGTCTCTATTAAAATATTAATGACATTCTTCACATAAAGAGACAAACAAAACACTAAAATTCATATGGAACCACAAAAGACCCCTCATAGTCAAGGCAATCCTAAGCCAAAAGAACAAACCTGGAGACATTACACTACCAGACTTCAAAATAGACAACAAAGCTGTAGGAACCGAAACAGCATAGTAGAGACATAAAAACAAACACATAGACCAAATCCAACAGAATAGAAAACTCAGAAATTAGTCTACACATTATGGCCAACTGATTTTTGAAAAAGGTACCAAAAACACTCATCAGGGAAAGAACAGTCTCTTCACTAAATGGTGTAGGGAAAACTACATACATGTGCAAAATATTAAAACTAGATCCTCACCTCTTAACCTTTGCAAAAGTCAACTCAAAATGGATCAAAGACTTCAGTGTAAGACCCAAAACTATAAAACTACTAGAAGGAAACATAGGGAAAATGCTTTAGGACACTGGCCTGGGAAAAGATTTTATGAATAAGACCTCAAAAGCACAGGCAACAAAAGCAACAATAAATAAATAAAATTATATCAAACAGAAAACCTCTGCACAGCAAAGGAAACAATCCACAGAGTCAAAAAGCAACCTACAGAATGGGAGAATTTGAAAACTATTCATCCAACAAAAGATTAATACCCAGAATATATAAACATTTAAACATCTCAACAGCAAAAAACAACCCAATTTAAAAATGGGCAGATAATATGAATTGACATTTGTCAAAAGAAGACATGCAAACAGCTAACAAATATATACAAATTGCATCTCTAATCATCTGGGAAATGCAAATAAAAACTATAGTGAAGCACTATCTCACCACAGTTAGGATGACTATTATCAAAAAGACAAAAAATAACAAATGCTGGCAAGCATGCAGTGAAAAGGGAACACTTTTACACTCTTTGTGAAAATTTAAACTAGTATAACCACTGTGGAGAACTATATGATGGCTCCTAAAACAAAAATGACAACTAGAACTACCATGGGATTTAGCAGTCCCACTACTGTGCATTTATCCAGAGGAGAGGAAATCAGTATATTGAAGAGACACCTGCACCTCCGTGTTTATTGCTACAGTATTCACCATAGCCAAGATATGGAATCAATCTAGATGTCTAACAACAGATGAATGGAAAAGGAAATTTTATATATATATATATATTTTATATATATATATATTTTATATATATTTAAATATATAATATATATATATATATATATATATATACACACACACACACACACAATAGAATGCTATTATGCCATAAAATGGAATTAAATCCCATCATTTGTGGCAACATGGATAGAACTGGAGGACATTATGTTAAGTGAAATAAGCCAGGAATGGATAGCTAAACACCATATGTTCTCGCTCATGTGTGGAAGCTAAAAAAAGTTGATCTTATAGAAGTAAAAAGTAGAACAGGATACTAGAGGCTGGGAAGGGGAGTGAGAAAGAGGTTATTGGGAGAGATCTGTTAAATAATACAAAATTACAGTCAGATAGGATGAATAAGTTCTAGTGTTTTATAGCACTCTAGGATGACTATAGTTAATAACATATAGTTTCAAATAGCTGGGAGGATATGAAATGTTCCCATCACAAAGAAATGCTAAATGCGTGAGATAATGGATATCTTAATTAGCCTGATCTGATCACTATACATTATATGTATTGAAACATTATTACATACCCCATAAATGTGTAGAATTATTATGTGACAATTTTAAAAATAAAATAAAATTAGAAAATAGTAAAACGGTAACTCTGAACTCTATTCTTTTAGCGATGAGAATTCAATGTAGGATTTAAAAATGTATACAGTGGAAATGTAATTAATTAACTTGGTGTTAGTTCATAGCAAAGCTTCCCAAATCAATATACAGCAGCATGTTATTTTGCCTGCAAGGGTTTCAATTGCTTTGAAATAGATATTTCCCCTCGGTCCCCAGAAAGAATAAAGCCTTCCAGACAAGAGGCCTTCAAATATGAACAGACGTCTTTGTTTATCCCAGTGTGCTTTGCAAGTTTATTTTCTACATGGGGCATGAAGTAAAGATTATTGGGAAGCATAGATTTGCATGATGATGGAAAAGGGAAAGCCTAAAGCCACAGAAAATAGCTAATAAATTAATATACAGTGTGTTTACTGGAGTTGTATGCATTCTCACAAGAGGCATTCTTTCCCTACCAGTTGAATGTTCCTAGAAGGTCACATGCCAGTTAAACTCCACTATTTTGTCTTTTAGTGACCATGCTTGAGCCCACTTGTTCAACTCCTGAGATCTTATTAGGAAGCTGCTGAAAACATTTCAGGTGTTATTATCTATCAGGAGACTGCCTTTCCCTGGCACTGGCTGAGACGTATTGTATTTTATTGTATTGTATTGTATTGTATTGTATTGTATTGTATTGTATTGTATTGTATTGTATTGTATTGTATTGTATTGTATTGTATCGCATTTTTGGCAGAGCTAGCTGAGGCTTCATTTGGAAGAAAAAATTGTTTCATAGATGGAGGCATGGGCAGGGGGTACCCCAGGCAGCGAACTCCCCTGATGGGTAGGCCGAAGGCTAGGGCTGAGCCCAGTGAAGACCTTAGCCCTCAACCCACCCATGGTGGGAGGGACCGCCAGTGTCTGCCTCAGTTGGGTCTCCTGTTCCCTGTGCTCCGCTGAACAAGAGCCTCTGCCACAGGCTGTGGGGCAGCCACAGGATGGGGTAGGCTGGGAAGGGCTGCCATGGCCATTCTCTTGGGCAGGAGATCAGACGACTCAGAGCCAGTTTCCCACCGTGGGTCTCAATCTTCTTCACAACCACAGCCCTAGAGGAGCTGGTACTCCTGAAGAAGCAGGAGCCTGTGCCAGAGCCAAAGCTGGAGCCCAGGCCATAGCTAAGGCCAGGGCTTGTGAGGCCTCTGTAGACCAAGTTCAGCCTACCTGAGCAGACACTGGTGATCTTCGTATGGATACTCATGTTCTGCATCCCAGACTCCAGCTGGCTCTCCTCTCCCTCCAGCAGCTTCCTGTAGGTGGCGATCTCAATGTCCAGGGCCAGCATGACATTCATCAGCCCCTGGTATTCATGCAGCTGTGTGCCATGTCCTGCTTGGCTCACTGCAGGATGGCCTCCAGCTCCAACAGCTTGGTGGCCTTAACAGCCAGCTCCCCATGCTGCTTGGCCTCCATGACGACAGCTTCCAGGGAAGCCCCCTGGCCTTTGAGGCCCTCAGTCTCAGCCTGGAGCCCACTGATGTTGATACAGGATTTTTCTCGGCCACTTTGCCAATCAGAGACCTCTGGCTGGTGATGCCCCTGTTCAGGCATGGGCTCACCACAGGAGACAGACACCCTGTCTACTCAGCCAACCAGGCCATGCCTGGCTTGCATGCTGGCGTGGATCCCATGGCCACTGAGACTGTGCACTCAGCCCCTGGCAGGAGGGGGTGTATGAGCAAGAATGCAGGGTCTGGCCAGCTGCTCCAAGCAGGACTTGCAGCTGGACCAGGTGTGTCACAAACAACTCCTATGGTGGACTCTGGTGTCCAGGTGAGGGGAATGCAGTGGCACCCAAACCGGCGTGCCTGTGATCCCAAAACTCTAGATGGGGTGTTACAGCATGCTAATAGCTTCCTCCCATGGCTCTGGAACTGGCTTAAACCCGTCGCTGTTTCCCATTGTGTGGGATGGCTGCCCTCCGCCAGCAGAGGGCAAAGGGTCACAGTGTTACAGCCTTCTTTCTATGCACATTCAGTGAGTCCCAAGTTCTTGTCCCACATCCATAAAGAATGAGGTTATGCTGAAAATTGAAAGGTGAGGACTGTGGAGAAGAGTTTTATTAAGTGACGAAACAGCTCTTAGTGGAGAGGGTATGCAGGGTGGTCTCCCACCAGAAGTCAGGTGGTCAGTCTCCCCGTAGGGCTGGGTCCAGAGCTTTTATGAGCTCAGAATGGGGGAGTGCATGCTGATTGGTTTGTGAGTGTGCAAAAAATGCTAAAACAAAAGCTACAGTCAAAGGTGGGTACAATAGTGTAAAAAACAATTAGGGAAGAGTAGCTATATGTAAAATAGATGAAAGGTAGGGATCAAACAGAGGAAAGCATGCCAAATGGGAAAAGGTTCTCAATCTGGTCTGTGGACTTTCCAGGGACTTGTAGCTAGGCTTTAAACTGTGTTCAGCTTGAAACTTGGGTTTCACCAGGGACCAGCCCCTGTATTCCTAGGATTTGTCTGCCTCCTGCCACTAACAATGTTACAGCTCATCTCAGCGATGTCCATCTTTGTGTGACACAGCTCATCCCCATGCTTCTCAGCCAGCATCTGCAGCTCCTCATGCTTGATCTGGTACATGCGCTCAGCCTTGGCCAGGCTATGGTTGGCAATCTCCTCATACTGGGTCTTGACCTCAGCAATGATGCTGTCCATTTCCAGGGAGTGGCTGTTGTCCATAGACAGGACCACAGATGTGTATGAGATCTGGGAATGCAGCTCACAGAAAACCTCTTTATACATCTGCCTGCCTGAGAAACTTGATCTCATCAGTCAGCCCTTCCAGGAGAGATTCTAGCTCTACCTTGTTTATGCAAGTTTCATTCCACATCCTTCTTGATGAGGACAAATTCATTCTAAACCTCTGTATGTTTACTGATGTCACCCTCGTACTTATTATTCAAGTCCTTCAGCAGCCCCTGCATGTTGCCAAGCTCTGTCTCCAGCTTCAGCTTCTCCTGGCCCAGAGTGTCCCACTGCCTCCAAAGGTTGTTGATGTAGCTCTCAAGCATGTTGTCCATGTTGCTCTGGGCTGTCTTCTGCTGCTACAGGAGGCTCCACTGGTCTTCAGCATCTTCTGCTGCTGCTCCAGCAGTATACCTTGTCGATGAAGGAGGTAAACTTGTTGAGGGTGTTGATCTGCCCCTTCTCCTGGGTGTATGTGACCTGGATGTTGGAGTCCACCTTTGGCTTAAGGGGGCTCAGTAGGCTCTGGTTCACCATGATGGCTATGATACCCCCCATATCACTGGCCCCACCATAGTCTCCACCCAGACCCATGCCAGTTCCCTGCCCACCCTAGAAGCTGCTGCTACTACCCATTCAGGAGAAGTTCAAGGAGTTGTTCCAGGCCCACACATGTAGGAGTAGCTGCTGAAAACCTGGGGACCAGAGATGGACACCTTGTAGGACTTCTGGGTCACCCTGATGGACATGGTGAAGGCAAGAGTGGAGGCAGGCAGGCCAAACCAAGGGCAAATTTGAGGAGTGCAGAATCTGCTTCTAGGTACAATTATCATCTTAGAGAGAGAGTTATCAACCACCTGATGGTCGCCTGACATTCCTGGTTTTGTGGTGGGGGGGCCTCTCCTGCCCTGCTCATGTCTGACTAGCTGCCTACTGTTACAGAATGCCTAACCCAGCGATGCAAAATGCAAATACAGTGTCCTGTAGACCTGGTAACATAAGAACTTAAAATGGAGAAGAAAATTCTATAGTGAGCACAAAGACATCATATGCATATATCCCTTATGTTAAAATATGACTCTGAAAATAGGTATTCCTAACGGCACTGACCAGATGGCCCTGTTCAAATGCAAGTTGCCAATCTGAACCACATGAAGTACCAATGCAATGTTAAATCCATTTATTAGCAATGCAAATGTCAAGCTACCTCTGATTTTCCCAAAAGCAGGATAAACAAAATAAATGAGCCATTAGGAGGCACAGGTGAGATACTCAGGCTTCAAGAACCCTGCTTTGATTACTTTGAAAGGCAGATAAAGGCAGCATAACAAGTTTCCACTTGAACAGAGTGTGTTTATTCAGCTTGATGCAAGTCAGAGGAAATAGCCCTAATAGTTTTGAATTGCTATAAAAGGTTGTATGCACTTGTCAGATTTATGCATTTAGGCCATAAAAGCAAAAGAGTCTTACAGAGGCATTTTCTTAATTAAGCAATTCAGGTATAAATTCAAAGACAGAGAAGAAATGCAAGCTTCACATACACCAGAGCATGTGCCCAAAATGACCTTTCTCTTACTTTTACCCTAAGATTTCCTTTTCATCCTTCAACACTAGCTCAAATATTTCTGCCTCAAGTGAACTGTCTCCTGAACCCCTCTACCCATCACTTCTGCCAGCTAATGACTTCCAGCAACTTGTACATCCCTCCATTGGAACACTTTGCTTTATAATTATTTATTTAACTTCCTCTTCTTGTGTTCTGTGATGTCTTCGAAGGCAAAGATTGTATACTATTTGTGTCTCCAAACCTCAGAAGCTTTCACAGAAAAGATTCTAACAATGTATATTCACAACCAAAATCAAGAAAAAGAGATGATCCCTAATACTTTAGTTTGCTAGATTTTTGTTGAGCTCATAGTGATGCTTATAAATTTGACACTGTAATGCTAGATAAGTATTTTAAAGGGTAATTGTACAAAGAGGGTAAAATCATGACTCTCATGTGGATAGAAATTGAGCACTATTAAATATTTTATTTAACTATAAATTAGAGAATCAGGCAGATGTCACAACTTTTCAATGGAGAAGTAAAACAAGAATAAATGTGTATAGAGTAAACTTTCCTCAGTAAAGAAATGTTGAACTTAAATGATAAAACAATGCAACTGGCTTTTTTTCCATGAGAGGAGAATGGAGGAAAGTCAACTGAACCTCCCCACCAGACATAATTCATTTGCATTTCTAGGAACATGAATTATTTCGCATTGCTATCAGTTATCTACAATTTGCAAAGTTATAAAATACTGCAAAGGCTAGACTTAGATAACCTGGAAGTGCATTGCAATGAGTTTAATATTTGTGTACCTCCAAAATTCATATGTTGAAAACCTAACCCCAAGGTAATGGTATTTGAATGTAGAACCTTTGGGAAATAATTAAGTCATGAGAGTGGAGTCCCCATGAATGAGATTAGTGCCCTTATAAAAGGGACCCCAAAGAGCTCTTTCTACCATGTGAAGATACAAGAAGTCAGCCATCTACAACTAACAAAAGAGCTCTCCACAGAAACCTACATTACTGGCACCATGATCTTGGACTTCTAGCCTCCAGAACTGTGAAAAAATAAATTTCACTTGTTTGCAAGCCACTCTGTTTATGGTATCTTGTTATAGCAGTCCAAGCTGGTAAGACAAATCTGCTCTAATCTAAATAATGTATTGTTTTTCATAGGAGACATCCAATAATCTTTTTTATTTAGTTCAAATTTTCTTACACTGTGTCATCTTAAAGGTAGAGTGTGAGATCCTATGTTCTTTCATTGAAAGGTCAACGTATGATCAAAAATTGTTTTTGTCCATTTGTAAGACAATATTTCTAAACTCCTCTCAACATGTTGTTATATCATTAGCCCTTCCATAGTAATGAACCAATAACAACACAAACTAACATTTGGGAAATTACTTTTTGCCAAGTAGTGTGAAGAGTGCTTTATCTAAAGAATTTCTTTAATTCTCATGCCAACCTGATGAAGTAAAAATTTCATTATACTCATTTCATAGAATAGAAAACAGCATTAACAAAGCCTCTAAATCACACAACCGGCATGTGACAGACATGAATTCTAAGCAGAAAGCTCTATCTCTGCTGTCTAATATGGTAGCCAATAGTCACGTGGGGCTATTGGGACTTGAAATGTGGCCAACTCAAATTCTGATGTTCTGTAGGCAAAACCAGGCAATAAGTTTTTAAGACTTAGTACCATAAAAATATTTTGAAATTATAATGGTTTGGATGATTGAGTTAAATAAAATATATCATTAACTTTACCATCTGTTTCTTTTTACGTTTTAAAATGTGGCTACTAGAACATTTTAAATCACCTATGTGGCTCACATTATATTTTTATTGACTAGCCTACTCTCTTACTGGCAGACTTGAAGGACAGAAAATTGCCAAGAAAAATCAAACAAGCTCTCTTTTTAAAAAATGATATGATTAAAATATTTATGATATCAAAATATCCATCACTATTGTAGTGGACACATGTAATTAGCAGAGAATTTTCTGCATAACTTAAAGAATATTTTAATAGATTCACCCTCATACAAGAAGAGACAATACCACACTTAGTGATTCTCAAATGTCAGTAGTGTTTTTAACACCAAAGATGGTAGTCTAGGGTATGGAGTCATCATGACAGGGAGTAAAGCAGTACCCATACCTGATTTCAGGAGGCCTAGCTTCATGTTCTCAGTTCCACACTGACTTTAGCCGGTAACTACGTGAGTTGTAATTTTCTTATCTGTAAAAGGAAGACATTTAACCTTGAGATCTCTTCCAGCTGAAGAAGCTCTGTGAACATACTGATCTCCACCTGGTACCGTCTTCAAGATGATTTAGAACAGCTGTTCTCAGACTTGAGGCTTGGAGGTCATTATGCCATAGATTGCTGGGCCCTACCTCCAGGGTTTCGATTCAGTGGGTCCGGGGCAGAGCTGAGAATTTGCATTTCTAGTAAGTCCTTGGGATGTTGATGCTGCTGGTCTGGGGAATACACTTGGAGGATCACTGACTTAAAACAACATCACAGAGCCTCTCACATGAGGAGTCATAGGGGCTGCAGTAAGGGCAAAGTAGACTTCACCTACCTCCACTCAAAAGGTGAATTGAGTGTTTGACCTTTTTCAAGCCCTTTTATTGAGGATGATTCAAAGTTTTACATTCTCATTCAGAAAGGGGAGAGTTTAGACCAATAATGACTTTAATGATTTTTTTCCCTGCTAGCATTTGGCCTTAAAATAATTTTTTTTGAGAATTACACACTCTGAAGGGAAATGTCAGATTCTAAGTCGTATTTTTTTTAAATTGGTTGGTATTCTAGTGTAAGCTGTGTTGCATTTCTAAATATGGGTGGCGGGCAAAATCTCCACCAACAATGTTATGTAACAGACACACCCACACCTATATTTCTATTGATGATCTAATGTAGACTATTTATTTTCAAAGGATATATAATGATAAAAGGAATGCATTTCCCTTTTGCCATTTTAAAATTTTATTTACTTTTACATTATTATAAAGTATGTTTTGTGCTTTTTGGGGTAAAATCAGCTTGTTCTAGTTACATTTATAAAATTTAAAAGCTTCCCCTGTTCTCTTAATGTTTCAACATTTTCATTGCTTTGCATCTGGATATTTTTAGGACATAATGTGCAACTTTATGGTTCTATGAGAACACCAACTGGCTGTGCAAATATGTATTAAGGCAGTGGGAATTTGGGCTACCTTGTCCAGACGATGCTGACAGAAGCATTGTACACGTGAGATGGCAAATATGATTTTTAAAATAATAATGACAAAAGCATCTACCCAGTTGGAAAAATAATGTAGATTTCTTTATTGCTGTTCTTTGTTCTATTTTTGTTTTAATAAGTTCACCTAGATATTAGTGGAAGTGCTGTGGAAATCATGAGCCCTCTGTCTTAATTTCTTTTTTCAAAAAAACTTTAACTTAAATTATCTATTTAAAAAGCTTTGTATTTTTCTGTTAATTTTTCTTGAGGATTCTAATTAAGCCTCATCTCTGTGAGAAATAAAATTAGTAGATATTAATAGTATTCTTTTACAGATAAAAAAAGTTATAAAGTGTTGGTAAGTATTCTTACATCAAACTTACTGGTTTGAAATTATGAGGAAAATTACAAAGTCAATTACCCAGATGGTGTGATGTTGTCAAAACAATCAACAAGGAATGGTTTTGTTCCTATTCTTTGTCTGATGTTTGGTTTATGTGGATATAATCTATGTCTCTGGCATGATTAATACCATAGCCATTTTAATACTTATTTTTAAGTACAGAGCTTTCATGATTATTGTGCCCTATCCTCATCATTAATAATGGCCATCTGCACTTCCTTTCCTTTAATGAGTGGTGTGATTTTACTTTGTCATCAGTATGTTCTGGGAATAGCACTGTTACTGCTATACTCAGACAGAAAAGTGCCTGAGGTAATTATGGAACCCATCTGAAATTTCAAAATTAAAATATTTTCCTCACGCCTTGTAATATGCATTTCAAGCAAAAGCTCACCACCATTTCTAAATAATAAACGTTCAGGAAAGCATTTTTGCCAGATCAATGATTTTTTAAATCTGAAATGAGTAAAATCATAAAAAACCATTTGCTCTTCTAACTCTGTTCTTTTAATAGGTACCCCAATTAAAGATAAACTTTATTGCTATTTTTAAGATGCCCTCTGCTTTTCTTATTAAAATGTAAAGTAAACCTGGATTAAGGAGAAAAATGAACCATACTTTGCTAGATAGTAATACCTAATATCAGAGGACTAATGTCTACACATTTTGGTCATGTCTGCATAGTTCTCTAAAGGTTAACTGCTTCTTAATAGTCCGAAATCACTAAAAGCTAAATTTATGTTCTATAGTGCCAAATAATAATTTTGAGTCTGTATTTTTCGTTTTCTCAAGTTCTTAAATTTATATCATTAAACATAATAATTAAGGCATAAGTAGGCTAAAAAGCTTAAATTACTAACAGAAGCCACCAAAATCAGAACTACACTTTGAAGAACAGCCTACTGGGCTCTCTAATGTAAAGTCTGATAATATTCAGCCATTCTGACTTGTCAATCGAAGGGGGTTATAATGTAACTAATCTGATGTCATATCACACTCTATATCCCGAAGACATTGAACTGATTAAATGTGTTTACTATTATTATTGTTATGTATATTATCATTACACTTCTTAATAAAGACATCCGGTGTCTTTATGATGTGTCCTAGGCATCATAAACTGAGTGTATGATGTGTGTTGGGCAACAGACTATTTCCTATTTGAAGTTAGGCTCTAGAGACTTACATAGAATCGGAGAACAGAATTGGGAATCATGCATCCAGATAATTTAGAGAGCTTATAAAAATTGGCATGGTGTAATTCTAGTGTTTTATAGACAAAATCTATATCTCTGATTATGATTATAATTGTTGTCTTTATTACTCATTTTAAATATTCCTATCTCCCATGATAATATTCTATGATTCTGATTTGATAGGTCTGGAGTGGGGCCAAAGAGTTGATGGTTTCAAAAGCTCATCAGGTGATTCTGCTGTGCAGTTAATTTGTGAATGCTTTAATCATACAGGTGGGGATATTAAAGACCAGAAGATAAAGTGACTTAACCTCTTAGGGTTAAGAGGCAATTTACTTCCTCAGAACTTGTCAGTTTACTTCCTTGGAACTTCAAGATTTCTCAGACTTCAATATTTAAATGGAAATATTTTTAAGAAAGGTTGTGTCAAATAAAAGACAGTAAGATTAAGAAATTGGATATGTAACTAGAAAGAGTTGAGATTCCCAGGGTAACAAGGATAATAAGGAAATTAAATTTATTTTCACTTTTATTATTACCTTGGAAAGTACCAATGATCCAGGAGATAAGTAGAGAAAGGAGTCCTTGCCCGATTGTAAGAGTATAAAGATAAGAATAGGGATAATGTGGCCGGGCATGGTGGCTCACACCTGTAATCCCAGCACTTTGGGAGGCCAAGGTGGGTGGATCACCTGAGATCAGGAGTTCGAGACTAGCCTGGCCAACATGGCGAAACCCCGTCTCTACTAAAAATGCAAAAACTAGCAGGGAGTGGTGGGCACCTGTAACCCCAGCTACTTGAGAGGCTGAGACTGGAGAATCACTTGAATCTGGGAGGCAGAGGTTACAGTGAGCCGAAATTGCGCCACTACACTCCAGCCTGGGCAACAGAGGGAGACTCCATCCCAAAAAGAATAGGGATAAAGTAACTAAAGCTCTGAAAGTCTCAGCAACTTTCCCCAAATTACACAACTTTGTATCAGAGTTGTGTCCTAAATTCCAAGTCAGGACACCAAACCCCATATTCTGTCTGATGTTCAGTGTCCCATGATGGTCTAATTTCTCGTTTTACCCCAGGTGGACCTCTCTAGGGCAGAACATATGTTTCAGGAAAACCAAATTTTTAAATAGCACAATCAGTACCTGGCACAAATCCTAACATATAATAAGTACTCAAAATATATACATATTTGAAAAAATAATCCACAGTAGTTACAATTTTCCTATAATGTGTTAAGCTCAGATTCTTTTTCTGCTTATACCATCTTTTCTTCAATTAACTCTACTTTAAAATTATAACTGTTTTTGACAGCTTTATTTAACATGTGTGTATTTTGTTTAAAAGCAATCCTAATTTAGAAAACTAACAGTAGGCTAAACATAAGAATAAAGGAATAAAATGTTCTTTCTTGTATTTTTTGTTTGGTTTTTTTTTTTTTTTTGGCAGAATACGCAAAGTAATAGCAATCAATAACAGGGCAGAACTTCTGAAAAACCTCATGGAACTTCTTAGAATCCTTAGCCTTACATTCAATCCCTCCTCAGTCTGTCCCAGTGATGGTTTTTGTTTTCTTTTTTTCAAATTCCTTTATCAATGCTCTTCTCACACCTATGACATTCCCTTCACCAAATAATTGAGTGTCCCCATGTAGTTCCTGGTCTTTATTTTAACAATGTTCTTACATATTCTTGTTTGTTCTTTGAGTCGTCAGTGTTCAAATGCTATGTGTCTTTCAAAGCATATTTCAAACATCACTTCCCCCTTCCCCTCAGCGGGAACCATTCTCCTCCTCTTAAAATTTCAACTAACACTTTTATTTGCATGACATTCATAATTTAATTTCACCCTAAACTGTACTTATTTCTGGACATTGTCTCACTTACAGGACAATGCTTTGCCCAGTAGTCAATTATTCCATGAATAAATGACTGAATGGAAAATTGACCAGATTTGTTTTAAGTTTAGAATTCAATTTTAACTGTTTTCATTATTACTAAATATATTAGCACAAGCCCCATTTTTCCATGCCTACCAAAATGAAATTTTTAAGAGACCACTACAAGAAAAATATATATCATTTCTAAGTATGTCACTTTTAATCTACTTTTGATGTGATTGATATGAAGCTCACCAGTACCTATTTATTGTTGAAAACTGCAAAGAAAAAAGTGAGAGATCTTGGCCAGAGCAATCAGGCAAAAGGAAGAAAAAAAAGGCATCCAAATAGGAAAAGAGGAAGTCAAACTATGTGTTTGCATATGGTATAATTTTATACCTAACAAAGCTCATAGTCTCTGCCAAAAAGCCTTTAGATCTGATAAACAACTTCAGCGAGGTTTCTGGATACAAATCGGTGCACAAAAATCGGTAGCATTTCTGTACTACAATAAGGTCCTTCCTAAATGCAAAATCAAGAATGTAATCACATTCACAATAGCCACACAAAAATAAAATAAAATACCTAGGACTACAGCTAACCAGGGAGGTGAAAGATCTCTACAATGAGGATGACAAAACACTACTCAAATAAATCAGAGATGACACAAATGAATGGAAAAACATTCTATGCTCATGAATAGGAATAATCAATATCATAAAATAGCCATACTGCCCAAAGAAATTTACAGATTCAATGCTATTCCTATCAAACTACCAATGACATTCTTCACAAAACTAGAAAAAACTATTTTAGGAGGCATTATGTTACCTGGCTATAAACTAAACCACAAGGCTTCAGTAACCAAGACAGCATGGTACTGGTACAGAAACAGACTCAGAGACCAATGGAACAGAATAGACAGCCCAGAAATAATGCTGCACACTGTGACCGTCTGATCTTCAACAAAGCTGACCAAAACAATCAATGGGGAAAGTATTTTCAATTCAATAATGGTGTGGGGATAACTGGCTAGCCATACGCAGAAGATTGAAACTGGACCTCTTTCTTACACCATATACAAAAATTAACTCAAGATGGATTAAAGACTTAAATGTAAAAACCAAAACTCTAAAAATCTGGGAAGACAACCTAGGCAATACCATTCTGGACATAGGAATGGGCAAAGATTTTATGCCAAAGATACCAAAAGCAATTGCAAGAACAGTAAACATTGACAAATGGGATCTAATTAGACTAAAGGGCTTCTGCCCAGCAAAAGAAACTATTAACAAAGCAAACAGACAACCTACAGAATGGGAGAACATTTTCACAACTTTACCTCTGACAAAGGCCTAATATCCAGCATCTATAAGGAACTTGAGCAAATTTACAAGCAAAAAGCAAACAACCCCTTTAAAAAGTGGACAAAGCATATGAACAGACACTTTCAAAAGAAGACATATAAGCAGCCAACAAGCATATGAAAAAATGCTCAATATCACTAATCATTAGAGAAATGCAAATCAAAACCACAGTGAGATACCATCTCATACCAGTCAGAATGGCCATTATTAAAAAGTCAAAAAATAACATTTGCTGGAGAGGTTGTAGAGAAAAGGGAATGCTTATACAGTGTTGGTGGGAGGGTAAATTAGTTCAAACATCGTGGAAAGCAGTGTGGAAATTCCTCAAAGAGCTAAAAACAGAACTACCATTCAACCCAGCAATCCCATCACTGGATATATACCCAGAGTAATATAAATCATTTTACCATAAAGAGACGTGCATGTTCATCACAGTACGATTCACAATAGCAGACTTGGAATCAACATCAATGCCCAGCGACGGTAGACCAGATAAAGAGAATATGGCATATATACATCATAGAATACATGCAGCCATAATAAAGAATGAGATCATGTCCTTTGCAGCAACATGGATGGAACTAGAAGCCATCATCCTAGGCAAACTAACCCAGAAACAGAAAGTGAAATACCACATCTTCTCACCTATAAGTGGGAGCTAAACATTGAGTACACATGAACACAAAGAAAGTAACAATAGACACCAGGGCCTACATGAGGGTAGAGGGTGGAGAAGGATTAGGACAGAAAATCTACCTGTCGAGTACTATGCTTAGTGAGGAAATAATACACACACCAATCCCCTGTGACTTAAAATTTATGTATAGAACCAACCTGCATATGGACCCCTGAAATGAAAATAAAAGTTTTTTTTAAGTCAACAATTCTGTTCTTTCATTGTGCACCTTAACTCAATATTTTCTAGTTCCTTTTTTCCCATACTACTATTCTAAATTTATAAAAATGAAAGGAATTCATCTGATATATTACTTTAAGATAAACTGCTTTTAAGAATTACTGTAATGCAATAATCATTCCTTGTTATAATTCTATATTATTTAGATATGATAAAAGTAGCACCAATAACTTTTTTGAAAAATTGAAAAATATTTATTTAAGAAGAGTTAAAAGAAATTCCAAGCTAATTTTGGACATTTTCTACTTTTGATTTTTTTTACTTAGTCTGTAATTAAAGGGGATACATTTTTTCATTTTTTGCCCAGCTTTATTGGGGTGTGATTAACAAATAAATGTTGTATATATTTCAGGTGTTATAATAATTTGTTGACTTAATATGCCACACATGTACATTGTGAAATGATTACCATAATCAAATTAATGAACACATCAATCACCACACATAGTTAACTATTTTGTATGTGTATTTGTGTGTGTGGTGAGGAAATTTGTTCTCTTAGCAAATTTCAAGCATAGAATACAGTATTACTAACTATAGTCACCACGCTGTACATAAGACATCCAGAACGTATTCATCTTATAACTGAAAGTTTTCAACCTATAACTGTTATCTCCCCATTTTCTTCATCTCCTGGACCCTGGCAAACACTGTTCTATTCTCTGTTTCTATGAATTTGACTTTTTTGATTCCACATCTAAGTGAGATCATATAGTATTTGCCTTTCTGTATTTGGCTTATTACACTCAGCATAATATCTTCCAGGTTTATTCCCATAGTCACAGATGGCAGGATTTCCTTTTTTTTATGGCCAAATAATATTCTACCGTGTGTGTGTGTGTGTGTGTGTGTGTGTGTGTGTGTGTGTGTGTGTACCCCATATTTTCTTTATCCATTTATCCATCAATGGGCACGTATTATTTTTGTATCTTGGCTATTATGAGTAATGCTGCAATGAGCATGAGCAGATATCTCTTCGAGATACTCATTTTATTTTCTTTGGATATATACCCAGAGGAGATATGTTTTTCTAAACTAAATTTATTATTTTGATATTTCCCAATGAATAGTAAATGGGATAAACTTATAATTGTCTATATGTCTTTGTCCTAAGTAATCTGCACTGCAAAGAAATAACAGAGAATCTTAACTTTAAATGTAATAAGGTAATAAGCACATTGGATAACATAGCATTTTAGATCAAGAAACAGACATTAATTCATTTCTGAGAAAAAAAATGCTGTGGATTCACATTTCTGACTTGATAGGGAAATTATTAACCTGTATAGTTGGGACTTAGGGGCCAGTTTTCAGTTAAATTCAGAATCACCGATGGAGTGGGGTGAGCATCTCTGCATAAATTAGAACAAATCTAGTTGATGTTATGGGATGAAACTACCAGTTATATAACAGATTTCTCAGTAATATTGACATACAGTGAAGAAAATAAATAACAGGCCTAAAACAAGCCAAAATGTAATTTTGCTTCTACATATTTATTCTTAAGAAATATTGACAAATGTAAACAATGATTTAGCAATTCAGCAATGTTTATAAACTAAGCAATGTTTACCGCAGAGAACTATAGACAGCCTATGACTCTAACAAAAGGGAAATCTTTAAATTATGGCCAGTCCATATAAAAAATGAAGTAGTATGCAAAATGACATTAAACATCCTAACGGCATAGACAACTGTTCATGTTTTATTAATTTTAAAATCAGATTCTAAAATGTAGGTTCATGTTTATATATTTTTAAATAAAGGAATTTATGTTTGTTAGCATACAAACTAAACTGTTATAACAAAGAAACCCCAAACACAATGACTGGAACAAGGTAGAGACTATTTTTCACTCCCATAACATCCAAGTTGACCAGGGCATGTAGGCAACTGGGCCCCATGATATCCTCCAGAAACCCACATAGTTCTATCTTGACACCCCACAGTGCTTTAGGGCACAGGCTTTAATTTAATTTTATATTTGAAATAGAAGTTCACAGATCCGATGAAAGTTATCAACCCTCACCTCAGAAAAATGCACACCCACATATACTCCTACACTGTTTCAGGCTGTGTGTAGAAGTTCATAGATCCCTAACTAGGGCACCACCCAGACACTGCCTGCAACTGAATGACTAAAGCTATTTCATCAGCCAACTCACCTAATTCACACCAAAAGAATACTGTATGGGGAGCTGGAAAATGGAATCCCCACCAAGGAAGCCATGTGCCCAGTTAAAACTTGGGAAGGAAGTGGTATTCTATTATTAAAGGGAAGACAGGTATGAGGAGAATGGACCCTGGGAACATTCATCAGTCTCTGCCACAAACACTTTGAAAATAGTGATATCTATGTGTCATATATTAACAATATTTATGTCTGGATGATGAAATAGAGTTATTTTTAAATTTTCACTCATTTTATTTTCCAAATTCACTTTATGATATTTAATATTTTTATCAATTCTTCTGAATTCCTTAAGATATTTCTCTGCACTCCAGCCTGGGTGACAGAGCGAGACTCCATCTAAAAAAAAAAAAAAAAAAAAAAAAAAAAAAAAAAAAAAAAGATACCTCTTGTGCAAATTCAAAAACTAGCAGAAGACAAGAAATAACTAAGATCAGAGCAGAATTGAAGGAGATAGAGACATGAAATACCCTTCAAAAAATCAATGAACCCAGGAGCTGATTTTTTAAAAAGATTAACAAAATATATAGACCACTAGGCAGACTAATGAAGAAGAAAAGAGAGAAGAATCAAATAGATGCAATAAAAAATGATAAAGAGGATATCACCACTGATCCCACAGAAATACAAACTACCATCAGAGAATACTATAAACACCTCTATGCAAACAAACTAGAAAATTAGAAGAAATGGATAAATTTCTGGACACATACATCCTCCCAAGACTAAACCAGGAAGAAGTTGAATCCCTGAATAGACCAATAACAGGCTCTGAAATTGAGGCAGTAATTAATAGCCTACCAACCAAAAAAGCCCAGGATCAGAGGGATTCACAGCCGAATTCTACCAGAGGTACAAAGAGGAGCTGGTATCATTCCTTCTACAACTATTCCATACAATAGAAAAACAGGGACTCCGCCAGGCACAGTGGCTCATGCCTGTAATCCCAACACTTTGGGAGGCCAAGGCAGGTGGATCACCTGAGGTCAGGAGTTAAAGACCAGCCTGGGCAACATGTTGAAACCCCATCTCTACTAAAAATACTAAAATTAGCTGGGCATGGTGGCACGTGCCTGTAATCTCAGCTACTCGGGAGGCTGAGGCAGGAGAATCACTGGAGCTGGGAAGGTGGAGTTTGCAGTGAGTCAAGATTGTGCCATTGCACTCCAGCCTGGGTGATAGAGCAAGACTCTGTCTCAAAAAAAAAAAAAAAAAAAAAAACCAAAGAAAGAAAGAAAGACTCCTCCCTAACTCATTTTTAAGAGGCCAGCATCATCCTGATACCAAAACCTGGCAGAACACAACAATAACAAAAAATTTCAGGCCAATATCCCTGATGAACATCAGTGTGAAAATCCTCAATAAAATACTGGCAAACCAAATCCAGCAGCACATCAAAAAGCTTATCCACCACAATGAAGTTGGCTTCATCCCTGGGATGCAAGGCTGGTTCAACATACACAAATCAATAAACGTAATCCATCACATAAACAGAACCAATGACCAAAACCACATGATTATTTCAATAGATGCAGAAAAGGCCTTTGATAAAATTAAACAGCCCTTCATGCTAAAAACTCTCAATAAACTAGGTGTTGATGGAATGTATCTCAAAAAAACAAGAGCTATTTATGACAAACCTGCAGCCAATATCACACTGAATGGGCAAAAGCTGGAAGCATTCCCTTTGAAAACCTGCTCAAGCAAGGATGCCCTCAGTCACCACTCCTATTCAACATAGTATTGGAAGTTCTGGCCAGGGCAATCAGGCAAGAGAAAGAAATAAAGGGTATTCAAATAGGAAGAGAGGAAGTCAAATTGTCTCTGTTTGCAGATGTCATGACTGTATATTTAGAAAACCCCATCATCTCAGCCCAAAATCTCCTTAAGCTGATAAGCAACTTCAGCAAAGTCTCAGGACACAAAAATCAATGTGCAAAAATCACAAGCATTCCTATATACCAATGATAGACAGAGAGCCAAATCATGAGTGAACTCCCATTCACAATTGCTACAAAGAGAATAAAATACCTAGGAATACAACTTACAAGGGATTTGAAGGACCTCTTCAAGGAGAATTACAAACCACTACTCAAAGAAATAAGAGAGGACACAAACAAATGGAAAAACATTCTATGTTCATGGATAGGAAGAAACAATATCATGAAAATGGCCATACTGTGCAAAGTAATTTATAGATTCAATGCTATCCCCATCAAGCTACCACTGACTTTCTTCACTGAATTAGAAAAAAATACTTTAAATTTCATATGGAGGCAAAATAGAGCCCGTATAGCCAAGAAAATTCTAAGCAAAAAGAACAAAGCTGGAGGCATCACACTACCTGACTTCAATTTATATTACAAGGCTACAGTAACCAAAACAGCAACAGCATGGCACTGGTACCACAACAAATATGTAGATGGAACAGAACAGAGGCCTCAGAAATAATGCCACACACCTACAACCATCTGATCTTTGACAAACCTGACAAAAACAAGAAATGGAGAAAGGATTTCCTATTTAATGAATGGTGTTGGAAAAACTGTCTAGCCATATGCAGAAAGCTGAAACTGGATCCCTTCCTTACCCCTTATACAAAAATTAACTCAAAATGGATTAAAGACTTAAATATAAGACCTAAAACCATAAAAACTCTAGAAGAAAACCTAGGCAATACCATTCAGGACATAGGCACGGGCAAAGACTTCATGACTAAAACACCAAAAGCAACTTCAACAACAGCCAAAATTGACAAATAGGATCTAATTAAACTAAAGAGCTTTTGCACAGCAAGAGAAACTATCATCAGAGTAAACAGACAACCTACAGAAAGGGAGAAAAGTTTTGCAATCTATCCATCTGACAAAGGGCTAATATCCAGAATCTACAAAGAGCTTAAACAAATTTACAAAAAAAAAATGGAAAAAGTGGGCAAAGGATATGAACAGGCACTTCTCAAAAGATGACATTTATGCAGCCAATAAACATATGAAAAAAAGCTCATCATCAGTGGTCAGTAGAGAGATGCAATCAAAACCACAATGAGATACCATCTCACACCAGTTAGAATGGTGATCATTAAAAAGTCAGGAAACAACAGATGCTGGAGAGAATGTGGAGAAATAGGAACGCTTTTACACTGTTGATGGGAGTATAAATTAGTTCAACCATTATGGAAGAAAGTGTGGCAATTCCTCAAGCATCTAGAACTAGAAATACCATTTGACCCAGCAATCCCATTATTGGGCATATACCAAAAAGATTATAAATCATTCTCCTGTAAAGATACATGCACACATATGCTTATTGTAAGCACTGTTCACAATAGCAAAGACTTGGAGCCAACCCAAATGCCCATCAGTGATAGACTGGATAAAGAAAATGTGGCACATACACACCATGGAATACTAAGCAGCAATGAAAAAGGATGAGTTCATGTCCTTTGCAGGGACATGGATGAAGCTGGAAACCATCATTCTCAGCAAACTAACACAGGAACAGAAAACCAAACACCACAAGTTCTCACTCATAAGTGGTAGTTGAACAATGAGAACACATGGACCCAGGGAGGGGAACATCATACATTGGGGCCTGTCACAAGGTGGGGGGCTAGGGGGGGATAGCATTAGGAGAAATACCTAATGTAGATGACAAGTTGATGGGTGCAGCAAACCACCATGGCACATGTCTACCTATATAACAAACCTGCACGTTGTGTACATGTATCCCAGAACTTAAAGTATAATAAACAAATAAATAAGAAAGATATGTCTTGTGATCTGCTACATAATATATTTTTAATTATTCATATGTGCTATTGAAGAATATAAATTTTTCTATTAATTCAGTACATATATATGTCTTAAATGAAGTTTGATGGTGAGTTATTCAAATATTCAGTTTCTGTACTATTTTTTGCCTGATTAGTGTATAATTACAAATTTGAAAAATTTTCCATGCAATACAATATCTGTTTTCTAAATTTTGAGACTATGTTGTCATTGCACATAAGTGTATGATTACTTTATACTTTTGGTGAAGTTTTTCTTTTGTCATTAGGTACTGACACCATCTCTATTAATAATTTTGCACTAAATTCTATTTTGTCTGATACTAATATTGCTATAGCAGCTTTCTTTGGCTTAGTGATTGCCTACTAGATTTTTAATTTTGTATTTTCAATATTTTCAAGTTATATCATTTATGTGTATCACGTATGCATTATATAATTTAATATTCTTTCTTATATAATCTAATTTCTGGTAAATTTTACTTTTTCTGCCATTGATTTCTTATTTACCATTTTAGCTTATATTTTCTCCTTCTCTGCTATGTATTTGGTTGAGTTTGCCAGTTCTCTTTTTTAATCTTTCTAACCACTCACTTATTTAGAACTTATGTGCTCTATTTTTATCTTTTATTAGCTAGCTTTAAATTTTTACCATGGATACTAAACAAGACTTAAAGTTAATCAATATCTCTATTCTCCTCCTGAATAATGAAAAGGATTTTAGAATACTTAACTCTGATCTCCCCCCGTCCACCTCTATATTATTATAGCCTAATGGTCAACAGGATTTATGTGTTTGAAGGGAAAAGGGAATTTTCCCAGCTCAATGTGCTATGGTGACGTGAAGTCTATTTTAGAAATGTTCTCTTATATAATATTACACTTCCATAATAAAAATAGGTTATTTTACAAAAAATTAGCCGGGCGTGATGTGCATCCCTGTAGTCCCAGCTACTTGGGAGGCTGAGGCAGGGGAATCACTTGAACCTGGGAGGCAGATGTTGCAGTGAGCCAAGATCGCACCACTGCCCTCCAGCCTGAGTGACAGACCAAGACCCCATCTCAAAAAAAAAAAAAAAAAAAGTTATTTTATGGTGTATTTCTAGAGAGAAAAGTAAAGTAAATTCGTGCTATTAAAATACGTTTCTGAAAACTAAGAAAATATCAGGCAAATAACTAAGTATCAAAAACAATATAAAAGTTCATATTGTTCACAAAAATTGTCTTAATTTTTAACTACTGCTTATGCAACTGATATGAATGATATGGTTTGGCTGTGTCCCCACCCAAATCTCATCTTGAATTGTAGCTCTCATAATCCCCACATGTTATGGGGTGATTGAATCATGGGGGCGGGTTTTTCCTGTTCTGTTCCTGTGATAATGAGTAAGCCTCATGAGATCTGATGGTTTTATAAAGGGCAGTTCCCCTACACGCACTCTCTTGCCTGCCACGATGTAACACATGCCTTTGCTCCTCCTTCACCTTCCACCATGATTGTGAAGTCTCCCCAGCCATGGAAACTTAGAGTCCATTAAACCTCTTTTTCTTTATAGATTACCCAGTCTCGGGTATGTCCTTATAGCAGCATGACAACGGACTAATACAGTGAACAAGTTGAAGATAGAAAATACAAAACTTGGCCGGGCGCGGTGGCTCATGCCTGTAATCCCAGCACTTTGGGAGGCCGAGATGGGCAGATCACGAGGTCAGGAGATCCAGATCATCCTGGCTAACACAGTGAAACCCCGTCTCTACTAAAAATACAAAAAATTAGCCAGGCGTGTTGGCGGGCACCTGTAGTCCCAGCTACTCGGGAGGCTGAGGCAGGAGAATGGCATGAACCGGGGAGGTGGAGCTTGCAGTGAGCCGAGATTGCGCCACTGCACTCCAGCATGGGTGACAGAGCAAGACTCCATCTCAAAAAAAAAAAAAAAAAAAAGAAAGAAAGAAAAGAAAGAAAATAAAAAGAAAAAAAGAAACCACAAAACTTAGAAAATGTCAAAGTCAGAGTGTTTTTTTTTTCCACTTTTTGGATCTTTTTGGGGGGGATTGGTTGAGACACAATGTCAAAGATTTGCTTTCTTCTGTGATCATCATTTAATCTTTATTTCATTATTTTCTTATAAGAAGTAAATCTTTTGAGCATTATTTGTAGACATCAAGGCCTAGAGCTATGGAGCATGAAATATGCTGAGCTTGAAAAATGAGAAAGAAGCTAGAGACTCTGCCCCCTCTTCTCACCTTTGCTGTACTTATAATTAACAATTTAGGCATAAGCAAAAAGGTGACAAATAGAGTAACAGTTTTTGGAAGATGCCAAAGGTTCTGCCTACTGCCAATCTTCCTGTTCAACCTAAAACTCTGTACGAATCACCAGAAGGATCATTCTTCAAGTTGCAATCATTTGTTTCCAAGAAAAGAAATGTGCATAAGATCAACCCAAACATTCACTTTGTTCATATATTGAATGTATATTATAAATTATATAACTGTTTTCTACTTATTCTCACTTGTTTTGAATCAATAAATTCCTTTTTTGTTTTCTAAAGTTCTTTGTTAAAAACAGCTGACCAGCTCAAACCCACCATGATAGTCAAGGTCAAGAACCAATATACACGCAACAGGTATATTTACTAAAATCAAGAACCTGAAATACAGTATTTTCTAGTAGTCTATGAACTGAGGCTACATAAGTGGTATTTACCCTTCTCAAACTCAGCATTTAAAATGAACTTCTAGATCTCTCTGTGATAATGATAATAATGATGATAATATGATGAAAGTGCTGAGAGTCATTTCTGCACACCAAGTGCTTCATATAAACAACGTTATTTATTTTTCCTATATTCTTATGAGATAGGTAACTATTATAAGGCCATTTCACAGATGAAGAAACTGAGACTATGAAGGAATAAGTAACCTGCCCAAGTTCATAGATTAAAATATGGCAGTTCTGGGATTCAGGCTGCCTAATTTCAAAGTTATGCCTTTAACTATTAAACTAAATTGACTCCCTACTCTGAAATGTTCACTCAGCATATATACCTTCCTTTGTTCCACTCCCAAAAAGCTCTGAAGGGCTCATACCATTTCTTTGTTTTTCCTACATCAAATCTCTACATGGCACAGCAAGACCTATGGAGTATAATTCTTACAAACAATGAAACATGGGTATAATTGAAGATCTGCTTTAATTATTGCCAGCACTTTCTCAGGATATTGTTCAATGTGAAAGGTGATGTTAAAATCAAAATTGTTGCTAGGTCTAAAATAGCCATTTTTGTAACAAGTGTAATCACGAACAGTAGGTGACTGTCCTTGGATCTTTTCCAGTATATTCTGCTCCCTCAGAGTGGCAATTCTCTGTCCATTGCTTACTTTAGACAGCAGTCAGTGAGAATTTGGATGTGGCAGAGTGTTTAGTGTTTCTTAGCATTTCATAAGTAGAAAAATATGTCAGTACATTTCTTGACAATACCAATTTTGTCATTTTTAAAGGACCGAGATAGCTCTTGCTTACTGTTGAAATCATATTTGAAAAGAACCTCCAGCATTCTCAGTTTAAAGACAAAATACCTTTTTTTAACTTCTTATGTAAAAGACATATTGAATGAGAGAGAGGGTGTCATTTATACTCAGACTGCCTTTTGCCTCTGAAGCAGCAATAAACAATATTAAGAAGTTATAAATATTTGTAATGGAGTGAGGAAAAACATGATCCAGAGAAGAGCTGATGCTCTACACTACAGTGTGCTAGATTTAGGATCCTCTGGGTTAATATCAACTCCCACTATCCTATTATTTTCCTTGACTTTACAATAATCTAGGTTTAGGACCCTCTGGGTTAATATCAACTACCATTGCTCTACTTACCTTGACTTATTATATTAGTATCCTAGTGATTGTGTAGCATATTGCTGAATTAAAATACTTGTGGATACACTTTGTTGAATTTCTTCTATTTTCATAAAATTTATTACAAAAATGTTCAAAGCAACTTCTACATCTTAACTTCCCTCCAGAAATGGATTTTAAAGTTTTAAAAGAAAACTAATGCCTCATTTGTAATCCTAGGAGTCTGATGACAGTATATCTTTTCTTCTATGGGACAAGAAACAGAATTTTCTTTTCTCTTAGCATTCATCTGTAAACAAAGATGTCGAAAGGCAATGAAATGTCGTAACTATTTTATATAGTATTTTACTCTCATAATGTATTTATTACATTGGTAAAGAGCAATGATTTTTTTAAAAGAGAGAAAAGCTTGTTTTCAAATGGTAGCATTATCACATAAAATGCTTCACTGAACTAGTGCCCTGTAGTTCAACAACTGTCACAAAATTGTTGGAACACTTGTTAAAAATTAGAGACAAGCAGAAAGTGTTTGCTAAGGGGAAAAGGCAATTTTTGAACTAAATAATTGCTTTCATAGGAACATAAACTTAAATCAATAAACCCATCTCTTTTAATAAACTTCTTCCAGTCTTGACAGCAAAAGATTTATTTGGCCTACCCTTATTTGGAGAAGTTAGAATGTGTTCTGAGATCATGCTGTAATATATGACAAAATATAAGAGAAAAAGTGAAACATTAAATAAAGTGTACCACAGACCTTCATATTTCAAAATACACACATCCTTCTGCTCACACAAACACAGTCAACTGCCCTGCAGCTATGAGTCTAAAATTCAACTAACAATCAAATATATGCATGTCTCACAAAGCTGATCTTTGACAAATCAGCATAAGACTATAAGGAAAGTAAATACAATATTAAATGTTAGATGTGATTCAAAAGTATAAATGGTGAAGAAATACAATCCCTGACATACTAGTGACTAAAGAATCATCAGCATATTTGGGAAATAAAGTTCAATGACTGGAGAATATATAAGTGACTCATGGTGCTGTGTACCTTGATGTGCAAAGCAACACTGACCTTGACATGATGCAAAATGATCAGCCTACAACACTTATGATGTTTGTTCCTGTACAAAACTTTGTGAGAATTCAGAAAAAATATATTGATGTCCATTCAGCTCAACAATGATGCAATCCAGATGGTTATAAGTAATAAAATTATCTTCCCAAGAGAGCTGCACAGATTGTCTTATCTGTTTATGCGGTCTGGGTTATCTATGCTCGAAAATACTCTAAGTACATTCTGGCTGAGAGGAAAGTTACCAGCTTTTAAGGTAAAGTTTGATGGAATTGTTTATGGAAAAAATAAATGTGCAGGACATTCATTTACTTAAACAAGAAATTTTATGTTTTCAGGAAACACAGTTAAAGGTGAAATGTTTGGGAATCTTTGAAAACTATTGACTAGAACAAAAGACTTTATTGACCCTTTAGGAATGTGTCTGATTCTACAAAGGATGAACTGAAATGTCTGTTTTGCCATTATCCATTAATATGATCATAAGGCCATATTGTGATACCCATACAAATCAAGCCTGAAATTCATATTTTTATTCCTGGCAATGACTCAGACTGCCAGAATTGAAAACATTCTTACAAGGTTTTTGGATGACACTAAGCTATATCTTTATATGACAGACATAGATTTACATATGCTTTTTCTTTTAAATAACTCACATACATTTTTATTTTATTTTATATTTAGAAAAAGGAAGAAAGTCACCTGCTGGATGTTCAACTGCAGAGAAGAACAAGTAGTCAAAGCCTGGTGTGGCATAGGAAAAGAAAGGACAGGATTTGGAATCAAACTTGTGTTCCAGCATGTCTCTGCCACTTCCCACACATTCTTCATCTCTTCTAGCTATTTTGAAATATATAACAAATTATTAACTATAATTTCCCTACTGTACTATCAAATACTAGAAATTATTCCTTCCACATAACTGTATTTTTGTATCCATTAACCAACATCTCTTGACTTCAAGGAATGAACCAAATCAGTTCCCAAATGTGCACAAAAACAGATCCCTTGGTTCTAGTTTTCTCTTTTCTTTTCTAGGCTTACCTAACATATGAAGGTAAATAGGATCAAAACCCAAATGGGTATAGAGTGCTAATGGTTTCTGTTAATGTTAATATTCATCATCGTGAGTAGCCTGAGACAAGGGATACTCAGCCGATGCCAAAAATAGAACGAGCTTGTCTTTACCAAACAGCAGCATTACATTTTAGAGCCTCATCCCAGGCACATGGTTAATACTAAAGATGCCAACCACATCAGGAAGAGGCTGGATAAAGGGAGAGCTCTTGTAATTCTATCCTTGGAATAACATCCATTTAAAATTAAAGAATAGTTTAAAAATTAAACTCTAAGATGCAATATAAACATTCCTATGATAAGGAAATTTTGTAGTCTGGAAGAAATTTTTAAGATATGTTTTAAAAAATGATTATGGCCACATCAATTTAAATTAGATTGGGTAATAGAAAACTCAGCTTTGTTCATTACAGAGGGGGAAGTCAGGCAAAAGGAAGTACATTATAGTTAAATGTAATATTTAGAGAATATAATAAAATATCTGACAATATATTCCTGGGTTTCAGAAGGATTATGTATAAATACTTTTGTAGGATTTAATAGTCTCACCAAGTAAAATATCGTATTTGAAAATAAGCATATTAAAAATAAAATGGAGTTTTCAAAATAGTGAGCATAAAAAACTATTTGTATATAAGTCAAGTAATGATGCAAAAAAAAAATTTCATAAATGAATCATCTGTCTATACTTGTTTCATTAAAGGATAATATATTGGAATATCATTTCAGCAACATTGCCAAAGCTTCCCAGATTTGATTTCAATCCAAAATTTGTATCAGAACTCAGCACTTTAAAAACAAAGAAAAAAGGAAAATTCAATGCAGATGTACATTTCCATGATACTTAGTGCATAAGACTATAGTTGAAGCATATTTGTCATCATGGCAACCAGCCAACAAAAAAAATATTAGAGGAACATGAAGACAAGCTGCATATTTCTGTACAATCATTCCATAACTCAGATTATAGAGCAACATAGTAACTTAATGTATATTTATAATGATATAATTAAATCTTCCTTCCACAAGTTCTATAGAATCTGTCAGTAGATTGGGGAAAGAAAAGCAGATAATGCATTAATCAATCATCAAATGCTTAACAATATGCCTAACAAACCATGTGGCTCTTTGTGTGAATCAAAAATATTAGAATTGTAGGATTAATCTATGCCTCAGGGACTTAACAATTATATGTCTCCTGTTGTTTTTGTTTCTATTTAATTATATTGATTTATTGACAAAATATATATGCTTTAAAAAGATTTTTGCAATGAGCTGCATAAATTTATCACATTTAATATACACAATGAAATAAAAACTTAGAGAACTGATAAATATGTCTGGAAAATAAAGCCTAAAAAACAGTTGAATGTCAGTATACATAAAAGAAACATTGTAGAATTAGAAAAAAAATACTTAAAACTCCAGATCTATCATGTACTAGAAATAGACAAGATGAATATCTCTTTTTCTTAATTCCTTGTTCATCTATAAAATAATGGACATAACATTGGAATGAAATGTCATCATGCCATTATTTTCAGGAGTGAGTATCTCCCTAGAAAATCGAAGAAAATTAATGAAAATGTTTAGAAATAGGGAGATTTATTTAAAGTAACATAAAAAATAAATAACTTTTCAATGCATCAGAATAATCTTTTGGAAAATATAGTGAAAAATATGCCATTTCTAATTGCCTAGGAATAATTTTTATTAGAATTTTATGAGACAAATTAAAAGAATCATCAAAATTTACTGAAAAATACAAAAGAGTTGAAAAAATGGAAAGACTGTTCTCCGTGAAAAAAAAAATTTCTTCTAAATTATTTACCAATTTAAGAATTCTAATCAGAACTCCAAAAAGTAGAAAGAATCTCAAATTAATGATCTAATATCACACTTAGAGGAAATAGAAAAGCAAAAGCAAACTAACCCTAAAGTTAGTAGATGAAAAGAAAGAGTTAAAACCAGAGCTGAGCTGAATGAAATTGAGACCCAAAAATCTATGCACAGCATCAATGAAATGAAAAGTTGGTCATTTGAAAAGGTAACCAGAATCAATAGGCCACCAGCTAAATTAACAAATAAAAAAAGAGAGATGGTCCAAATAAGCACAATCAAAATAACAAAGGTGATATTACAAATAATCCCACAGAAATGCAAAAGATCTTCAGAGACTGAGGATCATCTCTATGCACACAAAGTAGAAAAACTAGAGGAAATGGATAAATTCCTGGAAAGAGACAACTTAAGATTAAATCAGGAAGAAATTGAAACCCTGAAAAAACTAATATCAAGTTCCAAAATTGAGTCATTAATGAAAAACTTCCCAAACAAACAAACAAATAAAAAAGCCACATCAGATAGACATACAAAGAAGAGCTGGCACCAATTCTACTGAAACTATTCCAAAAAATTGAGGAGAACTAGGCTTCATTACTTGAAAGCAAACTTGGTTGAACATATGCAAATCGATTAATGTAATTCATCACATAAACAGAATTTTTAAAAACGATATGATCATCCAAATAGATGCTGATAAAGCTTTCAAGAAAGTCAAAAATTTATGTATGATAGAAATCCTCAACAAACTAAATATTGAAGAAATACACCTCAAAATAATGAGTCATCTATGACAAACCCAAAACCAACCTCATACTGAACATGCAAAAGCTAGTCGTACTGAACATGCAAAAGCTAGAAGTGCTTACTCTTAAGAAATAGAACAAGAAAAGGATGCCCGTTCGCACCACTCCAATTCAACATAGTACTGGAAGTCCTAGCCAGAGCAATCATGCAATGGAAAAAAATAAAAGGCATCCAAATAGGAAGAGAGGAAGCCAGACTTTCTCTCTTTGCTGATAATGATTCTATACCTAGAAAACCCTAAAGACTCCACCAAAAAGCTCTTACATTTCATTAATGACTTCAGTAAAGTGTCAAAATACATAACTACAAAACATTGCCGAAAGAAATCAAAGATGGTGAGTTCATGTAAATGATGAGTTCATGTCCTTTGTAGGGACATGGATGAAATTGGAAATCATCATTCTCAGTAAACTATCGCAAGAACAAAAAACCAAACACAACACATTCTCACTCACAGGTGGGAACTGAACAATGAGAACACATGGACACAGGAAGGGGAACATCACACTCTGGGGACCGTTGTGGGGTGGGGGGAAGGGGGAGGTATAGCTTTAGGAGATATACCTAATGCTAAATGACGAGTTAATGGGTGCAGCACACCAGCGTGGCACATCTATACATATGTAACTAACCTGCACATTGTGCACATGTACCCTAAAACTTAAAGTATAATAATAATAAAATAAAATAAAATAAAATGAAGAAATCATAGATGAAACAAACAAATTGAAAAATATTTTATGCTCAAGGATTGGAAGAACCAATAACATTATAATGTCCATACTGCCCAAAACAATCTACAGATTCAATGCTATTCCTATCAAACTACCAATGTCATTTTTCACAGTTAGAAAAAACAACTCTAAAATTTATATGGAACTAAAAAAGAGCCTGATTAGCCAAAGCAATCCTAAGCAAAAAGAACAAAGCTGAAGGCATCACATTACCCAACTTTAAATTATACTATAAGGCTATGGTAACCAAAACAGCATGGTACTGGTACAAAAATAGACATGTAGACCAATGGTACAGAATAGAGAACCCAGAAATAAAGCTGCACACCTACAGCCATCTGATCTTCAACAAAGTCAAGAAAAATAAGCAATGGAGAAAGGACTCCTTATTCAATAAATGATGCTGGATAGCGGCTGGCTATATGCAGAAAATGAAACTGGACTCCTACTTTTCACTATACACAAAAATTAACTCAAGATGGATTAAAGATTTAAATGTAAGACCTCAACCTCTGAGAATCTGATATGATTTGGCTGTGTCCACTCTCAAATCTTATCTTGAATTGCAGTTTCCCCATGTTGTGGGAGGGACCAGGTGAAGATAATTGAATCATGGAGGCAGTCTCCCCCATGCAATTCTGGTGATAGTGAATGAGTTCTTGCAAGATCTGATGGTTTAATAAGGGGCTTTTCCCCTTTTGCTCTGCACTTCTTGCTGCTGCCATGTGAAGGACATGTTTGCTTCCCCTTCTGCCATGATTGTAAGTTTCCTGAGGCCTCCCCAGCCCTGAGGAACTGTGAGACGGTTAAACCTCTTCCCTTACTAAATTATCCAGTCTCTCATATGTCCTTATAGCAGCTTGAGAATGGACTAATACAGAATCCTAGAAGAAAACCTAGGAAACACCATTCTGAATATCAGTTTTGGGAAAGAATTTATATCTAAATTCTCAAAAGCAATTATAACAAAAAACAAGAATTTGCAAGTGAGACCTAATTAAACTAGAGTTTCTGCACAACAAAAGGGACTATCAACAGAGACAAACAAAAACCTACAGTATAGGAGAAAATATTCACAAGCTAGACATCCAACAAAGATCTAATACTCAGAATCTATAAGAAACAATTCAACAAGCATAAAACAAACAACCTCATTGAAAAGTGGGCAAAAGACATGAACAGAGACTTCTCAAAAGAAAATGTATAAGTGACCAATAAACATATGAAAAAATGCTCAACATCACTAATCATCAAAGAAATGCAAATTAAAACCGAGATACCACGTAATACCAGTCAGAATGACTATTATTAAAAAGTAAACAAACAAACAAACAAAAATCAATGTATGCTGGATAAAAGTGAAAACTTATGCATGGGTAGTGGGAATGTAAATTTGTTCAGCCACTGTGGAAAACAGTTTGGAGATTTCTCTGCGAACTTGAAATAGAAATTATAATTTAATCCAGCAATCCTATTACTGGGTGTATATCCAAAGTAAAATATATCATTATACCGAAAAGACACATGCACATCTATATTCATCACAGTACTATCCACAATAGCAAAGACATTGAATCAACCTATGTGCCCATCAATGGTAGACTGAATAAAGAAAATGTGGTACATATACACCATGAAATTCTATGTAGCCATAAAAAAGAATGAAAGAATGTTTCTTTGCAGCCACATGGATGCAGCTAGAGGTCATTATTCCAAGCAAATTAATACAGGAACAGAAAAGCAAATATTGCAGGTTTTTACTTGTAAGTGGGAGCTAACCATTGGGTAATCACGGACATAGCGATGGCAACAATAGAAACTGGGGACTGCTAGAGTGTGGAGGGAGGGAGGGAGATAAGGACTGAGAAACCATTGGGTGCTATGCTCACTATGTTGGGAATCAACCCTACCCCAAACCGTAGCATCATGCAATATACCCATGTAACAAACCTGCGTATGTACCTCCTGAATCTAAAATATAAGTTGAAATTATTTTTTAAAATTTCAACACGACATTTTTGCATCTTAACAAGCTTATTTTAATGTTCATGTGGGAGGAAGTATGCAGAAAGCAACTGACCAAGGCAGCCTTAATATTCCCCTCAGCTTGACTAAAGTTTAGACAGATATTTTTTCCTGACTATAGGTCTCTGATCTCCCTATTCTTAGAGCATTTACTTTTAAAAACACAACTGCATTCTTACTCTGCACTTTTGAGATATAAATCATCTCTCAGCTTCTTGCCAGTTTCACAGCCCAGGAATGCCTTTCTTAAGAACCTGGGAGCCATACTTTTGAAATGTAAATATCAAAAAAGATAGGGTCCCTATTTTCTAGCTCTGTCAGAGGGTGGGAGCCTAACTTTGATAAGCATCAATTAGCAAACAGAGATGGCCTACTGACATTGAGCATTCTTCCCCTAATGCCCATCAGTACTTTTTCACAGGCTCACCCCAGTGCTTAAAATCTCTCCTTGTTTTGTTTCAGAGGAGTTAAATTCACTCTCTTTATCCCCATTGCAATTGTCTTGACCCCTAGTGCAATACCCTTGAATAAAGCCTTCCTTGTCTGTTTTACTCCGTTTGATCCAAATTTTATTTGGATCAAGACACTTTTGAAAAAGAAGGGTGTAAGAAGAGGAAAGTATATGTATTGGGTATCAAGTATCATAAACTTACAATAATTAAAAACCAAGGTATTGGTGCCCAGTAAGAAGGGTTAACCCTTTTCTCATTTGCCCTGAGAATACTTTCTAGTAGTGCTTGAGGCTGCAGCATTTACCCCAACATAAACTTTGCCTCTAAATATCTGGCTTTTATGATTATTTTTACATCACTCTAGTATATCAACTTTGGAAACAAAAGGCATCATTCTATTTACAACATTCTGTTTTTAGTAGTAGTATTTCCATTTAAAAAATATAGTAATTCTTGATCACTGAAAATGTCAAACCCTAGAAAAGAGCATTCATATGCGTGATGTTAACGTCGTTCTTGAACAGTTGTTGGCCAAAGATTCATTTAATGAATCTGATTTTTCTGAAATACACAATTCTGATGATTCAGACGATTCTGATATTAGGTCTGTTTACAAATAACTCCAAGAACACGTTTTTTTAAATTTTTTTAATTTTATTTTCACATTGAAAATCAATCAGATTTGCTTCAGGCTCAAAGAGCATGTTTATGTAAAATTAAATGAGTGCTGATATTGAACTGCACTTTCTATTTTCTGAACAGGAAAAGGGTTAATATATCAGGATAGTCAAAAACATACCCATGTATGTGTGTAAATTTAGTATGTTATACATACAGAATTTTAAATCAGTAAAATAAAATATGAACTATACAGTAAAGATGTCGGGACAATGGAATCCCACATGGGGAAAATGAAGTTTCATCCCAGCCTCATGCCATACACAAAAATAAATTCTGGCTGGATTAAAATTCTTAACTAGAAATTGAAAAGTTAGTGCCAAGGGACCAACTATAGCTGAGAATTTATGTGTTTGTTTTAGTTTTTTTTTTTAATTATACTTTAAGTTTTAGGGTACATGTGCACAATGTGCAGGTTAGTTACATATGTATACATGTGCCATGCTGGTGTGCTGCACCCATTAACTCATCATTTAGCATTAGGTATATCTCCTAAAGCTATCCCTCCGCCATCCCGCCACCCCACAACAGTCCCCAGAGTGTGATGTCCCCCTTCCTGTGTCCATGTGTTCTCATTGTTCAATTCCCACCTATGAGTGAGAACATGCAGTGTTTGGTTTTTTGTCCTTGTGATAGTTTACTGAGAATGATGATTTCCAGTTTCATCCATGTCCCTACAAAGGATATGAACTCATCATTTTGTATGGCTGCATAGTATTCCATGGTGTATATGTGCCACATTTTCTTAATCCAGTCTATCATTGTTGGACATTTGGGTTGGTTCCAAGTCTTTGCTATTGTGAATAGTGCCGCAATAAACATACGTGTGCATATGTCTTTATAGCAGCATGATTTATAGTCCTTTGGGTATATACCCAGTAATGGGATGGCTGGGTCAAATGGTATTTCTAGTTCTAGATCCCTGAGGAATCGCCACACTGACTTCCACAATGGTTGAACTAGTTCACAGTCCCACCAACAGTGTAAAAGTGTTCCTATTTCTCCACATCCTCTCCAGCACCTGTTGTTTCCTGACTTTTTAATGATTGCCATTCTAACTGGTGTGAGATGGTATCTCATTGTGGTTTTGATTTGCATTTCTCTGATGGCCAGTGATGGTGAGCATTTTTTCATGTGTTTTTTGGCTGCATAAATGTCTTCTTTTGAGAAGTGTCTGTTCATGTCCTTTGCCCACTTTTTGATGGGGTTGTTTGTTTTTTTCTTGTAAATTTGTTTGAGTTCATTGTAGATTCTGGATATTAGCCCTTTGTCAGATGAGAACATTGCAAAAATTTTCTCCCATTTTGTGGGTTGCCTGTTCACTCTGATGGTAGTTTCTTTTGCTGTGCAGAAGCTCTTTAGTTTAATTAGATCCCATTTGTCAATTTTGGCTTTTGTTGCCATTGCTTTTGGTGTTTTAGACACGAAGTCCTTGCCCATGTCTATGTCCTGAATGGTAATGCCTAGGTTTTCTTCTAGGGTTTTTAGGGTTTTAGGTCTAACATTTAAGTCTTTAATCCATCTTGAATTAATTTTTGTATAAGGTGTAAGGAAGGGATCCAGTTTCAGCTGTTTACATATGGCTAGCCAGTTTTCCCAGCACCATTTATTAAATAGGGAATCCTTTCCCCATTGCTTGTTTTTCTCAGGTTTGTCAAAGATCAGATAGTTGTAGATATGCAGCGTTATTTCTGAGGGCTCTGTTCTGTTCCATTGATCTATATCTCTGTTTTGGTACCAGTACCATGCTGTTTTGGTTACTGTTGCCTTGTAGTATAGTTTGAAGTCAGGTAGTGGGAGGCCTCCAGCTTTGCTCTTTTGGATTCTAGATATCCAATCATGTCATCTGCAAACAGGGACAATTTGACTTCCTCTTTTCCTAATTGAATACCCTTTATTTCCTTCTCCTGCCTAATTGCCCTGGCCAGAAGTTCCAACACTATGTTGAATAGGAGTGGTGAGAGAGGGCATCCCTGTCTTGTGCCAGTTTTCAAAGGGAATGCTTCCAGATTTTGCCCATTCAGTATGATATTGGCTGTGGGTTTGTCATAGATAGCTCTTATTATTTTGAGATACGTCCCATCAATACCTAATTTCTTGAGAGTTTTTAGCATGAAGGTTGTTGAATTTTGTCAAAGGCCTTTTCTGCAACTATTGAGACATTTTAGACCAATATCCTTGATGAACATTGATGCAAAAATCCTCAATAAAATACTGGCAAACTGAATCCAGCAGCATATCAAAAAGTTTATCCACCATGATCAAGTGGGCTTCATCCCTGGGATGCAAGGCTGGTTCAATATACACAAATCAATAAATGTAATCCAGCATATAAACGAACCAAAGACAGAGATAGTTTTATATTGAAAGTGTGATGATGATGATGATGATAAAAACAGCAACAAAAATACCACTAATAACCTAGCTTATGCAGTGTTGCCTGCATGCCAGGTGTGGTTCTAACAGTTTCACATATATTAGTCATTTAACCCTCCCACTAACCCTATGAGGTGAATGTCTTATTCTCCCAATTCTTTAGAAGAGTCACCTGAAGCATAAGGAAGTTAAGTGACTTCCCAGAGTCAAATATTTAGTGTGTAATATTGTTAGAATTTGAACCCAGGCAAAAGGCTTTAGACCTGATGCTACTGACCAAATATTAGGAAAGCTTGCACCTTAAAAGATAGATGTTCAGTAACAGTAGCAAACATGACATGATTCACCCACACTCTTTCATACAGTTCCCACTGGGTCTAATTTTCCACTGCTGTGTAACAATTTTCCAGGATTGGGGAAAGAGATGAAAGAAATATAATAGGGAATCATCAGACTGTACCTGTTCCATAGGAGAATTAAAATAGACAGCCCTCTTCTGCTCAAGCTGAATTACTTAAGTATCTTTGTATGTTCAGGACCTTAGAAAACACGGAGAGGGAAAGACAAAACCCTGCTGGGTTTTCTAGGTTTCAAAGGGACAAGAGGAAAAATCATTATGGCAGCTAAAAGGAACAAAAAATCAGTTATAAGCTGCCTGTTACCATGGAGAAAGATATGCCACTTTCTAAGGGGGTGGTTCTCAAATTTTAGTGTGCATCAGAATCCCCTAGAGGGCTTTTTAAACCATAGACTGCTGGGTGCTACCTTTAATTTCTGATTCAGTAGGCTAAGGAGGGATCGAGAATTTGTCTATTTAATGGCTTTCCCAATGCCGCTGATGCTGCTGAGGACCACACTGAGAAATAACGATCTAAATATTTTTACATCACTGGGCTTATAGAGTGAATGCTGTTGTGTGTCTGATGAAATGTGTTTTATAAATTGTGGTAATTAGAGGGAGCAATGGGCTCTTCTCTGTTATTGATGCATGGCCAAGCAGATATTGGCAAACTTGGGCTTGCATTTCAAAAAACATCCACAATCTTGGATTATTTTGCCTTATAATATATATTGGTTTCCTAAGGTTGCCATAACAAATTATTCAAGCTGTCTGGTTTAAAACTCAGAAATTTATTCTCTCACAGTCTAGAGGCCAGAAGTCTGAAATCGAGGTGTCAGCAGGTTTAGTTCCTTCTGGAGACTCTGAGAGGGAATCTGTTCCAAGCCTCTCTCCTAGTTTCTGTTGTTGTGCTGGAAATCCTTGGTGTTCTGTGGCTTACAGATGCATCACTTCAATCTCTGCCTCCACCAGCACATAGCATTCTTCCTGTGTGCCTCTCTGTTTCTCTTCTTTCTATAAGTGATTAGATTTAAGGCACACCCTAATCTATTAAGACCTCATCTGAACTAATTAAGACCTTGTTTCCAAATAAAGACACATTTTGAGATTTCAAATGGACATGAATTTGAGAAGGATTCAACCCAGTACATTCTCTATCCCAGTGTCTTAACTGCATTGTCTTAAATAGTTTAAAATGGCAAAATATAGTTCTTCTTCAGTCCTCAGGATGCTAGAAGGAGCACAGAGTATGGAGTCCACAGCCCTTGGCAATGTGTAAAGCTTCATCCATCCATATATCCTCATATATCCTTCTGCATTGTACAAGCATTGTCATTTTCTGTGCATGCCATCATGTGAAAATGACTGGAAGGCACTACAACCAACTGAACTAAATAGATAAAAATAGACTAAGATAATAATTTCATATTCCTCTTCTACTACATTCAAGTCTTATTATGCCAAAGTTCTCCTAGGGAGTAACAAATCCTGTAAAAAAGGAAATTAGTACCTTTGTACTTCCTTTGTGAAGAAAATTAAATTTTGTTGACACCAAAATTGTTGCACTGGAGTTTTATACTTCTCAACAAATTTGAATATTTATGAGTTAGTTATATTTCAAAATTTGGCAATCTTTCGAGAAATATACAATAGCTACTATGTGTCAGGCTAAAGATGCAAAGATACTAAATAAGACACAGTCTTTTCCTTTAAAGAGTTTAAGAGTCAGTGAAGGAAATGGCTCAAAAGGCAAAATTTTAAAACAATCTGTTAATACAGACATGGAGATATACAAACAGAGTTTAAAACTATTTGGGAAAAGTGACCAAGTAAGGCTTCTTAATGGCATCCTTGTTAAAAATCCAGTGGTCCATTTTAAATCCTCATCTTGACTTGGCAGCATCATTTTAAATAGATTCTGCCTCCCCAATTTAGAATCCCAGGACTCTGCTCCTCTGTGGTGCTCCTGCTTCTTCATTGCCTCCCCTTTAATTTTTTTTTTCTAAATCTGCTTTATCTCACCAATATCTAAAGTGTGTTGGCTCTAGGGCTCAGTCTTCAAGACTTTTCTGTTTGTACTCTTTCTGAGTGTGTGAGTGTGTGTGTGTGTGATTTCCTCCAGCCTTGTGGCTTTAAACACCAACTATTTACATCTGATTCTCACAGTTATCTCTTTGCCCTGGACTTTTCCCCTGAATTCTAGATTCATATATCTACTGACATTTTCAACTCCACTTAGTTTTTAATAATAGTCATCTCAAGCTTCATCTATTCATCAACAAATTTCTGGTTTTTCCCATAAAATCTTACCTTGTCCCTTGTTCTCTCCCTCTAAGGAAATGGAAACTCTATTCTTACATTTTCTCAGACCAAAAATCTTGGTGTCATCTTTGATTAATCTCTTTATATCACTATGTACATCCAATTTATTATTAAGTGCTGTTGATAATTACCATCAAAACGTATTCACAATCCAACTACTTTTTGCCACCTTCACACTAACACAACCTAGGCTCATCAACTCTCAGATGGTGGCAAAAACTTCCTAGCTGGTGCCCTTGCTTTTGCCATTCTTCTAATTCAGTCTGTTCTCAATGTATCACTCAGAACGATACTTTTAAAATTTAATTCAGATCATAGGACTTTCGGGGGCAAAACCCTCTGTGATTGGTAATATTGAGTGTCAACTTAATTGCATTGAAAAATGCAAAGTACTGATCCTGGGCCTGTCTGTGAGGGTGTTGCCAGAGATTAACAATTGAGTCAGTGGGCTGGGAAAGGCAGAAACACCCTTAATCTGGGTGGGCACCATCTAATCAGCTGCCAGTGCAGTCAGAATATAAAAGCAGGCAGAAAAACGTGAAAAGGACAGACTGGCTTAGCCTCCCAGCTTACATCTTTCTCTCATGCTGGATGCTTCCTGCGCTCGAACATGAGACTTGAAGTTCTTCAGCTTTGGAACTCAGACTGGCTTCCTTGCTCCTCAGCTTGCAGACAGCCTACTGTGGGACCTTGTGATCCTATGAGTGAATACTCCTTAATAAACTCCCATATATATATCCTATTAGTTCTGTCCCTCCAGAGAACCCTAATACAGATTTTGGTACCAGGGGTGGTTCTAGAAGAACAGAATATTAAGGATGGAGTTCTTTCCTTGATTTTGGGGTTTCTGGAGTTGGCTACTTATTATTACACACAAAAACACTAAGGACTATACTTTAGTATGAAAAACACTGATAGTCCTTGGCGTGAACTGTTTAGAGAGTTATGCAGAAAGAACGCATTTGACACCCCTGATTCACTGCTCTTGAGAGGCAAGGAGTTTAGTGACTCTATACATAATACCTTTGACCATGTGTGGAGAACCAAGGAACATAATGAAGCTAGTTGGTTGCTCCTAAGTTCACTGAATAAAGTGATGAAAGAAAATTATGAACTCAGGGATTCTAACTCCCAGCTTTGGAAGCAGATACTGAGCCTCAAATCTTCTAAGATTGCCCTGAGTCAGTCTTATCTCCTGTAGAAAAAGAGCTGAAATTGTGGAAAATCAGACACAAGCTCTTATCATGCAAGGAAAGGTGCATGCACAGCCTTGCCAGGTGTCTACTGTTAAAGTGAGGGCACGGACTGGAAAAGAATGGGACCCTGCAACTTGGAATGGGGATGCGTGGGAGGACCCTGATGAAGCTGAGGACACTGAGCTTGTAAACTCTGATGAACATTTTTTGCCAGAAGAAACAGCTTCCCCATCTCCAGTAGTGGCAAAATCCCCTCTCCAACCCACGCTGCCATAAACCTCTCCACCTTTGTCCAAGAATATAAACAATGTGCTGAGTGAGGCAACAGTGATGGCCTCCCCTAAGGCAGTTGCCAGCCAACATAATGTTGATTTTCCTCAGGAGCCACTCCCAACACCCCTGTTTGCTTCTAGACCTATAACTAGACTAAAGTCCCCATGGGCCCCTACAGGTGAGGTTTACAGTGTGACCCATGAGGAGGTGTGCTATACTCAAAAAGAACTGCTTGATTTGTAATTTATATAAGCAGAAATCTGGAGAACAGGCATGGGAATGGATATTAAGGGTGTGGGATAATGATGGAAGGAACATAGAGTTGGATCAGGCTGCATTTATTGATCTGGGCCCACTAAGTAGGGTCTCTGCATTTAATGTTGCAACTCAGGGAGTTTAAAAAGGTTCTAATAGTTTATTTGCTTGGTTAGCTGAAATATGAATTAAAAGATGACCCACTATGAGCAAGCTGGAAATGCTTGATCTCCCTTGGTTTAATGTACAGGAAAGGATCCAAAGGCTTAGGGAGGTTGGGATCATGGAGTGGATTACTTACTTTAGACCTAGTCATCTCAGCTGGGAGGGTCCAGAAAACATACCCTTGACCAATGCTTTGCAAAATGGATTTGTGAGGGCAGCACCTGCATCTTTGAAGAGCCCTGTAATTGCTCTTCTCTGTATGTCAGATCTAACAGTGGGAACCACAGTCACTCGACTACACAATTTAAGTACAATGGGAATAATTGGATCCCAAGGTGGTAGGGGCCAAGTGGCAGCACTCACTCGAACATCAAAGGCAAGGTGGGTGTAGCAAGCATACTGGATAGCAGAGGCAAAGCAGCAATCAGAATACTCTGATTCATGCAAAGCTTTGGCATTGGCTAATTAATCACAGTGTTCCTAGAAGTGAAATTGATAGGAAGCCTACTACATTCCTACTTAATTTATATAAGCAAAAAAATTCCAGCTCAAGTGGAAAAAGACTAATTTGAATTATAAAAACAGAGAATTACTGTCCTCAATCAATTTCCAGACCTGAGCCAGTTTACAGGCCCAGAACCTCTTGAGTGAAGGGGAGACTGGGTCCTGTTGAGGAAGGACCCCAACACACTACCAACAATTTATGCTGTTAATCTTCCTCCCATCCTTCCCCAAGGAGACTTTTTACCAGGGTAAATGTGTATTGGGAAAAGGGAAATTATCAGACATTTTGGGGACTACTGGACACTGGCTCTGAGCTGACATTGATTCCAGGGGACCCAAAACATCACTGTGGTCCTCCAGTTAAAGTAGGGGCTTATGAAGGTCAGGTAATAAATGGGCTTTTATCTCACGTCTGACTTACAGTGGGTCCACAGACTTATCCTGACATCATTTCCCAAGTGCCAGAATGCATAATTGGCATAGACCTACTTAACAGCTGGCAGAATCCCAGCTTTGGCTCCCTGACTGGTAGGGTGAGGGCTATTACGGTGGGAAAGGCCAAATGGAAGTCATTCGAGCTGCCTCTACCTAGAAAAATACTAAATCAAAAACAATATCACATCCCTGGAGGGATTGCAGAGATTAGTGCCTCCATCAGGGTCTTGAAAGATACAGGGTGGTGATTTTCATCACATCCCCATTCAACTCTCCCATTTGGCCTGTGCAGAAGACAGATAGATCTTGGAGAATGACAGTGGATTATCATAAGCTTAACCAAGTGGTGACTCCAATTGCAGCTGCTGTGCCAGATGTGGTTTCATTGCTTGAGCAAATTAACACATCTCCTGATACCTGGTATGCAGCCATTTATTTGGAAAATGCCTTTTTCTCCATTCCTGTCCATAAGGCCCACCAGAAGCAATTTGCCTTCAGCTGCCAAGGCCAGCAGTATACTTTTACTGTCCTACCTCAGGGGTTTATCAACTCTCTGGCTTTGTGTCATAGTCTCATTCAGAGACAGCTTCATCGCTTTTCGCTTCCACAAGATATCACACAGGTCCATTATATTGATGCATTATGCTGATCGGATCCAGTGAGCAAGAATTGGATCCAGTGAGCAAACACACTGGACTTCTTGGTGAGACATTTGCATGCCAGACAATGGGAAATAAATTTGATGAAAATTCAGGAAACTTCTACCTCAGTAAAATTTCTGGGGGTCCAGTGGTGTGGGGCCTGTTGAGATATTCCTTCTAAGGTGAAGAATACATTGCTGCATTTGTCCTCTCCTACAACCAAGAAAGATGCACAATGCCTAATGGGCCTATCTGAATTTTGGAGGCAATGCGTTCCTCATTTGGATGTGCTATTCTGGTCCATTTATTGAGTGACCTGAAAGGCTGCTGGTTTTGAGTGGGTTCCAGAACAGGAGAAAGCTCTACAACAGGTCCAGGCTGCTGTGCAAGCTGCTCTGCCACTTGGGCCATATGACCCAACAGATCCAGTGGTACTTGAGGTATCAGTGGCTTATAGGGATGCTGTTTGGAGCCTTTGGCAGGCCTCCATAGGTGAATCACAGTGGAGGCCTATAGGATTTTGGAGCAAGGCCATGTCATCTTTTGCAGATAACTACTCTCCTTTTGAGAGACAGCTCTTGGCCCATTACTGGGCTTTGGTGGAAACTGAATGTTTGACTATGGGTCGTCAAGTCACCATGCAACCTGAACTGCCTATCATAAACTGGGTGCTTTCTGACCCATCTAGCCATAAAGTGGGTCATGCACAGCAATATTCTGTCATCAAATAGGAGTGGTATATATGTGATTGGGCTTCAGCATGTCCTGAAGGCACAAGTAAGTTACATGAGGAAGTGGCTCAAATGCCCATGGTCTCCACTTCTGCCACCCTTCCTTCTCTCCCCCAGGCTGCACCAATGGCTCCATGAGGAGTTCCATATGATCATTTGACAGAGGAAGAGAAGACTAGGGCCTGGTTCACAGATGGTTCTGCATGATATGCAGGCACCATCTGAAAGTGGACAGCCACAGCACTACACCCCCTTTCTAGAAAATCCCTGAAGAACAGTGGTGAAAGGAAATCTTTGCAGGGAGCAGAATATTGAGCAGTGCACCTGGTTGTGCACTTTGCATGGAAGGAGGAATGGCCAGATGTGTGATTATGTACTGACTCATGGGCTGTAGCCAATGGTTTAGCTGGATGGTCAGGGACTTAAAAGAAGCATGGTTGGAAAACTGGTGACAAAGAAATTTGGGGAAGAGGTACGTGGATGGACCTCTCTGAGTGGTCAAAAACTGTGAAGATATTTGTATCCCATGTGAGTGTTCACCAACAGGTGACCTGAGCAGAGGAGAATTTTAATAATCAAGTGGATAGGATGACCTGTTCTGTGAACACCACTCAGCCTCTTTCCCCAGCCACCCTTGTCATCACCCAATGCACCCATCAACAAAGTGGCCAGTGGCAGGGATGGAGGTTATGCATGGGCCCAGCAACGTGGACTTCCACTCACCAAGGCTGACCTGGCTAAGGCCACTGCTGAGTGTTCAATTTCACAGCACCAGAGACCAACACTGAGCCCTAGATATGGCACCATTCCTCAGCGTGATCAGCCAGCTACCTGGTGGCAGCTTGATTATATTGGACCTCTTCCATCATGGAAAGGGAAAAGGTTTGTCCTTCCTGGAATAGATACTCAGGATATGGGTTTGCCTATCCTGCATGCAATGTTTCTGCCAAGACTACCATCCATGGACTCACAGAATGCCATCATGGTATTCCACACAGCATTGCCTCTGACCAAGACACTCACTCACTTTACAGCTAAAGTGTGGCAGTGGGCTCATGCTCATGGAATTCACTGATCTTACCATCTTCCCCATCATCCTGAAGGAGCTGGATTGATAGAATGGTGGAATGGCCTTTTGAAGCCACAACTACAACACCAACTAGGTGACGATACTTTGCAGGGCTGGGGCAAAGTTCTCCAGAAGGCAGTGTATGCTCTGAATCAGCATCCAATAAATGGTACTGTTTCTCCCATAGCCAGAATTCACAGGTCCAGAAATCAAGGGGTAGAAGTGGAAGTGGCACCACTCACCATCACCCCTAGTGATCCACTAGAAAAATTTTTTCTTCCAGTTCCCACGACATTATGTTCTCCTGGCCTAGAGGTCTTAGTTCCAGAGGGAGAAATGCCGCCAATGGGAAACACAACAATTTCATTAAACTGGAAGTTAAGATTGCCACCTGAACACTTTGGGCTCCTCCTACATTTAAGTCAACAGGCTAAGAAGGGAGTTATAGTGTTGGCTGGGGTAACTGACCCAGGCTATCAAGATGAAATCAGTCTACTACTCCATAAATGAGGTAAGGAAGATTATGCATGGAATACAGGAGATCCATTAGGACATCACTTAGTATTACCATGCCCTGTGATTAAGGTCAATGGTAAACTACAACAGCCCAATCCAGGCAGAACTACAAATGGTCCAGACCCTTTTGGAATGAAGGTTTGGGTCACTCCACCAGGAAAAAAGCCATGACCTGCTGAGGTACTTGCTGAAGGCAAAGGTAATACAAAATGGGTAGTAGCAGAAAGCAGTCATCAATACCAGCTAGGACCATGTGACCAGTTACAGAAATGAGGATTGTAATTGTAATGAATATTTCTTCTTTCTTTTATTAAAAACGTTTGTGCATGTATACACCTGTACTAAAAAAATAGCTTCATTTTATTTTTCATCATGTGACATAAGATTTATTGACTTCAGGTCAGAATTTAAGTATTGTTAAATTTATGTAATAGCGTTTAGGTTGGTGATTGGTGCGTTTCCAGCTGTACGAAGGATAGTTGTATTATGTTAGGCATAATTATGACATTATTGTCTTTATTTGAAGATTATGTATGATCTCAGGAGATGTGTATGGGTTCAAGTTGACAAGGGATGGACTTGTGATGATTAATACTGAGTCTCAACTTGATTGGGTTGAAGGATCCAGAGTATTTATCCTGTAAGTCTGTGAGGGCATTGCCAAAGGAGATTAATATTTGATTCAGTGGGCTAAGAAGGGCAGACCCACTCTTAAATCTGGGTGGGCACCATCCAATCAGCTGCTAGTGTAGCCAGAATATAAAAGCAGGCAGAAAAACGTGAAAAGGCTAGACAGGTTTAGCCCCCAAGCCTACATCTTTCTCCTGTGCTGGATGCTTCCTGCCCTCGAACATCGGACTCCAAGTTCTTCAGTTTTGGGACTTGGGCTGGCTTCCTTGCTCTTCAGCTTGCAGACAGCCTATTGTGGGACTTTGTGGTCCTGTGAGTTAATACTCCCTAAAAAACTCCTATAAATATATATATATCGAGCTCATATATATATGAGCTCGATATATATTGAACTTATATATATATGAGTTCCTTCCATTACGGAGGGAATATGTGAGTTCATTTTGAACAGGTTGAGTTTGAGATAGTTGTGCAAATATATATATATGTGTATATATATATGTATATATATGTATATATATATGTGTATATATATATATACACATATATATGGAGGTAATTCCTTAATAAAAGTAAGTATTGGTATTCCTTAATAAAGGTATTTATTCCACAATAAAGGTAATTATTGGTATTCCTTAATAAAAGTAATCATTTCCTTACTAAAGGTAATATATTTTATATATATATATATATATATGAGTTTATTAAGGAGGTAATTCCTTAATAAAGGTAATTACTGGAGGGAATATGTAAGTTCATTTTGAACAGGTTGAGTTTGAGGCCCTAGCCTGTATTGATCCAATACTCTCTCTCTCTGGTAATATATTTCCAAAATTTCAAATGTCTTCCATAGCTGCATTTATAGTCCAGATAGGCCCTCAAGATTTAGGCCAAGAATAATCCACCACCTACCTGTTGGACAACACTACTTGGAATTCACACAAGTACCTCAAACTCAACTAATAGTGTGTATATTTATATAAAATATTATATAAAATATAATAATATTAATTTTATATTATATAAAACATAATATATATTAAATATATAATATATAAAACATAATATATATTAAATATATAATATATAAAACATAATATATATTAAATATATAATATAAAACATATATTAAATATGTATATAAAACACAATATATATTAAATATATATTATATATGAAATACATAATATATATTAAATATATAATATTTAAATATAAATATATTAAATATTTATATTTAATTTAATATTGTTTAATTTAATATTAATGTAATTTATAATACATTTATAATATAAACATATTATAAATATATTTAAATATATAATATATATATTTATTTATATTTATTTATATATATCATATATCATATATTATAAAATATCATATATAATATATTTACTATATATTAAATATATAGTATATAATAGCTATATTATTTATATATAATAGCTATTCATTAGCTCCCTCATTTTTATGGATGGGAAAACCGAAACTCGAAAGTGAACTATACAAGCCCAGGTGAGTGACTTCATTCAGATTCCAGGGATAACTGAGGCTCAAGCCTTTCTCAAGCTTGTAGCTTGAGTTGATGGTAATATCATCAATGGAACCTGAGAAGACTTAAAAAGGAGTCCATTATGGAAGGAATATGTGAGTTCATTTTTATCAGGTTGAGTCTGAAGTACTTGAGCGAATTCCAAGTGGTGATGTCCAACAGGTAGGTGGTGGGTTATTCTTGGCCTAAATCTTGAGGGCCCATCTGGGCTGTAAACACAGCTATGGAAGACATTTGAAATTCTGGAAATATATTACCAGAGAGAGAGTGTTGTGTCAGAAGAGACTTTGAGAGAGGCTAGGGCACTGGGGTATACAAGCACTTCAACTGGGGATAAAAGGGTATGAAGGAGACAGAGAGGTAATAACAGCAATGTGTGATACAACTAATCTCCATTATGTATTCTAAATTTGTATATTTCATGCCTACCATATGTCGGGCTCTGCACCAAGTTCTGACCATGGAGCAGTGAACATAATGGACCTAGAAGCCACAAACTCTGCCCTCATGTCTCTCACAGCCCTGTGGGAAAAAATAAACAAGCCAAATAAACATGAAGGTCTTCATAGTTGCTATGAGAGCATTGTCTGTGTGGGTGAGCAGTCTGTGGGGTCAGGGAAGACCTAGTTATATCAATGGTATGTAAGTTACAATCTTGGTAATTATAGAAATGGTTTTGGAAATTGTTTTACTCATTTTTATAAAATGTTCCTATGCATATTTCATCTATTTCTGCAATATCCTTTGAGGTAAGCAAAGGAGCCATAAATCCCACATTAAAGATGAAGAAATTGGGACTCTAAGAGGTTAGGAAATTTATCCATGGTCATAAACTGATAGAAACTAAATCAGGAATATAGATTCTAATTACTCTTCAATCTCATGTGCTACTAACACCATTTTTCTGCCTCCAACAGAGGACTTAGGAAGCAACAGCAGAGCTCTTTTCCCCTCTGTTGGGGCGGAAAGGCAAGGAGGGTAAACTCATCAGTCGAAAAATCTTGTGCATTGCTACCGATTCTTAGCACAAAAGCCATACATTTATAATAGAAATAAATAGTCAAGTTTCTAAGAACATTAACTTGTCCACCTAACAAGAATATAGTACTGTCGGGGTTCCAAGATGGCTGAATAGGAACAGCTCGAGTCTACAGCTCCCAGCATGAGCGACGCAGAAGATGGGTGATTTCTGCATTTCCAACTGATGTACTGGGTTCATCTCACTGGGGCTTGTCAGACAGTGGGTGCAGGACAGTGGGTGCAGTGCACTGAGTGTGAGCCGAAGTAAGGCAAGGCATCGCCTCACCTGGGAAGCACAAAAGGTCAGGGAATTCACTTTCATAGCCAAGCAAAGCTATGACAGACAGCACCTGGAAAATCGGGTCACTTCCACCCTAATAGTGCACATTTCCAATGTTCTTAGCAAACGGCACACCAGGAGATTATATCCCGCACATGGCTCAGAGGGTCCCACGCCCATGGAGCCTCGCTCATTGCTAGCACAGCAGTCTGAGATCAAACGGCAAGGCGGCAGCAAGGGTGGGGGAGGGGCGCCTGCCATTGCTGAGGCTTCAGTAGGTAAACAAAGGGGCCAGGAAGCTCCAACTGGGTGGACCACACCCCAGTTCAAGGAGGCCTGCCTGCCTCTGTAGACTCCACCTCTGGGGGCAGGGCATAGCCAAACAAAAGGCAGCAGAAACCTCTGCAGACTTAAATGTCCCTGTCTGACAGCTTTGAAGAGAGTAGTGGTTCTCCCAGCACGGAGTTTGAGATCTGAGAACAGACAGACTGCCTTGTCAAGTGGGTCCCTGACCCACAAGTAGCCTATCTGGGAGGCCCCCAGTAGAGACAGGCTGACACCTCACACAGCTGGGTACCCCTCTGAGATGAAACGTCCTGAGGAATGATCAGACAGCAACATTTGCTATTCAGCAATATTTGCTGTTCTGCAGGCTCCGCTGCTGATACCCAGGCAAACGGTCTGGAGTGGACCTCCAGCAAACTCCAACAGACCTGCAGCTGAGGGTCCTGACTGTAAAAAGGAAAACTAACAAACAGAAAGGACATCCACACCAAAACCCCATCTGTACATCACCATCATCAAAGACTAAAGGTAGACAAAAACCACAAAGATGAGGAAAAAGCAGAACAGAAAAACTGAAAATTCTAAAAATCAGAGCACCTCTCCTCCTCCAAAGGAACGCAGCTCCTCACCAGCAACGGAACAAAGCTGGACAGAGAATGACTTTGATGAGTGGAGAGAAGAAGGCTTCAGACGAACAATCTTCTCCAAGCTAAAGGAGGAAGTTCAAACCCATCACAAAAAAGTTACAAACTTTGATAAAACATGAGATGAATGGCTAACTAGAATAATCAATGTAGAGAAGTCCTTAAATGACCTGATGGAGCTGAAAACCATGGCATGAGAACTACGTGATGAATGCACAAGCTTCAGTACCTGATTCGATCAACTGGAAGAAAGGGTATCAGTGATTGAAGATCAAAAGCATGAAATGAAGTGAGAAGAGAAGTTTAGAGAAAAAAGAATAAAAAGAAACGAACAAAGACTCCAAGAAATATGGGACTAGGTGAAAAGACCAAATCTATGTCTGATTGCTGTACCTGAAAGTGACAGGGGGAATAGAACCAAGTTGGAAAACACTCTTCAGGATATTATCCAGGAGAACTTCCCCAATCTAGCAAGGCAGGCCAACATTCAAATTCAGGAAACACTGAGAACACCACAAAGATACTCCTCGAGAAGAGCAACTCTAAGACACATAATTGTCAGATTCACCAAAGTTGAAATGATGGAAAAAATATTAAGGGCAACCAGAGAGAAAGGTTGGGTTACCCACAAAGGGAAGCCCATTAGACTAACAGCGGATCTCTCGGCAGAAACTCTACAAGCCAGAAGAGAGTGGGGGCCAATATTCAACATTCTTAAAGAAAAGAATTTTCCACCCAGAATTTCATATCCAGCCAAACTAAGCTTGATAACTGAAGGAGAAATAAAATACTTTACAGACAAGCAAATGCTGAGAGATTTTGTCACCACCAGGCCTGCCCTAAAAGAGCTCCTGAAGTAAGCACTAAACATGGAAAGGCACAAATTGTACCAGCCACTGGAAAAACATGCCATTGAGCCTAGGAAGAAACTGCATCAACTAACGAGCAAAATAACCAGCTAACATCATAATGACAGGATCAAATTCACACATAACAATATTAACCTTAAATGTAAATGGGCTAATGCTCCAATTAAAACACACAGACTGGCAAATTCGATAAAGAGTCAAGACCCATCAGTGTGCTGTATTCAGGAAACCCATCTCACATGCAGAGACACACATAGGCTCAAAATAAAGGGATGGAGGAAGATCTACCAAGCAAATGGAAAACAAAAGAAGGCAGGGGTTGCAATCCTAGTCTCAGATAAAACAGACTTTAAACCAACAAAGATCAAAAGACACAAAGAAGGCCATTACATAATGGTAAAGGGATCAATTCAACAAGAAGAGCTAACTGTCCTAAATATATATGCACCCAATACAGGAGCACCCAGATTCATAAGGCAAGTCCTTAGAGACCTACAAAGAGACTTAGACTCCCACACAATAATAATGGGAGACTTTAACACCCCACTGTCAACATTAGACAGATCAACGAGACACAAAGTTAACAAGGATACCCAGGAATTGAACTCAGCTCTGCACCAAGCAGACCTAATAGACATCTACAGAACTCTCCACCCCAAATCAACAGAATATACATTTTTTTCAGCACCACACCACACCTATTCCAAAATTGACCACATACTTGGAAGTAAAGCTCTCCTCAGCAAATGTAAAAGAACAGAAATTATAACAAACTGTCTCTCAGACCACAGTGCAATCAAACTAGAACTCAGGATTAAGAAACTAAGAAACTCACTCAAAACTGCTCAACTACATGGAAACTGAACAACCTGCTCCTGAATGACTACTGGGTACATAACGAAATGAAGGCAGAAATAAAGATGTTCTTTGAAACCAACGAGAACAAAGACACAACACACCAGAATCTCTGGGACACATTCAAAGCAGTGTGCAGAGGGAAATTTATAGCACTAAATGCCCACAAGAGAAAGCAGGAAAGATCCAAAACTGACACCCTAACATCACAATTAAAAGAACTAGAAAAGCAAGAGCAAACACATTCAAAAGCTAGCAGAAGGCAAGAAATAACTAAAATCAGAGCAGAACTGAAGGTAATAGAGACACAAAAAACCCTTCAAAAAATTAATGAATCCAGGAGCTGGTTTTTGGAAAGGATCAACGAAATTGATAGACTGCTAGCAAGACTAATAAAGAAGAAAAGAGAGAAGAATCAAATAGACGCAATAAAAAATGATAAAGGGGATATCATCACCGATCCCACAGAAATACAAACTACCATCAGAGAATACTACAAACACCTCTACGCAAATAAACTAGAAAATCTAGAAGAAATGGATAAATTCCTGGACACATACACTCTCCCAAGACTAAACCAGGAAGAAGTTGAATCTCTGAATAGACGAATAACAGGCTCTGAAATTGTGGCAATAATCAATAGTTTACCAACCAAAAAGAGTCCAGGACCAGATGGATTCACAGCCGAATTCTACCAGAGGTACAAGGAGGAACTGGTACCATTCCTTCTGAAACTATTCCAATCAATGGAAAAAGAGGGAATCCTCCCTAACTCATTTTATGAGGCCAGCATCATCCTGATACCAAAGTCGGGCAGAGACACAACCAAAAAAGAGAATTTTAGACGAATATCCTTGATGAACATTGATGTAAAAATCCTCAATAAAATACTGGCAAACCAAATCCAGCATCACATCAAAAAGTTTATCCACCATGATCAAGTGGGCTTCATCCCTGAGATGCAAGGCTGGTTCAATATACGCAAATCAATAAATGTAATCCAGCATATAAACAGAACCAAAGACAAAAACCACATGATTATCTCAATAGATGCAGAAAAGGCCTTCAACAAAATTCAACAGCCCTTCATGCTAAAAACTCTCAATAAATTAGGTATTGATGGGACGTATCTCAAAATAATAAGAGCTATCTATGACAAACCCACAGCCAATATCATATTGAATGGGCAAAAAGTGGAAGCATTCCCTTTGAAAACTGGCACAAGACAGGGATGCCCTCTCTCACCACTCCTATTCCCAGTATCCTGCTCACCCCCAGGAGTGGGACGATAACAGAATTGTTAACAATCAAAATAATTACCAGGAACTGCTCTAAGCACTATAACATACTTGAACATAATCTCCTTATGATTCAATTTCTCATCTGTGAAGAGGAGATAATAATAATAACTATGTAATGGGATTGTTGTGAGAACTAAATGAATTCATGTATCTAAAGCACTTGGTTTGGTTTGGCACTTAATAAGCACTATATTAAGTGTTAATAATTTTTAGGCTTATTGTGATTCTCATCCTCTCATTTAAGCCTCACTACTGCCCTAGTGAACAATGAGAGTGGGATGCAAATATATATCTGTCCAATGTTGGAGCTTAGGCTCATAACCATTAATATTTTCTCTAAAGGGGAGGTAATAAAAGTGATATATTAAAAGAAACAACTGTAATCTTAAATTTTCTAGTATCCAGATCTTAAACAATAAAAAGAAACAGGTGAAAGTAATTGTATTTTATTTTAACCCATATATCTAAAATATTATAATTTCAACTTGTAATCAATATAAAAATATTAATGAGATATTTTACTTTTTTTGTTCTATGTCTTCAAAATCTGGTGCTTACAGCACATCTCAATCTGAACCAGCCACATGTGGCTAGGTTACTGTATTGGACAGTACAGGGTTAGACTAAGGACAGAAGACAGATAAGGACACCATACATGTGAAGAGTTCCTGCCCCTCATCACATGTTAGATGTGTGTGTGTGAAAGTCTCACCTTCTTCATGAGATGACAGTCCTCTTTAATGCAAAGTCTGTAGCTTGTTGGTCATTGTATAGCTCACATAATTGCCAAGTGCTCTATATTTATCAAACAGCAGCATGAATGCAAAATGAATAAATGCATAAATGGGAATAATGAAATAAAATAAAAACCAAATAGCACACTGCATATTTTTTTCATCTCAGAAAAGCAGAAGAGTTTGAAAATCCAAACCCTCTCTAGTAAGATCATTTGGCTGTTGAGAGAAGAGTGTCAGAGCTGTAACAGATGTACAGCTTGAGTCTCCTGCTGTCAATCTGATAAGATCCTAAATGTTTTTACTTTTTAAAAATGCACATTAAAAATTTTTTAGGTATTCACAACCCCCTGTATAAAATTCTTTTTAAACTCTCTTGAGGATAGTGCTTACATAAAATCATTTTAGGAAGTTTTCTAGAAATAATGGCTGAAGAATGGACAACTGATATAAATGCTAAAATCTGGATTGAGAATAACATCAGAAGTTTGAACCTCAGTTAACATTCGGTTAAAGGGTGACTAAATATTCTCAGTTTTCTGAGCTATTTTGAGCCCTATTCCTTAGACAGTCTGGTTCTTCTTAAACTTTAAGACCCAAACCAGGCACAACATTCTAGACAGTCTAACAAGCACAGGTTACAATAAAATTATAAACTCTCTTTAAAAACTTTGCAGTTATAAATCTGTTCATTATACTAAATTTTTAAAGCTCATACTGTCAACTCACTTCTGTAGGTCATTTTCATATGAATTAATCACTGCTCAGGTTTTACATGTAGATATGTACACATGAGTACACATACAAGTATTTAAACATGGTGTTATATGAATTCTTATTGGACTTTATCTTTTAAGTTTTAGCCCATATTTTCAGATTTTTAGGTCAAAATTTATTATTCTGACATTTACTACATTAGCTATTAGCTAACATTCCTAGCTTTATGGCAATCACCAATCTGAGGGCCCATCCATATCTTCTTCAAGTATTTATAGGAATATTAAACAAAGCAGAATTTAGGAGGCACCTGTGGAATGCAGCAATTCTCAAATTCCATGTGCATAAGAATCACCTTGGGGAGCTTTTTTAAAATGCACACTTCTGTATTCTGCTTCAGAAATTCTGATTCAGTAGGTCTGGATAGGGCCTAGAAACATAATTTTTCAAGAAAGCATCTGTGGGAATAAATGAGGAACACTCAAATGAGAATAAGCAAGGAATCAGCCACTGTCACTTGCATTTGGCAGAGACTCATAGTTAGGCAGAGGGACTGGGAAAGCGCTAGAGTGGAAAAAAGAAGGCTTCAGATATGCCCTGATTGGTGGCTGTTGGCATGGGGACGCTGTAGAAGGGAGAAGAAAAGCAAAGCATCCCACATGATTGGTTACAGTGCATGATTGGTTGGGGTGCATGATTGGTTAGGGTGCATATTTAGCTTTCTCCAATTGATCCTAACTTGGACACGGGGACAAAAATTAAAGAAGCTATCAATCATTAATCAAGTCCTGGCCATCTGTGGCTGATTTTACAGGTGTTACTCTTTGGCTTCCTGGACTATTGCATACAGATAATAGTCTAACTTCCTGGGCTGGTTACTATAGGCAGTAAATTGGCTTCCTGGGCTGGTTGCTGCAGATTGTAGGTTGGAGTTCTTTTTTATATACATAGTCTGACCATTGTCCATTTGTATATTGTCTCTTACATGCCAAGAAATTCCAATATGGGAAGTACCCAAACATACCATGCTAGATATTTAAAGCTCTTTATTCTTATCATCCTGGTTAACTCTGATTAAACCATGTTCTCAG